>NC_000008.11:62177265-62802265 GCF_000001405.40 Homo sapiens
AAATCAAAAACTATCACATGACCCAGTAATCCTACTACTGGGTATACATCCAAATAAGTTGAAAACAGAATCTTTCCCATGTTAATTGTAGCAGTATTCACAACAGCCAAGATATCTGGCATATTATTTAGCCTTCAAAAGGAAGAAAATTCCGCCATAGGTGCAGCTGGAGGCCATTACACTAAGCAAAATAAGTAACACAGAGAAAGTGAAATACTGCATGATGTCACATACATGTGGAATCTAAAATAGTCAAACTTACAGAAGCAGAAAGAGTAGAATGGTTGTTTGCAGGGGACTGAAGGGAGGAACATATGGGGTAATGTTGGTCAAAGGATATGAATCTTCATTTATGCAAGATGAATAATTTCTGGAGATCTAATGTACACTGTGATAATGATAATTAAAAACAGTATATTGCAAACTTGAAATTTCCTGAAAAGATAAATTAAGTCTTCTCACCATACATACATAAGTGGTAAATATGTAGAGGCAATAAATATGTTAATTAGCTGGAATTTACAATGTATATGTATATCAAAACATCAAATTGTACACCTTAAATACATAAAATGTTGTCAATAGTCTGTCAATAAACCTGTTAAAAATATTATGAATTTGATTGTGCTGATGGTTACACAACTCTGTGGATATACCAAAATCTATTGAATCTGTACACTTTATATAGGTGAATTGTTTGTGAATTTTATCTCAATAAAGCTTTTTACCACAAAAAAATAAATAAATTTTTTAAAAAAGGCAATCATGTTCCAGAATCCACGTTCTGTTTGCTTTTCAGAAACCATGTTTTTGATTATTATCCTGCACTGCCTCTCATGCTAATTTAGAATAGGGAGCATTTTTCTGGCAAGGCATGGTGGCTTACACTTGTAATCCCATCACTTTGGAAGGCCCAGGCGGGCAGATCACTTGAGGCCAGCTGTTCGAGACCAGCCTGGCCAACATGGTGAAACCCTGTCTCTACTAAAACTACAAAAACATTAGCTGGGCATGGTGGCGCATGCCTGTAATCCCAGCTGCTGGGGATGCTGAGGCACAAGAATGGCTTGAACACAGACTGAGGTTGCAGTGATCTGAGATCGCACCGCTGCCCTCAAGCCTGGGTGACACAGCAAGACTCTGTCTCAAAAATAAGAAAAACAAAACAAAACAAAAGAGTGGGAGCATTTTTCAGTGAAAATCCTAATTAGCACATATGTTAATTGTCTTGATTTAGCCATTTCACAATATATACATATTTCAACGTATCATCTTGTACACAATAAATATATACAGTTTTCATCAATTTAAAACATTAGTTAATATAAAATAAAACAAAATAAGATTTTACGTTTTTTTTTTTTAAAAAAAAATACTAATTAGTATATGCTTAGGTCACTGAGCTGACATCTGGCCCACCAGACAGGGTGGAGACAAAATAGTGTATCCCATTTATAGGTACAGTCATCAGAGCTGATCAAATTCAGTGAAAAAAGAAAACAAAAGAGGAATCTTGAGTCCTTTTGAACCAGATATTTAAAGTTTTAGTTTTCTTAATCAAGAAATATAATTTTTTTTTAGTAGTAGTACCTTTAATATCTGATATGAGCAGTATCACACAAGGAGAAAATAGTAAATTACAACTAGCAAATCACCACTGATAAAAGAGAATAAAATTGTACCATGTCAGGCTTAAAGAATATAAACACGGTTGCCGTGAACATTATGAATACAGTTAGGTGTGAGATAGCTACTGCATTTTTATTCTTATTGTCATGGCTGTGGGACAGGAGTAAGAAGAATTCTCCATTGTCAGGCATGTACCTGATCCCCTAATCCTGGAGACAAAAATCTGTGCTGGCCATGATGCCCACAGTGAGTGCTGCCCAGTATGACTGTGCAGTGGCAGTATCAGGTGTGGATTCTTCAGTGGGGTCCCTGCCAGGGTGGCTATGCTCAGAATTCAGTAAGTGTGCTGGGCTTCTTGGTTAAGTATTGATGGTGGAAAAGTGTGTTTGTTTAAAGCTTAGGCAATATTTCAATATCACAGCCCGTTGTTTTCCTTATGTATTAAAAGAACCACCAGGTGATAAGCTGCTCTCCTTTGAAGCCTTTCATAACAACTTTTTCACCTTTTGCCTGTGTATCACCTTTTCCTGCCTAATAAATCACCTCAAAACTTAGCGTTTTAAAACACCTAAAATTTATTTATTAATAGCTCACAATTCTGTAACTTCGCTGGGTGGTTCTTTGGCTGGCCTGGCATATGCTCATTCATGTGCCTCTATCTAGTTGGCTTCCAGATCAGCTCAGGGTTGGTTGCTCAAGGGGGCCTCACCTGGGGTGGCTACTTCAGGCTCCAAGGGTCTCTCATCATCTCCGGGACTAGGCTGGATTGTTCCTATGGTCTCAGAAGGGCTCCAAGAGTTGCCTCTGAATAATGAAATCTTCCAGGTCTTCTGGCCTGGTCTCCATCTTCTATTGTTACTGGAAGATTGCAAAGAGGCCATAGCTTCTATAAAGAGGACCCGGAAGCTACCCCTGGGATTCCCTTATCTGACCTAACCTGCTCGGAGGACCCAGCCTCGCCTAAGCACGACCCTGCGCGTGCGCACGCAGTAGCACAGCCTCGCCCATGACCACTTCCCTGCCCGCTGCAGCGCCCAAAAGGGAATGCTTGTGCTCATGAAAAATAAAATCTAAGTTTCAGTGAGGTTGGAATTTGTTCGGTGCGATTGTTTCAAAAATGTAGAGGAGAAGTTCTCCACAATAGATCTTCCCTGAAGTCATGGTCTCTTCATAATGACATGATGAAAATTAACATCTATTGAAAAAAAATGTATCAAGAAAAACATGAGGAATTTGTTTACATCCGAGGTAAGCATAATAAATACAATCATAAAAGCCATTGATGAGAAATGACAACAGAGGCCCCTCCCCAGGTCCGCTCTGCCCTGCTAGCGCTCCCGGGGACTGATTGTCCCTCTACCAGCAGTAGAGACTTAGGGTTATTAATGGATGACAGATAATTTCATTGGCTTTCTGCTTACTGAAACCTCTAATCTGATTTTAACTCTGAATTTAAAAATAAAGAAGTAAGACTCCTTAGTTCCCCCAACTTCTCCTCATCCTGTCAAAATCCTCTGGCTTTTGGAGGAAATTCACTATCCTGTGCTTTTAGAAGGTACATTTAAATTTTGAACGCGTGGTATAGCACAAGCACCCACCAATCACCACAGAGGCTGGCTGTGGAGCCAAGCATCCATCCTTTGGGTCATGGGGAGGGCGCAGGAAAGGTGCCAGGGCTCCAGGGAATAAATAGGCTGGGGGAAGGGAGGAGTGGAGAGGGAGTTTTTGGATGGCTTGGCATAATGACCACTTTCTCATTGGAAAACAATATTTTAATATTTTAACACCAGTATGGCTCTACCAGGATGAATCAGTTAAGTATCAAGACTTTGTGAGTTCCTTAAGAGCAGAGACTGTTTTATTTTTCATTAAACATCACAGTTCCTCAAGCCTTTATCTGCAATTCTGAAATCTAAAGACTTGAAGAAAACAAAAATTGTCTCTATAACTTCTCTGGCTGCAAAACTGGTTTATTTTGACTTGAGACCATTTATAAACTTTATTATTCCTAAGTGAATAGTCATGATTTTCACTGCTGACACATTAATGTGTTTGATTATAGGATACTGCTCAGGGTCCCCCCTGGGGGGTATTTTGTAATAGAAGATGCATGCACTGTTTTACTTTCCTAAAATTTGAAAAAAATTGCATTCAGAAGCACATATGCTCCCAAAGGTTTTGATAAAGGCTTGTGTACAGATACTACCCAGCTTGGTGTGTGCTCTGAGGCAGAGTGGGTAGTCAACAAATTCTATGTTGTTTAGTGAAACTGCCTATGTAGGTTTAAATTTTGATTGATTAGATGAAATGGCAAAAGGGATGAAAAAAACAGTTTCTGCCCAGATTCAGTTTTGTACACTTTTTTTTTTTTGAGACAGAGTCTAGCTCTGTCGCCCAGGGTGAAGGGCATGTAGTGGCACAACCTTGGCTCACTGCAACCTCCACTTTCTGGGTTCAAGCAATTCTCCTGCCTCAGCCTCCCAAGTAGCTGGGATTACAGGCATGCACCACTATGCCTGGCTAATTTTTGTATTTTTAGTAGAGACAGAGTTTTGCCATGTTGGTCAGGCTGGTCTCGAACTCCTGACCTCAAGTGATCTGTACAACTTGGCCTCCCAAAGTGCTGGGATTACAGGCATGAGCCACTGTGCCTGACCTGTACACCTTTTTTAATCTATAACGGAGCCAATACTATTCATAGATTTACATTATTCCATTGTTTTCTCCACACATACAAAAAATAATGTTTTCTTATCATTTACAGACAGACCATGTCCAAATATAGGTCCTAAGCAACATGCCCATGTGACTAATTCTGCACTTTTATAATCTCTTAAGGTTATATGAGGAGACACACATGGAAAATAGTCATAATCTTATTTATACATTAGTAATAAGGTTTAAAGGAAGATCAATGTCAATTTATGAAACAATGTACTTCATTTTGCCTGGAAATGTTATCAGTGTTCAAAATTACTCTGATGTCACTTTGTGAATAGTCAAATTGGCTTTTATACACTTGAAGTGATTAAAAACATATAAAATGTAGCCCTTAAAAGTATCAGAAATTGTCTCATTGGAATAATGTGAAAGAAATATCATTAAAGATAGAAGAGATATGAGAAGTCCCAATATTCTGAAATACAGATTCACATGAATATTTCTGCAAGATGAATTAACATGAACCCACTGGAAAACCATCAAGTTTTATCAGTAAAGGATTCTCATCAAATCACAATCACACAGCATGGATAGGAAATGTCATAAAGCCCAGAATCATAAAATGATGGGAAAGGAAAAGGAAGCGAAACCAGATAAACTTGAAGTCTAGGAATAATGAAAGTAGAATGAGGAGGGGAGATGTTCCCTCCAGATGGGATGGCAGTGGATGTGGGGAAGGGAATGCCACACACACTCAAAAGGCTTGGAAACCCTGGGCAGTGACAGAGCTGAGTGCGGGCCTGAAACACTATCTGGACTGTGTGAAGAATCCATTCCGAAGGAAAGACACAGGACGCAGGTAAATCAACTGTAAGATCACTGCAATAAATCAGCTTAGGCATGATGAGACACTGAACCAGAGAAGTGATGGTGAGGATGCAAAAATATAGTGAGGAGAGACTGGATAATGCACTAAATTTCTTACTTGCCCTTCGACTTAAATCTTAGAATCAAACTAATGAGTTACTAAGCCTAGGTTGATGAGCTAGAAGTTGATAGATCTTGCCTCTTTCAGCATATTTCTACATTTTTATAAAGAAAGTTTACTTAAGATTAATGAGTACATGCAAGGCAATGGTTAGAGAAGTTTTGTGAATGTTTCACGAGGAACTGAAGACATATAGCAGCCTCTGCACAATTGTCATAATCTGATGTATTTTGCCATTGCTTTCTGTCACCTTCATGTGAAAAAGCATAAAGGAAAGACATACAGACCTGTCCTTGGTGAGGTCTGACAATGGGCAATGGTAATGTTCCTTTTGTTCAAAGCATAATTCTTCTTCATGATAAACTCAGAGAGAATAGAAACTACATTGAGAAGGGGGTAACTACAATTATATGAAGTTCCTTTTTGCTGTGCTTTAACAAATAAAAGACATCATTTCATAAAAATCACTTGAATTACACCATAATCCAATAGGATATTAAGCATTTCTTTGAGGATAAAATCCTAGGATTATTAATCTATATAAAACCAAATTCTTCAGCCTTGAGGAAAGTAGAAGAAATTTCCCAAGGGAATTTCTACTTTTCTCTAACTCTAAAAAAAAAGAACCAATTCAAATTTTTATCAGTTAACTTTTAAATAAGATAATACATGTGCTTTTAAAAATAAAACACCCCTTCTATTAGGTTTATTTATGTTTTCTGCCTCTTCCAGGAGTTAGTTCTTAGAGTTTTTCTGACTTGAACAATTTTATAAAGTATCAAGAACTGAATAAAGTAGCCACCCACACATTCACCTTAAAATTCTTCCATTATTTGCAACATATTTCCTTTATGTTGATATTGAGCAGTGTTGCTCAGTTACACTTTATAGTGAACCTTGCAAATATTATAGCTAAGCTGTTTGCCATTACTGATATGTAAAAATGAAAACTATTATTTCTTGATGTATATTTTGTCAAAAAAACAAGTTTGCATATTTGATTATTGAGTGAGTGTATTGCATACAGTGGTATGGGAGCTAGCTTGTTCTGTGACTTTGGGTACTTCTCTATACCTAGGCTTCAATTTCCTCATCAGTAAAATTAAGAATGAGTAAGAATGATCTCTGTAATCTGGATATGCAATACATATTCTAAGAAAATGAATTTTTCTGCCATTGTTAAAATATCAATATTTCATATCAACTATATTAAGGAATACTTGTGTATCCATTTGTAACATTTTATAATATATTATAGGTGACTAATAAGTATGTTTTCAAGAGTAAAGTATTCTGTTAATTTTTTTGGAGCTTGTCTTCAATAAACTGCCTATGTGCTATTACTGATATCCTCCTGGACAAGGACAAATTTAGGAAGAAAACTTAAAAACAAAATACCATGAGAACACATGGACACAGGAAGGGGAACATCCCACACCAGGGCCTGTTGTGGGGTGGGGGGAGGGGGGAGGGATAGCATTAGGAGATATACCTAATGTTAAATGACGAGTTAATGGGTGCAGCACACCGACATGGCACATGTATACATATGTAACAAACCTGCATGTTGTGCATATGTACCCTAAAACTTAAAGTATAATAAAAAAAATCAAAACAGTAACAGCCTTTACAACTGAATAATCCAGCAGCACGGATATGGGTATTTCCTAATAAACTAACAGATGATTCTGGAAAAGCAGGTAGATTTTTCTGTTAGGTCTCTTTTAGAGCAATTTCCTCTGAGCCTTTTGATTCAATGACAAAAATGAGCACTGAAGATTTCCTTGTCAATATTGAATCATGAAGTTCTGACCACTGGGAAACACTTCTAGAGAAGCTTATTCAACAAAGACAGAGTTGAGCAAAGAACTTAGGAAAAAGGTCTTTATATGTTCTCTAGTTACAGTGCCTTTACTCATTTGGAGGTGGTAGAATTTATATCAGTCATTGAAATGACTCTTTTTAAAAATTTAATTTAATTTAATTTTACACTCTGGGATACATGTGCAGGATCTTCAGGTTTGTTACATAGGTAAACATATGCCATGGTGGTTTGCTGCACCTATCAACCCATCACCTAGGAATTAAGCCCCGCATGCATTAACTATTTATCCTGATGCTCTCCCTCCCACCGTGGCCCAGCTTGTGTTGTTCTCCTCCCTGTGTCCATGTGTTCTCATTGTTCAGCTCCCACTTATAAGAGAGAACATGCAGTGTTTTGTTTTCTCTTAATATCTACTCTTAATCCTTTTACATGAAAGAAACTTGTAAGTTATGAGTGCAGTAAATGAACATATTTACTGCACTGTACTGTTCCAGTTTCAGACGAGATAGTCTTGTCATGCTATCAGCTACCGTTTTCCACAAGACACTTGTTTCCCCTTGACATAAGGGTCCCACTTCATGCTTCCTGAAGCATTGCAATCTTTTCAAAACTTAAACATCTTTGTGAGGTCCCTGAATCTTATACCTTTTTGACTTTTTTAAGGAATAATATTCTATATTGGTTGTAGAACTGCCTTTCTTCTGTGTTGGTGTCAATTAAATTGAATTTAATGAGCATCCCCTCTAAATCCAGCATTGTGTTAGGTTTTCTAAAAGACTGAAAAGAAAAAAAAATGTGAGGCTGAGTCTTGGGCATAGTCCCTCCTCAGCTTCCTTCCTCTCACCTGAGTTCAAAGATTCCCTCATAGTGTATCTCCTTTCTTGCCCCAACTGTCAAGCCATTTCATGTTTTCAGAAAGAATATCAATAATTGAAAAAGGAACCTGACCTCACCATTAAACTGTGCTCCTCAAACATTAGATTCGGTTGTCTGAACACAACGGCTGGGTTTCTGCACACTTCTCCAAATACATATGTCACTAGTAATCACAGGCCAGGACTTGAGCAGAAGTGATACCATGTGCTTCCATGGTCTTTGAATCAAAACACTCACCACCTCCTTCCCAGGATGGCTAATTACGCTTAGGTAATTAGACTTCATCTGCCTGGTAAACTACTAAGTACATAAATTGCTTGTCATAAACTTTTCCTTTGCCTTTACCCCTCTGTGTGGTACAGTTTCTGCCAGAAAAGCTTCTGCCAGATCAGTGCTCCTCTCAGTTTGGATAGTTTTTGCCATTTTTCGAATCCAACATAAGTAACATTCCCCCTGATTCCAACCACCAACTTGTTTGACCCATTGAATTGATTTGAGTCAGAGAAACCACTATTTTATATTGCTTCTGAGATTGGAGTTTATCTTTCCAATGATCCCTGGAATCATACTTTGAATACTACACATTGAGACATCTGATGGTTCTCTATGGGGATTCATAACCTTAGAGTTTTCATTAACACGGGAGAACAAAAAAATTTTTAAGCAAAGCTGAAACCAAATCCCACCAACCAGAGCTGATTTCTGGGATGGTAGAATGAGAATATGAGTTTCTTATCTTCCAAACATTATCTTCCTTTACAAATCAGTTTGCCCACCCAACAAATTTCACCCTTTAATAACATTATTATTCTTCCAGATTTTCAACTTCAAAGTCCTCTTTTTCTTTTCTTATATTGCATCTACTTACTCTTTAATATCTAATTTTCTCGGCTTGCCATTTTCCACTGCATAATTGTATTATGTGGCTTCCCTCATTTTACATGTCACGTATCATCTGAACTCTATGTTTTCTGCTTTAATCCATCTTGTATGCCATTACCAGTCTTTATTAAGCATTACTTTAATAATATCAATTTTCTATTCAAAATTTTCCAGTGGCTTCATATTTTCATAGATAATTAAGATTAACCTTGTTTTAGATATTGTGATTTTGACCATGAATTCTGTCTTATTTCACACTTATTCAAAATATACCTTCTTATCCCTGTCAAAGTTGGCTTCTTTGCTATCTCGTGAACATGTTAAAACCATTCCCATTTTTGTCTCCACAAAAGTGGATGGCAAACTTAAATTGGATATTAGATCGATTTTAATAAAGGAATATTTTTGTTTATACAAAAGTACGGACAGAAGTAGGGAAACTACCAAAGAGAGTATAATTCCCTATGGTTAATATCACTGCAGACTGTTAAAGCAGAGGGGCCAGGAGATTAAGCAGATACTAGGAACTGCAAGAGGAGATTGGTGTTGATAGTATGACCAGGAAAGTCCTGATGATCGGTGAAAGATCACAGCCAAGCTCAGGCCCACAGGGAGAGTCCAGGAGAATCATTACCCTAAAATCTCCTTTCTCCTTCCTCTGATATCACAATAGGGGTATCATTTGGCAAAGCCCATTAAAGACTGATGGTATAGAAACATGTTGAAGACTAAAAAGCCTGTCACCGCGGGGTGTGAAGAAAAGGTGAGAATGATTTTGTAGTTAAAAAAAAAAAGATATCCAACATACTTATTTAATTTTTCTTGAATTTATTTTATCTTTATATCTTTGCACTTCCAACTCATCTTATTCTTATCTTTGTATTTGCATACAATAAACACACTCTTATTAGTATACAGGTTTATGAGTTTTAACAAGTGCATAGAGTAGTGCAACTACTATCAAAATTAAGATACAGAACATATCCATTACCTCCCCAAAATTTCCTCATGCAGTTCTTTGCAGTGACCTCTTCTGTTCCTCTAACCTGGCATCCAGTGCTGTATTCTCACTTCAATGGAGTATTCTGTCTTCCAGAACCTCATGTGAATGAAATCATATGACCGCAAAAGGCAGTATATAGCATGTAAGTATGGCTTCTTTCACTTATCAAAGTGTATTTGAGATTCATTCATGTTCTTGAGTATATCAATAGTTCATTTGCTTTTGATTGTAAAGAAATATTTTATTCTATGAATGCACCATATTTTTAAAAAATCCATTCACCAGTTGAAGGACATATGAGGTATTTCCCATTTGGAGTGATTATGAATAAAGCTGCTATAAACTTTTACATACAGACTTTGTGGTGTGAAGCTCACCTAAGAGTAAGATTGTTTGGTCATAGAGTAAGTGTTGTTTTACTGTACAAAGTGACTTAACATTTTGCATTCCCTCCTATGAGCAATGTGTGAGAGTTTCACTTGCTCCATATCCTCATCCCATGCTTGATATTGTCATTTTGTTTTGTTTTTGCTTTGCTTTGTTTTGCTTCAGCCATTCTAGTATCTGTAAAGAGCTATCTCATCGTGATTTACATTTACAATTAGTGACTAATGATGTTCAGCCTGTTTTCACGTGCATGTTTTGCCATCTTCTTTGTATCTCATCTCTCCATATATCTTCTTTGCACACCCACCTGCTTAAAATTTTGTCCATTTTTTTATTAGATTGCTTTTCTTTTTGTATTGTCAGTTCTTCATATACTCTGAGAAAAGGTCCCTTGTCACATGTTATTTACAAATGTTTTCTCCTGGTCTGAAACTTGCCTTTTCATTCTTTTAATAATGACTTTTCAAGATTAAAAGAGTAAATGTTTACACAAAAAGAACTAATCATTAAAATAAAATATATTTAAAAGAAAAGGCAAGGGACAATATTTTATAATATTATTTAAATACTAAATGAAATGCACAATTTTCTAGACAGAAAATATAATTCATCAAAATTGGCCTCAGTAGAAGGTTAGAACAACTATCATAGAAGAAATAGGGAAGTGGCAAGCCTACTGGTTTTGAGAGGGAATTCTGACAAACTTTTAAAGACTGTATAATCCCAATGTGGCTTAAATTATTTGAAAACATAGTAAAAGAGAAAACAAAATTAAATTCCGTTTTAAAATTTGCTTCAAAATAATGCAGGGGGAGCACGTGTAGGAAGTACAAATCAGACAAAATTGGTCTTGAGTTAAGTAAGAAATATTAAAGCTACCTGGCTAAGTGTGGTGGCTCGCGCCTTTAATCCCAGTACTTTGGGAGGCTGAAGCAGGCAAATCACCTGAGGTCAGGAGTTCCAGACCAGCCTGGCCAACAGGGTGAAACCCCATTTCCACTAAAAACAAACAAACAAACAAAAAAAAAAAAAAAGAAAGAAAAGAGAAACAGAAATATCAAAACCACATGATAGGAACACAAAGGTTAATTATACTCTTCTCTGTAGTTTATAATGTGTGAAATGTTGCACAGATATAGTTTTTAGTAAATCACACCACAAACACACAAACAACATAAAACATTTATGAATAGAAATGAAAAAATGACACAGCAATAACTTTCATAAATCTATAGGAAATAAAAATTTTAAATAGAATCCCACCATTAATAAGAGATATGGACAAAATATTACAAGCTAAGACAAGTAATTGAAACAAAAAATTAATAAGTGAGAATAGAATAAATCTCACTGCTTCATTTAAAAAATAATTAAAACAACATTTTCTGATGATGATACATTAAACTAGAATTATTTTTTAAAGAGGGTGAGAAGCCATTACAACCAGAATTTTAAAACTTCTTTAAGAACATCTTTGTATTAAAAGGAGTAAACAAATCAAAATTAAAGAATTTCTTTTAGAAATAATCACAACTCTACCAAAAATGTTTTATGGAATACAATTAAAACAATGTTCAGAGAAAGATTTGTGGTTCTTAATACAAATAGCAATTAAAACTGGGAAGGGGAGATAAATCAACTAAGCATCATTTAATAAAGAAAGAAAATAACAACTAAATAAATATAAGGAAAGCAGAAAAACAAAATAATAAGGATAACACCAGAAAACAGTAAATTAGAAAACAGGAAAATTAATATCTTTTTAAAAGTTGGTTTTTTGATGAAATAAAAAAAAACAAACCCAATAGCTAACAAAACCAAGAAAAAAGGGAAAAAACATAAGCAGAAATACACAAAATTAAAATTATAGAGAAAATAACTTTTGAAGTTACAAGAATTTTTAAAATTTTCTTAGATGACTTTATACAGTTCTTTGGAAGTCAAGTTGAAAACTTAAATGAGAAAAGTAAATTTCTAGTTAAAATTTGCCAAAACAATCCTGGGAAGAAGAGTAAGTTTGAATTTCAATACCCATAGAAGAAATAGAGAACAATATGAAAATGCTATACTCCCAAAAAGGCCCTCATTCAGATGTTTTCATACAGACTGATTTTAAATCTTCAAAGAACAATAATGTTATGCTATTTAAATTATTCCAAGGCTTATAAAATAAGGAAAACGTTCAAATTAATTTCATAAAAGGGCATTAACATTGATCCTCAAACCTGGCAATGATTGCAGCAATTACAACCACACAAATGACTGACTTACAAACTAATCTCTTATAGATACTGATGAAAAGTTATAAACAAATCATTAGCAAATAGAATTCAGCAGTGCATTTGTTAAAAATGCATTACGAGTAAGTTACACTTATCCCAGAAGACTAAAGACAAATCAAAATCAATATCTTAATTAACAGGAAACATCTTTCTCAGTTATTAAAACCATGAAAAAGGCAAGAATGACTATAATATCCACTACTACTTAATATTATATTGGAGGAATTAGCCAATACTTCAGACAAGATTAATGATTTGAGGCATAAAGATGAAAAAGAAGGAAAAAAATTGTTTTTATGTTTAGGTTATATGACAGTATACCTTGAAACCAGAGGCAACCATTGAAAAAAATTAACACAAACAAGAGAATCAGTAATTTAGCATGTTACAAAAGTTAAAATACAAAAATCAATAGCCCCTTTATGACCCAAAATAGCCAAGTTTAAAATATATTGGAAGAGAAAACAACACTTATTATAGAAACAGCAAGAACAAATATCCATTAATATTTTTAACAAACAAATGGAAAATGTAAATGAGGAAAAATCTAAAATATCATTGAAAGACTGAGAAAGTAGGTTCTGTCACATGGAGAGACCTTTTATGATCTTGGATAGAAAAACTCAATTAAAAGATTCCACTACTTCCCATGTTAAGGTATACATTTAATGTAATACCAACACAATCTAACGTTTTATTTTATTTTCTTCATCTGGAACTACACACAGTAACTTTAAAATTAATATTCCAATAAAAAGGGACTGTCTGGAAAACCCTGAAAAATATGAACAATTGAGTTGAAAAGAGTATATATATTTGTGTATATATGTATTTGCATGTACGTAAAAATTTAAAAATAACCAGTATATATAATAACCACATATGATATGTGTTATATTATAACATATATTAAATTCTATATGTATCAATAGTATGTTATACATTATATTATTTAATATATGCTGAACATTTGTATTTTATGTTTTATATATAATATGCATATTACAAAGCCAATAATACTAATAAAACAGAATAAAATACAAAGACTACTAAAATATATATGGAAAACATTTATATAATGAAGATGTAATCTCAAATATCTGAGAAAAAGATGGAATTTTTAATCATTAGTGTTGGAACACTTAAATGGCAACTTAGTACAAATTTATTTGAAAATGGTATTTCATGCAACCCACTTCAATAAATTAAAAATGGAGATCTAAATGTAAAAATTAAAACATGTAAGTATTAGAAAAAATGAGTGAATTATTTTATAACATGAGAGTGGAGAATGTTTTTCCAACTAACATTCAAAAATCCAAGTAATGAGAAAAATGATTAAATTAGATAATGTTATTGTTAAATTGCATGGCAAAATAACAAGTGATGGAAAAAGACAAATGACAAACTGGCAAAAAAATACTTGCAACTAATATCACACATAGATGTGTTGAGTCTCTAATGGAGTCAACAATGTTAAAAATCAAGGAAAGACATAGCTTCTAGAAAGGCAATGTGAGAAGTTCCACAGACCTACAGCCTAGCAAGACAACAATAACTGATGAAAATATTAATTTTTAAAAAATTAAAGTCTTTGCAAATTGTGCTAAGGGCATACAGAAAATACAGAAACTTTTTTTTTTCCAAGAAAATTTACTCCACTTTGTTTAGAGCACAGTCTCTGACACTTGACCAGGACCTGCCTGCCCCCTCCCTCCCTAGCCAACTTGCAACAAAATACTCCAGTCCAGATGGGATGGGTGTGGCCACAGGACCAAGTCTAGGACAATGTTATCTTCCCCAGGAGGATCAGGCTGCCAGGATTTCTTACTGTCCCCCAGCTCCATTTCGTAAAGGCTAAATTTAGGCAGGTGAGTGAACCCAAGTGTTAGGGCTTTCTTCCTCCATCTGGCCCCACTCATAGGGCAGAGCCTCTATTCTAGTCAGGGCTCCCAAGAATACTGGGTCCTAATCATCTTCATCCTGGGATCCTCATAACACAGAGGTTCCAAGCTGTGAGAGACAAGCTGGAATGACCTGTGTCTGCTGCCTTCACCCAGCTACTCCTCATCAATCAGCAGTGTCACTCTGAAAGAAGTGGACCACCAGTCCTTTTATTTTATTTTTTTTAATTTTTAATTTTTTTTTTAGATGGAGTTTTGCTCTTGTTGCACAGGCTGAAGTGCAGTGGCGAAAGTACTGGAGGGGTTGGCTTAGCCCTTTCTCTCCTTTCTGTCTTGTGAGGACATAGCATTTATCTCCTCCAGGGGACAAAGCAACAAGTCACCATCTAGGAAGAAACTGGGCCCTTATCAGACACCACACTTGCCAGCCCCTTGATCTTGGACTTTCCAGCCTCTGGAACTATGAGAAATAAATTTCTGTTCTTCATAAATTAAAAAAAAAAAGAAGGGGACCACCATCCCACCCCCAGCTCAAGAGCAGCAGCTCAGAGATTTTGCTCTGGTCACAAGAACAGAGCTCTGTAGCTTTTATCAAGGAAACTGACTTCATTTAAAATTGAGTGTAGGGCTCTTCAAGTCTAAGGTTACTGTTAAAAAACAATGAAGAATTTTGTAGAAAGTTATTAAAAGGAAGCTGGTAGCTCCATGAGAACAGCAAGCTAAACTGAAGGCCAGCTATTTTACCAGAAAGAACTAAAGAAAGAGACAGATTTTTAAATGCCTCCAAGGGGTCAGAGCAAAACTAAAAAAATGTGCCTGTAAATGCTATCAGACCTCAGAGAAATGTGTGCCCTAGGGCATTGTTGAAAATACAGCAATTAGTCAGCTATTAGTGCAGCCTAACAGCTATAGGTGATACCATCAGAAGTAGACAGCTAAATAGAAAGATCAGAGAAAGTAACCAAAAAAAAAAAAAAATCATGCTAATACTACTGTAATCCCTGGAAACTGTCCATGCCCAAGGCTGCACCCTCTGAGTGATATCAGGGGCTTTCAATGTGAGCTGAGCAGTAGTATTTCCTGGTGTAAGGTAACAATTATGAGGAGGACGTCAAGAGGATCTGCAGAAACCCTGGTCCTGGCATTGGAGCATTGTTGAAGCAAAGCCAGTAGTCACCTATATGCAGACTTCTTGATATGTGAGGAAAAAAATCCCAACTTGGATATGCTCTTATAAATCAGATGCCATGCATCTTGCTTGTGCAACCATGATGATGAAGAATAAAATGTGCAGGGTTTTGTTTTTCCAAACTTCATAGGACTCAGTTCCTAAATCACCTGGTGGCGAAAGGGAAGGTGGTAATGGAGTTTTAAAATGTAGATCCCTGGGCTTTGCTCTAAGACTTCTGATTTGGTGGTCCAAGGTGAGGTTCAGAAATCTGTATTTTTAATAAGAATCTCAGGGATTTGGGGGGTAAAAAAAGATACTTGGCTGGCAGTGTTCAGTTTCAAAAATTATGAGAATTTACATACCTTAATACAATTATCTTCCAAACTTCTTAGTTTTCATTAGATTCCTGTGTTGAGAAACTTCATTCAGTTATTTGGGGACATAAATATGCCCAGAATTTCAAGAGTTACATTTATGTGAAAAGATAAATTAAAATAATTTAATTAACAAATTCATTATAACCACATTTATATTTCATTGTAATTTATAAACAATGACTCCGTTATATTCTGCAATGAGCACTCTAAGTAAGAAGTCATTCAACTCGGTAGCATAATTAAAGAGTGGTACCTTAATTTTGTATTACTGTGGACACACAATGAGGTATTTATTCTATTCCTTGCTCTCACCTTTCAATCTACTGCTTCTAGTTTATACCTCCTTTTTTGTCTGTTCACGATAAGAATTAGTAAATACTCTATTTGTGTTCTCTGCAATTTCAATGGCATGTTAAGTGTAACAAAAACATCCTTTACTCCCAAGAGCTTAAATCCAAAGCTTTCCATTAAGAGAATGGTTGACTTCATTTGCTTCTGGGATACAGCAAGAAAGAATGTAGAGGGAAAATATAACTTTTTGGATGACACATCAGTCCTGTTTGAATCCTTCAAACTTAAACAGCCAAAAGAAATGTTCCTAAACTAAAGAACTATGAAGTACTAATTTTGGATTCTTGACTGCCAGATTATCAAATAAGTCACTTTTAATCTATTTTAGTCCATTTAGAAAGATGAGGGCAATATCACATACTTCAAGGCATGGCTATGGAATATATGAAAGTGTGGGTAAATAATTTGTGACTGAAAACTGCTAAGGATTATTTTAAGGGCTGTGCCTCAGAGAGCATCTGTCTGCACTGCCTGTGCCGCACTTGGGGTTGGGGAGGTCTGCAAAGGCGAGTCATTCCATTTAGCTTCTTCATGACTCATTGATCTAAGCTTTTAGACACTGCTTGAACTTCACATTTCTTAGAAGTGGTTAGAGCGAGTAGCAGACTGCTCACTGGGGACAATTTGGAATGCCCCTAAAGCAATATTAATGATGACATGCATTAGATATGTAGGGGAATCTGAAAGGTGAAAAATTATGGACCTATACGGTATATTACCTCCAATGCTTCCAATTTTGCTCTGGGGTGGATTTTCTCTAAAAATATGTTATCCGAGTGACTGTTAAAAATTCCAATAGCAATAACTTGTCTGGCTGTGACTGTGAGTTTTCAGCATCTCTGCCAAGTTTTATGGTGAAGATTCTGCAAAGCAGTAGAAATCTGAAATCTGGCACATACCCCAGACTCATACTGCTCAGGGGCTCTAAATAATAAATGTTCTTTATCCAATGTTCATTCCAGGTACCCTTCCAGCAGGAGTGAGCATCTTTGTTATAAAGCAGAAAAAAAGTGAAGATTTTGGAGACAGTTTGTGTGTTTTACTTTAGTTTCGTCTGAAAATGCAGCCTGAGAAGGGGTTTCAGGGTAGGTAGCTTATCTGAGATACAATCTCAGGACACAGAAGTCAGAAAGGGAGGGAGACAGAAAGACCACAGGAAGAAAAAACAATATATGTGTGTATTATTGCTTCTACTGCTAAAGGCAATTGGGCTCAGTTCATCTAGAACCTCTGAGAAATGAACAGAACACTTCCCAGAAACAGCCTCATGAAAATCAAGAGGCTGAAACCGTTATCCACTGACATCTATCTCACATTGGTTGAAGGTCACTGTTAAGGGTATTAGCTTCAGGCTGTTCCTACACATGGGCCAAGCAAGTTCTGCAGGCATCTCTGAAAGCCCTGGAGCACAATGCGTTGATTCAGGCTATGCTTGGTGAGGTACAGCAAGGTGAGTCAGACCTTGTATTCCCCTGTCTACTGCAGGTGAGACTAAAAATGAGATAAGCCAACTGGCATCTACTAGAATCCAGCCCATCACCCTGTTCAGATTGTCTCATGTCTCTCATGGAGTCCATTCTGTCACTGCATTTTCAAGGTGGTGACTGGCTACAATTTCTTTCAAAAAGCTTTATATAGGCAGGTTCAATAAATAAGAAATGGTCCCCCTTGCTGCAATTGGTATCAAGATCATAACTGAAATCTATCACTTTCTTTTCAACCATCCATTCTAAATTTCTCTCACTCACCCAGTACTCCTGCAGAACTAAGTTGCTTGCCTGGTAGCATGTCTCATATCTTCAAGCCTGAGGGATCTGTCCTGGTTACCTTGCCATTTTTAAGCCATGGTTGCTACAATTGTCCATCCACAGTTTTCACCAGGCATAGAAACACAAAGGAACAACCCAGTGGATCCTGAAATTGTAGACATACTCTCCTCTTCGCTCCTGATGGCAATCAAAATGATGCTCAAAAATACATCCCATTTTTGTGCTGAAATAAAGAGTCCAAAATAAACAATCAGAGCTCCAGTTTGAGGGGAAATGTCCTTTCCCTGATGTCTTTTCCCTTGCCACTACTCCCTCTGCTCCCAGCACAGACCTTTAATCCAGTGGGCCTAAGATCTGTATTATACGTATTCTGAAGATGTGTTGCCGGCAGTGATGGGGTGGGAGGTAATTCTATCGGTATCTTTGTTGAATGCAGACATCTAATAATACCTATCCCAGGTCCCAAGGTGCCATTATTTCTTCCAAGGGCCCTTACCTTTAGCAAAGGATGCCTCTCAGAGATATACATTCAGTCTTCCTAGAGCCTTCACCCTTGTAACACAATCCTGGGTACATTTTTAGCATATTTTGCCCTGTGGCTGCTGGTGATACTTGATTGATGCCATGGAGTCCTTCTGGCTATAAGAAAATGCCCTGTGTTGATAGTCGAGAGGAATCAGGAAGCAGAGAAATTGAGACAAGATGGAAAGCCAATATATTAAGAGTGTATTATGTAGAATACTATTGCAGGCAGTAGTAGCTCAGTTCCTCCAGGACTTCTAAGAATCATAGAAAATGCTCCCAGAATTATCCAGTGAATCTCTTCCCCTGATAGAGGTGTTAAATTTTTTGTAATTCCAGGCTGTGCAGGAGCACAGGCTGAAATGTGATCTGACTAAGTTAGATGAGGTCTTGTGAGAGAATGGAAAAAGATGCAAGGTACTTTAGTAGGTGGGATGCTGGCAGTACAAAGCAGGCTGAGCTTTACTGGAACTGTCCCCTACAATTAAAATTGAGATCAGAAGTATGTAGTCAATGTTATTGTGAAAAGAGCATGTAATGTGTGAGCTGTGATGCTCTTCGCCTGACTTAAGCCCTCCCCCTCCCCATGTTGAACACTATCCTGCTAGTCACTCTGCTCAAAAACCACCCCATCAATGAGGTATCTGTGGAGGTGCTCAGAGAGCAGCCAGAGACCCACAGCATATTCTCCTGTACTTTCATGTACTGGCCTGCAGATAACACTGATTGCATGTAAAAAAAAAAAAAAAAGGAAAAAAAGACCTGATGATTGCAGGTCTTATTGGAAACTTAGACCACAAAGAGTAGAGAGGGGACCCTCCTCCTGCACCACTCCTCACAGTGCATATCTAAATCTGGCTGTACAGAACTTGATATTCTTCTCCAAAGACAGGAGGCAAGAAGTTGTGTTAAGCACTGGGCTTGGGGGATGACAGACCAGAGTTTAGATCCTGGGCCTTAACCTACTATGCATTCTTTGTCAAGTTAGGCAAAGTGTCCAATTTTTGACTGTCTCATCCTTAACAGGAGAATATCATCTCTCTTCACAGGCCTGTCAGAAGGATACTCTGCTGGTTTTATGTATTTCTATACATTACATACAATAGGCAATGTGCTTTATACATTGCCTGGTGCATAGGAAATGCTCTGTAAATATCCCTGTGGATGAGAGCTTTTAGCCAGCTGGGACTTTGCCATCTTCTCTATCGTCCCAGAATGCACCTCTGCCATGCATCCTTCACAGCCTCTGAATTGTCCTTGAATGTGCTTAGTCAGAGTTAATTGCCCAGTAATATTTGTGGACCAAATATAGTCTTATGTAAGACACTGCCAGATATCTTGAGAAAATACAATGTCTTCTGCATTTCTCTTCATGTATCAGTCTAGGAACCCTGTTGAAGAAGAGTCACTTAAATCTTACATGGCTTACAATTAGAAGATACATGATATACCTTTCTAACTTTTCCCAAACATTTTGGTAAATCTCTTTCAACTCTTCCATAGATAGAATCTATAGTTAGTAGAATCAGACTGGTGGCCATCTATAATTTTTGGATATAAAGCTCATGCTGTTTCAGATCTTCAAAGAACCCTGTCCAAGGCAGGATTGATGTGCAAGAGATTTATTGAGGAAATGCCACAGAGCATAAGGGGTGGGGGAAGTGGGAGAAAAGAGCCTTCAGACTGTGATGCATGTGTGGTCTCTATGAGAGGAAGAGGAAAAGGAAGGTGAGGGTAGGAAGGGCTTCAGACTATAGTGCATATCTGAGATAGTCTCACCAAGCTGACAGTTTTACTGAAACACCAGGGGTTTGGTCTAGGTCCCACAGCCTGCCTCACAGAAAGCCAATCGCTGAGACAATGAGTATTGCCAGAGGAGAAGATTTTAATTGGGTGCTGCAGCTGAGGAGATGGGAGATCAGTCTCAAATCCATCTCCCTGACCTAGTAAAATTAGGGGTTTATATGGTAGAGAAGAAATGTAATCATGTGTGGGAAAACAGGAATTAGGGAAAGATAAGAGAAAGTTGGTTAACAGGATGCAGATGGTCAGTTAGGGAATCATGAAGGGTGAGGAGTCTGGTGTCTCATTGCCCTGGCGCAATGATCTGATAAATTTCGGTTCTTTGATACTGTCTGGGAGGCCTGATGGTTGATTTCCTGAGAAAGGAACTCAAATAAAACAAATTTAATTTTCTCAAGTTTCAAGACTGGGAGGGTCAATTTCTATGGTTATTCAAAAGAAACCATAAACATCAGTTCTATGGAAACTCCTGTTTCAATAAGTGATCTCCAAGGAGAGACTGCAGTTAGCCGTTCCAGGTCAGGCATGTGTGGCCTGGGCCGATAGCCCTGCCATGCTCAGTCACTGATGGGAGCAGCAGGGGGAAGCAGGCCTCAGCATGGGGACTGCAAGGGACTCAGAAGTGCAGCAGCTGGGGGCTGTTAGTCCCCACAGGAGGGTGTCCTGCCAGAGACAGAGGTGGAGCACCTCCGTGGCTACAAACCTATCTCTCCACTTCAAAGCACCACTATCCCACTTTAAATCTTTAAGCATATATAATTTCTGGCCCCAATTCTGTGACTAGCTTGGGGTATAAATTGGCAAAGCAAGAATATGTGAATTAATTAATTTATTTATTAATTTATTTATTTTTTCTTGAGACAGAGTCTCACTCTGTTGCCCAGGCTGGAGTGCAGTTTCAGGATCTCTGCTTACTGCAACCTCCACCTCCTGTGTTCAAGCGATTCTCTTGTCTCAGCTTCCTGAGTAGCTGAGACTACAGGTGTGCGCCACCACACCTGGCTAATTTTTGTATTTTTTGAGTAGAGACAAGGTTTCACTATGTTGGCTGGTCTCAAACTCCCACCTCAAGTCATCTCCCTACCTCGGCCTCCCAAAGTGCTGGGATTACAGGCGTGAGCCAACACACCTGGCTCAATTCATTTAAAGCTAAGTGTGTAAACTTATACATATAGATACCATGTAAAGCCTCTAATGCTCTCAGTAACGCATAATCTGCAAGATAGTTTGGAGTCAGATGGCAAGAGATAGTTGTTCTGTTATTCAGCACTCATTATCTTGCCCATGCATGACATTTGGCTCAGCCCATTCAGTCCTGCCCTGTCCCAGATGTGTAGAATTTTAAATGAAGAGTTAGCTAGGTTTTGGTTGTGCCGAATGTTGATCTTTTCTGAGTAGTTGATTGCAGATTTTTGCTGCATCATTGGGCACTGGCATTTACCCAACTCCAGGTATTTCAGGCAATACCTTTGATGGATCCAGAGCTTTCTTTCTCATTCAGTGACTCGTTCCTTCACTTTTCCACCCCTTGCACATTTCTTGTTAAGGGATGCTCATGTTCACTGCAGTTGGCAGGTTGAAAGCAGGGCTTCAGACTGCTCTTTTAACAGAAAGCTTTGTGTTTGTTCTGTGGTTTATCAAACAGCTTCACAGGCACTTTAATGAGTTTTCCAAGCTCATCTTTTGTCTCTATTGATGAGCATTGGGCTGTATTATTATTTTTTTTTTCCAGGAGGGAGTCTTTCTCTGTCTACAGATCAATTTGGACTTGACGTTTAAAGCTAAGACTTCCTTCCATTTCTGAGTAGTTTTGTTGATATCAGTTTGTACACCCTGTCAGTTCCAATGCTATTTAGTATCTTTTCTAATTTAGCCTTAGGAGCATTGCAGAAAATATAAACAACCTGGCTCTGCTGGGACTTCTGACACCCCAGTGTTAGTTGCAATTTATCTGTTCTGTTGATAATCAAGAAGCCAGACAGGTTTTATCTTTTCAACATCCTATGCCATGGCAAATTGAATGCCATGAGTTTTCTCTTCCAGGTGGAGTGAAATAGTTAACTAGGTCAATTTTTGGTGTTGGGAGACACAAATGTCTCTTGATTTTTTTCT
Source organism: Homo sapiens (assembly GCF_000001405.40). Taxonomy (NCBI): domain Eukaryota; kingdom Metazoa; phylum Chordata; class Mammalia; order Primates; family Hominidae; genus Homo; species Homo sapiens. The sequence goes on from NC_000008.11 coordinate 62,199,808, forward strand.
CCCCAAAGAGATCTGAGAGTGGCAGGTTTGATCTGATAGGGGAAGCAAGTGCTCAGTGTCTGAGAGTTGCTCTGGATAACTCTTCACTGCTTCCCAAAAGATGAGGTACAGATATTAGAATATCACCTTAACATAGGCAGCCAAATTCTCATAGATTATGTCACCTGTTCTGTCTGAAAAGTGTACTTCCTCCTTTGACCATACCTTCCTAGAAAAAATAATTACTTAGGACAGCAAATGCTTCACAAATAGCAGTTCCTTATTTATCAAATCACTTTTGTGAGGCAAAATAAATAAATAAATAAAAGCATAAAGGTATAATGCAGACAAGTTCTGAAGTGGTAATTTGAAGCAATTATTGATGTCTTTCTATTTCCATGATTTGATGATTCTACCTAACATTGCTTTTCACCTTTCTTTTTATATGTGCTCATTTTTAATTAGGCACCAATTGTCTGGCATACAGAATCACAGAGAAGTGTGTCACTGACAAAAATACATGGCTAATAGGTCACACATAACTGAGTACCTTCCGTTATATGTACGTTTTTCTTCTGCTGGCTTTTATTCCACTGAATTATGAGAAGAATAAAGAGCTTTTTTTTTCCCCTTTGCATACATTTTTGTTTCATTCTATTGCATATTCTGCCTGCTTTTCCTGGGGACAATGTCTGCTATTTTATACCTTTGTTTCTTGCCTTCCTTCAGTGTGGCCATCTAGCATAGTGCTACGTTTCAGGATGGGAGAAAACACAAAGGCATCGGCCTCTTCTCTTTGACCTTGAGGTCTGATATTAAAGGGGGCTTCTTGTGCTATGTCCCCACATGACAAAGAGAATGCTATGAATGCCTCGAAACCACTTTCGGCTCAATTCCATTAAGTGAAAATTTATGGAAAGTAGTTCCATAGAGTTATGGGGACACACTTTTTATGATTATTATTATTGATTGCAATCGGTTTCAGTCCCACTTCAAACCTGGTATCCAGGGTCCATGGTGGAGATGGAGAAGGTTCCTGTGACCTTGGCCTCAACTATTTGGTTTTCTGTCATTTATCCTTAAAGTATGAGCTGCAGAAAGTCTGTTCTAACTATTTTATGTGCACTAAAGTAAATTTTATTTTCTTATTATAGTTTACTTCGTCAAAGTTTTAATTTTTTAGGATTAATCTTCCTTAAATGGCAGTCTCTATGCACTACAGTTTAAACAGGGAATAGGTTTTAATGGCATATACAGAATTCTGACATCATGGGTGCTGGCTAGGACAAAGAGATTCAGGGAAAGAATTTTCACACTGGGAGCTTTAATGAAAACGTTCCAGAAGAAAAAAGAGAATAATCAGAATAAATTATGAGTGTTTATTCTTTATTCTGTCTTGCAGCTTGATATAGAGAACATGTTTTAGATCAAAAACAAACATTGCAGTAATACTTTGGAGAAGGCAAATATTCTATGAATGTAATCGTTTGCAATAGATTAAACACTCAATTGTAACAATCAGTAAATAATCATCGATGTCCTATAATATCCCCAAAGAGGAAAATTAGTATAACTAAGTTTTCCTAGTGGACACTGTTGACAATAGTTGTGTACCAGGGGCTGCTAAGGGCCTATCAGCTGTGATTGCTGAGAGTGGAAGAACAGAGGTAGTAGCAGCAGAACAGGAAGTGAGTGTGGGGTGGACAGAGTTGCCTATATCTGCAACAACTTTAGGGGAAGCCAACAGAGTTGATAAGTAGACAAGTTGGTACCTATACTTGGTGACCTGTCTCAGTGTGGTCAGTCCTGGAGGGGTGGTGGTGGAAAACGGCATCATGGCTGGTCTGGTGAAGTTCTCAAAGGAGCCAAAATGGGGAAATCATCTCTCTCGACTCCATTGTCTATGCTGGTGATGGCCTGGAACCTGAGAGCCTACTGTGATTCTGGGAGTAAGTCAGCTCAATTCACAAGATTTCTTATGTGACTTCTTTTGCAGTTAGTCTTGGACAGAAGGGGATAGCTGTGACATCAACAGGATAAAGAGAGAGCTTTATACCCTGAAGCTCCTGTCTCTCTATCCACTCCCACATAATGTACCTGTGCTGAATCTCTGTGTCACTGGCTGTGCACAATTCTGCTCCTGCTTTTCTCAGTCATCAATGGAACATGTAAGAGGACATTACAAGGTTTCGTACTGGCAAAGAAAAGCAGAGTCGGGCAGTGGTGGAGAGAAACGGCTGTGACCCTGAAAATTAAGGACAGACCACTCTTTACCCAGACTTCTGGCCTCGAATGAGTCTTTCAGTGCAGGTGTGAGAAGTTTAAAAGGTGATCTAGAAAATACTAAATATACGATTAAATGTTCTCCAGAAACATCCAGAAATTCAACGACAAGAAATGCAAAAGTGAATTTTATTTTAATATGAGGATTCTTCAACTATCTTTTTCATTTTATTGAACTCAGATACCAGGCATTGTGATGACCCTGGGAGATATAGGGATAGAGAAGTCACGGTTCCATCCCCCTAGGAGTATACAGTTAATTGGATCGGAGAAGAGACATACAAACAAATAAACATCCTTTGGGTATGTCATGCTGTAAGAGAGGTAGAGAATTAGGGGAACCCAAGAAGAGAGGGGTCACATTCCCTTAAGGATCAGGAATGGGTATCTGGAAGAAGAGATCCTTGTTTAATCACCAAAGACTTTACCTTTTAACCAGTTGTATTGATGTTGATGTTATAGTGAGCTATATCCATGATAAAAGGCTTTATGTTTTTAGTGAGGATATATTTCCAGGAAAAGTCAGGCATTTTGAAAAGGTTTTTGAAGAAACAGTTTCACAAGCTAAAGGACTTCAGAAATTATGATGTATGGTGGTCATGCTGGGTGATCAGTAAAAGGCTTAAAAATTCTATATTCTCATTGAACATAAAGCCTAGGAAATTTTAGATCTTTAATTGCAGATCATTTTCTTAGATTTTACTCTAACCCTGTAGGAAATATTCAGCTTCATGAAGAAAAAATGTAGTGATTATCCCCATCTCCACACAACAGTTTCGTTCACATCATGTCATAAAATCTGATAACATTTGTATGTTTTAAAAAGAGAGAGAAAGAAAGAGTGAAAAAGAAGCAGAAATAGTCAATTATATTATAATAAAAAATGTTAGCAAATATAGTCTTGATCATTGAGTCCCCAGTAATGTCAAAGGTATCTGCTATTGACCTTATAATTTTTAGAATGTATAATACAGTGTCATACAGAATATGATGCTGCTTTTTATTAGGTGATTTATAAAAACTAAACTCCTTACATTATGATTCCCTCTGACACATGCACGGTAAGGTGGTGAGCTTTTCTAACTTCATCTCCTAGGAAAGTGCTTTGTGAATGCAGGGGCCAGGGTGAGATGTTTGGCCACACAAAGAACACAGAATTTTTCACCAGCTGGATTGAGAGACGATGAACAGCCTGGCTAAGCAACTTCATTTAATTCTTTTCCTTTCGTCTCTCTGTAGCACAATAAAGGAAATTAAAATCAGTGATTGATTGTGTTTGAGTGCATTATCATCAAGACTGAATACATAAACAATGCACCAAATGAGAAGCTATTTAATCACATTTTTTGTTACTATATATCTAACTCAGTATATCATGAGCCAAGGAACTGACATTTATTTTATTCAGAAGAAGAAAATAAATTCATTTATTTTATTTGAGTGTTTCTCCTGTGTTAATAGAACATTCTATTTTCCTTGAAAATTTTACATTAAAAAACATACAAAAATCTTTATTAAATGGAAATCATTATCATTTAACTTTTTTGAAAACACTACTGTTTTAGATGTTTCCCTTAACTGTTGGTTATTAGTTTATTTTAGTTCCTAGAAATCTTCAGTGTGAATGCTGACATTTCAAATATACCAGGAAATTATTTTTCTTCATTGGAAAGGGCTTAGGAAGCCTATTCCTTTTTCTGAATCAGATTATCTTATTGCATTAATTTTATTTGGGAATAAGCTTGAAAGTTCTAAAATATGAAAAAAAAAATGTGATCCAAACCCTTCTAATTATCAAATTTCCTTGCAAGGATAAGCTTATGCCCTGGAAGAATTGGCTTACATTTTGCATTAAATTGGTTAATTACTCATGTGGTCATAAAGACATTTGATCTAAATGGGTTATGGTACTGGCAGTGAATAAAATGAGCTGGTGTTATACAGCACTGGGCACACAACACAAGATAATCTGGAGGAAAATTTGAGATTATTTTTTAAAATGGTCTTCTCCATACTCCCTTTAAAGTATCTGTGACTTGCTAACTGAAACAATATTCATGTATTTAGTTAAATGTTTATGAGATGATAAACTTCTCAGTTTAAAGTCTTGATGAAGTGGGTTATGGTCATTCATGAAAGCTGGGGATGTCCTGGTGTAGAAGCATCTCCTAGAATTCGTACTCATGGCTTTTCCAACTTTCTACCTTAATAGCTTTGTTTGAAAAGAGTCTCCTTAAGAGGGCTAGAATTGTGTTTTTTTGTCAGTTCTCAAGTATGTTACAGTTTCCCAAATTAAAGAAGAATAGAAGGTTAGGATTTAAAATCTGCCTCTTCCCTTGATACGGTTTGGCTCTGTCTGCATCCAAATCTCATGTTGAATTGTAATCCCCAATGTTGAGGGAGCAATCTAGTGGGAGATGATTGGATCATGGGGTCACATTTTCCCTTTGCTGTTCTTGTGATAGTGAATTCTCAAAAGATCTGGTTGTTTAAAAGTGTGTAGCACTTACCCCTTTGCACTCTCTCTCTCTCCTGCTCCACCATGGTAAGATGTGCTTGCTTCCCCTTCACCCTTCCACCATGATTGTAAGTTTCCTGAGGCCTCTCAACCATGCTTCCTGTACAGCCTGTGGAACTGTGAGCCAATTAAACCTCTTTTCTTCATAAATTACCCAGTCTCAGGTAGTTCTTTATAGCAGTGTGAGAATGGATGAATACAGCCCTAAACTCACTTTGTTACCCTAGGCAAGTCAGCTAATCTGCCTGGATTTCAGTTTTCCTATTGATAGAATTGGATTAACAGCTCTTCATTCCCTATGCAACTTCAGCCCTGTAGTGGTGTGTTGAAGCAAATATTGTTCCATTGCTGGTGGAGTACCTATAATTGAAGGCTGATAATCCCACTTTGATAGTTCAAGTTCATAGGTTAGGGTAATTAATTTGATCAGAATGCCAGATGAGGCATCCTTGTTTGTCCAAGACTTTGCACAGAGGAGGCTAAGCACAGCCATTAGAGTGTACACAGCAATACAGATGTATCACCTTGATTTGTGAATATATAGGTATTTTAGCATCAAGTCATTTTTTATAGTGAAATGTCAACAAGTGGACTCTAACTAATTTAGATCCTGTGTTGATCTTACCTAAGGAGAAAAACCTATGGCTTCAGCTAAAAAGCTCAGTTAGATAAATCGCTGTGTAAATGTATCTCCTTTATAGAAAAATTGATACAGCCCTGGGAACCTTGTATCTGCTTTCTTTTAGCTCTTCTAAGGTGAAGACTGGGTGCCAATAAAAGATATGGAAGATATAAGAAGAAACTCCAAACAAGTGTCAAATAAGATTAACGTTTTCTCCTGACTGACCACTGGTTTGTTTGGTATGCACATACGATTTAGGAAGGCAAAGCCTGGGTTTATATATAAAAAATATTTAAGACCCCCAAAATCTGATCATGTTAATTTCTATATATTGCAAATTATATGGAAACTGTATATTCTGATGTTAAGATAAGCATTTAGAACATAGAAAATATAAAAATAAAAAATTTCCCAACATTAAATTTTTTAGTCATTCCTTACTCCTAATTTTTCTTTATTAAAACATTCAGAGTAATAAGTACCGCATTTGCCTCAGAAACTTTTAAATAAGAAATAAACTTACAGATATAATAGAAGCTTCTATTTCAATCCAATTCCCCAAATCCCAAAGATTATGCTTATTCACATTTGTGTATAGCCACAGTTTGTGTTATGATATGTGCTTTTAGAGTTCCCATAAATTATATCATATTTTACATATATTTTTGCATTTGCTATTTTCACTCAACATTGTTTTCCAGATTTATCCATGTTGATCCATATAAATTCAGAAAATTAATTTTAACCGATGTGTAGTTTTACATTGTATGCACATACCCATGATTCACTTTTCCATTTTTCTAGTAATGAACTTTAAGATTATTTCCAATTTTTGGCTATTACCAATAATAATTCAACAAATGTCTTTGGACATATCTCTTCTGGAAATGTATGTGGATTTCTCTTTGAAAAGGTTTACCTGGTGAAATTTCTAGTGTTTTATATATATATATATACATATATACACACACACACACACACACACACACATTACATATTTTCAGCTTTACTATATATTTCCAAAAAACTATCCAAAGTGGAAGATTTAAACCCCCCTTAGCAGTATATAAATTCATGGTTCCTAAAGCCCTTGGCATAGTTTTGTGTTTTTAAAGAAAAGAGCATAAAGTCTTATTGCTGTTAAATTTTACCTTACTCTTTTAAAGTGTATTTTCATAATAATTTACTATTCATTTTATCATCTGTTGTGAATATTGTGTCATAGTTCTTAATCATTTTTTCTACTGAATTATTTATTTTGTATCATTAATTTGTAGAAATCCTCTTTATATTATATTTTTCAATTATATATTTTGTAAATATTTTACCCAATTTTCTGGCTTGCATTTAACCTTTAGGATGCCTATAATTTTTCATTTTAATACCATCTAATTTATTATTCTCTGTTTTTATTCTTCATATGTTCTGGCATTTGATTAATAGGCCATTTGTTGCCCAATGTCATTAGTTTTCTATATATACTTTAAAATATCTAAACATTTAATATTCATAAATAATTTCACAAATAGTTTAAGATTTGAGTCTTCAGCCTAAATAGACATAGGTTTTTGTGATATAGTGTAATATACAGATTTTTACTTATATATGGATAGTCACTTATTCTGACATCATTTATTGAATAGTATAATTTTTCTACTGGCTTGTAGTATCATATCTTTCATTACAAGTCCAATGTATTCAGCATATCTATGGATATATTTCTTGATGTTCCATTTTCTTCCAATTGGTTTCAATGTATCGCTGAGCCAAAGCAAATCATTTTAATTATTATAATTAAAATACATTTAAATATTGATAGGGTATTATTCTTCAAAATAATTTTGGTTCTTCCTTTATTGATTATTTTAATATGACTTTTCCAATCAAGTTCTAAAAAATTACTTGTGGTATATTTATTGGAATAACTGTAAATGTATATATTGGTATATTTGCGATTGTAAGCCTTTCCATGCATGAATATGGTATACCTATGTTTTGTTTAGGTACTCTGTTATGTCATTCTATAAAATTAAATAAAAGATCATGTTTATGTTTTCTGAATTCTTAGGTACATTAATGTTTTGTGTTATCATGAATGTGATATTACAATATTTTTAATAGATTGCTACTGTTTATAAGAATTTCATGTTTCTTTTTGCTTTGCCTTCATATCTAAAAACCTTGCTGATTTGATTAGTGCATCCACAAATTTTCTTTGATTTTCTATGGGTAATTTAAAAATCTCCACACAATGAGATTGCAGTAAAAAATAGTTATTATGCTTCAACATTACATATGGAGGTGTTGATGGTTTTGTTATAGATAAACTTACCAGGTTAAGAAATTTGTCTGCCTTTCCTAGTTTGATATAAGGATTTTAATATAAATGAATATTGTATTTTATCATCTTATTTTTTCCTACATCTTCTGAGGTAATCCTATGTTTTCCCTCTTTCAATCTCCTAATGGTGAATGGCATTAAAATATCTTCTATTGTTAAAACATTCTCGCAATGCTGTATAAAACCAATGCCATTATTTTGTATTACTGATGGATTTTTGAAAAATATATAGGTATACTTAGTTTTCTAAGGAGAATAGAATTTCTAATAGTTTTTAAATATTTTGCATCTATGTTCTTAAGGACATTGGTGTATCATTTCTATACCATCAGGCTATGAGAGGAGCCGACTGAAAATCACACTGCTAGGGAGGGGAGAGGTGACTCTTTCTGTTTCTGGTGTTTGTAGCCATCTCCAGCGGTAGTTGCATTAATAATAATGCTGCAATGCCAACAGTACTGGAAAAGATAACAATAGTGATTTCAGCAGCTGTAGTATGGAGGGATCCCCATGATGGAGCAATGAAAATAACTCTGGAAGCAATGACAATATCAGCTCTGGCTGTAGCAGCTGAGATGTGAGTTCTCATGGTAGCAGCTTCAAGGACACTAGTAATGGTCCAATGGCCCCCAGACCTAGAAGTGCACATTTCCTCAGCATCTGCTCCAGACGCTGAACTTTGACAGTTGACGCCTTGGATCATCTGCCACTGATCTCTAGTCAACATTTTTACTTGCCCAACACAAAAGAGGCAGAAATTTATTGAGTTACTTATTTTTTAACAACCTGATCCTTTCATCTTTTGCTACACATACTCTTGTAATTGATCTCTCCCTGAATTGTTTTCTGTTTAAAATATCTAGAATGTTTCCTGCTTCTTGACTTGACTCTTACTAATATTGTATAGACACTAGAAATTGTTCTCAAAATAGATCTTTACAGATGAGAATCTGGAAGTGGTTTGCTGACCTGTTTCACTTTGAATGAAAACCTGACCTTCTTGTTGGTAGAAGACAGAAACCTGGTCATCTGTACTGTACGGTGGTATCATGATTACTTAAATCATCAAATGTGGTTATTGGGAATGATGTGTGTTTTAAAGTGATATATGAGAGATAAAATGGCTATTGTAGTTGACTGTTGCAGTTATAATATTGTCAACAAGGTCTGTAAGAGTACAACGGAGAGCAGGTAGAAAATGGACATCGTTTAAAGGCCAAAACAACCACACTATTTTGCTAATTCCTTTCAGCAAAAGCCTAGAAAATATATGAGGCATAAATGTACATGGTGTTTGACTAAGGCATGCAGAATATAATCTTGACATAGGCTAACTTTATCAACATGGATACATACAGATTCTGAAGTTAAAGTCTTAGCCCAAGAAGTTAGAAGGGGTGTTCAACTTTGTCTAACAGAATCTGTGAATCCACACTGGCCTGCTTATTTTGAGGTTGTGTTGCCAGAACTTTCCTAGCATAATAAAGAGAGATGCATACAAAGGCACAGGAATAGTAGAAGGTTGGGGTAAAAATATCAGGTATGATCCACCAAGCCATCCCCCACTCTGTCCCACAAGAAGGCCCAAAAAATATTTTTCTAAGAAATTAAGAATTGATTTACTGGGGGTGGGGGGTCAGCACTGGAATGCTCAAAAAGTGCTGTGATGGCTGAATTTTGTGGGTTTGGGGAGATTGTGGGTTCTTTGATTTCAAGGGGAATGATGTGATCCTAGAGATGCAAAGAACAAGTGACAGTGGAGGCACTGTTTTTTTGTGACTGCACTAGAGACAAGGAAGACACAACTATAATAATGAGTAGCAGGAATGGAGCGGCCAACAGAATATCTGACTATTAGAGATCTTTGATGAAGGCTAATTGATTCTCAGGGAGTGAGCTAGATCAGTGACAAATATTTGTCTTTATATAACTGGGTAATGTGGAGGGATTCTAATAAAGGCACTACTTACAGCACAGTAGGAAAGATATAAAGAAACCAGAAAGAAGAGTGTAAGTAGTAAGAGGCAAAGCAGTCACCTAACTAGAGACAGTGCCAGCTTGCCAAGAAGGCACCAGACAGGAGCTGTGACCTTCAGCAAAGGGAAACAGTCTGCCTGTGCTGACCCTGCAGGGCAGAAGTGGGGGATAAACACACTCTTCTCTCTCCTATCTTCTGCCACCTCCTTCATTAGCTGAACCCCAATAAAAGCATGAGGGTAAGAGAGGTACCTGAAGTATCCAATTCAGGTCAGCCTCCTGAGGAACAAAGCAGAATGTAGAAAAAGTAAAGAGTGGGTCTAGGGAATAAAACAGAGATATGCACCAGAGCATAATGATGTGTCCAGGAAAGAAGAATATACAAATACTTTTGAAATTACTAGACACTAAACCTGAGATGACCTAATACAGGTAAATGTCACTTTATGGTAATATATTCCAAGAAATGCATCATTAGGTGATTTTGTGTCTGTATGGACACCATAGAGTGTACTTATACAAACCTAGATAGTGTAGCTTACAACATACCTAGACAACATACCTAGGCTATATTGTATAGCCTATTGCTCCTAGGCTACACACCTGTGTAGCATGTCACAGTGCTGAAAATAGTAGGCCAGTGGTCCCCAACACCCAAGCCATGGACCAGCACCTATTTGTGTCCTGTTAGGAACTGGGTGCAAAGCAGGAGATGAGTGGCTGACCAGCCGAGCATTACCACCTGAGTTCTGCCTCCTGTCTGATCAGCAACAGCATTAGATCCTCATGGGGGCATGAACCCTACTGTGAACTGCACATGCGAGGGATGTAGGTTGCATGCTCCTTGTGAGACTCTAACTGATGCCTGATGATCTGAGGTGAAACAGTTTCATCCCCAAACCATCCCCACTCTGTGGAAAAATTATCTTTCACAAAACCAGTCCCTGGTGTCAAAAAGGTTGGGGACCACTGCTGTGGGCAATTATATCACAATAGTAGTATCTGAACATAGAAAAGGTACAGTAAAAATATAGTAGATTGGGAGGCTGATGCGGGCAGATCACCTGAAGTCAGGAGTTCAAGACCAGCCTGATCAACATGGAGAAACCCTGTCTCTACTAAAAATACAAAATTAGCTGGGCGTGGTCGTCTGTGCCTGTAATTCCAGCTACTCGGGAGGCTGAGGCAGGAGAATCACTGGAACCCTGGAGGCAGAGGTTGCAGTGAGCCAAGATTGCACCTTTGCACTCTAGCCTGGGCAACAAAATGAAACTCTGTCTCAAAAACAAAATCATATCTATATATATCTATAGATATATATGATATATGATAGATATATGATATCTATCATATATAGATATATCAAGATATACATGTATACCTAGATATATGATCTAGATATATCTATATATCATATAGATATCATAGATATCTATGATATATATGATAGATATATATGACATAGATATATATGATAGATATATAGATATATATGATAGATATCATATGTATGATAGATATCATATATGGATATATATGATAGATATCATATATGGATATATATGATAGATATCATATATGGATATATATGATAGATATCATATATGGATATATATGATAGATATCATATATGGATATATATGATAGATATCATATATGGATATATATGATAGATATCATATATGGATATATATGATAGATATCATATATGGATATATATGATAGATATCATATATGGATATATATGATAGATATCATATATGGATATATATGATAGATATCATATATGGATATATATGATAGACATATATGATAGATATCATATATAGACATATATGATAGATATCATATATAGACATATATGAGAGATATCATATATAGACATATATGAGAGATATCATATATAGACATATATGAGAGATATCATATATAGACATATATGAGAGATAACATATATAGACATATATGAGAGATATCATATATAGACATATATGAGAGATATCATATATAGACATATATGAGAGATATCATATATATGATATGATATGTATCTATCATATATATCTATATATAGACATATATGATATATATGATATCTATCATATATATGATAAATGTATATGATAGATATCTGTCATATATAGGTAGACATATAGATAGTTATATATAGATAGATATATATCTCATATATAGATATATATGATATATGATATATAGATATATGTGATATATAGAGATATGTGATATATATAGATATATGTGATATATATATCTATATATGATATATAATATATGATATAGATATATATGATATATAGATATATATGATATATAGATATATATGATATATAGATATATATGATATGTAGATATATATATGATATATATGATATATATGATATATAGATATATATGATATATAGATATATATCATATATATGGATATATATGATATATAGATATATATCATATATATGGATATATCTGGTATATAGATATATATCATATATATGGATATATCTGGTATATAGATATATATCATATATGGATATATCTGATATATAGATATATATCATATATATGGATATATCTGATATATAGATATATATCATATATATGGATATATCTGATATATAGATATATATCATATATATGGATATATCTGATATATAGATATATATCATATATATGGATATATCTGATATATAGATATATATCATATATATGGATATATCTGATATATAGATATATATCATATATATGATATATCTGATATATAGATATATATCATATATATGATATATCTGATATATAGATATATATCATATATATGATATATCTGATATATAGATATATATCATATATATGGATATATATGTATATGATATATCATATATATGGATATATATGTATATGATACATCATATATATGGATATATATGTATATGATACATCATATATATGGATATATATGATATACATAGATATATATCATATATATGGATATATATGATATATATAGATATATATCATATATATGGATATATATGATATATATAGATATATATCATATATATGGATATATGATATATATCTATATATCATATATATGGATATATGATATATATCTAGATATATATCATATATATGGATATATATCATATATATGGATATATATGATATATATCTAGATATATATCACATATATGGATATATATATATATATAAAACAAAAGTAAAAAAAAAAAAGCAGTACACCAGTATAGGATACTTACCATGAATGGAGTTTGCAGGACTGGCAGTTGCTCTGATGAGTCAGTGAGTGCACGGTGAGTGAATGTGAAGGCCTAGGATATTACTATACATGACTGTAGACTTTATACACACTGTACTCTTAGGCTACACTAAATGTGTTTAAAATTTTTCTTTCTTTAACAAGTTTATCTTAGCTTATCATAACTTTATCTTATAAACGTTTTAATTTTTTAAACTTTTTGATTCTTTTGTAATAACACATCTTAAAACACAAACAGATTGAACAGCTGTACAGAAATTCTTTATATCCTTATTCTATAAGCTTTATTTTTTTATGTTTTAAATTTTTTTGTTAAAAACTAAGATACAAACACACACACTAGCTTAGCCCTATAAGGGTCAGGATAATCAATATCACTGTCTTCCATCTCCACATCTTGTCCCAGTGAAAGGTCCTCAGGGTCTTCAGGGACAATAATATGCATGCAGCTGTCGTCTCCTATGATAACAATGCTTTCTTCTGGAATAACTCCTGAAAGACCTGCCTGAGGCCGTTTTATAGTTAATGTTTTTTAATGAGTAGAAGTACTACACTCTAAAATATGAATAAAATGTGTAGTATGGTAAAATACTGTTGATCCTTGAATAATGCAAGGTTTAGGAGGACCAGCCCCTGTGCCGTTGAAAATCCATATATAACTTTTGGCTACCCCAAACTTAACTACTAATAGCCTATTCTTAACTACAAGTTTTACTGATCAAATAAATAGTCAATTAAGGCATACTTTGTTAATTATATACTGTATTCTTACAATAAAGTAAGAGAAAAGAAAATTTTATTAAGAAAATCATAAGGAGGAGAAAATATGTTTGCTATTCATTAAGTGGAAGTGGATCATCATAAAGGTCTTCATCTGCGTCTTCATGTTGAGCAGCCTGAGGAGGAGTAAGAAGAAGAGGAATTGGTCTTGTTGTCTGAGGGATGGGAGAAGCAGAAGGAAATTTGCATATAAGTGGACTCATGCATTTCAAATCTATGCTGTTCAAGGATCAACTGTACATAAACTAGTAACGTAGTCATTTATTATCGTTATCAAGTATGACATACAGAACATAAGTATATGTGCTAACCTTTAATGCCACTGACAAATGTAGTGGGTTTGCTTATACCAGCATCACCACAAACACATGAGTAATGCATTGTGCTATAATGTTATCATGGCCACAGTGTTACTAGATGGTAGGAATATTTCAGCTCTGTTATCTTAAGCGACCACCTTTGTATGCAGTCTAGCATTTACCAAAAAACCATTATGTGACACATGACCATATTGGGGGCTTTTAGTGTCCCCTGTGCCCTGGATCCTTCTATTCAAAATGTGAACTCATGCATGGTTTAAAATTTGTGATGTTGTGCAGCGGATACATGGAGAATTGATATATTATTCTCGTTACTTTTGAATAGTTTGATGTTTTTAAAAATAAAAAGTCAGAAGAGTTTAGGTTTTTGGGGGTCAAATGATAATGAAATTTTTACCGGATTGTCTCACAGTTGGCTCAGTGATCCTCTGGGTCCATTCGATAGCTAAACAGACATGCTTGGAAACTGACAAATTTCCCACATTGGTTCACTTACCTACCTGGTGTACTCATGGTTTTACGAGAAGCGGACCCTGATTCATGAGTAGCTGCTAATAGTTTGGCTAGATGATCACGGAATTGAAAGGAAGAATATTAAAAGATGGATGATGAGAGGATGACTTCTTAAAATAGACACAAAGTATGAAAATACTTGTATCCCAAGAAAAATCTCATTAGAGGGAATCCACTGAAGAGGAGTAATCATATGCATAAAATGACATGTTGTATAATAAATGTTAGTCACCTGACACTTGTTCAATGGGCTCATGGACAAATGCACATGACATTAAGAATAAAATGTATTCATGACTTTACATAATCAAATTGTATCTGGACCAATGTAGAACAACTCTAAGGCTAATATGACAACCTTCCCTCAGGGGATACCCAGTCAACTTGCAGATTGATGACACTGAGATGCATCCCTTAGGGAATTTGTCCTCATTGAAATAGATACTTATTTCGGGTACCAATTCACCTTTTACATTTGTAATTATTCTGCTGGTACTACCATGCATGAACTTAAATAATTTGTTATTTACCATCATGATATCCCATACAATATTGTTTTTGACTAAGGAACTCATTTTGCTGCCAAAAAAGACATGTGGTAATAGGCTCACGTTTATGCAATTCATTGGATTTACAACAATTGGATTCTTCACCTAGAAGAATCTGAAATGATAGAATGGAATCATGTAACTCAGTTAATGCTCCCAGCTGGTAAACAACACACCGTAAGGTTGGGATGTTGTCCTACAGTGTGTGGTATAAACTTTGAATCAGTGACCAACGTGTAATTTCTCTTACAACAAAAACACATGAATCTGAAAATCAAGGGGAGGGAGCACCCTGCACTATTATGCTTAATTTGCACTTGCAGACTTTCTCTTCCCTTTTGTGAAACTTTGGGTTCTCCCCGTTTAGAGATATTAATTCCCAAGGGAGGAAACTTCTTTAGATGACAGGTTCCATTAAGTGGAAGTTGAAATACCACTTGGGCATATTTAGTTCTTCTTGAAACTAAAGGTAAAGAAAACAGTAAATCTATTGACACGTAATTGATCTAGAGATAACCAAGGTGAAATTGGGTTTCTCTATTCAATAGGGGCAGGAAGGACTATGTATGGAACACAGGATTATCTCATTAATTCCATGTGTAAGTAGTACATGAAAGAAACAAGCAATTGTTGTGCTGTTCACTGTGCAAAAGTATCCCTTCTTCCTAACGCGGGAGGACTGCTTTTGCAAATATGTCTGTGCTATTTTTCACTGGTCCTGACTCTTCTGTTCTTGGAAACAAACTCAGTCCATGGCAGATCCCACTACTACATGAATTTCTTTATTAGTCCTGTTGCAAAAAGGAAATTTTGTATTAGCACCTCAGGGGCTTTCTTTAATTTTGCAAAAGTATATCATCCTAATTTAATATTTTTTTAATTAAGATCTGGCAATGAGCAACCTCGCTCTGCTTCCTATCACACCCAGCTTACTCACAACTGCTTCAGGTGGCCTCCTCGTATTTTTAGGCTCAGAATTATGGCTGACCTCTGGTTTAATCAAACATAATTTACTTTGGTTTCTCATTTTCTTTATTGCTTCTATCTTCAAATTAGAAATCCTAGAATTTATTAAATTTATTTTTATGTTTATTTTTGAAACAGCATTCTTCTCTGTCACCCAGGCTGGAGTAGAGTGGCATGATGACTGTTCATTGTAGCCTTGACCTCCTGGGCTCAAGTGATTCTCCTGTCTCAGTCTCCCGAATAGCTGGGACTACTGGCTTTCACCACCACACCCAGCAAATTATTTTGTATTTTCTGTAGAGATGGGGTCTCCCTGTGTTGCGCAGGCTGGTCTCAAACTCCTGGGCTCAAGTCATCTACCTGCCCTGGCCTCCCAAAATACTGGGACTACATGTGTGAGTCACCACGCCCAGTCTAGTTCATTAGATTTAAATTGATGTTAGCACTGGTATCCTTTTTTTATTTTCCAATTGTTTTATGATGTATAAAAGAATGAAAAATTGCTTGAATTACCTATAGAATAAAAGAGAAAATAAATGTTTGTTCTCAGTGGCAGCATTCTAAAATGAAAATGGGCTGGGCTTTACTATCACCAGATCTTGGTTTCAATTACTTTTATTCTATTTATTAGATGTTTGATACTTAATAAGTTATTTATTCACCATTGGACTTCCTCTCTTTATCTGGGATTCTTGGAGGGTTTCATTAGGATAAAAGTATTTGGAAGAGAAATGTCTGGTATGTGAGTCACTTGAATGTTAGTTCCCTTCCTTGTTTAAAGGAGTACGAGTTAACTCTTATCTACAAAAGGAGAAAAGAGGGAGAAGGAGGAGGTGAAATGTTTTTATGGACACCAGCTTGGTAAATCTAGATATTAATATTACTAACTGATATTCATGACACCATATTATATTAGAATATCCTAGAGGCTGACCAAAGGTCTTACGGTAGAAGAACAAAAACAAACTATAAAACACAAAAATTCAAGATCATTCTCTAGAACGCTAATTATGAAACAAACTATTAAACAGAGGTGGCTAAATAATTGCTCCAAAGATAAATATGACTCATTTGTTTTGCTGACCCACACAGTGCTTTAATTTCTTAAATTAATTAAATTGTGGAAAAAATGGAAGTTACCACATAAAAATCCAATTTTCAGCCTTCTCTTGATAAACTCCAGAGTTTCAGTTCCCATGCAAAGCAACAATTAGCTGAAGCTGAGTATTGGTCACTTGTTTTAATCAACACTCTCCCCTCCATTCACAACATCCCCACCCAGCCTGCTGCCCCTGATCACACCTCCTGCCTGGCCATGAAAGCATTTCTATTTGCCACGCCTACTGTAAATGGTCAGTGAGCACAGCAGAATTTCAGGAACATTATTTATTTTCTTTACTTCCCTAAACAAGATATATTTCAAAAGTTATGTAAAGATAATAGGCTTAAATTTGAATAGTCATATTTAGAGCCACCTGTAGCTATTGCATTACAAATAAATAAGTTGATCAAATAAATATAGTATTAAAACTGTTTGTTTGGAAACTTCTGGAATAGCAGATTTTTTTAAAAAAGCTTCAAGTTGAAGATGACATTATTTGTGCCAGATTCTCAAGTCTTCGTAGCTTCAGATATTTTTTTCTATGTATATGAATCCTTTGAAGGCGATCAGGGCTGACTGCCGAGGACTCTTTGTGCAATCCAATCAGGCTAATTTCAATTTTAAGTGCAAGAGACAGGCATGCTTTTCATTGTCTCCTTTGTGAAGCTGTGATGGATTGGCTAGGGTTGAGTTAGTAAGATTTCTAACTGCTTAGAAATTTGGCAAATGCTTAGAACAAATGCTGTCTTAAGCAGACTGTTAACTAATAAATAGACCTCAAGTCTGAAAATCTCCCACTTGCTGGTTTATTTTAAGAGCAGGGAAAAGCCCCGCTAAAACACAGAATACATTTTCACTTTGCAGTTTTGTCTGAAAAGCTACCAATATTTACATTCCCACATGATTCAAATAAGAAGTGAAAGTAAGGAATCCCTGTCTGTAATAACATAGACTTGTAAGAACAAGAACTGGTAAGAAAAAGTACAAGTTTCTTAAAATATATTGTCTAAACATACTCCCATTTTCACCTCATCTATTTAAAATTACTTTACATAAATCTCCTTTTAAAAATATGTATAGAATACAATGACATAAAATATTAAACAATTTAGGTTATTTTAGTTAACTAATAATGAAATACAATTATTTTTAAATGATTATCATATGTGTGTTCATATGTGTGTGTAAATATAAATATATCAAATCATAATTTGAAAATAAGCATTAGCTATATGAGATTTAGGAAAAACTGAAATGTTTCCTAATAATATTCTTTAGTTTACTTTTTATTACTTGTATTCTCCAAAAAGAAAAAGTATAAAGTAAAAGATAATGAACAAAAATAAAAAATATGTAAACAAATTTAATATCAATTTTCAATTAGAATAAAGAAGATTTTAAAAGTTGTTCTAATAAAAATAACACCTATCTGTTACTGCACATTATCCATGAGTGTGGGGCACCTCTAACTGCTTTACGTTAATTTATTCATTTAATTTTCGTAACACTTACATGTTTTAAATACCTTTAGCATCATCCTCTTTTTACAAAGAAGGACCTGGAAATAACATAAGTTTCTCAAAGCTATCAAGTAAATCCCTGGTAGCTCAAGATTCCAGGCCAAGAAATCTGGGTCTGGAGTTTTTATCACTACATGTTGTTGGCTCTCGTTTGCCAGGTATATATGTTTATGTTTGGATTTATAATCAGACTTTGCTAATGCTTTCTCCATTAGAAAGGACATGAGCCATGTTATTTGGGGGCTCAGGGCACATTAATTCTGTCTAATTTTGTCTAATTCAGTTTCCCCATGCCACCTTCAGTGTGTTTGAAGTGCTCTGTGAACTTTCTGACATGAAAGAGGAGTTCGATGAAGCCTGGGGAGAGAAGGAGCAGTTGCATAAGATTTCACAGAGGAGCTGTCAT
This sequence comes from Homo sapiens, assembly GCF_000001405.40. Classification (NCBI taxonomy): domain Eukaryota; kingdom Metazoa; phylum Chordata; class Mammalia; order Primates; family Hominidae; genus Homo; species Homo sapiens. The sequence goes on from NC_000008.11 coordinate 62,218,978, forward strand.
TTCAGTTGAGCCTTGAATTGGATTGAGAACTCCCCAGATAGAGTTAGAGAGGACACATAAATTGTGCCCATATGGAACTTGGCTGTGGAGAGGGGAGTGTTGTTGGAAATTTACTCTTGCCAGAAAAAATAGGAGATGAAGATAAATGGTAAAGGACTTTGTAAATCCTGCTTAGGGCCTCACGTCACACCTGGATCACAGCTCACCAAGCTGGAATACAGGGCTTGCCAAAAATCTTTCTGGATGCTATGGGCCACTTATTATGCCTCAAAGGGGGAAGTCTTGGATAGACCAGACTCTGATAACACCTGAGACTTTCAGTCAATTCTAGCATTAAATGACATTTATATCAAATGTAGGAAACCTTTCCTAGGCTAGTAAATTCCTTCTATTCTTCTCTTGGGAATCACTGGGCCCAGTCTCAAAGTCAGGCCTCTCTGGTGACTTCTGTGGCTCCGCTCCTCCACCTCTGCACTCATCCTCACCTACGGGTTCATCTTTCTCCTCACCCCTTACATTGTGCCCAGTGGAATTAAGCGTTACCTTGAACAAGTTCTTCACACATTTTTATCATCCTTCCATATTCTAGAACTACCAAGAGGAAAAAGATGTCCTGGAAAGCAGGAGATGCTATTTTTATTTTTCTAGTGTTTTTTCCTATTCTGAACCCAGAGCCATCTATGCTGCATATTTCCCAATGTTTACTGTTCCATTGTTAAACAAAAATGTACTGAAGCCCAGGGCATCCAGCTATAATACACCTGTCTGCCCACCTCTATGTGATATTCACTTTCTGGGTCACTCTTCTGCATTTAGGAAGAATTTGGAGGCCTGGTTCATAGATTTATCCCCCATCCCAATTCCTGACATTTTTAAAGGAAGTAGAATTATTTGACCATTTGATTTCTAATGATTTTCACTTTCATTCAGTTTAAGCCACTCACTCCCAATGATTGCAACTTGGACTTTTGCATCAGCCAGAACCATGCATCTGTGAAATCTCAAACTCCTATAGGCCACTCTTCAAATCTAGTGCCTGCTAGAAATCAACTTTGTCTATTAGACTATAGACTAGTCTTCCTCAGATTTTGATAGTGACCTTTATGTGTCATTTTATGCTGCCACCACATACCTCCTTTCTGAGCATCTCCTCCTATTGTCTCCCTGACTCCATTTATCGAGGATGGTTGATTTTTGTTGCCTATATAGATGACAGCAGGCAGAGATGGGGTTTCATAAGGCAAGCACTAATAGAATTTGCACACCAGAGGATAACTACTCAATAAATTTACTGATAGAAAAATGTCCTATGATGGAGTCTTTATTAAGCTTATATGTGAGCAAAAACAGGTGAAATCCTAGGGTTCTACTCTAGTTAGACTAAATGTTTATTCAAAGATAGGTTTATTTTGGCTTAATAGCCAACTGAACATGAAGAAACAATTGAATTGTCTATATAATTCAATGTAATCTCTTTGTATGCCCACCTGAAAGAAGCTTAACCTTGACCTAAGGTTTCTGTGTCTTAATGCAGTTTTCTGGGTATGTCATATGAATTATATAGCATGTTGTTATAATGCATATGGAAACACATACACACAGTCTAGTTTCACTAGTCATGGTAGTTATGTTCTAGAAAATCAATGGTTACCTCACGGCTTGCATAAAATATCTTGCAGTTATAACTTTTTATTTTAAGTCAGCTTCATAGCATACAAAAACTTTACAATGTTACTCTCCTCTGTAGCTTTATATTCTTATAGTCTGCGTTTAGTTCTTTATATATGGCACATACATTAACAATTTTTTGTGGTTATTGCTATTCTTAATAGTTTTGTCTTTTAACTTTTATATTAAGGTGGCACAAGATAAGGGTGCCCACCCTTGCCACTTCAATTCAGCATAGTACTAAAAGCCCTACTCAGAAAACTTAGCAATAAAAAGACATAAAACACATCCACTTCAGAAAGGAAAGAGTAAAATTATCTCTGCTTGCAAATCACATAAACATATATGCAAGAAACCCTAAAGACTCAACAATAAAAAGACTATTAGAACAAATAAACAAATTTAGTAAAGTTGCAGGACACAAAAATTAACATAAAATAATTAATGTTTCTTTGTACAAACAACAAGCCATCCAAAAATAAAGTTAAGAAAATAATCCTATTTAAAATTGCAATGAAAGAAAAATAAAGACTTAGGAATAAACTTAAAGAAGCAAAAGCCTTGTGTGGTAAAAATTATAAAATATTGATGAAATAAATCAAAGAAGACACAGATAAATAGAACTATATCTGTGTTCCTGGATTATTGAAATTATTATTAGACTTATTGTTGAAATGTCTGTACTACCCAAAGTTACTTACAGATTCAATGTAATCCCTATCAAAATCCTGATGGGATTCTTTACAGAAATGGAAAAAAAATCTCAAAATTCATACAGAACCACAAAATCCTAAGTAACCAAAGAAATCTCGAGCAAGAAGAATAAGGCTGTAGGCATCACACATCCTGATTCCAAAGTGGATTATGAAGCTATTGTAATCAAAACAGAGTGATACTGGCATAAAAATACATGTATAGAACAATGGAATAGGATAGAAAACACAGAAATAAATACTGCCAACTGATTTTCAAAAAACAGTGCCAAGAATACACAATAGGGCAAAGATAATCTCTTCAATAAATGGTATTGGGAAAACTGGATACTCACATGCAGAAGAATGAAATTGTGTCCTAATACAAAAAAGTGGATTAAAGACTTAAATGTTAACACCTGAAGCCAAATAACCATGGGAAGAAATCAAGGGGAAAGAGCTTCTTAATATCGGTCTGGGCAATAATTCTTTGCCTATAATCCCAAAAGCACAGGCAACAAAGGCAAAAGCAAAAATAGTCAAGTGAGGTTTGCATTGAATTAAAAACCTTCTGCACAGTGATGGAAATAATCAACAGAGTGAAAAGTTAACCTATGGAATGGGAGAAAATATTTGCAAACAATAATTCTGATAAAGGGTTAATATCCAACACATATAAGAAACTCATACAAGTTGAAGGCCAAAAATTTAATAACCCTATTAAATAATGGACAAAGAACCTGAGTAGAGATTTCTCAAAAGAAGACATAAGATAGGCAACAGATATATGAAAAAGTGCTCAACATCACGAATCATCAGGAAAATGTTTATATGGTACATACTTTAACAAATTGTAGTGGTTATTGCTATTCTTAATAGTTTTCCAATAGCAGATCCAAGCTATTATTAGTTATCACATCACATCCTTTAGAATGCCTATAATCAAAAAGACAAAAGATAACAAGTATAAGTGAGGATATGGGAAAAAAAGGGAACCCTTGTACTCTGTTAGTGGGAATGTAAATTGGTACAGATATTATAGAAAACATGGAGGTTCCTCAAAAAATTAAAAATAAAACTACCATATTATTCAGCAATTCCACTACAAGGTGTATATCAAAAGGAAATGACATCAATATCTGCACTTCCATGTTCAAGGCAGTATTAATACAACAGCCAAGATAGTAAAATACAAGTTCATAAATAAATGAATGTATAAAGAAAATGTAAATACAACGAAATAGCTTTAAAAAAAGAAGAAAATCCTACCTTTTGGAAAACATGGATAAACCAGAAGGGCATTATGCTCAGTGAAATAAGACTGGTACAGAAAGCCAAATATTGCATGAACTCACTTATAAGTAGAATTTAAATAACTAAAATCTACAGAAGCCGATAGTAAAATAGTGATTTCCAGTATCTGGGAAAAGGGGGAAAATGGGAACATGTTGGTCAGAACATGTTGCATGGAGTGTTTACTTAAGCAAGGTGAATATGTTCGGGAGAGCTAAGGTACAACATGATAACTATAGTTAACAATACTGTGCAGTCTACTTGAAGCATGCTGGGAAGGAATATCTTAAGTGTTTTCACCAACAAAAGAGAAAAGAAGGAAGGAAGGAAGGAAGAAAGGAAGGAAGGAAGGAAATGGTAACTATATGTGGTATTGGATATTTTAATTAGCTTGATTGCAGCAATCATTTTATAATGTATAAGTATTTCAAGACATCAATTTGTAAACCCAAAATATACACAAATTTTATTTGTTAATTAATAAAAAGGCAGAGCAGGTGGCTGGCAAGATGGCCGAATAGGAACAGCTCCATTTGGCAGCTCCCAGAGAGACCAACGGAGAAGGTCTCTCTCTGCATTTCCAACTGAGGTACCCGGCTCATCTCATTGGAACTAGTTAGACAGTGGGTGCAGACCACAGAGGGCGAGCCGAAGCAGGGTGGGGCATTGTCTCACCTGGGAAGCACAAGGAATTGGGGAACCCTGTCCCCTAGCCAAGGGAAACCTTGAGAGAATGTGCTGTGAGAAATGATGCATTCCAGCCCAGATACTACACTTTTTTCACAATCTTCACAACCTGCAGACCAGGAGATTCCCTTGGGTGCCTATGCCACCAGGGCCCTGGGTTTTAAGTACAAAACTGGGCATCTGTTTGGGTAGACACAGAGCTAGCTGCAGGAGTTATTTTTCATACCCCAGTGGCACCTGGAATGCCAGCGAGACAGAACCATACACTCCCCTGGAAAGGGGCTGAAGCCAGGGAATAAGGTGATCCAGCTCAGTGGACCCCACCCACAAGGAGCCCAGCAAGTGAGATCCACTGGCTTGAAATTCTCCCTTCCAGTGCAGCAGTCAGAAGTCAACCTGGGACTGTAAAGCTTGGTGGAGGGAGGGGTGTCCAACGTTACTGAGGCTTGAATGGTGGTTTTACCCTCACAGTGTAAACAAAGCCCCCAGGAAGTTCGAACTGAGTGGAGCCCACCACAGCTAGGCAAAGCTGCTGTAGCCAGACTGTCTCTCTAGATTCCTCCTCTCTGGGCAGGGCACTTCTAAAAGAAAGGCAGCAGCCCCAGTCAGGGGCTTATAGATAAAACTCCCATCGCCCTGGGACAGAGCACCTGGGGGAAGGAGTGACTGTGAGTATAGCTTCAGCCAACTAAAACATTCCTGCCTGCTGGCCCTGAAGAGTGCTATGGATCTCCCAGCACAGAGCTCCAGCTCAGCTAAGGGACAGACTGCCTCCTTAAGTGGTTCAGTGACCCCCATGCCTCCTGACTGAGAGACACCTCCCAGCAGAGGTCAACAGACACCTAATACAGGAGAGCTCTGGCAGGCATCTTGCAGGTGCCCCTGTGGGATGAAACTTCCAGAGGAATGAACAGGCAGCAATCTTTGCTGTTCTATATCCTGTGCTGGTGATACCCAGGCAAACAGGGTCTGGAGTAGACCTACTGAAAACTCCAGCAGACCTACAACAGAAGGGCCTGACTGTTAGAAGGAAAACTAACAAACTGAAAGGAATAGCATCAGCATTAACAAAAATAACACCCACACAGATACCCCATCTGAAAGACACCAACATCAAAGACTGAAGGTAGATAAATCATGAATATAAGGAAAAAACAGCACAAAAGATTGAAAATTACAAAAACCAGAATGCCTCTTCTCCTCCAAAGGATCAAAACACCTCACCAGCAAGAGAACAAAACTGGATGGAGAATGAGTTTGACAAATTGACAGAAGTAGGCTTCAGAAGGTGGTTAATAAGAAACTCCTCCGAGCTAAAGGAGCATGTTCTAACCTAATGCAAGAAAGCTAAGAACCTAGATAAAAGGTAAGAGGAAATGCTAACTAGAATAACCAGTTTAGAGAAGAACATAAATGACCTGATGGAGCTGAAAAACACAGCATGAGAACTTTGTGAACCATACACAAGTATCAATAGCTGAATCGATCAAGCAGAAGAAAGGATATCAGAGATTGAAGATCAACTTAAGGAACTAAATCAAGAAGACAAGATTAGAGAAAAAAGAATGAAAAGGAACCAACAAAGCCTCCAAGAAATATGGGACTATATGAAAAGACCAAATATACATTTGATTGATGTACCTGAAAGTCACAGGGAGAATGGAACCAAGTGGGAAAACACTCCTCAGGATATTATCCAGGAGAACTTCCCCAATCTAGCAAGACAGGCCAACATTCAAATTCAGGAAGTACAGAGAACACCACAAAGATACTCCTCGAGAACAGCAACTCCAAGACACATAATCATCAGATTCACCAAGGTTGAAATGAAGGAAAAAATGTTCAGGGGAGCCAGAGAGAAAGGTAGGGATACCCACAAAGGGAATCCCATCAGACTAACATCAGATATCTCTGCAGAAACTCTACAAGCCAGAAGAGAGTGGGGGCCAATATTCAACATTCTTAAGAAAAAAGAATTTTCAACCCAGAATTTCATATCATCCAGCCAAACTAAGCCTCATAAGCAAAGGAGAAATAAAGTCATTTACAGACAAGCAAATGTTGAGAGATTTTGTCACCACCAGGCCTGCCTTACAAGAGCTCCTGAAGGAAGCACTAAATATGGAATGGAAAAACTGGTACCAGCCACTGCAAAAACATATCAAATTTTAAAAACCCTCAACACTATGAAGAAACTGCGTCAACTAATGGGCAAAATAACCAGCTAGCATCATAATGACAGGATCAAATTCACACATATTATTATTAACCTTAAATGTAAATGGGCTGGCAAATTGGATAAAGAGTCAGGACCTTTTGTGTGCTGTGTTCAGGAGACCCACTTCACATGCAAAGACACACGCAAAATAAAGTAATGAAAGAATTATCCAAAATAAAGTGATGAAGTAATATTTACCAAGCAAATGGAAAGCAAAAAAATAAAAAAAAAAGCAGGGGTTGCAATCCTAGTCTCTGATAAAACAGACTTTAAACCAACAAAGATCAAAAAAAGACAAAGAAGGGCCTTACATAATGTTAAAGAGATCAATGCAACAAGAAGAGCTAACCATCCTAAATATATATGCGCCCAATACAGCAGCACCCAGATTCATAAAGCAAGTTCTTAGAGACTTATAAATAGACTTAGACTCCCACACAATAATAGTGGGAGACTTTAACACCCCACTGTCAATACTAGACAGATCAACAACACAGAAAATTAATAAGGATATTCAGGACTTGGACTCAGCTCTGGACCAAGTGGACCTAATAGACATCTACAGAACTCTCCACCCCAAATCAACAGAATATACATTCTTCTCAGCACCACATCACGCTTATTCTAAAACTGACCACATAATTGGAAGTACAACACTCATCAGCGAATGCAAAAGACTGGAAATCTTAACAAACAGTCTCTCAGACCAAGATGGATTAAAAACTTAGAAAAAATAGAACTCAGGATTAAGAAACTCACTCAAAACTGCATAACTGCATGGAAACTAAACAACCTGTTCCTTAATGACTACTGGGTAAATAACAAAATTAAGGTAGAAATAAAGAAGGTGTTTGAAACCAATAAGAACAAAGACACAATGTACCAGAATCTCTGAGACACAGCTAAAGGAGTATTTAGAGGAAAATTTGTAGCACTAAATGCCCACAGGAAAGGACAGGAATGATCTAAATTTGACAATCTAACATCACAATTAAAAGAACTGGAGAAGCAAGAGCAAACAAATTCAAAATCTAACAGAAGTCAAGAAATGACTAAGATCAGAGCAGAACTGAAGGAGATAGAGACATGAAGTACCCTTCAAAAAATCAATGAATCCAGGAGCTGGGTTTTTGAAAAGATTAACAAAATAGATAGACCACTAGCAATACTAATAAAGAAGAAAAGAGAGAAGAATGAAATAGACACAATAAAAAATGATAAAGGGGATATCACCACTGATCCCACAGACATACAAACTACCATCAGAGAATACTATAAACACCTCTACGCAAATAAACTAAGAAATCTAGAAGCAATGAATAAATTCCTGGACACATACATGCTCCTAAGACTAAACCAGGTGGAAGTCGAATCCCTGAATAGATCAATAACAAGTTCTGAAATTGAGACAGTTACTAATAGTCTACCAACAAAAACAAGCCCAGGACCAGAGGAATTCACAGCTGAATTCTACCACAGGTACAAAGAGGAGCTGGTACCAATCCGTCTTACTATTCCAAACAATAGAAATGGAGGGACTCCTCCCTAACTCATTTTATGAGAGTAGCATCATCCTGATAGAAAAACCTGGCAGAGACACAACAGAAAAAGAAAATTTCAGGCCAATATCCCTGATGAACATTGATGCAAAAATCCTCAACAAAATATTGGCAAACCGAATCCAGCAGCACAGAAAAAAACTTATCCACTATGAACAAGTCGACTTCATCCCTAGGATGCAAAGCTGGTTTAACATACACAAATCAATAAACGTAGTCCATCACATAAACAGTATCAATGACAAAAACCACATGATTATCTCAATAGATGCAGAAAAGGCCTTTGATAAAATTAAACATTCCTTTATGCTAAAAACTCTCGATAAACTAGGTATTGATGGAATCTATCTCAAAATAATATGGGCTATTTATGACAAACCCACAGCCACATCATACTGAACTGGCAAAAGCTAGAAGCATTCCCTTCGAAAACCATCACAAGACAAGCATCCCCTCTCTCACCACTCCTATTCAACATAATATTGGAAATTCTGGCCAGGGCAATCAGGCAAGAGAAAGAAATAAAGGGTATTCAAATAGGAAAGAAGGAAGTCAAATGTCTCTGTTTGCAAATGACATGATTGTATATTTAGAAAACCCCATTGTCTCAGCCCAAAATCTACTTCAGCTGATAAGCAACTTCAGCAATGTCTCAGGATACAAAATCAATGTGTGAAAATCACCAGCATTCCTCTACACAAATAACAGACAAACAGACAGCCAAATCATGAGTGAACTCCCATTCACAATTGCTACAAAGAGAATAAAATGCCTAGGAATACAACTTACAAGGGATGTGAAGGACCTCTTCAAGGAGAACTACAAAGCACTGCTCAAAGAAATAAGAGAGGACGTAAACAAATGGAAGAACTTTCCATGATCATGGATAGGAAGAATCAATATCATGAAAATGGCCATACTGCCCAAAGTAATTCATAGATTAAACATTATCCCTATCAAGCTACCATTGACTTTCGTCACAGAATTAGAAAAAACTACTGCAAATTTCATATGGAACCAAAAAAGAGCCCATATAGCCAAGACAATCCTAAGCAAAAAGAACAAAGCTTGAGGCATCAGGCTACCTGACTTCAATCTATACTCCAATGCTACAGTAACCAAAACAGCATGGTACTGGTACCAAAATAGATACATAGAACGATGGAACAGAACAGAGCGCTCAGAAACAAGGCCACACATCTACAACCATCTGATCTTTGACAAACCTGACAAAAAGAAGAAATGGGGAAAGGATTCCCTATTTAATAAATGGTTTTGGGAGAACTGGCTAGCCATATGCAGACAACTGAAACTGGACCCCTTTTTTACACCTTATACAAAAATTAATACAAGATGGATTAAAAACTTAAACATAAGACCTAGAACCATAAAAACCCTAGTAGAAAACCTAGACAATACCATTCAGGACATGGGCATGGGCAAGGATTTCATGACAAACACCAAAACCAATGGCAACAAAAGCAAAAATTGACAAATAGGATCTAATTAAACTAAAGAGCTTCTGCACAGTGAAAGAAACTATCACCAGAGTAAACAGGAAGCCTACAGAATGGGAGAAAATTTTTGCAATCTATCCGTCTGACAAAGGGCTAATATCCAGAATGTATAAGGAACTTAAACAAATTTACGAGAAAAAAAAACAAACAACCCCATCAAAAAGTGGGCAAAGGATATGAAAAGACACTTCTCAAAAGAAGACATTTATGCCACCAGCAAACATGAAAAAAATCTCGTCATCATTGGTCATTAGAGAAATGCAAATCAAAACCACAATGAGATACCATCTCACGCTAGTTAGAATGGTGACCATTAAAAAGTCAGGAAACAACAGATGCTGGAGAGGATGTGGATAAGTAGGAATGATTTTACACTGTTGGTGGGAGAGTAAATTAGTTCAACCATTGCAGAAGACAGTGTGGTGATTCCTCAAGCATCTAGAACCAGAAATACCATTTGACCCAGCATGACCCTTATTCATAATAAGGATTATGAATCATTCTATTATAAAGACACATGCACACGCATGTTTATTGAAGCACTGTTCACAATACCAAAGCCTTAGAACTAACCCAAATGCTCATCAATGATAGACTGGATGAAGAAAATGTGGCACATATACACCATGGAATACTATGCAGCCATAGAAAAGGATGAGTTCATGTACTTTGCAGGGACATGGATGAAGCTGGAAACCATCATTCTCAGCAAACTAACACAGGAACAGAAAACCAAACTCCGCATGTTCTCCCTCATAAGTGGGAGTTGAACAACGAGAACACATGGACACAGTGATGGGAACATCACACACCTGGGCCTCTCAGGGGTTGGGGGGCTAGAAACAGGATAGCATTAGGAGAAATACCTAATGTACTTGTTGGGTTGATGAGTGCAGCAAACCACTGTGGCACGTGTATACCTATATAACAAACTTGCACATTCTGCACATGTGTCCCAAAACTTAAAGTATAATAATTTAAAAAAGTACTGTGATGGTTGATATTATTAAGTAGTTTTAAAAATTAGAAGTGCCATTCAAGGCCAAATAGTATAGATTTGCTTTGCATTTACTAGATCACAAATGTGCCCTCAGTAAGGCTGTGGTCTCACCTGAATAATGTACAGCTCACTACGGGAGAACACATTTCATTAGACAATGTCCTATGGAAAACCCGTGTGTTTTCCATAGCATGCATATACTGAACAATGGTAAGGAATTGATACATTTTGAAAACAGTTGTAGACCTAGCTCATTTTTTACTTAAAGTCAATTTTAATTGTATTACGTAAATAGTAAAAGACACAGAAATCCAACTTTTGCCTAAAAATAACCCTGAGTACCTGCATACAGATTCTCCAGTGTATAGCCAAATCACTGGTGTTGGGACAAAATGGGAAATACATGGAAGTAATTTTACCAAGCAGCATGTCCAGTCTAGAAAAAGCATCCAACAGGGGTTTATAGATGCCCTTAATATCACACGCATATCTCCTGCCCTTACTATTTCAGTGCACAGAGGTTTAGTTTCCTCCTGCCAGCACCTGTGTTTCTCCTTTAGGGCAGGCTGCAGGTCTGAGGAATTAAAATCTCCCAGGAACAATTCTCAACTTCTGACTTGTCAAGAGCTGTTATGTAAATACCTCTACACCCTTGTCCTTCAGAGAAGATGGCTCTGGGGTGCATATTCTGTACCATTTCCAAAGTTCCCCAGATTTAGTGGAATACTGTGGTATTTTGTTTCATAATCCAACTTTTATTGGCCCTCCCTCTTCCGGCTTTATTTTCTCACTCATCTACTGTGGTTTCAGGGATCATCTTCCAAATAAACTGCTTGCATTTTAATTCTTGTCTCAAGGGTCTGCTTCCCTAAAACCTCACGCTTAAACATGGCTGCACTCTCCTAATCTGTTCATTCTTGGCACCAGGATCTTGAATAAATAATCAATGGGATTCAACCCCATTTTTTATATATGAAAAGAATTTGAAGGAGTCTTTGAATCCTGATTTTATAAATATAGGGGCAAGATTAGAAGATAATGACTGAACTCACAACATAGGGTCAAGCATCAGAGATTCGACACAGTGGGAGTGCCGATGTGTTTCCATTCTCTACTTACTGAAGTAACTAGAAGAATTACCTCTGTTTTGGTCAATTCTGTGTTTCTCTTCTGGTATTGATGGGTTCTACCAAGCCTGCTTCTGGGTTTCCTCTGTCGTTGTTTTCCATGAAGATCCCCAATGAAGTAATCTTGCCCTTGTGTCAAGACCCTTATTATAATTATATGCCAAATATTCCAAGCCTCTGCTTGTGTGTGGCCAAAATCCATATTCAATACAGAGTTAATATCTTGTGTGTTAAGAAAAGGTTTCCTCTGAAAAGGGCTTTCTCTTACCTGCCTCTCACCAGTCCCTATTATCCCTTGTATGGGCTTATTTCTCTATTTGCTAGAGTTCAGCTCTTCTATGAGTCATCATTCTGGAAAGGAAAAGGGAGCCTTTATGTCTCCACTTTCTTTGGCAGGAAGAATAACTTCCAGGTCATATCTTACTTTAAAAAGGAAGCAGAAACATATACCTTGTCTTACTTGTCATGGCTTCAACTCAGAGGTTTTATTGTTATACTATTTAATTCCAGTCATGTAACGACTTACCGATTCATGTGCTGGGTTTTTTCCTTTAGGTCTCACTGGCTAACAGACACTTCCAAGGTTGAAAGGTACAGGGTAAGCTCAACTCAGCTGCAGTTAAACATGAACTTTTGAGGGGCACACATCCAAACACATTAGGAATAAAAAAGCTGCCAGAAGAACATCTTCATTGTTCTTCTGCCATACATGCATATTATAAATGATTGTGCTTCACACACAGTCTCTGCAGCATAAACCAGCCCTTAAGCTGGGCATGATTACATGTTCATATTAATGCCTTGCCGAGGTTTATATTTCTAGGGTGCTACTCTATCTTTTAATCCACTTGGTTTCTAGAATAACCCCCAAAGTATCTAGAAGAAATGACTAACACAGCTAGTCAATGATTGACATCTCTTTTTCCTGCCTCATAGCCATTACTTACCATCAGCATAACATATGGATACTATATTGATTAAGGCAAGTAATATTAGCTGATATAACAAACATCCTAAATTTTAGTGACTTAACACAATAAAACTTTATCTTTGACTCATGCGAACATTCCTAGTTGGGGAAGACTTTCCATATGATCATCCAGTGTCTCTGTGTCTTCCCTTTGTTGCTTCACTCTCCTAGCTTTCACCTGATTGAGAAGAAAGAGGGAGACAATGGAGGTTTGCATGTGGAAAGTTTCTAAAGGCCAGATGTGAAAGATAATATATTAATTATGTCCTCATTCTTGTGCCATAATCAGCCACATGGCCATACCTGACTAGAAGCTAGGCTTGGAAATGTTACCAAACTCTGAGACTGAGATGGAAAAGAAGAAAGATTTGGAGAACATATGGCACTCTCTGCCACATATATTATGCTGCTTCTAAACTCCTCATTTTGTCCTGTGATCTCCTCTGCCTAGACTACTCCCACCAATTCATGCCCTTCCCAGCTCTAGAAAATGTTCACCTGTCATGATCACTGAGCTCAGATATTGCCTTATCTGGGAGACCTTTCCTGATACGCTCATCCTCATTCTCAATTTGTATTAGGTGCCCCTTTCCTTGTTCCCTTTCCATTCTTATCTATTCTCTATTATTAAGTCACATGAGTTGTGTTAACAGTTTCTAATTTTGGACAGTGCATATTAGTGACTAACTACATATTGGTTAAGCGACTGAAAGAATGGAGCCCATCATTTCTCTTACTATGACATGTTCTCTAGTGGTACCAAGATGGCAATCCTCCAACAGGTGCAGGATTAGCTTCGTAAGAATTACCCACGGCTCATCCCTGTAATCCCAGCACTTTGGGAGGCCAAGATGAGAGGATGGCTTGGCACCAAAGATTTGAGACTAGTCTGGGTGACAAAGCAAGATCTTGTCTCTTAAAAAAGAAAAGAAAAGAAGGCTCACCTGTGGAGTTTGTTATACCCAGTCCCTTAGCATCAATCTCCAATTGATCATTCCTCCTCCCTTGCCCCACGGAGCAGGGGATACTTCTGGACTTCACTGAACTTGAGTCTGGTCATGTGACTCATTTTGAGTAATAAAATGTGTCTGGAAGCTAGGGTGGGTCAGTTCCAAACAGGGACTTTAAGGGCCATGAAATGTTTTCATTCATCTTCTTATGCTCCTGCCATAGTCATAAAAACTGCAGACTCCGTGTAGCTGCTGTTCCTTTTGTCTGTGTTCTAGAAAGAGAGTCCTGGGGCAGACTTGAACCCAAGCCCAGCCCAGATCAGACCAGCTGTCTTAGTCTATCTGGGCTGCTATAACAAACTACTGTAGACAAAGTAGCTTATTAACAACAGAAATTTATTTCTCACAGTTCTGGAAGCTGAGAAGTCGAAGATTAAGGCATTGGAAGATTCTGTGTCTGGTGAGGTCCTGCTCCTCAAAGACAGCAACTTCCACCTGTGTGTTTGCATAGCAGAAGGGACTAGCTAGCTGTCCAGGGTCACCTGTATAAGGACAGCAATCCTACTTATGAGAGTTCTACCCTGGTGACCTAATCATCTCCTCAAAACCCCACCTTCTAACCTCAGTGACTAGGTTTTAACATATGAATTTTGGGGGGACATAAACATTCAGATCATAGTACCATTCCCTCTGAGCCACAACCAAATTCACAGCAGTGGGTAAAATAAATATCCGTGAGCCACTGAGATTTTCAGCAGTGTCTTACACAGCATAACGGAAGCAGGGTAAGGCCTAGAAACCTGCACATTAAAAACACTTCAGCCACCCACATTTGGAAACTACTGTACACATTAGACTTTTCATTAACAGGAGAAAACCTAACATTTAAGTGGATGGAACAGGATATCTACAAAGACTTTATCAGCCATCCTCCCAGACACATGGCAGGGTGTTGAATCCCAGCATTTCCCGAGTGGTTGGAATATGAGCTCATCCACAGTGGGGTTTTGGGGAAGCAAAGGGGCCCTGGGTATGAGTACTGCTGTTCCCTTCCAACCTCGACGTGGGCAACAATGATGACTGAGCCTACGCAGGATGTATGTTGTTGTAGTTTTTTCTTTCAGCTTTGAATTCATCATTTCATCACAGTATTAAAATGGGCAGGATAACCAAATCTTGTGTGATCACTTATGTCTATGTTGCTAATCATTAACTACATCATGTAAAGGTAACATAATTATGTTCTGCATGTAGTGTGTAGTAATAAGAGCTATACTGTTGACTGTGAATGGCATAATTACTATTTCATATGTCTGCAAGGTTGTTTGGGTTTTTTCCCTACGTGGCTGACATGTAAAATGTTATTATTGGCCATTTTTTTTCCCAAGGTGCTCTAGTGATTTTTTTCATCCCTCTTTTAGCCCCACTAATATCACCACATGATACTTCTCCAGTGGCATGTGTTCTCTGTTTATAATGACAAGTGACGATTTGCAATAGGAACAAAAGTACCTGGTTCTTTGAAAGCTGTTCCTATGTGCTATGGTATAACAAATGACAAAGGAATTTGACTTTTGCTATTTCTTCAGTGGAGTAGAGAAGGTGTGGGGAACAGAAATATGTTTAACTCTATAAATACGATGGCTTATTTCCTTGTATCATATCAAAGAAAGGGGAAATAGTCATAAGAACCCTGAGAAATTTGTCACATCCATGAATCACATTCAGTAGGAAGATTAGAATTTTTATTTCTTTTTTTTTTTAACTAGTTGATGTTAACATTCATTTCAACTACAGCGTTATAAACCCAAAGGACAGGCATATTATACAGAAATCCACCAGGGCTCCTCTCAAGTTGGTCACAGCTACAGTCCTGGCTTATTCTTTGTGCCTGCCAAGCTCCTTGCACAGTCTCTGACACATACAGGAAATGTAATAAATGTTTGTTAATGCACAGTGGTGGGAAGGGAAGATTTATGGTGAGCCAAAATGAGAATCACTGAAGATGCCAATCCAAAAAGCTGCGCATGTGGTTAAAAAAACAAATGCTTCCAAAAACTTTTACCGTTTGTCCCTGTCCAAGGAGGTCTCATGCTCACACCCATTGCCTGAAGCATTTGGGGTGCCCACTAAGATAAGTCATCAGCGTGTCACCTCTTCACACTCTGGCTGACCCTATGCTGAAACAAGTGATTCAGAAGATTTTTGTCTGCTGTTATCTTTTGTATAGACACCACAGAATTTTTTATAGTTTCATCAATATTTTTAACAAATCATATTTTCAATTTTTTCTTTAATAGACAGACATAAATATGATCTAGTTTTAAATTCATATGCCCATATCTCATGTTAGAAAACAGCACTCTTTATCGAAATTGAGGCAGTTTATGTAAAATGACTAACTTGCTAAGTATTTGTAAGCAAACTGAGAAGCTTTTTTTTTTTTAAAGAACAGTGCAGAAAAAATCAGAGTCTCCCTATCATAACCAATATAAAATCTGCTATTAATCTGTGTAGATTGAATTTACTCTGCAGAAAACAGGAGTATATTTTCCGGGCTTAACTTATCACAGGAATTCAGGCAATATTTTCTCTCATTAGTATTGTGTCTGTCATAGGATAATAATAAAGGTAAATAGAACAAATATTGTATAGCACATAACAAGCATTTTATTCATAAACATCATTAGGTACTCAAAAACAGGAAATTCAGATGGTTTAATCCTTATATCAGAAAGCACAGGATTAATACTAACTTTGATCATCAATGACAAAGCAAAGCTCTGGGTTCTTCAAGTAAGATTCTAACTACAAGTTTGACCTTAGTGTTAATGTCTTTATCTTTTAATGCCTGGTGCAGAAGCATGGCTAATGATGACCAGCAGCTCCACCAGAATATATTTATTCCTAAAAATTTTGGTTAAAGAGGTTCTGGGTTTTTCTCCCTTATGCAAAGTTACCAGATTGTTCTCAGCCCTGGTGGCCTTTTGGATGACCCAGGGATAAAAGTTTCACCAGAGAGGGCCTGGTTGAATTTTGACTTCCCTACAGGAAGTTAGAGATCACATTGTCTTTGCACCTTGTTTGGGACCCAAGGCCCTTCACAAGGTGGCTTCAGGACACTTACTCACATATAACTACCACCATTTGCTAATATAAAACACCAAAAGCTAGTGTAAATCTGGCTTCCTGTCTTTCTATGCTCCTTTCTGTAGTGGAAATGATGTGGTCTGAGGGGAAGGACTATGGGCTTTGGAAAGAAACATATCTGAGTTTGAGGTGCCTTTTCTGCTGGTCATGAGAGTGGGCCCCCTGAATTATAGCTGTGATCATCTTCAGATCCTATTCCTTCTTAAAGTTGTTGCTGTTCCTTTTTAATCTCTCTGTAGCACTTGGCACCACAGACCACGCCTTTCTTGGCTGGTCTCTTCTCCTACCTATCTGAGCATTATTTTCCAGTATTATCCAATGCAGTTTTACTAAAAATAATACAATGACAAAAGAAGGCCCCACATTTATTGAGACTCTACAATAAACCAAGCACTGTAGAAGGAGGTTGGTATACATGACATAAAACCTTGCCCCTGCCCTTAGTTAGCTTACTGTCTGCAGGAGAAACAAGATTATTTAAAAATAATTGCAAATCTCATAATATGTAAGGAATAGTTGTAGTAGTACTAGTTAGTAGTAAAGACAATTAGAAAACAAGATTTTTTTTTATTTCAATAGGTTATTGGGGAACAGGTGGTGTTTGTTTACATGAATAAGTTCTTTAGTGGTGATTTCTGAGATTTTGGTGCACCCATCACCTGAGCAGTGTACACTTTACTCAATATGTAGTCTTTATCCCTCACCCCCTCATCCATTCCCCCGAGTCCCCAAAGTCCATTGTATCATTCTTATGCCTTTGTGTCCTCATAGCTTAGCTCCTATTTGTGAGTGAGAACATATGATGTTTGGTTTTCAATTCCCGAGTTACTTCACTTAGAAAAATTGTCTCCAATTCTGTCCAGGTTCCTGCAAATGCCGTTACTTCACTCCTTTTTATGGCTGAGTAGTTTTCTGTGGTATATATGTATATATTATATATACATATATGTATATATAATATATATGTATATATTATATAATATACACATATACATATATAATATAATATACACATATACGTATATGTATATATAATATACATATTATATATAATATACATATACGTATATGTATATACATACATATATGTGTGTATATACATATACGTATATGTATATATTATATACACACATATATAATATATACATATACGTATATGTATATATAATATAATATATACATATATATACATGCATATATCACACAGAAAACTAGATTATTAAAGTTCTTAAATGCCTGCATGAGTAGCTTCAGCTTTATTCTGCAGGTCAGTTCTATTTAAACTTTTCAAAATTCATCATTGTAAGTAAAAAAAAAATTGAGGCTGCACCAGTGAACACACACACACACACACACACAATATATATGTAGTCAATGATTATTATTCTCAGAACACATATTACCAAATTCACCTATTAGCTAAAATTTATTTGCAACCTTCAAATCAATACTCACAACATATTACAGTCATTCATTGTCATGTGCAAAGCAGGAAAAAAATTGAGGCAGATATTCTTAGCTGAAGTCAAACAAGGTGATGCTCTGCCTTTTTAAAAAATTTATTATTTGGTTTATACAGTAGATTATTATTGAATTTATTATTTATATTTCCACAAAAAAACCCAGGTGCAGGAGAATTTTTCATTTCACAGGAGGAAATAACAAGTAGTATATTAGACCATTAAAAGACTAGAAGGAGAGGAAATACTTCCCAACCTTTTTTTATATATATATACTTTAAGTTCTGAGATATTTGTGCAGAAACCGCAGGTTTGTAACATAGGTATACACGTCCCATGGTGGTTTGCTGCACCCATAAACCCATCATCTACATTAGGTATTTCTCCTAACGCTATCCATCCCCTAGCCCCCCACACCCTGACAGGCCCTGGTATGTAATGTTCCCCTCCCTGTGTCCATGTGTTCTCATTGTTCAACTCCCACTTATGAGTGAGAACATGCGGTGTTTGGTTTTCTGTTCCTGTGTTAGTTTGCTGAGAAGGATGGTTTCCAGCTTCATCCATGTCCCTGCAAAAAACATGAACTCATCCTTTTTTATGGCTGAATAATATTCCACAGTGTATATGTGCCACATTTTCTTTATTGAGTCTATCATTGAAGGGCATTTGGGTTGGTTCCGAGTCTTTGCTATTGTGAACAGTGCTGCAATAAACACATGTGTGCATGTGTCTTCATAATAGAATGACTTATGATCCTTTGGGTATATATCCAGTAATGGTATTGCTAGGTCAAATGGTATTTCCGGTTCTAGATCCTTGAGGAATCACCACACTGTCTTTCACAATGGTTGAACTAATTTACTATACCAATAACTGTGTAAAAGCATTCCTATTTTTCTGCACCCTCAACAGCATCTGTTGTTTCCTGACTTTTTAATGATTACCATTCTAACTGACATGAGATGATATCTCATTGTGCTTTTGCATTTCTCTAATGACTAGCGATGATGAGCTTTTTTTCATGTTTGTTGGCCACATAAATGTCTTCTTTTGAGAAGTGTCTGTTCATATCTTTTGCCCACTTTTTGATGAGGTTGTTTGGATTTTTCTTGTAAATTTGTTTAAGTTCTTTGTAGATTCTGGGTATTAGCCCTTTGTCAGATGGATGGATTGCAAAAATTTTCTCCCATTCTCTAGGCTGTTTGTTCACTCTGATGATAGTTTCTTTTGCTGTGTGCTCTGTAGTTTAATTAGATCCTATTTGTCAATTTTGGCTTTTGTTGCCATTGGCTTTTATGTTATAGTCATGAAGTCTTTGCCCATGCCTATGTCCTGAATGGTATTGCCTAGGTTTTCTTCTAGGGTTTTTATGGTTTTAGGTCTTACATTTAAGTCTTTAATCCATCTTGAGTTAATTTTTGTATAAGGTGTAAGGAAGGGGTCCAGTTTCAGTTTTCTGCATATGGCTAGCCAGTTTTCCCAACACCATTTATTAAATAGGGAATCCTTTCCCCGTTGCTTGTTTTGTCAGGTTTGTCAAAGATCAGATGGTTGTAGATGTGTGGTGTTATTTCTGAGCCCTCTGTTCTGTTCCACTGGTATATATACATATATATACATACATACATACATACATACATACACACACTATTCCAAACAACAGAAAAACCATTTATTAAATAGGGAATCCTATTTATGCCATATATATATATACACATATATATATATACACACACACACATATATATATATATATACACATATCTGTTTTCATACCAGTACCATGCTGTTTTGATTACTGTAGCCTTGTAGTATAGATTGAAGTGAGGTAGCGTGATGCCTCCAGCTTTGTTCTTTTTGCTTAGGATTGTCTTGGCTATACAGGCTCTTTTTTCATTCCATATGAAATTTAAAGTAGTTTTTTCTAATTCTGTGAAGAAAGTCAATGGGAGATTGATGAGGATAGCAATAAATCTATAAATTACTTTGGGGAGTATGGCCATTTTCATGATATTGATTCTTCCTATTCATGATCACGGAATGTTTTTCCATTTGTTTATGTCCTCTCTTATTTCGTTGAGCAGTGGTTTGTAGTTCTCCTTGAAGAGGTCCTTCACATCCTTTGTAAGTTGTATTCCTAGGTATTTTATTCTCTTTGTAGCAATTGTGAATGAAAGTTCACTCATGATTTGGCTCTCTGTTTATTATTTGTGGAGAAGAATGCTTGTGATTTTTGCACACTCATTTTGTATCCTGAGACTTTGCAAAAGTTGCTTATCAGCTTAAGGAAACTTTGGGATGAGACAACAGGGTTTTCTAAATATATGGTCATGTCATCTGCAAATCGAGACAATTGACTTCCTCTCTTCCTATTTGAATACCCTTTTTTTGCTTTCTCTTGCCTGATTAACCTTGCCAGAACTTCCAATACTATGTTCAATAGGAGTGGTGGGAGAAGGCATCCTTGTCTTGTGCCAGTTTTCAAAGGGAATGCTTCCAGCTTTTGCCAGTTGAGTATGATATTGGCTGTGGGTTTGTCATAAACAGCTCTTATTATTTTGAGAAAGGTTCCATCAATACCTAGTTTAGCAAGAGTTTTTAGTATGAAAGGGTGTTGAATTTTATCGAAGGCCTTTTCTGCATCTATTGAGATAATCATGTGGTATTTGTCATTGGTACTGTTTATGTGATGGATTATGCCTTTTGATTTGCATATGTTGAACCAGACTTGCATCCTGGGAATGAAGCCAACTTGAAGATGGTGGTCAAGCTTTTTAATGTGATGCTGGATTCGGTTTGTCAGTATTTTATTGAGGATTTTCACATCGATGTTCATCAGGGATACTGGCCTAAAATTTTCTTTTTTTGCTGTTTCTCTGCCAGGTTTTGGTTTCAGGATGATGCTGGTCTCATAAAATTAGTTAGGGAGTAGTCCTTCTTTTTCTGTTGTTTGGAATAGTTTCAGAAGGAATGGTACCAGATCCTCTTTGTACCTGTGGTAGAACTGAGCTGTGAATCTGTCTGGTCCTGGGCTTTTTTTGTTGGTAGGCTATTAGTTACGGTCTCAATTTCAGAACTTATTATTGGTCTATTCAGGGATTTGACTTCTTCCTGTTTTAGTCTTGGGAGGATGTATGTGTCCAGGAATTTATCCGTTTCTTCAAGATTTTCTAGTTTATTTGTGTAGGGGTGTTTATAGTATTCTCTGATGGTAGTTTGTATGTCTGTAGGATCAGTGGTGATATTACCTTTATTATTTTTTATTGTGTCTATTTGATTCATCTACCTTTTCTCCTTTATTAGGCTGGGTAGCAGTCTATTTTGTTAATCTTTTCAAAAAACCAGCACCTGGATTCACTGATTTTTTGAAGGGTTTTTCGTGTCTCTGGCTGCCCTTAACATTTTTGCTTTCATTTCATCCTTGGTGAATCTGAAGATTATGTGTCTTGGGGTTGCTCTTCTCCAGGAGTATCTTTGTGGTGTTCTCTGTACTTCCTGAATTTGAATGTTGGCCTGTCTTGCTAGGTTGGGAAAGTTCTCCTGGATAATATCCTGAGGAGTGTTTTCCCACTTGGTTCCATTCTCCCATCACTTTCAGGTACACCAATCAGATGTACATTTGGTCTTTTCATATAGTCCCATATTTCTTGGAGGCTTTGTTGGTTCCTTTTCATTCTTTTTTCTCTAATCTTGCCTTCTTGATTTAGTTCCTTAAGATGATCTTCAATCTCTGATATCCTTTCTTCCACTTGAACTATTCAGCTATTGATTCTTGTGTAAGATTTACGAAGTTCTCAGGCTGTGTTTTTCAGCTCCATCAGGGCATTTATGTTCTCCTCTAAGCTGGTTATTCTAGTTAGCAATTCCTCTAACATTTTATCAAAGTTTTTCGCTTCCTTGCATTGGGTTAAAACATGCTCCTTTAGCTCGGAGGAGTTTGTTATTATCAACCTTCTGAAGCCTACTTCTGTAAATTCGTCTAACTCATTCTTTGTCCAGCTTTATTCCCTTGCTGGCAAGGAGTTTTCATCCTTTGGAGGAGAAGAGGGGTTCCTATTTTTGCAATTTTCAGCCTTTTGTGTTGTTTTTTCTTTATCTTCAAGGAGGTATCTACCTTTGATCTTTGATGTTGGTGAAATTTGGATGGGGTTTCTGTGTGTATGTCATTTTTGTTGATGTTGATGCTATTCCTTTCCATTTGTTGGTTTTCCTTTTAAAGGTCAGGCCCGTCTGCTGCAGGTCTGCTGTAATTTGCTGGAGGTCCACTCCAGACCCTGTTTGCCTGGGTATCACCAGCGGAGGCTGCAGAACAGCAAAGATTGCTGCCTGTTCCTTCCTCTGGAAGCTTTGTCCCAGAGGGGCACCTGCCAGATGCCAGCTGGAGCTCTCCTATATGAAGTGCTTGTTGAACCCTGCTGGGAGGTGTCTCCCAGTCAGGAGGTATGGGGGTCAGGGACTCACTTAAGAAGGCAGTCTATCCCTTAGCAGAGCTTGAACGCTGTGCTGGGAAATCCACTGCTCTTTTCAGAGCTGGCAGGCAGGAGTGTTTAAGTCTGCTGAAGCTGTGCCCACAGCCGTCCCTTCCCCCAGGTGCTGTGTCCCAGGGAGTTTTATCTATAAGCCCCTGACTGGGGCTGCTGCCTTTCTTTCAGAGATGCCCTGGCTAGAAATGAGGAATCTAGAGAGGCAGTCTGGCTACAGCAGCTTTGAGGAGCTGAGTTGGGCTCCATCCAGTTCGAACTTCCCGGGGGGCTTTGTTTACACTGTGAGGGAAAAACCATCTATTCAAGTCTCAGTAATGGTGGACGCCCCTCCCCTCACCAAACTCCAGAGTCCCAGGTGGACTTCAGACTGCTGTGATGGCAGTGAGAATTTGAAGCCAGTGGTTTCTTAGCTTGCTGGGCTCCACGGGAGTGGGATCCGCTGAGCTGGACCACTTGGCTCCCTGGCTTCAGCCCCCTTTTCTGGAGAGCGAATGGTTCTGTCTTGCTGGCATTCCACGCACCACTGGGTTATGAAAAAAAACTCCTGCAGCTAGCTCTATGTCTGCCCAGAGGGCCACTCAGTTTTGTGCTTGAAACCCTGGGTCCTGGTGGCATAGGCACCTGAGGGAATCTCCTGGTCTGCTGGTTGTGAAGACCATCAGAAAGGCATAGTATCTGGGCCAGAGTGCACTGCTCCTCAGGGCACAGTCCCTCATGGCTTCCCTTGGCTAGGGGAGGAAGTTCCCTGACCCCTTGAGCTTCTCAGGTGAGGCAATGCCCCACCCTGCTTCGGATGGCCTTCCATGAGCTGCACCTACGTCTAACCAGTCCCAATGAGATGAGTCGGGTACCGCAGTTGGAAATGCAGAAATCTGTGTTGATCTCGCTGGGAGCTGCAGACCGGAGCTGTTCCTATTTAGTCATCTTGTCAGCCACCCCTCTCATCACAGTACTTTTAACAGCTGACTGACTACTTACTCACTTTTCCTTGCTACCAATTTCATTTTCTAATTTTCTCCTTTGAGAACACAGAGGGAAACTATTTGGTTTTACCAAATAGTTTAATGGTTGTTTAAAAATCCTCTCAATTTCTTGAATAAAAATGTACAGGAAAAAGTAGAGTCATGTTCATATTGAGATGTAAGCTTGTCTTAGTGATTAAAAAATACAAATTGTATATTTATGTATCTTGGTGTAAGTATTTGGTGATTTTATATGAATATTAATATATCATGAACAACTAAGAAAAATCTATCATTCATGTTTCTGAAAAATAGTTCATTCCATATTAGCCTGAGTTAATGTATTTTGTGTTAGGTTTTACGTTTCTGATGGGCAATCTGTTCAGTACTTCATATGCTTGCTGTATATGCATCACACATTTGTATAAGATTCTTATTTTTAACTAGAAATAATCCTAGATGTACAGAAAAGTTGCAAAAGTAATACACAGAGATCCCATTACCTTTCACTCACCTTTCTTAATGGAAACCTTTTACAGAAACATAATGCAATAACATAGAGTTGAGTCTTGAGCCAGACAGGTGTGAGAAAATCTACTCCAAAAGTTCATTATATTATATTAATAGTCTTTCTGCTTATGTTATAGCAGTGCCTCCTTCGTTTGAAAACGGGAGGTAATGGGGGCAGTATTCTCTGTACTTTGGAGTGCTTAATGTAATCTAATAAATACACACATGCATGCTTACAGAAAACGTTCAGGGTGGCATCAGGATTTGCAGAGACTGTATTTGTGTTTTCTTTTCATTTCAATCATGTTACCCTCGCTCTTACTTTGTTACTGTCAATTGTTGGGGCTCTAGCCTATGAGGACTTGTCTGATCTGAGCTCCTGAAATCTTGAAAGCAGAGAGTAGCTGAGTTTTTAATGGTTGTAATGAATTGTTTGAATCTCTGATATGAGGACTGTGACACATGGCTCCCAAGATACACAGTATGCATGTTCGTTGCAGAGAAATCCCCAGTGGTTGCCAATACTCCGCAATAAATTAAGCAGTGAGGAATTCTTGAACTTGCCAGTGTTGGTTGGGCTGCTCACTGCATGACATTAAAAAAACACTAAATGGGCCAGGCGTGGTGGCTTATGCCTGTAATCCCTGCACTTTGGGAGGCTAAGGCGGGTGGATCACTGCAGGTCAGGAGTTCGAGACCAGCCTGGCCAACATGGTGAAACCCCGTCTCTACTAAAAATACAAAAATTAGGTGGGAGTGGTGGTGGGTGCCTGTAATCCCAGCTACTCAGGAGACTGAGGCAGGAGAATTGCTTGGACCTGGGAGGCGGAGGGTGGAGTGAGCTGAGATCGCACCATTGCACTCCAGCCTGGGCGAAAAGAGTGAAACTCTGTCAAAAAAAAAAAAAAAAAAAAAAAAAAGTAAAAAAAGAAAAACACTAAATGTGTATCATTGCAATACTAATTATCATAACCAGATCAGTGTTTTTAGGCCATTGATGGAGTTAATGTTAACTGAGGCTTATTATTAACCAAAACAGAAATGGAAAAAAGGTGCTTGGCTATATCTTTCCAATTGCAGAACTAATTATAAGTAACATTTATTCAATCAAAATATACCAAAGAACTTTTCTTATCCTTTCTCCTTTGGTTTCTCCCACTCCACAAGCTTTCCAGTGACCTTAGAAACACCCCCACACCATATGTCCATCTCTAATTTCTTTCTTATCTCCCGAAAAACAGCCATCTCCGGGGCATTTTTAAATGTTTATATGTAAAGTGTTTAAAATATCAAGAAATATCTATCTTTTTAGAAAGTAAGAAAATATAAAAAATATAACTTATCATTTTTCCCTCGTGCATGCCCCCAACATTCATACATTCAATGCTATGCATAATAAGTGAACCAATTCTAGCAAAAAGGATGGTCTCAACAGCCACACAATGGCACACTTATGTTCTGCAGCCCTTCGCAGGCATGCTTCAAACTAGCCATACATGTGTGTCCACATTTTGCTCCAGTGTAAACCTTATCTTCGCTCCACTTGAGCTGGCATACTGCTTTGAAATGTCTGTCAGATAATCATGAAGTGAAGCCAGTTGTAGGAGAAGGTGTAGAGAATTATAATTTGCTTGCTCCATGAAGGCCCCAAGGAGGTGCTCACAATTAAGCAGGCATCAGAGGAAACACATATATTTACTAATACATTGAAGAACTTTTCACAATGGAGGTAGAATGCTTAATCAGGCAATAAACTATTCAACTCAATGAAAATGCAGAACTGGGAGGTTCACACAAACAAACAAAAAACAGTGCAATAATTAAGGAGTAATTTTAACTCAAAACAATCTTAATTTAAGGAGAAACTTAAAGCTGGTGTCCCATATCCAGTATTTGAAACTGAACCCCCAAAAGTTGGGAATCTGGAAATCTGCACTTCTAGATCTGGCCTCTGGATGTGCTGTCTCCCCCAAGTTATCTGTTAGTTTGGACAACTACAACTCACTCCTCCTTTAAGGGAGATAGGACTGAAGTTTCTCAAAAGGAATTTCACCAAGAAATAAAAACATAGAAGAGATAGACATGAGACAAAAACAAAACAAAACAAACACACAGACTCAAATGGCATTAAGGAGTGTGTGTGTATACATATATTTAATACTCACTACATACTATATATGTGCACATATAATGTTCAACATGATGTGTGAAGTATTATGCTAAAAATGTACACATATTGTTCTTCATGCAACAAATATTGAATTTAACTACTGTTATAAGCACTGGGGAAACAGCTTTGTATTTGAGTTGGGGAGACAGGAAATCATACAGTAAGCAAACAATCAGTTTGAAGAAAAATAGAGTGACTGGAGTATTATTTTAGAAGGCCTGTTAAGTAAAGGCCTCCATGGGATGTGACATGAGGCTGAGACCTGCATAAGCCAAGGCTGTAAACTCCACAGAGACAGGCAAGGGGCAAATGCTAAGGCTTAGCCCTCTGGGGCAAGTCATTTTTATCACACCCACTTTATGTATGGGGAAAACAGGGCTCACAGGGGAGCAAAATGGCTTCTCTGAGATTCTATGGCCAAGAAGCAGCATGAACAGCCATATAGCTGATGGGCTGTTCTACTTAGATTATTTCCTCTCCAGTTGGTTTTACCCAACTCCTGTCCAGGCCGCATCCTTTCCATTGCTCTGTCATTTTTTAGTCTCATTTCCTCTCCCCAAGAGACTGGTAATTCCTCTTTTAAACCTTCTCTAACTCTCATAGGAAGAAAACTTAATGACAGCAGTCGGCACTAACCTCTTTCAGAGGGAGTGCTACTTTATGCCTGCATCTGCTCTCCCTTCCCACCTGTAAGTCCTTGAGGGGAAGAGAGGGAGTGGTATCATTTACCTTTGCAGAGTAGGCAACTAGCACAGCCCTTTGCATAGAAGCAATTAAGAAGTGAACTTGTAAGAAGTATTTGAGGGAAGGATGGAGAAAAGAAGGAAAAAAAGGAAGGGAGAAAGATTTTTAGTTCTGGATGTAATACAATTTAGAAAATGAGAATAAGAGATTGCAGAGAAAAATGAAGGTAGCTTCACACAATTTCTAGACTTCTTATTAGCATTGTGTTATCTTTGTTTCTTATTTAAATGCATTTAGTACAAATGCATTTTTCAACATCTTAAATTACACAAGGAAGAAACTCCAATTTGAGGCTATCAGTAAAGGCAGCAATGGGAAAGGGAGAGGTACAAGGGACCCTCCTGGTCTCCTAAAATCATACCACATGGGTGGTACTAACTCTGAATGTTAGATCAATGTACATTATTACACCTGCTTATGAGGGAACAGTTAGCTTCCCTGTGGGTAACTGCTATTTGTGTCCCAAGTTTCAGAGGCAGCACAGGGAATATGTAAATCCAGGAGCTCTAGAGTCAAATTCCCTGGCTTTGTATTCCTCTTCCTGGTTTAGCAGCCAGGGGAGCCTCTCCTCCTGTTTCCCTATCTTTTCAGTGATGATGCTCACAGCACCCACCCCAATGAGGTTGCAGTGATGATTAAATGAGTGAACACACATAAAGTACTTAGATGGGTGTATGGCACCTGGCAAGGACCCAGTGCAAGTTAGCTGCTAATATGGTACTTCCTAAATAAATAAAATCATGACAAAGTATACTGGGGTAAACATATGTAATTTGGAGAGAAGGAAGTGTCAGTATTTTTATTACCATCATTCATCACAGTCTCTGGAGATGAAAAGGTTACAACAATTTCTGGAAGTTATAGATAGAAGACTTGTTCATGTCCTCTCACTTTTCAGCTGCTTCCTACAGCTTTTAGAGGGGTCAATGGCCTGAGATGTTCTGCAATGTCCTTTTCTACATGCTAAACTACTTATTTGTCAGTGTTCATTTTTTTCTATTGTTTTCATCCATAAAGAATGATGACGAGTACGTGGATTGTGCATAAAGGCAGCGTGCTCACATGATCCTTGATCACTGATGTCTTAACGCTTGAATTAAAAAAGGAGGAGGAGTTCTGACTGGACTTCTCCTGTCTCCATGATAATATCAGAGGTGGAATGTAAACAATGAATGTTCTTGACCCTTTTAATAACCCAAATCCTGAGGTTATTCATGTGTCCCTACTAGAATTTCAAAGATGTGCAGACTTCCTTGGGAATGATAACCGTCTTAAATTATAAACATAGATCCTGAAGAAACGTTTCAGAAAGGATAAAAATAAAAACAGGACTGCTTTTAACGCCTGAACTAACGGCTTGAGCAGTTTCCATGTCTGGAGTGGAAGTATTAAAAACGCAAAGATGTCTTGCCTTTTCTTACCAACCTACCGCCAAGAACCCAGGAGGGCAGCAGTGGGCTAGAAACAGGGTTTCTGTGCCAAATTCTGAAAACAGCCTTTTCTGAGATAATTGGCCTGCAGGCTTGTTCCCTGTTCTGGTGTGCTTTTGAGCTCCTTGCGCAGTTCCACCAGGTACAACAAATGCGCCCATAAAATCTGTCTTTGAGCCCTGATGAAATTTCATCCTCTGCAGAACGCCTCCGCTCTGTTTTATTAGGTGGGAGAGAGCAGGAGAGTTTCCACAGGATTCAGAGAGAGTTTGTCCGTATCTTAACTATCCGAGATCTTCTTTCCAAATCCTTCTCAATTTATTTCTGTGAAGATATATTTATACCTATTCCGGAAACCTTCTCCATTTCTAGAAAAAGCTACGCATCTTCTTCTTCCTCGACTTCTCTTTTCTCCCTCCCGGTGAGGATTTCAAAGGGTATGTGAGAAAAGAACCTTAAGCCAGGTCTCCCCGCGGCGTCCTGGCTAGTCCCGGCGCCCTGGGCGGGTGCATCGCTCCGCCGCAGCGCCCCTTGCCACCCAACTCTGTCCAACTTTCCCTTTCAGACTCCAGCAGGGGCGCCCTCCAGGCAACCGGCTGTGGCGGGCAGAAGCAAGCTCGGATGGGAGACCCCCGAGCTGCGTGCCCAGCGCCGGCTCAACAGACTTGCCCGCGCAGCGCCCGCGGGCCCCCTCGCATCCGGGCAGGTTCCGGAGCTGGGCCTTGCGCTCCCCGGCGCCCGCCCACCCTGGGTGTCTCGCGTCCCGGCCCTTCCTCCCCGGAACCCAAGCTAACCCAACTCCCATCCTCGCCACCTCTGGGGCAGCTCAACTAAGCCGTGTCCCCTCCCTTGCAAACGCGTCCGACCACCCTCCCAACCCCCAGCACAACCCTCAGCAAGAAAGCCCAGCTGGGTCTACCCAGTTACACCGGTCAACGAGGGTCTCCATCGCCGCCGGCCGCCCTAATTCACGCTCATTCATATTCATTCTCTTTTCTCTCTGTCCCTCTTCCTTTCTCCCCAAAGACTCTTAACTAGACAGGCCGATCCTCCCCAGCGGCACTCCCTTTCATTCTTCCCTTCCCACCACACACACACACACACACACACACCCGGAC
This sequence comes from Homo sapiens, assembly GCF_000001405.40. Taxonomy (NCBI): domain Eukaryota; kingdom Metazoa; phylum Chordata; class Mammalia; order Primates; family Hominidae; genus Homo; species Homo sapiens. The sequence continues at coordinate 62,248,687 of NC_000008.11, forward strand.
CCAGACAGCCCACTCCACTTTCCAGACGCCCACCTCCTACATACTCCCCTCCCCTAAACAGACATTCACCCACTCGCCATCTGTAGCCTCCTTCCAACCCCCCGCCCCGCCCGCCTGGCTCCCCCTCCCCAAGAAACAGACCTGCACAGTGGGACGCAGGGACCCCCGCCAGACGCTCGGGTCGTGCGCACCGCACTGACCTCGGCCCGCCCCGCCGGGAAACTAACAAAGGCGGGCGCGAGCCCCGAGCCCTGGAGCCGCGAGCGGCGGCCGCGGGGCCGAGGAGCCTGGGCCGGGCCGGGCGGGGACTACTCCGGAGTCAGGAGGCAGCAGCGGCGGAGGACGAGGATCTCTGGCAGTCAGCGCCGCTCGGACGCCGCCGGCACCATGGGCTGCTGCACCGGACGCTGCTCGCTCATCTGCCTCTGCGCGCTGCAGTTGGTGAGTGCCCCGAGGGCCCCTGCCCCAGGACAGGTCCCTGCTCCAGGACCGGCCTCTGCGACTCCCTCTGCGGTTCCGCAGCTCCCGGCAAGGGGCGAACGGGTGAACAGGGCGCTCCGCCCGCCTCCCACCCTCCCCACCGCCTGGCTGGGCTCGCACTGCTCTCCAGCCGCGGGCACTCGCCAGGTCGCCCCTGCCCTGCAGGAGGGCGCGGTCTCACCCCCGGTCCCATGCGCTGGGGTTCGCCGCGCTCCCGCCGGGCGTCGCCACGCGGTCCAGGGGCCAGGAGCCGGCGGAGTGAGGGATTTTCCCGCCCCTTGATCCGATACCTGGTTTAGCACCCTCCGCGTTCGTGCTGAAGTTACACGGGGACTTGCGGGCTCTTTCTTCTTAGGATGATTTCCAGGAATGTTGCTTAATTACACTGTGTGGGAATGCCCAGGTTCTGAGGAGACAGAAGCTGCCTCAACTCTGTTAGTGAAGAGTGAGGTGGTTCTAACCTTAAGCAGGTTGAAAAGTGATGGTTAAGGAGTCTGGGACCTCCAGGAAGGAGATCAGGCTGTGTGCTTCAGCCCCTGCCCTTCCAGTTCCGCTTTGGATTTTGTTGAAATGTTGCATGTTCAGGCGGCGACAGACTGACAGCTGTCATCAAGGAGAGAACAGAGTGAACCGGCTCCATTGGCGCGGTGCCTTGCAGAGGGAGTGTGTGTAATGGGAAGTTAGAAACTAGAGTGGGGAAAAAAGGCCCTTTCAGAGCAGAGCAAATGCTCCTCTTAATCCCTTTGGATCCTGGACTGGCTCTGTGGTCTATTCCATGGTCACTTGAGGTCAAGGCCACAGACCTTTTGAGTCAGACTTTTGTGTGTGAGAGATTAATAGACATCTCCCTTGCGTTATACTTCAGACAGATTCTGAGTGCTCTGCCAAGCTTTCTTCCAAGCATTGTATTTTTTTTCGAGTCACAAATATAAACTAGTATATTTTGACAAGTGAGAGGAAAAAGCTTGCAATGAACTTTACTTAGTAATGTCATCCCTTGCAAGACTTATTAACTGAGGGATAAAATCGTGCTTTTTAGTAGTTAGTCCTTGTTTACATGAAGGCTTTAGAATGTTTTCACTTTTCTCTTGCCTCAGTGTTCCAGTCTCCCATGAAAACCTCACTTTGGATGTGCCCTTCATTGTTCACATAATGCATGCATAATTTATGTATTCGTAGGTTTGAAATCAGTGACTTTTTAAGCCTATTGGATAGTGCCTTCTGTCTTGTGAAATACTTGAATCAAACATATTTTATAGTTTCTTGAAAAAAATTTTAAAAATTTAAAACAATATGAATGTTTTCTTTCACTAAGAAAAGAAGGCAGGAGCTTGATTTGTATTTTGGTTTTCAGAAATGGACATGGCTTATAAGTTGGAAAAACTGACTAAACATTGAGTCAACCCTTGATTCAATGTAAGATTATAGATAGGCATGCTGGATTGCATAATCTATAATGCCTAATTTCTATTTTACATGGAAATAACAAGTAAGGTTTTTATGTAGCAGATTTATCAATGCAATTATGATTTTCTTAACAGGCATTGTGATGATAATGTTTTTGAGATTTCATCCATCAGCCAAGCATGCCCCTTCTTTCCACTTTCTTAGTTGATACAAATGCAACTTATTTGTCAAAGCTTATCTTAAAATTCCATTTTTTAATGAAGTCTTCCTTGGTGCTCCAGGTAAAATCCCTTATATTCCTATAATCTCATAGCACTTCGCTTTTTCCTCTGTTATAAAACATTTGATACACTCTTAAATAATTTTAAGTTATTTACACATATTTCTCACCACTAGATTGTAAGCAACTTGAGGGTAGGGACCATAGTACTAGTGATCTTTACAAACTCTGCAAGTTCTTAGAGCTCATATTAGGAGCTGAAACATATTTGCTGAATTTTTGATAATACATAACATTTGCAATCCATACAGGACTTTGACATAAACATTTCTTTTGACTTTTAAAACTATCCTGTGAGGTAGATACTCATTTCATTTGTTTGCAGGTGAGGAAGTTGATATTCATAAACAGTTTTTCCATAATCAAGAGTTTTTGGATGGTAGAAATATTGGGGTGATGGTAAGCATTTAACAACTGGATTGTAAACAAAACAAATGTATATATTACATTATAATAGCATACAAGATAATCTTCTCTATGTAAAAGATGTGTAGCTCTCTGTTGACAAATGATAGCAATAGTAAAATATGTAATAGTCTTTAGTGTGAATTCCATACAGCCATTCAATTTTGGCAGAATCTTTTTGCTGAGTTTGAAAAACTCTTGGTTTTATAAATCTGACATGAATGCTGGTGAATATTTTTGTATGCTTTAAGAAAAAAGAGGAAAGTGAAAATTTGAAGAAAATATTCGAACTTTACTTCATCAATTACATGAAAAGATTCTTGGCTGAATTGGATAATAGTTTTTAAATACTTAAAAATTATTTCCTCAGTTTCTTTCATAGCTATTGACAATGTAATGTCTATAGACATGACACACTTTTAGGTTTAATATGCATTATTTAAAATATTTCTCCATTATTTAAAAAGCCTAGACAATCAACAAAACAGTAAGCAACCGCTGATTTGTGGGGTTTGCCAAATTCTTTGGTGTAAATACTCCCATCACGACCAATTTCAAGTATACTTTATATAGCATTTCCGTCATATACATAAGATAGGCCTAACCTCAAAAGCATTGGTAAAGTAAAACACAGCAAAATAATTAGGAAGGAATAACTGTTAACTATTCAGTACCTTGGTTTTTAGTAGGATTTCTTTAAATTTAAGTTTGCATAATTTAATTTTTAATAATGGCTGTATTTAACAACTGGCTCACAAAATTCCTAAAAATCTAACAAAACCAATTCTAACTCTGAGCCCGTATAAGCCTGCTTCAGCATATCATAGGATAGGGATCCCTGTTTCCTAGATCTGGTGCACTTTCTACTGAAACCAACTGTTTTTTTTTTGCTCTTTTATGTTTTTTTCTGCTTCCACCAACTGTCAGACAATGGAGATTATGAGGCAGTGAACTAGTGAGGGTGTTGAAAGGGGATGGCGTTGGGAGAACACATCTGCTGAAGACAATCTACATGCTCATGACTAAGGCTTAACTGGGAGGTCATCACATAGATGATACATTAGTTCCTCCTAAAAGTTAAAGAAACAAATAAAAGCTTTTCGTTATCTTATTCCCATTTTGTCTGAACTACTGTCTGGAGTGGGAAAATAAAAACTCAAATTGGGAAATTTACTTGGAGAAAACATATCCTTTTCAAGCTAGTATCTGTGGATGAGTTTCGGTTTGCAAAATCTCAGTCATTTTCTACTTTTTTCACTCCACTGCTCTGGCTGTCTTTCATCATTAGTTTTTCTCCAGGCTTCTGCCCTCAAGATGTTTGCCTCATGGTTTTCATTTGTGATCCTCCTGATTTTCCTAGATGAAATTAAAGAGAAAGTGAAAAGTATGAATACAGGCCCATCAAAAACGATGTGAAATAATTTTTTTTAAAGAAGTGATTCATTACTGTGTCACTGATTCATCTAGTCATCCAAGAGCCTTTAGTACATTTTTTTTGTAAGGATACTTTCAGTTTTGCTTGTTTTATAATACTGTATATACTTATCATTAGATATGTGTAATTTATACATAAAAAGAAGCACTTGATCATGTGCTTTTAGCACATTCTTTTCAGGTACCACATTTAAATAAACCTTAATTGCATGGTTTCAAAGTCTGACATGCCACATCTCATTTCAGAGCCATTTTCTGAGAGTAGCCTCAGTGAAGCACTGAACTAATTTTGGCAGGCATTGTTCCCACAGAGCTTTAGACATCTTCCCAACCTCACAGAGGTCGGACTCTGGCAAGTTCAATGTAACTTTGGCATGTTCAACACATCTTCGTCTCAGGATGTTATTATTACCCATGGACATTCATTGCACCTTTCATCACTTCAAGGTGAAATTCTTATTACTATTAGACCTAGGAATAAGGGAAACAAAACTCAAAACTCTCACCAGACATATCTGTGGTACCAGAAACCCTACAAGATTTAGAGAAAATAGGCAGCTTCTAACTCATAGATGTATATTTTTTATTGTAGAGAACATCTGACTGGGTACAGTGGCTTATGCCTGTAATCCTAGCACTTTGGGAAGCCAAGGTAGGAGGATTGCTTGAGTCCAGGAGTTCCAGATCAGTCTGGGCAACATAGCGAAACCTCATCTCTACAAAAAATTTTAGCCAGGTGTGGTGAGTTGTGCCTCTAGCCCCAGCTACTTGGGAAGCTGAGGTGGGAGGATTGCTTGAGCCCAGGAGATCAAGACTGCAGTGTACTATGATGCCACCACTCACTCCAACATGGGAGACAGAGTGACACTCTCTATCTAAAAAGAAAGAAATACATAAGTAAATAAATAAATAAATAGAGAACATTCTCTCAAAGAAAATCAGCATTTTTTCTCACAGTGGAAACGAAGTTTAGTTAACTTCCTTTCCATACCACATTCAAACCATCTGTGAGCAAAGCACCTATGACACTAGAATGCTGAGATAAATGTGTTAAGAGGTGTCTGTAGGGGGGTGGTGTAGCTGTGGTAACATGTTTTTAACTAAGCTCTATGAAAGGTGCAGCTCACCTGTCGTAGATATTGGACAGCGAATGCTGAAATATATTTCTTTTACTATGTATTTATACTGATACTTTGGCTTTGACATGGTTTTAATAGTTCTTTTCTTCTCCTCTGCACTATAATTATTAATCATTTTGTTTCCATTCTCTTTCTTTATTTCAATACCGTGGTTCATGCTATGAAACTTAAAGTTAGTGAAACTTAAAGGTTAGTGAAATTCAAATTTTGTCTACTAATGAGACTTGAGTTATACTGTGACTGGTATTGAAACCATTCTGCGTTGGCAAATACTGAAGGGTTACATCGTGAGTAACAAAATGAATTGTTGTGCTTGGGTATCGTGTGTGTGTGTGTGTGTGTGTGTGTGTGTGTGTGTGTGTGTGTGTGTAGGTCTAGCAGATGTGTTTGGATACATAAGGGTTCTGTTTTAGATACTTTAAGATTCTGAGACTTGAGGCCAAGTAGCTGTCAGGTACATGAGTGTGGAACCTAGAGGGCAAGCCTGGATTGCATATTTAGAATTAAGAATCATGAACAATATTGGTATTTAAAAAGCCCTGGATGAGATCACCTTGGGAGAGAGAGTACATAGTTGAGACTAGAACCGAAAATAGGACTTAATACAAGGTGAGTAGAGAACAAGGAGCCAGCAAAGGATACAGAAGAAGAGGTTGGAAAGAATCAACTTACTTTAAAAATAGGGCTGACATTTCAAGATAAAAGTAAAACAAAACACAAAAAACATAGAGCTGGAATCATTGGTAATAAAAAGGATATATGCCAATAAATAATTATTATCAAATTATATCTTTTGATTTTTTTTTCTGAGAGGTTAAGAGCAAAACTATCATTTTAATAAAAATACATGAATTGTCATACTTTTGTATTCTGTCCTAGGAAGCCAGGTCTGTGGAAGCAAAGTCAACATAAGCAGTGATTTCCGTGGCATGTAAATCATGGTACAGCAAGAGAGTCATTTTATTTAATAAGAATTAATTAACAAATAATTTTATTAAATGTTTAGTAAAGTACTAAGCAGTCATTTAAATTAGCGTTAACATTAATACAGTCAACATGGATTAGTTGTAATAAATGACATAGACCCTTCAGTTAACAGAGCATTTTGTTTTTATGAACAATTGAGTAAATAGCAGAACACTCTGACAGCAAACTGCTGAGAAGAGTGTTATGGGAAGAATTTCGTCCTCTAAAAAGATACATTGAAGTCCTAACTCCCCATACCTCAGAATGTGATTTTATTTGGAAATGTGGTTTTTATAGAGGTTATTAAGCTAAAATGAAGCCATTAATTTCTTATGACTGATGGCATTAAAACCAGGAAATTTGACACAAAGACAGAAAAGCACAGAGGAAAGACACTGGGAAGACACAGAGAGATAAAAATCACTCATTAAAAATAAAAATAAAAATCAGAATGGAAAACACGCAATTGGGACGCTTTGGGGAAAAGATGACAGACAAGATGTTACTGAGCTAGAGAGACAGTAGACCTTCCCTTTTTTCCAAGGTGCCACATGAAGACTGAGGATTGGAGTGAGCCAGGGATTGCTGGCAAACCCATGGAAGCCAGGGAGAGGCAAGGAGGGAGTCCCCTACAGGCTTCAGAGGGAGTAGGCCCAGCTGACACCTGGATTTTGGATTTCTAGCCTCCAGAACTATGAGATAAGTTGCTCCTCTTGTTTTAAGCCACTTGGTTGTGATACAAGGAAACCCTAGGAACTTAATACAGAAAGAGAGCTAGTCTGGAGTATGTTTTAAGGTAGAACAAACCTAGGTTTAATTAAAACCACTTAAATGGTGAAAGAAATGCTTATGTTCAATGTGCATGTGGATTTGGACTTACGGGTGGCAGAAGGTTGAGACCATGTCATGGCAGGAATAATTAGAGTCAAAGGGTTAAGTTCTCAGGCCAGCAGAGGCAATAGGCCAGGCCTGAGGACTCCTGGACAGTGCTGCCCTCATGGGAGTCTTTGGATCAGCAGTATCAGAATCACCCGGGGGAGCTTCTGAACAACAGTGGCTCAGGCTCACCAGGATCTATTGGATAGAAATATTTTGGAGAAGGGCTCAAGAGTCTCAAATTATTGAAAGCTCCTTGCATGATTCTGAGGTAGATCGAGGTTTGGGAACGTTTACTCAAATGAAGAGTTCCCTGGGTCAGAAGAACTTGAAGAGGAAAGACTGTGGATACTTCCTAAGGCTATTAGGAGCAAACCCAGTTTCTGAAGGTCAGTTGAGAGCCGAGTTAGCTGAGTTGCCACTCTAAATGTCCTTAGTTTTTAAGATTTTAGGACGGATACTGGGTGTGGTGCCTCATGCCTGTAATCCAGCACTGTGGGAGACTGAGGGGGGAGGATCACTTGAGGCCAGGAGTTTGGGACCTGCCTGGGCAACAAAGTGAGACCCTGTCTCTATAAAAAAAAAATTTAAAAAAAAATAACCAAACAGTAAGATGAATACTTGTAGTCCTGCCTCCTTGGAGATTGAGGTGGGAGGATTGCTTGAACTCAGGAGGTGAAGGCTGCAATGAGCTATGATCATGCCACTGCATTCCAGCGTGGGTGACAGAACAAGAATCTGTCTCTAAATAAATAAACAAACAAACAAATAAGTAAATAAAGTTTTAGAAGAGTTGCTTCTCTTATGGAAACTTAATGTCTATGATAGCATGGAATCATCCTAACAGGCTCTTCAAGGGCTGTGGTCTGTTATCAGAGGGAGTGTCGTGTTTCCCATCCTGAATAGGTCAGTCACTGAGACTGCCTGTCCTCTGCACATGTAGCATCTGGTGTATCTGCGGTAGGCTGTCTGCTCTTTTAGGTCGTAGGCTGGGTCAGGTTCAGAGCCTGGTCTGGAGAGGGAGTCCAGATAGAAGCCCCAGGAGGAAGTGGGTGAAGTGCTCCCTCACAGCCCCTCTTGACATTGCATCTATTTCTTTAGTCCAGGACAGTAAAGATCACTTTGCTTTTATAAAAGTGCCTCAGGGCTCATACTGCATGGTTTCAAGGTTTACTTGAAGTAAATGGTTTCAACATTCCTTCTAGAGGACACACTAAAATGGTTTTAGACCATATTTGTGAGGCTGACGAATGTTCCTGTTTCTCTACTTTACAAACCAAATTTCTTATTTTTATTTTTAATTGGCAAATAATAATAGTATATACTTATGAGGTAATTTGATGTTTTGATATATGCATAAAATGTGGAATAAAAAAACAAGCTAATTAACACATTCATCACCTCACGTATCATTTTTTTGTGGCAAGACATTTGAAATTTACTCCCTTGGCAATTTTGAAATATACAATACAGTATTATTAACTATAGTCACTATGCTGTGTAATAGATCTCAAACTAGAGTCCTTATGTTTGTAACCCTGATCAGCATTGGTTTGAATATGTCCTTCTAATAAGTATTCATAAGAAAGTTCTGCAATTCTCATGACTTAAGCCTCCCTGACATATAACTATGAAATTTATAACATCCATCAGACCTTTTCTCTCTTAAGCTTCAGTTACTTATTTCACCTTTTGTTTTATTAACTAATACTTCATATTCTTTACGCTGAAACCTAATTTGTTTTTAATTCTTTAGGTTGAAACCTCCTTTCCCAAATTCCCCCTTTAGCTTGCTTGCCCTGCCAAGAGATGTATTGAATTCATTTTCTACAATGCCTGATTAATCTTCCTTAAGTGGAAACTTCATCCTGTCACTCCTCTTCAAAAAAAATAATGTCTCTGTAAGCTGCCATTTAATGCCTTACCAAAATAGAATTATTTCCTACTTCTCCAGGTCTGCATCCTCAGTTCCATAGGGACAGATTTCTATTTCATGAACAACACATATTCATACCCTTGAACATATGTAGTTCAGGCTTCTTGAAGCAAATTTCAAGGTTGTAAAACTAAGAAAATGGAGATGAACAAAATTCACTGAAATAGAAAGAAGTATTTATATATACCTGTAGTTATTATTCTTTATAAAATAATGAATTGCTTTTGTTTTTTTCAAATTATATTCTCCATTTTAATCAAATCATTTTCATTCCGGTTACTTACATATAGATTTTTGTTTTGCCTAGTCCTTTATTTTCCTTAGGAGAATAATCTATATCATAAGATTTTGGGAAATAAATTGTTTTCTATCCCCAGAACATCAATAGTCTTTGCTTTTAAAACATGAACTACTTATTTTATTTTATTTTATTTTATTTTTTTACCTTTCTCTCACAAATTGTACCTGTGTTGTAGCAATGTATGTTTTCAGTCTCTAGGATTGGAACAGTTATCCAGATTATATAAGAAAGGAATTTCAAATATTGTATGCTTAAAAAATGAGCCAATAGTACTTAATATTTTGGCATTAGGACAAGATACACATTAATAAAAACATTGCATGGTTTCTTTGCAGAAGTTTTGATGAGTGATCAGGAAAATGAACAAATCTACATGTGCATACTTGAACTATTTCCTTAGGCATTTGTTTTCATCAGGTGAAGATGAAATGCCTCTTGCTTAAAGAATCAGATTGGCTGGGCATAGTGTCTCAGACCTGTAATCCCCAAACTTTGAGAGGCTGAGGTGGGAGGATCCCTTGAGCCCAGGAGTTCCAGACCAGCCCTGGAAAGACAGGGAGAACCCCTCTCTCCAAAAAAAGGAAACAAAAATAAAATATAGATGGTTGTGGTGGTCTGTGCCTGTAGTCCCAACTACTTGAGAGGCTGAGGTGGGAGGAGGTTCAGTTGAGCCCAGGAGTTCGAGGCTGCAGTGAGCCTTAATGGTGCCACTGCACTCTGGCCTTGGGGACAGAGTGAGACACTGTCTAAAAAAGAAAAAAAGAAAAAAAGAATAAGGTTTACAAGCACTTAATACAAATCATTCGTTAAAAATAAAAATAAAAATCAGAATGGAAAACACAATATTGGGATGCTTTGGGAAAAAGATGACTGACAAGATGTTACTGAGCTAGAGAGACATAGACCTTCCCTTTTTTCCAAGGCCCCAGTATCTGGATGAAACCAAAATAGTGTGAGGAAGAAAACTGGAGCAAACAGCAGATCAGCAACAATGAAGAATCCAGGAGACAAGCAGAGTGTATTTGGCCCAAGGCCTTAATATTAGTTTGTGCACTCTGTACACTGCACAAAGGTGTTCATGTGTTACACAGAAATTCAGCACTTGCTCTGCTTGCATGAAGGGTATGGTGGGCATAGTGCTGGAGTATTGGTGCCTTTTGGCTTTACATGTTGAGAGTTGGCTGATTAATAACATTGTGCAGATGATATGCAATGGGAGAATAAATATATTACTTATTTTTAAAATAAAGCTGATTAATGTGGAAGTTAAGATTTATAGTATTTTGGACAACAATGAGAAGTTAAAAAGAAAACCACAAATTATTCTTTATTGCTTATTTTGATTTTCTTATAATACTTTCTATGTTGCACTTTTCAGTAACATTAATTTTGAAAAAGAGGAGAGATTTTCCAATTAGTGGATGCTTTGAGGTCAATTTTAGGAAGACTATTTGGCAAATACTTGATAAGGTTATATTTGGTATAGCTTCTTTCTTAGGTGCATCAAAAATTCATGCTTTTAATCCCCATTAAAACTAATTAGTGTTAATGTGTGTGAACATGCATCTACAGCAGAATAGAATATTAGACTAAAATACTTCATCAATGATTAGTATTCCAAATGCCAGTTAAATGGTAGTACAAGCAAATGACATATAGCACAAACTATCTAATTTACATTTTTAATGTGATATGTTTTGCAAAGATATTGAAATAAAATGGAAGGTAGGCTATGAATGCCCTGTAATGGAACATTCTTACCTTAGGTCTTGATAGAGTATAGGAGAATAGATATTTTAAGATGAGCATAGTTATAAACAAAAAAAATCAGATGAAGGCGTTGACTTAAGTTGGAGAATGTGAAACACTTGAACTGGTAGGTTGCTGTTCTGTTTGACACTGGTAAGAGCATCTGCAGTTCATTGAACTGGAGGAGAAACATTTATCCATTGGTAAAAGGAGACGAAGGTGAAGGTGGGTGGGCGGCAGGAGTTGGAGTACTGACAAGGGCTCTAATTGCAAGAATTAGATAGCTTATTGTTAAGGGAAGCAAGATCTTGGCAGTGTTAATGATATTATTCATTTTTTAGATTTTTTTCTTTCATTTTTTGCATAGAGTAGCATTCTTTAGAATGCTCTGTTCCTTTATTAACAAGAAGTATTGAAAGAGGATTTTAGTGATCAGTTTCTCGTAAGAGATATGAGCTCAACAGGGGTGACGATAAGTCATAAATATATTTCTGAAAGTTTCTATTCCAGTAATGAGAGACACAGTAATAATTTGGTATTGATTAATATCTAGTATAATAAGAGTTTGCATGTGGGAAGCCATAGGCTACAGATGTTGATTGGTTTAATTGGTTAATTAAGGTACAAACAGGAATGCTCTACACTCAAGTTATATTTCCTGTGCTGGTAACTAGCTGTAAATGATCATAATTAAGACAATGGGATATATAAATTGTTGTTAATGATAATTCTTTACCAAATTTGTATTTAAAATATAAATTCTTGATGAAGTTCTTTCAAATTATAGTTTATGAAAAGTAACATTTCTTAGCTTCAAAAGGTCCTCAAGAAATCATCTAGAGCCATTGTTCGCTCCAAAGCAGTTATGTGTGTGATGCTTCAATACTGAAGCCTCTTCTGTTGAATCTTAAATGTCTCTGAGAATGTAAAACTTGCTTTGATTTCCATTCTGTCTTCTATTCATTTGCTTTATATCTGGATGGTGAACGGCCGATGCAGGCAGTCATGGGCTGGAGCTGACTCATACCAACTGGGGATAGCTTCCTGGTGGGTTTCCAGGAATCATGTGAGCCAGTTGTTAAATACAGCTTTATTAAACATTAACTATATAAACTTATAATTAAATTATATTAAAAACAAAAGTATACATATTTAAAAGTCAACACTTTCTAATGATTTTATTGCAATATACTGTTATCTCTGCTCTGGGGGTTATTTTACATCTACACGGTACGTATTTTACATACAGTTTGTATGGTGGAAATTCTGTATAACAGAGGATTATCTATTGAGTATCTCTTCCCAATTGTACATCCAGTGACATCATATTGGTAGCTAAAATTTTTTTATGAAGTGTTTATATCATAGAAATATCATTCTTAAGCTCCCCAGGCCAGTTGTTAAATTATTTACTAGCATATCACCAGGCAGGGGCTTTCTTCATAAGGCCAGTTTTTTTCCTTGTACCAAATTGGAACTGATTCATAAGCTTTTAATGTAACTAATTAATGCATGTATAGAAAGTATATTTTATAACCTAAGTGTTTTATTTATTGCTTTGAATACGTCTGTAAAATTGTTTAAACATAATAGAGAAGTTTTTATTTTCAAAAAATTACAATATTAAATCCTTTGGTTTTAATAATAGCTTTTGGATCTCCCTAAAGTGTTCATGCACATTGCATAACTGATTTGTTGGTAACTGATCTGTGGCTAAATGATTCAGAACTGATAATGGGTTATAGGTTGCACTTCTAGGTGAGTGACTAGAATCTAGAATCTCTCACTATGAGGGAAAGTTATTTCTGCTTAATGAGTGTTGATTAGTTCCCATGAGGAAAGCTGGACTTACTCCAACACCCAGTTCTTCCACCTGTTGGCATCATTGGTCCTAATTAGCTTCTTCCACAAGGATGTCAAGTAATCAATGGTGAAATGATTGAAATACCTTTTGACACCCACATCTGGTTCTTCCAGGCTGGGATAATCTGCATTTTCCATTGTCCCCACATCAAAATACTAAATATTCTATCTTGAAGAAGGCTTCAGGAAGGTGATTTATTTGTGAGCACACCAAAACTTATTTAGCTCATAAAATTTCTTTTCTAATTATTTTAAAAAGCAATCATTGTTACAATGCGGAACAAAATCCTCTTGTGCTTCAAATTCCATTGTATCATTCTTATTTTCATGAGGCAGATATTAATATATTCTCTTTCACAGATGAGAAAACTGAAATGTGGGAAAATTAAGGAGTATGTTGAAATTATATGTTATGCTATTGCTTAAAGCATGAGAAATGTAGAAATGCAGATAACAAAACTGTGTGTGTGTGATCTTAGATTAGATCTTAGATTTTGGTATTGTGACTGCATTAAAAAAAAGAGTCACTCTTCTGGGCTTAGGTCAAACCTGTTGTGAAGAGTAATTATTTAAGCAAACAATTTCTTTACATGAAATGTGATTTTAAAAATGTAATCCAGATGACTTGAGTAGTAAGAAGAGACACTAACTCTGGGACACGGCTTTTTCTTTTGTTTTGTTTTTGCCATTTCTGTTGGTAGAAGGTAGCTTTCCCTCATTATTGACATCTATTTTTGGAATCCCTCAGGAGGAATCCCAATTTATCCTGAAACAAAAGAATGAAATGCAAGCTTTCTGCAGACCAAGTATTTTGCAGTTTTTGCATGCTCTATTTTCTTCAGCCGATGAACCACTTCTGACAAAGCTTTCTCACTGTCCGGATATAATCTGCTAATACCACTGGGACCTACACTCACAAGTGTCTTCTTTCTCCGTAAAAGTTTAAGCCACTAATTCTTTTTGATGTCTGTTGGGAAACTCTTCCTTGGCCTTGTAGTATTGTGATTGCCAAAGATTTGAATGTGGCAGCCAGACCACTGACAGAGTGTCTTGAATGCAGGGCCAATTAGAGGGAAGTATTAGATGAAGCCACTGAACCATTAGGAGGCTTGCAAAGATCCCCTAAGAGTCTTTTCATCTACAAGAGAGCTGTGGTTGGAAATACACAGATGGAGTTGTCCTTAGGGATGTGCTCTTCCCGCACGTGGTTCTGTTGAAGCATTTCACAAGTAGAAGACAACGTTTTGTAATATTTCACAGAGCCTATGTCATACAGAGGCACATTGGTCATCTATTATTAATATGTTTGTTTGGCTCAACCAAAAGTGTCTTTATACACACTTTTTAACTCCTTCCCTACTAATGATACATTTATTAGAGGGCAGAGGTTTTGATTAAAGATATAAGTAATATGATTTTTATAGCTCAGTTTTTCTTTCAACACAACACAAAGTGAAGCATATTAATTGTCTTAGTATATTTTCCTTATTGATGAAAAACTGGTTTGGTATTTGCAAAACTCTGCATGAATTCTAATTCCAAATTCTTGATTTTTGTCCCACTATATTTAGGAAATAATATTGTTTTCACATTTAGAGGACCACATCAAGGCTAAAAAGATAATTGTATTTAAACATATTTTAAGATGTTTAAACTTTGTATTTTTATATTTTTAGTTATCATAAAATTTAATTTGTTTCCAAAATCCTGGTTAATTTTCATTCTACCAAATAGAGGTTTAAAATGCTCTTAGGAGAATGGTAGTCAAAGGTCTTATAAAAACAGAAATGTACTTCTTTAGTCAATATGTAGTTTGCTTTATATTAAATGAAGAGGTAATCTGGAATGTACATTTGGATTAAGTGTCAGCTGTAATGCCTATGTGCTTTTCATGGCCCAAAAGGAAAGGAAAAACAGTGGAGAACTGTTATCCTACAGGCATCAGAATTACGCTGATGGGCCATCAGCTGCTCGGCAGCCAAGCATTTCTCCAAGGTGCTCCAGTGAGTACTGCAGGCTGACCTCATGGATGTATGGGTGAAGAATCACAACTAGATGACAGGACTAGTATTCTAGGACCAATATTTAATGTGACGTAACTTAATCCAAGTTGGTATATGATTATGATAGTAGCCAAAAATCAGATGACATTAGAAATAGGTGGCCCAGATTGAAATAGATGTGACTGAAAACATAGTGTAGTAAACCACTGCAAATTTAATACTCTTCATCTGTAGACCTAAGGAATAAAATCGTTGAATATTTTTGGACTTATTTTCCATTCAAGTATAGAGGAAATGGTGTTTTGGGCAGGACCATATTACGTATTTATATATGAACTTCGATACATGCAATGATGCCAATTTACAAGAAAGTCCTGAGTACGAAGATCTAAACAGTAATAAACTACAGACAAAAGATGAATCAGAAGTGTAATATTTTCTTAAGCTGTAAATATTGGAATGCCTAAATATAGGCTAATTGCTAAATATATGTAGCAATCCACTGAACATTGGTCAGATATATTTAAACAAAGGAATATGATAGTTTCATATTTCTAATAGTGAAGTATTTTCGAAACTATACAGTCAAACTTGAAGAGGAAGCTAATTTGGAAATAGTTCAGAAGGAAAAATGAGGGAATTCATATTGCTTAGCCTAATGGTGGATTATTTGCCTCCTAAGGAGCTGTCTCAGAATGTTGAAAGGAATATATTCCCCGCTGGCCACCTGCTTCTGCCCTGTTTTCTCCATTCCTGGTGTTATTGTCCCACTTTGCATGTTCTGACCCACCCCAATTCCTGAGCCAATATTGACAGAGTCAAGACAGTGTGTATATTATCTTCAGCTCTTCAGTTGGTATCCATTAAAACATTAATTAAATCAAATACTTAAACTTCTCTTTTTTAGAAGTGGGAAGAATAACAAGGTAACGATATTGTAAGTGGCTGACTAGAGAAACTTGGGCACCTTCCTTATTACTCCTTCCCCACTTGGTTCTCAAGCTTCCTTAGTGGTTCCCAAGTCTTGGTACCTGCTAACTGGTGATTCTACCCTATGTTATTGGTCTGGGCCTATGGATATAATAAGATGCAGTTGGAGTTTACTTGGCACTGAAGTTAGCTACAGCTACTGCTTATGCTCTATGTCAAGCTCTTACTACTGAGAAAGATACAAGCACAGAGGCTTCTATTCCAATTTTTATGATACAGCATCCTCACCCTGCAGGACCCTAGCTGCAGCTTGATCTGTCCAGCTGTCCATTGTGATGGTAAAATTACAACATCACGGTGCATGTGCCACTGCTCCTGGGACTGTAGCCTGGCTGCGTCACACCATGAATCTTTCTCACTAGCCACATGTTTTGTGAATGTGACACTCTCATGAAGACTCTTGGAGGTCACCTAGAGCAATGTTTTATGATCTGACCTTTTCCACCCATATGGCTGAGAAAGGAGCCATGTGATATTTCCAACATGGCCACTTTCTTGACCTAAGAAAAGAGTGATATCAGAAGCATACAGCTCATGGCAGCACATCATGGATGAAACAGGTACATAAAAGGTGCCATTACAGAAAAGGAGTTTGGCATTAATTTTAAGTCAGTGTATAAGTGATGTATTCTTAACTGTCTACTGCCCAAATCATTATTTAAAACTGCTACCTCGGGCTTGAGAGTACACGTATCCTTCTTTCTACTACTTCTTTGCTTTTCTCTTCATCGTAAAGCCATGAAAGTGACTATTCTATAATTAATCTCTTCTACAAACTGCCAGGCATAATCAAATTCTGTAAACACTTTTGTCTAAACAAGATGTGTTGTGATGCTTATGGAAGAATATTTGGGAAATTATTTCTTTGAAGATCTGTAGAATAGAGTAGATTGGGGAAACTTTTGTCCAAAAAGGTAGATACAGCCATTATTGGAGGCAAAGAAATAAACTGAGCAGCTTTCAGTAAACATCTATAGACACGTAATTGGTACATGGCATTGGCAAAACAAACATTTTTAATATTTATACATTTTAACATAAATTTAAAATAATGTAACTTTATTTAAATATGAAAGTAAATCTATTTTGTATTTTATTTGTGTCTTCAAGCCTATTCCCTTCTTTATTCACACTTAAATTTTTAACACTCTGAAGTAGAATCGCTGGAAAGCTCTGCATGGTGAAAACTTTTTGGCTGTATTTTTATAGTACACATTTTTATACAAAGATGTGGCATTAACACTGTAACCGGGTGACTTCAGATTTTTGGACACAAGGAAATTTAAAACAATTCAATACTTTTAACCTTTGTGTGTGGTGTCTTTCCAGTTTAGTTTGAGATTTTTAAGTATCTGAAAGTTAGTGGCCTCAATATGGTGTGATTCCTGCATTTATCACATAAGGCCACAGTGCCAATGAACAGTACCCTGGGGACCTATTTTTCAGAATTTTCCATGGCCCACAAAACTAATTTAAATTGAGTTCTCCTTTGCTTTAAAGGGAATTTGGTCTCTTCACCCTCCTTCTCTCCTTACTGTGTCCCTCTGTTCACTCTTCTCTGTCCTATGTTTGGGTCCTAGAAAGTCTCCTCTTGGACTCCTCAGAGGGGAGAAATAAGGGGACACCAAGCAAGGAGCCCTGGACCCCTCTCCTGGCCTTACTCCATAGGAAATGAAGGCTCAGAGGATTTTGAGTGAAATAAATAAGATTCTATGTTTTATAAAACACTGGAGTCTAAATAAGACTTAATTTGGGAAAGGAGTTATACTACTGAAAACAATCATAAAACCACTACTTTAGAGTGTGACATGAAATAGTTCGAGATTTATGTAACCTTGGTAGGAATTACCATATTAAAATAAATTAAGATTTCTCTCTTCATATGCATGCCTTCTTATTAAATGATGTCAAACCCCTTTTAGTAATATACACATATGAAAGAAAAACGATTATTTTAAATAGATATTATCAAAATTTCAGACATATTCGAGGGAAACGTAGCATGAGTTAGTTTTACATACTATGTAATTTAAAGGAAATCTTGAGAAATTGTAACATATGTCTCATGTAATAGTTGTAGTTGGCTCCATCTGAGTCAGGAGGCGGGACTCGACTCTGGAGGCGGGGCTCAGACACCAGACAAGGTTGAGGACTAGCTAAAACAGGGAAGAGGGAGAAGCGCCTCTTCCTAAGACAAGCTCACCAGTGTGCCAGGTCAGTTTACTGCTGCCATGGCAACACCCGGAAGTTACTGCCCCTTTCTGTGGCAGTGACCCGACAACTCAAAGGTTACCACCCCTTTTCTAGAAATGTCTGCACAATCCACCCTTTAATTTGTATATAATTAAAAGCAGGTATAAATATGGCTGCAGAACTGCCTTTGAGCTGCTCCTCTGGGCACACTGCCTATGGGGTAACCCTGCTCTGCAAGGAGCAGGATCTCTGCTGCTGCTGTGCATTGCCACTTCAGTAAATGTTGCTAAGACCACTGGCTTGCCCTTGAATTATTCCCTGGGTGA
This sequence comes from Homo sapiens, assembly GCF_000001405.40. Lineage (NCBI taxonomy): Eukaryota > Metazoa > Chordata > Mammalia > Primates > Hominidae > Homo > Homo sapiens. The sequence goes on from NC_000008.11 coordinate 62,267,035, forward strand.
ACCCAAAACCTGCCAGGCTAAGCCCCAGTTATGGGGCGCATCTGCCCTGCATCACATCCATCATTGCTGTAGTACAGTAATTACATTTCAAACATGTTTGCATGATATCATATTACTTTCAAAAACATAATAATTCTGGTTTCTGAGTTATAACAAAATATAAATAGAATTCTCTTATTGTGTTCCACAGTGACAATTTTGGAGCATGTAGATATGATTCAGAATTGAAGCAATAGAACAGATCATTCAATTTGATTTTCCTGCAAAACATTTTTCCTTATACAGAAAACTTGCCAGTTTGTTTCCTTTTTAATAGATTACTAAGTCAGTGAAACATGGTAAAATTTCAGTGTTTTTAGGTTAAATATCTGCAGTTTCTTATGTTTCCCTTAATTATTTGTTATGATTCTCTTGGCAGATAACATGTGACATTAATACATTTAATATTATAAGGTGGTTGTCTTCTCTACACTATTATTTCATGCTAATGTTCCACATTGCTTTACTTTTTAGTTAACCTTTTACTATTCATATATATTTTTCTTCTATTTGAAGGATAGAAAGGGTCCTGCCTTACTTGCTTTTGTATTCCCCACAGTGCTTGTGTCCTGATATACACCTAACAGTTGTTCAATAGGTATTCACTGACTTCTTGGTAAATGAGTTATTATGTTTCCTACACCATCAGGATGATTTTGGTCATAGGAAGCAGAGAATTCAGGAAAAAATTGCTTAAACTTGTGCTACTGAAAATATGTCCCATAGATTGTTGGTCAGAATACAAACTGTTTATTTCTGATCTGCAAGTAGCCAAGTAATTAAGAGCATGCATTTAGAAACATTTATAGCAACTTTAATGTATCATGACATCCAGTGGCTGGTCATTTATTCTAGGAATTTGTTTTTATTGTATTTTACAATAGTTTTTGTCCTCAACTGATTGAAAATTTTAAAAAATCTAATTTCTTAACTACAGGGTGTTTAAGAAGCACAGATTTAGACAATGGGTATTTATTAATAACAAATCTCATATAGTAAGAAATCAAGGAAGAAATAGTTGCTGGGTTGGGATTCAATAATGTTCAACAGTGGTAGGGCTCCCAGTTGATGTTTCTCAGGTTCCCTTGGTCTTCCAGCTTAGCTACAATATGCCGTCAGCAGTTACAAGCCTCATGCTTCCACATGAAAATACTCAACTGGAGAAGGAAGAGGACAGATGCAGAACAGCCTCTTCTCTCTCACAGCTCTCTTTTTGTCTGGAGAGAAAGACTGTCCATATCTAGAAGACTGTTCATACTTCTTTCCATATCTAATTGACCAGAATTGGGTCCCTGTCTTCCCCTGGATCAATCCCTGTAAAATGGTCATGGCTTAGTCCAGTGTGATCTATCCTCTGGGGGGACACCTAGCTGCATGACCAGAGTCAGGGATCTCTCAGCAAGAAGGACTGGAGAATGGCTGTTCTGCAAATTTCTCCAAAGACCTAAAATTATCAGAAATTGACATCACCACTGACAATATTTCAATAAGTGGGAAGGTATAAAAATAGCTCAAGTTTTATGCAATACCTGTTATGTTAGGTATTGTGCATAACTCTTCATATTTTGTAAAGCTTCCCTCCACACAGTCAGTATTATCCCTCTTTTATAGATAGGGAAAAGGAGACATCAGTTAAGTGTTTCACCCAAGGTCACATTGCTGGCCGATAAACAGAGCTGAGATTCCAACCTAACACCATGAATGTCTATACCCAGGTTCTCTCTACTGCTACAAAGGCTATTTTTGTATGGTTCTGGTTGGGTAGCTTGTATATGCATAATACTACAAATCTGGGAATGCCTGACCAGGGATACTAGCTTGAGAAAAGGGCTCTCTAAATAGGCAACATAAACTCTCTTAACATTTCTAAGTACAGTTATTGCATTTCTGGTACGTGGGACTTTTTCCTTTAGCTCACTAAAATGTGACCCTCTCTGTTGCTGTCTGAAATACATCTTCCTGTACAACATCTGTCCCTGTCATTGCTGTTCCAGATGTCACAGGACCCTGCTGTTGTCTTGAGTTTGGATGTAATGTGCGGGAGATGTATTCTTTGTAATTCTGGAATCTAGAAGAACATTGCTCAATAAAACCCCTGTGCATGGTGGATAAGTATTGCTTGCAACTTTACTAATACTTTATGGCCATGCTATATATCAATAGCACTGTGCCTTAGCTAGGCTTTCCTGGGCTATGAAAAAACATTTTTAACCCCAGAGAGTGCCAAACAACCAACTTTCAAACACTTCTTTGCAACACAGCTCTTTGATAAGCTGAAAATTGCCCAGTTTATGGAATTCTTTCTTGATCTTATACTTCCTCATATTCCAATTCCCTAGAAAATTGCTTTTGAGAAAGAGTAGACAGTATATCTCTGGAGTCGCCCATTATTTTTTTTACTCCACTGCTGAGCTAGGTATACAATCCTGATTATCTTTGACTATGTTCCTTTCTGTGGGTGCTAGTCTATTCTAGCTAATACAGGGTGCATAGCAAATTTTAAAAGGCTATGAAAATAAGCTTGGGGACACTTGTCTTCAGTGTTCAAATACGTAGATTTTATTATCACATTTCTGAAAATGTATTACTTATTAAACTATGTGGATCCACCTTAAGGTATGTTTTTCCTTTCACAGTCCTATATTGTTAATGATACTCAATTGTGAGTTACTTTAGGTCAGCAACTTTGACTTGTGTGGCATTTGATAATGCTCATTAATGTTGCTGACATTGTCTTTGGATGGAAAACCTCAGCATGCATATAATGCATAATTTCACGAGATTCACTGTTTTATAGGAAGCCATAAAAACAAAACATGGGGTATAATAAGTCTATCTATTCTCTAAAAATTTCCATGTACTTTCCTTTAAGTATAAAAAAGTAATTTATGTTAAAGTACGAACAATGAAAACAATTTACTTAATTTATCTTTCTTTAGCTAATGCGGAGGTCCTTATTATTATTATTATTATTTTATTTTTCCATTGTTTTGTAACTCAGATCACAGAGTTTTGTTTGTTTGTTCTGAGAGAGGGTCTCACTCTGTCAGCACTGGAGTGCAGTGGTATGATCACAGCTCACTGCAGCCTCGAACTCCTGGGCTCAAGTGATCCTCCCACCTCAGTCTCCTGAGTAGCTGGTATCACAGTCATGTGTGACCACAACCAACAAAGTTTTAAAATTTTCTTGTAGAGATAGGGTCTTGCCATGTTGCCCAGGCTGGTCATGAACTACTTGGCTCAAGCAGTCATCCTTCCTTGGCCTCTCAAAGTGCTGGGATTACAGTCATGAGCCCCTGGGCCCAGCCCATATTATAGGCTTTGTACTTTCAGCTCATATGCAATGTGTTTTTTTAATTAAATTTTAAACTATAAATTTAAAAATTATAGTTGTATATATTTATGAAGAAAAAAGTTATAATTTATGAGAACTATGTGGAATAATTAAATCGAATTAATGCATATATCACCTCAAATATTTATTTTTTGTGATGAAAACATTTTTACTCTCAGCAATTTTGAAATGTATAATACATTATTATTTACTGTGTTCACCACGTTGTGCAATATTTCACAAAGAAAAAAAACCTTATCCTGCCTTTCTAATTGGCTTTATACTCTTTGACAATCATCTCCTCATTACTCCTGCCAATCTCCAACCCATGGTAGCCAGCATTTCACTCTGTGATTCTTTGAGTTCAATTATTGTAGATTCCACATGTAAGTGCGAGCATGTGGCATTTGCGTTTCTGTGCCTAGCTCATTTCACTTAGCATAATGCCTTCCAGTGAAAAACAAGAGCAGTATTGAAGGGTTGGCTCAATTGAAGTTTAGCATGTCTTGTGAAATAATTTTTCTTCCTGTTCATTTGAAAACTTATGAAAATATTAAAAATTGGTACTAAAAACATAACTGATATTTTTAAATGTCACTCATAAGAACATACATATTCATCACATTTCTCAGTATAAACCAAGAAACATAAGAAAAAACATCCAAAATACATTTTAACGTCTTTACAGGCTGCTTTAGTTTTAGTTAGAAATAATATAGAGAGTCAAAGACTCAAATTATAAATCTAAGTGGCTCTGCATTCTGCCAAGATTGGAATGCAGCATGGATGAAATTTACTGTGACCCAAACTTTCAACAAAATAGTTCATGACAACAAGATAGGACCACAAATGAGGTTTTTTATTCCAATAAATTCTTTGACTTATCTGTTCTTACTGTTGTCTTTAAGCACAAGATTTGTAGGTGGCCGCCAAATTGGGAATTTTAGAAAAGAAAGTTTTAAATGGAACTGACTCCAGCTGGGAATTGAGAACTGTTTGGTGTTTTGTCTGGGAGGAAGTATCAAGGTGTTCCTAAGAGCTGAGGTATATCTGAAATGGTAGTATCAGGAAGTTTGCAGGGTTAGTATGAAATGAAATGAAAATTTCAATTGTACTGTATCCCAACCAATAATATAATGTCTTCCTTACATAATGAGCATAATGCTGGAGTTTCACATAGTAAAGAGTACCAACAATAAATAGACTCATGTTAGCTGTTTTAATTTTTTCAGGATATGAAGGGTCTCATTGGTGTGATAGCACTAGAGAGGATTTGGGATTTTTTCCCCGTTTTAAAAAAATTATGTTTTAGAGATCATCTACTACAGTCACTTTTGTCAGTGAAGAGAGAATTGATTTCAGCTCTAGTGATTCTTCAAAGAACATTCTAGAATGCTGAAATATTTTGGTTCCTCAGCTTTATTATCCACAACACTTAGGGAAACTCCACAGAGATGTGTTATGAGCTGGAAGCCACTTGCCTCCATGTTGCGGTGAGGGGCAGGATTGCTGGGTGGAAGCGTTGTGCTATTTACGTAGCTCAGCTGAACAGTTCACAGAGATGTGGCTATTATAGAGGCAGTAACGTTAACCTACAAAAAATATCTGCCCTCCAACCAGTCTCAGATAAAACAGTAGAATCATAGATTCTACCAGGAAAACTGCTCAATTGTTTGTTGTATAAATGGATTGTTGTACAAATGAATAAATGAGGGAATAAGTGGATAGAATTTTGGAATGAAAATGTTGTTCCTAGATTCAAGTTATTCAATAATTTTCCTTTGGAATTCATACAGCAGATCATCCCAACTTGATTCTTAACCCAGGGCAGCATTGTACTTTTCTACTCGCCTAGGACATTTAAGCCTGTGTGGAGACAAGTAGGTTATCATAGTGTTGGGAGTATGGGGGATATGAGTGTTGTGGTTACTTAGTTCCCAAAGCACTGAAATGCTAACGCCAGTGATGAACAGGAAGTCCTGTGCAACGAGGAATTCTTGCCTACGATAGTAAATAATATCCCCAATGAGAAGCAGTGAGTCTCTCTCTGGGTTCTCCGACAGGAAGGCTAAAGACAAAAGTCCTCATTTCTCAAGTAATTGGCGACTTTGTTGGACATTTAACATTCAAAAAAGACTTCTTATACTTTGCCAAAACATTGCAAATTGTACTCAGTACCAGCTTTGTCCTTCAAAGAATAGAGACCTGCCAGCTTCTACTAAGGTTATTCTTACAACTCATTTACCCATGTTGCCCATCTGGTTACTTTCTTGAGGGCGCTATGCAGGTTGTCTCTGTCCCTGTCAAGGTGAGGCATTCAGAACTCCATCCAATCCTCTAACTATGGCCTGCCAAGTGGTATAAATAACACGTACAGCCCTAGCGGTCATAGCTACTATTTTTTCCTTAGTTCTGCAAACTAAGATGGCATTAATTTTTTTAAAATTTTTGTTAGCTTATTATCAACTAAAACTTCAGATCTTCACATAAACTGTTGTCAGTCTGAGAATCCATCATTCTGAGCTAGGGATTAGCAAGCTTTCTTGGTTAAGGGCCAGATAGCAAATACTTTAGATACCAAAGGTCATTCAGTCTCCATCACAACTACTCAATTCCACAGCTGTAGCATGTAGCCATGGACAATACAGAAATCACTGGGGTGGTTGTGTTTCAATTAAACTTTATTTGTAGAAACAGATAGTAGGATATATTCGGCTCTTGGGCCATAGTTTGCTGATCTTTGTTCTATACTTAAAGAAATATTAGATTAAAATAGAAATTTAGTGCTTTTTAATTATGTCTGTTCATATTATTTTGTTGATTTCAGCCAATCATTCCAACCAGCTGAGAACCTCTTGAATTCTAATTGTGGGAGTTCTGTTATTTAATTTAATTAAAAAAATTATGCTGCTTTTCAACTTTGTATCACCTAACACATGACTTCTTTGCTTTTATGTATTAATAGTTCTTCTCCATTCCAAAACAAAAACAATACCTGAATAGAAAAAAGCCTTAAAAAGGCCCTATACCATATACTAGTTTTTCAGTTTAAGATGGTCAGTGATACAATTGATAAACATGTTTTGGTTACTGTAATGATAAAACTACACCATTCTTCTATCATGCAGCAGACAGTTCTTTCTGTTCTTTATAGGAAGTACTGGCCCTTGTCTGCATTTCCTTCCCGAAATCAAGATGCATGTCTATGACAAGTTCTTGTTGTGCCACAGTGTTAATACCAACAAATCTAATGTTGGTCAAATATAACAGGCTTTTAGGAAATCATCTGTTTACTTATGTATTTTTGCAGTCAGCTTAGAAGAGATGTGAATTTTATCAGCCCAGCCCTGTACCCTCTTATGAGATGTTTACCCAAATGGGGCTTTCATTCCTTTGTAGCATGAATATGTAAACACCTTACTACGGTTCTGAAATCATAGTTATGAGTCCATTAGCACCCTAATGGGAAGGAAGGAGTTAACTGTGATATGTAAATCCCCCCTTCCTTTCCTGAAGACAATCTGGGCCAGGTGCTGACCTCCACCAGGCCTCCTGTAAACATTCCAAGATTTAGTAACAGAAAGATGACCTAGGAGGTTCAAATATAAGAATGTTTTTATTTGGGTATTCTTTTTCTATCTCGATTACTTACTATAACTAAACCTGGAATTCGTGGGTTTATTTGATGCCTATGGCTGGAGAGTGGAAGTTAGTCCAATGAGCTCTTTATCTGCATGAGAAATAAGTAAGAAGCCTTAAACTTATTATTATTTGTTTTCTGAGATAGCTTGCACCACACACATAATGAGCATTCATCTGTTATTCTGGAACCAAACTGCATCCCATTTGAAAAAAAGCAATTTTTTGGAGACTGTGAGAGACAGTTGAAGTCTTTTTTGTTACTGCCTGTGTTTCTGTTGTTACTATATGCTTCACTAATCTCCATTGAAGTTGGGTGTAGTCTATGATCTGTGATTCCTGTGAACCAGCTGTGATAATGTAACTCTTTGGGATTCTGCACTATGATAAAATGCAGATGGTCCTCAGACTTGAATGCATCTAAGGCGTTGGGGAAGGTCTCTGGTTGCTTTACATTTTCTTGATTTTTTTTCTATTTAAACAAAGCAGTTTAATAAATTTCTAATACATTTTCTTGCTCCAGACTGCCTGGAAATTCATTTTTTTTTAAATTTAGTTATTATTATACTTTAAGTTTTAGGGTACATGTGCACAATGTGCAGGTTTGTTACATATGTATACATGTGCCATGCTGGTGTGCTGCATCCATTAACTCGTCATTTAGCATTAGGTTTATCTCCTAATGCTATCCCTCCCCCGACCCCCCACCCCACAACAGTCCCCAGAGTGTGATGTTCCCCTTCCTGTGTCCATGTGTTCTCATTGTTCAATTCCCACCTATGAGTGAGAACATGCAGTGTTTGGTTTTTTGTCCTTGCGATAGTTTGCTGAGAATGATGGTTTCCAGTTTCATCCATGTCCCTACAAAGGACATGAACTCATCATTTTTTATGGCTGCATAGTATTCCATGGTATATATGTGCCACATTTTCTTAATCCAGTCTATCATTGTTGGACATTTGGGTTGGTTCCAAATCTTTGCTATTGTGAATAGTGCCGCAATAAACATACGTGTGCATGTGTTTTTATAGCAGCATGATTTATAGTCCTTTGGGTATATACCCAGTAATGGAATGGCTGGGTCAAATGGTATTTCTAGTTCTAGATCCCTGAGGAATCGCCACACTGACTTCCACAATGGTTGAACTAGTTTACAGTCCCACCAACAGTGTAAAAGTGTTCCTATTTCTCCACATCCTCTCCAGCACCTGTTGTTTCCTGACTTTTTAATGATTGCATTCTAACTGGTGTGAGATGGTATCTCATTGTGGTTTTGATTTGCATTTCTCTGATGGCCAGTGATGATGAGCATTTCTTGATTTCTTAAGTTAAATTTCCTTTTAAGGTATTTGTTATTTGATGTTCCATTTTGATTAGAAAAAGTGGAGAAAGAAATTTTGTAATTCTGAATTTTCTCTGTTATTTCCCCCACATTATGAGCCTATTAAGCTGATTGCTTCCATATTGATAGACTTACTTCAAATTCTTTTTTGTAATCATAAAAATTCTTCCTTTTCTAGTTTAAAGACCAGCTTTTATGACCAACTAAGAATAAATTTAAGTGTGTGAAACATAGCTAAATGTTTTTAGGTTAAAGGAGTAGAAGAATCCTATGAAATTTACATTTAAAAGCTTATTTAGTTTAGTGCAATGAATCACATTTGGCATATTACAATTTTTAAATGCTAATATTATATTTATCAGCAAATTATTTGCATATTACCATAATGTGAGTCTTTAAATTATTTTGATATTGAAATGGAGATAATATATTGAATAGTATCGACTCTTCTAAATTTGATGCTTACCGTTTATTTTCTTCTTGGAATATCCCATGCATTTTTAGATGCTTAAGAAATAAACTTATTGAGGCTGTAACAGCTATGTAGAAACTCAGGGTATCTTTTTTTGGTTTAATAATACCCAAAAGGTTGGAAATGTACAAAAAATATTAAATCTGAGAGCATGGTAAGTTACTGTATCGGTCTACTATGTCAGTTCTGATTTTGACTTTTTTCTTTTTTCTTTTATTTTTTTGAGACAGAGTCTCCCTCTGTCACCCAGGCTGGAGTGCAGTGGTGCGATCTCAGCTCACTGCAACCTCCGCCTCCTGGGCTCACGCGATTCTCTTGCCTCAGCCTCCTTAGTAGCTGGAATTACAGGCCTGTGTCACCACACCCAGCTAATTTTTATATTTTTAGTAGAGATGGGATTTCACCATATTGGCTAGGCTTGTATCGAACTCATTACCTCAAGTGATCCGCCTGCCTTGGCCTCCCAAATTGCTGGGATTACAGGAGTGAGCCACTGCGCCCAGCCTGATTTTGACTTTTTTCATTAGCAATGGAGGAGAAGTATTTCAGAGTAGTGACAAGGCACTCCATTGCTTGATGGCAGCACTGGATATAAGAAAAGAAATCTAGATATAGATCAATTATTGTGCTGCTGATGATCTCAAGCTCTGTACTAATGAGCAGTTACGAAAATGAGAGATGATGTTCTATTAAGTACACACATGCTTCATGTGGATTTTGAATGTACCTACGTATTTGGTTTTGTCTGTTAAAATCACTTTAAAATTAGGTTGGCAAATTTCCCAATTTATTAATTTATCTATCTTTTTCAAGATAGAAAAAAGTAATGTTCAAGAGAGTGTTATGAAAGGTTAAACGTAAAGGCCAGGAATTTGTAATTACTAGCAGTCATGCTTTGCTAAATTAATGAGAAGATAATTGTCAATACATTTTTTGGTAGGAATAGTTTTGTTTAAGTCAAACATTGCATTAAAATAATTATTTGGACTCTTTTTAGAATACAACTGTGATTTCTCTGCTTCATTTTCAGTGGTGAATAAAATGCATGTTTTAATTTTTTTCTATGTTTAATTTTTCCTAGAACTCTATACTTTTACCATATAAGATTCTAAACTTTTGAACTTTGAATTCTGTAAGTTTTTGGCATTATAATTTTAATTAATTGTTAATAATAGTTAAATTTTATTGATCACTGGGTTTCAAATTTAATAATGATGCATATGGAAAGCGTTTTTCAGAAAATGTTTAAAAACTATTTTTGAAAGTCCAGGGTAAATACTATTGAAATTAATAAAAATTTGTTATTACAGAACAAGCATATTTCAGCTACATTTTTAATGAATCTGTCAAAAGAGTTATTGGGTAGGAAATTATATAAGTAGGATACATTTTTTCCTAGGGTATTTTTTTGTAATCTGCATGATTACTGTTTTGTAATTGAACAGAAAGCAGTTTGTATTTTTAAGCATCTGGCTTTTTTCATTATTAAACTTAGACCTAGGTAGAATTGTGGGGATGTGTAGGGGTGTAGGTGGACGGGATTTATTGATAGCTACTAATGACTGTCTCCCACTCCTAATCCCTCTGAATTGCCCGGTGTTGCAAACCCTCCTTCTGTGGGCTTTGGTGGTGACTGACGTCTCATGCGTAAGAAAGGTGAGTCATTATCCTTTATACAACATAGCTTGTGTGGTATGAAAATTTATCATCTTCTCTGAAACTGTCTAATATGTAGTCACCTCTAAAGTAATTCACTTAAGCTAAGTTATTTTTCTAGTAAGAAATCCCAAAAAGGGGGATTTAAAATTTCTCTTGTGAAAAAGGTTAAGGTAAGTTCAGATGGATTTTGGATATGGCCTTGAATAAAGTTCACTTTACTTACTTTTAAAATCCACTTTTAATTTTCTGAGGACTTCTGCTTCTGGCAAGGATGAAGTCGGTGGTTTTGAATATACTCTTTTGAGGGTAATAGCTATATCACTGGATAAAATAGATGAGGCAGTAGTTTTCAGGCACTGCACAACAGGTAATGTGGGACTATGATCTTGAGATAAAGGAGACTTTACCTTTAAGGTGCTTTTCCAGTGTAGAGCAAGAACCTGGAGCCCAACCGGAGTACAGCAGTCTTGCTAACATGACAAGACAGGTATTGGAGATCAGCACGGAGACAGGCAGAGCAAGTAAGAGAAAGCTACATAGAGAGGAACAAGGCGTTGATGTGGTTCTGTCTCAAGACATTGCCTATGACCTGGGCCGCCACACATGCCTGGATTGAGACTCTGTGGAGCCTCTCCTAGAAAAGCTGCTGCAGGATGGAGAGCTGAAGAGACTCAGGTCATGTAGACTGAAGAGGCCTCCCTGAGAAGTCCTAAGGCAGTTAGTACCATAAGGGTTATGCCAAGGAGTAAGTCATCATACCCTAGAATAAGGGTCACATGATAGAACTAAGGAATGAAGCAAAGTAGACCCACTGTACAAAGCATAAAACCATGCCTGACAGGACCCAGAGATCCTACTGCTGGTTTTTTTTTTTTATACTTTAAGTTTTAGGGTACATGTGCACAACGTGCAGGTTTGTTACATATGTATACATGTGCCATGTTGGTGTGCTGCACCCATTAACTCGTCATTTACATTAGGTATATCTCCTAATGCTATCCCTCCCCACTCCCCCGACCCCATGACAGGCCCCGGTGTGTGATGTTCCCCTTCCTGTGTCCAAGTGTTCTCATTGTTCAGTTCACACCTATGAGTGAGAACATGTGGTGTTTGGTTTTTTATCCCTGTGATAGTTTGCTAAGAATGATAGTTTCCAGCTTCATCCATGTCCCTATAAAGGACATGAACTCATCCTTTTTTATGGGTGCGTAGTATTCCATGGTGTATATGTGCCACATTTTCTTAATCCAGTCTATCATTGATGGACATTTAGGTTGGTTCCAAGTCTTTTCTATTGTGAATAGTGCTGCAATAAACACACGTATGCATGTGTCTTTATAGCAGCATGATTTATAATCCTTTGGGTATATGCCCAGTAATTGGATGGCTGGGTCAAATGGTATTTCTAGTTCTAGATCCTTAAGGAATCACCACACTGTCTTCCACCATGGATGAACTAGTTTACAGTCCCACCAACAGTGTAAAAGCTTTCCTATTCTCCACATCCTCCCCATCACCTGTTGTTTTCTGACTTTTTAATGATTGCCATTCTAACTGGTGTGAGATTGTGTCTCATAGTGGTTTTGATTTGCATTTCTCTTATGACCAGTGATGATGAGCATTTTTTCACGTGTCTGTTGGCTGCATAAATGTCTTCTTTTGAGAAGTGTCTGTTCATATCCTTCACCCACTTTTGATAGGGTTATTTTTTCTTATAAATTTGTTTGCGTTCTTTGTAGATTCTGGATATTAGCCCTTTTTCAGGTGAGTAGATTGCAAAAATTTTCTCCCATTCTGTAGGTTGCCTGTTCACTCTGATGGTAGTTTCTTTTGCTGTGCAGAAGCTCTTTAGTTTAAATAGATTCCATTCGTCAATTTTGGATTTTTGTTTCCATTGCTTTTGGTGTTTTAGACATGAAGTTCTTGCCCATGCGTATGTCCTGAATGGTATTGCCTAGGCTTTCTTCTAGGGTTTTTATGGTTTTGGGTCTAACATTTAAGTCTTTAATCCATCTTGAATTAATTGTTGTATAAGATGTAAGGAAGGGATCCAGTTTCAGCTTTCTACATATGGCTAGCCAGTTTTCCCAGCACCATTTATTAAATAGGGAATCCTTTCCCCATTTCTTGTTTTTCTCAGGTTTGTCAAAGATCAGATGGCTGTAGATAAGTGGTATTATTTCTGAGAGCTCTGTTCTGTTCCATTGGTCTATATCTCTGTTTTGGTACCAGTACCATGCTGTTTTGGTTACTGTAGCCTTGTAGTATAGTTTGAAGTCAGGTAGCATGATGCCTCCAGCTTTGTCCTTTTGGCTTAGGATTGTCTTGGCAATGTGGGCTCTTTTTTGGTTCCATATGAACTTTAAAGTAGTTTTTTCCAATTTTGTGAAGAAAGTCATTGGTAGCTTGATGGGGATGGCATTGAATCTATAAATTACCTTGGGCAGTATGGCCATTTTCACGATATTTGTTCTTCCTATCCATGAGCATGGAATGTTCTTCCATTTGTTTGTGTCCTCTTTTATTTCGTGGAGCAGTGGTTTGTAGTTCCCCTTGAAGAGGTCCTTCACGTCCCTTGTAGGTTGGATTCCTAGGTATTTTATTCTCTTTGAAGCAATTGTGAATGGGAGTTAACTCACGATTTGGCTCTCTGTTTGTCTGTTATTGGTGTATAAGAATGCTTGTGATTTTTGCACGTTGATTTTGTATCCTGAGACTTTGCTGAAGTTGCTTATCAGCTTAAGGAGATTTTGGGCTGAGATGATGGAGTTTTCTAAATATACTATCATGTCATCTGCAAACAGGGACAATTTGACTTCCTCTTTTCCTAATTGCATATCCTTTATTCCTTTCTCCTGCCTGATTGCCCTGGCCAGATCGTCCAACATTATATTGAATAGGAGTGGTGAGAGACGGCATCCCTATCTTGTGCCAGTTTTCAAAGGGAATGCTTCCAGTTTTTGCCCATTCAGTATGATATTGGCTGTGGGTTTCTCATAAATAGCTCTTATTATTTTGAGATACGTCCCAGCGATACCTGATTTATTGGTAGTTTTTAGCATGAAGGGCTATTGAATTTTGTCAAAGGCCTTTTCTGCATCTATTGAGATAATCATGTGATTCTTGTCTTTGGTTCTGTTTATATGCTGGATTACATTTATTGATTTGCATACGTTGAACCACCCTTGCATCCCAGGGATAAAGCCAACTTGATCGTGGTGGATAAGCTTTTTGATGTGCTGCTGGATTCAGTTTGCCAGTATTTTGTTGAGGATTTTTGCATCGATGTTCATCAGGGATATTGGTCTAAAATTCTCTTTTTTGTTGTGCCTCTGCCAGGCTTTGGTATCAGGATGATGCTGGCCTCATAAAATGAGTTAGGGAGGATTCCCTCTTTTTCTATTGATTGGAATAGTTTCAAAAGGAATGGTACCAGCTCCTCCTTGTACCTCTGGTAGAATTCAGCTGTGAATCCATCTGGTCCTGGACTTTTTTTGGTTGGTAGTCTATTAATTGTTGCCTCAATTTGAGAACCTGTTATTGGTCTATTCAGGGATTCAACTTCTTCCTGGTTTAGTCTTGGGAGGGTGTATGTGCCCAGGAATTCATCAATTTCTTCTAGATTTTCTAGTGTATTTGCATACAGGTGTTTATAGTATTCTCTGATGGTTTTTGTAGTTCTGTGGGATTGATGGTAATATCCCCCTCTATCATTTTTTATTGCATCTATTTGATTCTTCTCTCTTTTCTTCTTTATTAGTCTTGCTAGCAGTCTATCAATTTTGTTGATCTTTTCAAAAAACCAGCTCCTGGATTCATGGATTTTTTGAAGGTTTTTTTTGTGTCTCTATCTCCTTCAATTCTGCTCTGATCTTAGTTATTTCTTGACTTCTGCTAACTTTTGAATGTGTTTGCTCTTGCTTCTCTAGTTCTTTTAGTTGTGATGTTAGGGTGTCAATTTTAGATCTTTCCTGCTTTCTCTTGTGGGCATTTAGTGCTATAAATTTCCCTCTACACACTGCTTTAAATGTTTCCCAAGATTCTGGTATGTTGTGTCTTTGTTCTCATTGGTTTCAAAGAACATCTTTATTTCTAGCTTCATTTCGTCATGTACCCAGTAGTCATTCAGGAGCAGGTTGTTCAGTTTCCATGTAGTTGAGTGGTTTTGAGTGGGTTTCTTAATCCTGAGTTCTAGTTTATGGTGGTTGTTTAGATATATTAAGCATGTATTTATATGCATATATGTAAACTTATGCATGTTTGTCATCCAGATATATTATAGTGTGAGTTCACATTTTCTTTTATGTTGAGCAAATATTCAAATTGAATACAGGAAGCCCAAGCATTTTATGAGTTCTGATGACAAATATCACAGGAAGGACAAAAACAATTTTTTTTTAAAAAAGCATGCTTGTTCCTCTCACATCTCATGTCCTGTCACTTCACCTAAATTCTCTGTCCTCCCTCAAGTTATCTTTTTTTTTTTTAATTTTCTCCATGTTTTATTTTCCTCCTGGATCTCTCTCGAGACATCTGTAACCAACAGAAATTAGATGCACAAATCCTTTTTGTTCCGGGGGGCTTTGCAAACAGTTTACTCTCAAGCCGACCCCAGACCCTGGGTTTCTCATGTGGTCTTCAGACTACCCATATTACAATAGAAAACCCACTCGGGAAATTGGAGCTGACAAGTCTTGAGATGGTTATCCCACTAATTTCCATCCCTGCACCATTTACTAAAAGTGATACAGGTGGGTGGAAATCAGGTGAGGCCTGCTTCTCAGAAGTAACCAAAGATGCCTGCACACCTCTGTGTGTCCCTCGGCCTATTCTTCCCGGGATGGCGAATGTAGTCAGGTGTGGGGCCTGGGCTTGTAGGGATACCCAAAAATTTTCTAGGGAAGTAACCTCACTTTATTAGAGCTTCTTGTCTCAATTCAGAGTATAGATTTTTGAATGCGTTTGCTGACAGATTGACCTGGACTGTGTTTTCCCCTTATTCAGGGAGCGATCGATCTTTATCAAAAGGATTTGTTGACTGATGGGCTTTCACAGTTCTAATGTGCTGTTTGATACTTTTAAAAGACATATGCCCCTTTGTATAATGAAATTACCTGATAAAACAGGGAATGAAGCTCAGGTTTTCTGAAGCATCTTAGCTCTTGACTGCTTTGGTGACTGCCAGGGAATTTTGTTTGTATTTGCCTGTGATGGAAACCTTACAACCTTAGTGAAATTGTTTTTGAATATTCAAGTTTCTAGACCATATACTGTCCTTCTAGGCCTAAGGGCCTGAACTAAACCAAGATTGTGTTTCCCTCAGGTAAGTACTTCCAGACACTCTATCCTCTCTGTCTTTACAACCCTCTTCTCCTCATTACTGTACTATGTAACACTAGATGCGCATTATAGTCCACATAAAAAGCCATTTCTGTAGCATCTTGTCATCGGTTCATGGTTGTGCTTTGAAGCCGTGTTGAGTTCTGAACTCAGAGCCTAACAGCAATGGCTCAAGTGCACCACACCGTATTATTTACCCAGATGGGGTTAATTGTTAAATAAAAGAATGGGCCCTTTCAGTTTACTTTTTTGCAGTCTCTCTAACACTGATTATGGAAGACAGGGAAGACTATGATAAATATCAAACTTTCTAATCAGAAACGAGTCCAGTTGTATTTGAAATCTTGAACTTAATCCAGAATTAGAAAATGTCCTTAAGTTATCTTTTGCTTTCTTGAGACCATCTGCTCTTACGTGGCTATTTTTTTTTTTGAGTTTCTAAATATATTTGTGTCAATCCTGATGACAAACCCATTTTTCAGTTCCTTGAAGTGGTTGTGGAGACAGGACTGTTCCATAGAACAAAACATTACTCAAGGGTCATGGATAACAAGCAAATTACACAAATAGAAAATTTAAATTGGATCCCTGGTTTGGTCCACAGATCAAAGTTCTTTCACAGGATCCCTTACTAGAAAATTTTCCAGTACCTGGATTAACCCAAAGTTACTATTTTAAATCATATATATGTCATTATATTTTCTAACTAATTATTGAAGTTATATACCATATTTTTTCTAACTGATTATTGAAGTAGGATTTTAAATTATCTTATATATTTCATCTTTGATTTAACAGTGTTTCAGGAGATTCCCTTAATTTAAAAAATAATATAATTTTATAAGCTGCAAATAATGACAACTTTTCTTCCATCTTCTTTGCACAGTATGTCACAGCATTTCTGTTTGTCCTATAATGGTCCCAAAAGCCATTTTAGGTGATACATGGACAAATATTTTATTTTAGAAATTTTGTATCTTGTATACTTTCAAAAAATTTACAGTAAAAAACATATGAAAGGTTTTTTATTTCTTTGGGAATACTTTAAAAATTAATGTATTGATTTAAAGAGAAATCATACAACAGGCATCACAAAAGCATTAAAAATTATTAAAGTGACGTGTAAAAATTCTTGTGCATGGAAAAACTGAAATGCCTTCCTACCTGCTCATTATGAACTCTTCTTCCACTTTTCCTTTTTGAGACCTGTGACCACATAGCCGAGAATGTCACGTGCATATATTCTCCCTAGGAAAATGGGAGTCCCAGAAGGGGTATCAGAGAAAAGTTTGCCAGGGTGAGGTGGGCCAACAGGCATTGGTGCTGTCTGGCTCACAAAAGTATGTTTGTGAAACTCTGGGGAGCTGTCAATTTTCTGGTTGTTGTAACCTCTGTGACTGGGACTTACGGGGAGACAGTGGTGGCTTTCTGTCTTCTTCCACTTTTTTTGGTGCTGTCCTTGCTGTGCTGGTTAAAAGGGTAGACTGTACCCAGGCGCGGTGGCTTACGTCTGTAATCCCAGTACTTTGGGAGGTCGAGGGCAGATCACCTGAGGTCGGGAGTTTGAGATCAGCCTGACTAACATGGAGAAACCCCATCTCTACGAAAAATACAAAATTAGGCGGGCATGGTGGCACATGCCTGTAATCCCAGCTACTTGGGAGGCTGAGGCAGGAGAATTGCTTGAACCTTGGAGGTAGGTGGAGGTTGCACTGAGCCAAGATTGCGCCATTTCACTTCAGCCTGGGCAACAACAGCAAAACTCTGTCTCAAATAAATAAATAAATAAATAAAATAAATGTAGACTGTGTGGTGCTTAGTTTCAGGAAGTAAAGCTCATTCAAGATCCAGCAGTAACAAAGCACTCTGGGTAGAAAAACAGGAAGAAAGGGATAAAACATGAATGTGGTGTAATTGAGATGCAAAAAAAAACTCTGAAAACTGGAGAATCTCACCTATGTAATTACCTAAATGCAGGTGAACAAGAATTCCTGGGTAACTGTGGTTCAGATTTCCTCAAGGGCATCTGAGTTCAGTGGTTCAGACATGCACCTGTGAGTAAGTTGGTGGGGAAAATTGACCTTTTAGTTTTTAGATTCTCTTTAGTGAAAAATAGCAAAGCAGTTTTTTAAAGTGTGGGTTCAGGAATATACTAGAATGACTCTGTAATTTCATCTCAAATATATTGCTATTTTTAGAAACTAAAGGGGTACTATCCTGGGGCTCTTCAATACTCATCATAAAACCAATCCTTTAATCTTACTCCTGGTGTATCCCACGCTTCGCAGATGCTAATGTCCCCCAAATCTAGGTTTCACTAGAAAAGAAAACGTCACTGTAAAATGGAGAATGTATGTGTTCTAAACTATTGATCTGAAGTTGCCAGCTATAAAATCTTGGCAAAATAATGCTTCTATTGGGTTGTATATTTCATGATGATGAAAAGTTGAGAGAATACATAAATGTATACTGTGCTTACCTACAGAAATAGCGTCTGCTTTATGGGGGGAAATTCTAGCTTTGTTGTATCTCATTATCAGGAGCTGTGGTATTCTTTTAAGGAGTCCTTGGAATGAGAGCTGAAGAGGCTGAACCAAAAGTCAGCTTGTGGCTAGAGCAGATTATGTGGAGGAACTCTTTAGAGAGTCGCTGAACCCTGCCCTGGGTTTCATTGTGTGTTCTGATCTCTCCTCTTCTGCTCCCAGTGGGGCTCTGAGTTAGACTTCAGGTTTTCCTCAGAGTGACTCTCAGAGCTCTCTGTGTGAGCATAGCTGGTATTGGTCCCCCTGCCATCTGATGTCACCACGTGAATTTAGGATGAAGCCTGATGCCCAAGGGCCTTCAAACTCCACTCTGTCCAATCCCTTTTTCTTTGAACTTGGCAGATTAGGGTGACCCAGTCATACAAAAATATCTGAACCAGACAGCTTGAAAGCAATGGCAGTTTTTCTTCACTTAAGATTTTACCTAATTTATCAACTCAATTTTCTATACTTGAATATTGGTGGAAAAAAGGAAATGCTGAATTGGATGCAGCTATTCTAGACAATTGAATCTGTGTATTATGCATGTGGGCGTATTTATGTATGATGCACCTTCTTCCATTTACTGTACTTGCAGTGGCTTACATATTTTTATGTGCAAGATATTTATTTATATCTGCATCCAAATGTCTAGCCAAGTACTACGTATATTATAGGCACTCAGTAAATGTTTGTTCAATCAAAATGACTTTAAAATAGAGTAAAGATGATTTAAAGGAAGGAAGTGATCATTCCAGATATCTGAATACAACAGAATATTATCATTGGGCCATTCATTTGATTGTAAGCTTCTTAAATTCAGGACACTAACCCCTTTGTAATAAATTGTGCAGGATTTAGTTTCTCACAAAACAGTGCATAACAACCTTACCTTGAAAGAAAAGGAATACAAAATTTATCTTAGCAGGCTATACATAAAGACGTGGTGAAATATAGTGGTTAGCATCCTTGACTCTTTTGTATTTATATAAAAGAAGATACAGTATTTTTTTTTAAATGAACAGTGCTCATATGCCCACTCTCAAAGCTAGAAGGAACAATACTGAACCGTAATTTAATGAAGGAATTCTCTGTGGAAGAGAGATAATGTTGTCTAGGAATCCTCTGTTTATAGTGTAATTTAATACAATAGGACTTGAATAATTTAAATGAATAGGTTTCTATTAAACCATCACTTTCAAATAGTATTCTTGGCCAGTTTCCAGAACCAATCAGTTTGTGATTCCTTAACAATTGTCTGTACCATGGCAAGTCACTGCTACTGATTAAATAAAGAATCTGTACTTTCAAGTACTGACATGAAGAGGCAAAGGTGACCTTCAGTGGTGGGTGGCTTGGGAGCCTGACTTGTGTTCTTTGCCTGGACAGAAGCCAGTTCATTTCAGCATAAGATTGAGCTGCAGGGGAGTCTTTGGGGAGCAAATGGAAATGTGTTAATGGCATTTGTCTGTACTTTGAATAGAGATACTTGGAAGTATGTTTGTCTTATTGTTTTCCTTCATTTTAGAAAATTTATTTTGGACTATTTCTACACTCTTTGCAGACCTTTGAGGAAAACATCTTATATGAAGGGCTGAAAGGGTAGCTTCAGTGTATTTCAACTGGGGCATGGAAATCCCTGGATTATTCCCTCATACTACTATCTGCATGGCTCAGACAATGGGACATTCCTTTATATCCATGCCCTGATTTTTGCAGACCAAATCAGGGCATGGATATAAAGGAATGCCCCTCTTGTCTGAGACATGCAGATTACAGTAGCCCTTTGGCTCATACGAGGTTGTGATAATGTAAGTGTTAGATTAGTCTCTGGTTCTGATTTTTAGAAGGTTTAAGTTCTAGTGTCCAGCAAAAATGCATCAGTGAAGCTGACAGGTGCGTAAGGCAAACATCATAATGATATTAGACTCAGCGTGATTTCATGCATTAATATGGAGTTTGGGTTACGCTGACCTCACATCCTGGTTTGAATCCTGATTCATTGAGCAGCAATGTGAACTAGGGCAACACAACAATCTCTGAGCTTCAGTTTTGTAGTTTTGTAGTCTATTAAAATGGAAATAAATATTAACACATATCTTTGAGGCTTATTTATATAGTCATAGTATATAGGTTTCTATTTCTCAGCTTTTTGGGGGGAATTCTTGAATTCTTGCATATAAAATAAGATCTCTTTATTTAACAACAGAAAATCCTGATTGTTGGATTCTATTAGCACCTCTGTTCGGTTAGAAAACCTACTAAATGTAAAATAAAATTTCTCTTAGGAGTTTTTTTATGTTCATTTATCAAGATTTGATCTATTAAAATTTTAGCCTATTAAAATATTCTGGTGTCTCATAGCCTACAGAAAAAGTGCACATTCTTAACATGGTCCTTCCACATTCTGATTCTAACCTGGCTATTCTTTGTGTCCTTCTGGTCATCTCCCTCTACTGTGATCTTCCTGCAGACTCCTTTGGGAAGCACAGGCATCTCATGCCCTCTGGTCGTGCTCTAATCACATTGACTTGCTTAGCCTCCGCTTAACCTGTATGTTCTAGCACTTCCTAGTTTCCACGTGTTTTCTCACCTAATGACCTCTTTCTCTTCTTTCTACCTTCACCTGACAATAGCCTATGAAGGCTTTTATTCTCAGTTTATATAGCTCCTCTTCAATAAAACCTCCTAACCCTCCGAGTAAAATAAGCCTCTCCATTTGCCTTGTGCTTCTACAGTGCCTTTGGTAGAATCACATTCTGCCTTTGGGTCTATATACATGTCCTGCGTGTTGGACTGTGGGCTTCGTGAGAACAGTGTTTTCATCAGCGTTTACCTTACATAGGCTAGTTCCTTTCTTTTTATCTTTTTTAATTATACTTTAAGTTCTAGGGTACAGGTGTACAACATGCATGTTTGTTACAAATGTATACATGTGCCATGTTGGTGTCCTGCACCCGTTAACTCATTATTTACATTAGGTATATCTCCTAATGCTATCCCTCCTCCCTCCACCTACCTGACGACAGGCCCTGGTGTGTGATGTTCCCCACCCTGTGTCCAAATGTTCTCATTGTTCTATTCCCACCTATGAGTGAGAACACGTGGTGTTTGGTTTTCTGTCCTTGTGATAGTTTGCTGAGAATGATGATTTCCAGCTTCATCCATGTCCCCATAAAGGACATAAACTCATCCTTTTTTATGGCTGCATAGTATTCCATGGTGTGTATGTGCCACATTTTCTTAATCCAGTCTATCATTGATGGACATTTGGGATGGTTCCAAGTCTTTGCTATTGTGAATAGTGCCGCAATAAACATACGTGTGCATGTGTCTTTATAGCAGCATGATTTATAATCCTTTGGGTATATGCCCAGTAATAGGATGGCTGGGTCAAATGGTATTTCTAGTTCTAGATCCTTGAGGAATTGCCACACTAACTTCCACAATGGTTGAACTAGTTTACAGTCCCACCAACAGTGTAAAAGCTTTCCTATTTCTCCACATCCTCCCCAGCATCTGTTGTTACCTGACTTTTTAATGATCACCATTCTAACTGGTGTGAGATGGTATCACATTGTGGTTTTGATTTGCACTTCTCTGATGGCCAGTGATGATGAGCATTTTTTTATGTATCTGTTGGCTGCGTAAATGTCTTCTTTTGAGAAGTGTCTGTTCATATCCTTTGCCCACTTTTTGATGGGGTTGTTTGATTTTTTCTTGTAAATTTGTTTAAGTTCTTTGTAGATTCTGGATATTAGCCCTTTCTCAGATGAGTAGATGGCAAAAATTTTCTCCCATTCTGTAGGTTGCCTGTTCACTCTGATGGTAGTTTCTTTTGCTGTGCAGAAGCTCTTTAGTTTAAGTAGATCCCATTTGTCAATTTTGGCTTTTGTTGCCTTTGCTTTTGGTGTTTTAGTCATGAAGTCCTTGCCCATGCCTATGTCCTGAATGGTATTGCCTAGGTTTTCTTCTAGGGTTTTTCTGGTTTTAGGTCTAACATTTAAGTCTTTAATCCATCTTGAATTAATTGTTGTATAAGATATAAGGAAGGGATCCAGTTTCAGCTTTCTACATATGGCTAGCCAGTTTTCCCAGCACCATTTATTAAATAGGGAATCCTTTACCCATTTCTTGTTTTTGTCAGGTTTGTCAAAGATCAAATGGGTGCAGATGTGTGGTATTATTTCTGGGGGCTCTATTCTATTCTATTGGTCTATATCTCTGTTTTGGTACTGGTACCATGCTGTTTTGGTTACTGTAGGCTTGTAGTATAGTTTGAAGTCAGGTAGGGTGATGCCTCCAGCTTTGTTCTTTTGGCTTAGGATTGTCTTGGCAATGTGGGCTATTTTTGGTTTCATATGAACTTTAAAGTAGTTTTTTCCAGTTCCATGAAGAAAGTCATTGGTAGCTTGATGGGGATGGCATTGAATCTATAAATTACCTTGGGCAGTATGGCCATTTTCACAATATTGATTCTTCCTATCCTTGAGCATGGAATGTTCTTCCATTTGTTTGTGTCTTCTTTTATTTCGTTGAGCAGTGGTTTATAGTTCCCCTTGAAGAGGTCCTTCACATCCCTTGTAAGTTGGATTCCTAGGTATTTTATTCTCTTTGAAGTGATTGTGAATGGGAGTTCACTCATGATTTGGCTCTCTGTTTGTCTGTTATTGGTGTATAGGAATGCTTGTGATTTTTGCACATTGATTTTGTATCCTGAGACTTTGCTGAAGTTGCTTATCAGCTTAAGGAGATTTTGGGCTGAGACGATGGGGTTTTCTAAATATACAATCATGTCATCTGCAAGCAGGGACAATTTGACTTCCTCTTTTCCTAATTGCATATCCTTTATTTCTTTCTCTTGCCTGATTTCCCTGGCCAGAACTTCCAACATTATGTTGAATTGGAGTGGTGAGAGAGGGCATCCCTGTCTTGTGCCAGTTTTCAAAGGGAATGCTTCCAGTTTTTGCCCATTCAGTATGATATTGGCTGTGGGTTTGTCATAAATAGCTCCTATTATTTTGAGATACGTCCCAGCGATACCTGATTTATTGGTAGTTTTTAGCATGAAGGGCTATTGAATTTTGTCAAAGGCCTTTTCTGCATCTATTGAGATAATCATGTTTTTGTCTTTGGTTCTGTTTATATGCTGGATTACGTTTATTGATTTGCATATGTTGAACCAGCCTTGCATCCCAGGGATGAGACCAACTTGCTCATGGTGGATAAGCTTTTTGATGTGCTGCTGGATTCAGTTTGCCAGTATTTTATTAAGGATTTTTGCATCAATGTTCATCAGGGATATTGGTCTAAAATTCTCTTTTTTTGTGTGTCTCTGTCAGGCTTTGGTATCAGGATGATATTGGCCTCGTAAAATGAATTAGGGATGATTCTGCTTTTTCTATTGATTGGAATAATTTCAGAAAGAATGGTACCAGCTCCTCTTTGTACCTCTGGTAGAATTCAGCTGTGAATCCATCTGGTCCTGGACTTTTTTTGGTTGGTAGGCTATTCATTATTGCCTCAATTTCAGAACCTGGTATGGGTCTATTCAGGGATTCCACTTCTTCCTGGTTTAGTCTTCGGAGGGTGTATGTGCCCAGGAATTTATCAACTTCTTCTAGATTTTCTAGTTTATTTGAATAGAGGTGTTTGTAGTATTCTGTGATGGTAGTTTGTATTTCTGTGGGATCAGTGGTGATATCCCCCTTATCATTTTTTATTGCATCTATTTGATTCTTCTCTCTTTTCTTCTTTATTAGTCTTGCTAGCAGTCCATCAATTTTGTTGATCTTTTCAAAAAACCAGCTCCTGGATTCATGGATTTTTCGAAGGGTTTTTGTGTCTCTATCTCCTTCAATTCTGCTCTGATCTTAGTTATTTCTTGACTTCTGCTAGCTTTTGAATGTGTTTGCTCTTGCTTCTCTAGTTCTTTCAATTGTGATGTTAGGGTGTCAATTTTACATCTTTCCTGCTTTCTCATGTGGGCATTTAGTGCTATAAATTTCCCTCTATAGACTGCTTTGAATGTGTCCCAGAGTTTCTGGTATGTTGTGTCTTTGTTTTCATTGGTTTCAAAGAACATCTTTATTTCTGGCTTCATTTTGTTATGCACCCAGTAGTCATGCAGGAGCAGGTTGTTCAGTTTCCATGTAGTTTAGATGTTTTGAGTGAATTTCTTAAGTCTGAGTTCTAGTTGATTGCACTGTGGTCTGAGAGACAGTTTGTTATAATTTCTGTTCTTTTACATTTGCTGAGGAGTGCTTTACTTCGAACTATGTGGTCAATTTTGGAATAAGTGCAGTGTGGTGCTGAGAAGAATGTATATTCTGTTGATTTGGGGTGGAGAGTTCTGTAGATGTCTATTAGGTCTGCATGGTGCAGAGCTGAGTTCAATTCCTGGATATCTTTTTTACATTCTGTCTCGTTGATCTGTCTAATGTTGACCGTGGGATGTGAAAGTCTCCCATTATTATTGTGTGGGAGTCTGTGTCTCTTTGTAGGTCTCCAAGGACCTGCTTTATGAATCTGGGTGCTCCTGTATTGGGTGCATATATATTTAGGATAGTTATCTCTTCTTGTTGAATTGATCCCTTTACCATTATGTAATTGCCTTCTTTGTCTCTTTTGATCTTTGTTGGTTTAAAGTCTGTTTTATCAGAGACTAGGATTACAACCCCTGCTTTTTTTTTGTTTTCCATTTGCTTGGTAGATCTTCCTCCATCCCTTTATTTTGAGCCTACATGTATCTCTGCATGTGAGATGGGTCTCCTGAATGCAGCACACTGATGGGTCTTGACTCTATCCAATTTGCCAGTCTGTGTCTTTTAATTGGAGCATTAAGCCCATTTACATTTAAGTTTAATATTGTTATGTGTGAATTTGATCCTGTCATTATGATGTTAGCTGGTTATTTTGCTTGTTAGTTGATGTGGTTTCTTCCTAGCCTCGATGGTCTTTACAATTTTGCATGTTTTTGCAGTGGCTGGTACCAGTTGTTCCTTTCCATGTTTATTGCTTCCTTGAGGAGCTCTTGTAAGGCAGGCCTGATGGTGACAAAATCTCTCAGCTTTTGTTTGTCTGTAAAGGATTTTATTTCTCCTTCACTTATGAAGCTTAGTTTGGCTGGATATGAAATTCTGGGTTGAAAATTCTTTTCTTTAAGAATGTTGAATATTGGCCCCTAATCTCTTCTGGCTTGTAGAGTTTCTGCTGAGAGATCCACCGTTAGTCTGATGGGCTTCCCTTTGTGGGTAACTCAACCTTTCTCTCTGGCTGCTCTTAACAATTTTTTCCTTCATTTCAACTTTGGTGAATCTGACAATTATGTGTCTTGGAGTTGCTCTTCTTGAATATCTTTGTGGTGTTCTCTGTATTTCCTGAATTTGAATGTTGGCCTGCCTCACTAGGTTGGGGAAGTTGTGGATAATATCCTGAAGAGTGTTTTCCAACTTGGTTCCATTCTCCCCATCACTTTCAGGCACAGCAATCAGACGTAGATTTGGTCTTTTCACATAGTCCCATATTTCTTGGAGGCTTTGTTTGTTTCTTTTTACTCTTTTTTTTTAAACTTGTCTTCTCACTTCATTTCATTCATTTGATCTTCGGTCATTGATACCCTTTCTTCCACTTGATCAAATTGGCTACTGAAGCTTGTGCATGCATCGTGTAGTTCTGATGCCATGGTTTTCAGCTCCATCAGGTCATTTAAGGACTTCTCTACACTGTTTATTCTAGTTAGCTATTCGTCTAATCTTTTTTCAAGGTTTTTAGCTTCTTTTCGATGGGTTCGAATATCCTCCTTTTTCTCGGAGAAGTTTGTTATTACCAATTGTCTGAAGCCTTCTTCTCTCAACTTATCAGTCATTCTCCGTCCAGCTTTGTTCCGTTGCTGGCGAGGAGCTGCGTTCCTTTGGAGGAGAAGAGGCGCTCTGATTTTTAGAATTCTCAGCTTTTCTGCTATGGTTTCTCTCTGTCTTTGCTGTTTTATCTACCTTTGGTCTTTGATGATGGTGACATACAGATGGGGTTTTGGAGTGGATGCCCTTTCTGTTTGTTAGTTTTCCTTCTAACAGTCAGGACCGTCAGCTGCAGGTCTGTTGGAGTTTGCTGGAGGTCCATTCCAGACCCTGTTTGCCTGGGTATCACCAGCGGAGGCTGCAGAACAGCAAATATTGCAGAATGGCAAATGTTGCTGTCTGATCCTTCTTCTGGATGCTTCATCTCAGAGTGACACCCAGCTGTATGAGGTGTCAGTCAGCCCGTATTGGGAGGTGTCTCCCAGTTAGGCTACTCGGGGGTCAGGGACCCATTTCAGGAGGCAGTCTGTCTGTTCTCAGATCTCAAACTCCGTGCTTGGAGAAGCACTACTCTCTTCAAAGCTGTCAGACAGGGAAGTTTAAGTCTGCAGAAGTTTCTGCTGCCTTTTGTTCAGCTATGCCCTGCCCCCAGAGGTGGAGTCTACAGAGGCAGGCAGGCCTCCTTGAGCTGCAGTGGGCTCCACCCAGTTCGAGCTTCCAGGCTACTTTGTTTACTTACTCAAGCCTCAGCAATGGCAGACACCCCTCCCCCAGCCTCACTGCAGCCTTGCAGTTCCATCTCAGACTGCTGTGCTAGTAGTGAGCGAGGCTCTGTGAGGGTGGGACCCTTCGAGTCAGGCACGGGATGCAATCTCCTGGCATGCCGTTTGCTAAGGCCATTGGAAAAGAGCAGTATTAGGGTGGGAGTGTTCTGATTTTCCAGGTACCGTCTGTCACGGCTTCTCTTTGGTAGGAAGGAATTCTCTGACCCCTTGTGCTTCCTGGGTGAAGCGTTGCTCTGCCCTTCTCCATGGGCTGCACCCACTGTCTGACAAGCCCCAGTGAGATGAACCCAGTACCTCAGTTGGAAATGCAGAAATCACCCGTCTTCTGCATCACTTACGCTGGGAGCTGCAGACTGGAGCTGTTCCTATTCAGCCATCTTCAGCCTAGTTCCTTTCTGAGAGTAGGCACTCGAAAATATGTATTGACATGAATTGATTTGAAAAACTTTGATGGAGAGTATCTTTCCCTCATATTCAGTATTTTTTATTTGACTACACAAAAAGGATTATAATAAATAAAATTATAAACATTGAACACCCTGCTCCATAGAGATTTGCTAACAGATGTGTTCTTTTTACTCTTAAATACTCCTATTTTTTGAGACAGAGCCTTACTCTATCACCCAGATAGGTGTGCAGTGACAAGATCATGGTTCACTTTCAGACTCAACCTCCCAATTTCAGCTATTTTCCCACCTTAGCCTGGGGACCACAAGCACGTGTCACCATGCTGGTAAATTTTTGTATTTTAATTTTTTTGGTAGAGATGGGGTCTCCCTATGTTTCCCAGGCTGGTCTCCAACTGGTGGGCTCTAGCTATTCTCCCACCTCAGCCTCCCAAAGTACTGGGAATATAAGTGTGAGTCACTGCACCTGGCCTCCTGTCGAAATTGAGTCAAAGTAATTACCTACATAGTTCAAATTCTAGAGAGGACTCAACACTTCTATCCTTTCCAGAAACATACAAACACACATCTCTCAGGTCCTTTTGATATTCTGGGGCATGTTCCAGTGTTTGTGTCATGTTGTTGGGGTAACCTTTTACATGGATACTTGGATCATTTTTTCTTCTGTAAATCTATGTGGCACCTGTCCCTGAGACTTTGGAGGGTATAACAAATCAAGGAGTACTTTGAAAGGAGGCACAACCTTAAATAGAATAGTTTCTTTCTTTGGATTTGTTTTGGTGTACCTCATCTCATTACCAATGTGTCAGCCATTGCATACCAAATCAACATGTGGATATAAGGGAATGTGCCCTTGTCTGAGACAAGCAGATTATAGTAGACCTCTGGTTCATAGGAGGTTGTGGCAGTATAAGTGTTAGATTAGTTTCTGACTCTAATTTTTGTAAGGTTTCAGCTCTAGTGTCCAGCAAAAATGCCTCAGTGAAGCTGATAGGTGTGTCAGGCAAACATCCTAATGATATCAGACTCAGCGTGATTTCATGCAACAACTTGGAGTTTGGGTTACTCTGACCTCACATCATGGTTTGAATCCTGATTCACTGAGCAGCAGTGTGAACTAGAGCAAAATAACAATTGTTGAGCTTCAGTTTTGTAGTCTATAAAAATGGAAATAAATATTAATGTATTTTTGAGGCTTATTTATATATATGTAGTATAGCGGTTTCTATTTCACAGCTTTTTTGGGGGAATTCTCCAATTCTTGCATATAAAATAAGATCACTTTATCTAACAAAAAGAGAAAATCCTGTTTGTTGGATTCTATTAGCTCCCCTCTTCGGGTAGAAAATCTGCTAAACATAAAATAAAATTTCTCATAAGTGTTTTTTAATGTTCATTTAATGTCAACATTTAATTAATTAATTATATTTGTTTGTTTGTGTATTCAAGAATGTTTATTGAGAAGCTACTTTAGACCAGCAAATTCTATGTGCTGGGGATATAGCAATGAACAAGACAGACAAATCTGTGCCTTCATAAAATTACATTTCTAATAACCTCACACCTTAGTGTAAATGTTCTGCTTTAGCCAAGACCAACTTGCACATCAGCAAATAAAGCTAGTCCATATTTTTGTTTGACCTGTAAGACTGTATTGAGTTATTTCAAAAATCACTGCTGGCTTTGACTACAGCAAATGCCCCCTTAGTATTTGCTGTGATCTGTGTAATTCCACGTGGACCTAAAACTCTTTTTGTGTTTGGAGAAAAGAAGAGTTGTTAAGGAGACACAAGGATACAACAGGACTCCTTCATAGGGAAATTAAAGAAGTGGATCCTGGAATGTTTGCTGCTATTTCCTGCTGGGATATAGTTAAAGGTGAGGGAGAGTGAAAAGTAGGAGGAGGCTGAATAACTTTCTGAGGCAGTCATGAGAACCAGACTGCTGGAAAAAGCTTGACTAACTAAATTGAATGTGTTAGTGTAGACTCTCTGTAATCATTTCATCATGACCTACCACTAATTTGTGTGGGAGTTGAATGTGATAGGAACCTAAGATGCTATGCCAATAAACAGTTATAAGAAATTCTGTGTGCCTTATGTTTGAAAATCTTTGAACACACCATCTCCTATTCAAGGCTGGTTGTAGCATATTAACTGTAACTTTTTTTTAAAAAAAGAGATTTTACAGTTATTGTAATTAACATCTTCAACAGGGCAAGAAAAGACAGGATGTATTTCAAGTGATTGAAACCTTAAATTTTCACAGTTTAGTGTGAGAGACACTATGTTAGACTTGTAAATTTAGCAGATCTGTATTGAGAGGAAAAAAATAAATATGCTTCTTTGGTGTCCATCTACATGGCAACAGCTCCAGGATTCCTATCTCTAGCCCAGACTTTCTGCTGTGTTGCAGATCCATGCAGCCAGTTTCTTCTTCATTGGCCTCCCTAATGTAAGAATTCCAATATGTAGCCCTTGGTCTCCTCCTCCCTCTCATGCTTCTCAGTGGCTTTGCCTATTTTTCTACTTCTGGTGCTTGTCTCCACCCATTTGCTCATTATAGAGACCCAAGACCCTCACATTCTTTCTCATTGTTCTTTCCTGAGCCATGACCAAGTCGTTCAGGTTCTATCTCCAAATAGCTCTGCAATGCATTTGCTTTTCTCTGCCACCATGTTTTGCTAGATCACTGCAATCACCTGCTAAATAGACTGCTTGGTCTTCTTTTATTCTTCACGTGTCAGCCATAAGGATCTTTCACTGGATCCCTTCCTTACACCTTATACAAAAATTAATTCAAGATGGATTAAAGACTTAAATGTTAGACTTAAAACCATAAAAACCCTAGAAGAAAACCTAGGCATTACCATTCAGGACATAGGCATGGGCAAGCACTTCATGTCTAAAACACCAAAAGCAACGGCAACAAAAGCCAAAATTGACAAATGGGATCTAATTAAACTAAAGAGCTTCTGCACAGCAAAAGAAACTACCATCAGAGTGAACAGGCAACCTACAAAATGGGAGAAAATTTTCGCAACCTACTCATCTGACAAAGGGCTAATATTCAGAATCTACAATGAACTCAAACAAATTTACAAGAAAAAAACAAACAACCCCATCAAAAAGTGGGCGAAGGACATGAACAGACACTTCTCAAAAGAAGACATTTATGCAGCCAAAAAACACATGAAAAAATGCTCACCATCACTGGCCGTCAGAGAAATGCAAATCAAAACCACAATGAGATACCATCTCACACCAGTTAGAATGGCAATCATTAAAAAGTCAGGAAACAACAGGTGCTGGAGAGGATGTGGAGAAATAGGAACACTTTTACACTGTTGGTGGGAATGTAAACTAGTTCAACCATTGTGGAAGTCAGTGTGGCGATTCCTCAGGGATCTAGAACTAGAAATACCATTTTGCCCAGCCATCCCATTACTGGGTATATACCCAAAGGATTATAAATCATGCTGCTATAAAGACACATGCACATGTATGTTTATTGTGGCTCTATTCACAATAGCAAAGACTTGGAACCAACCCAAATGTCCAACAATGATAGACTGGGTTAAGAAAATGTGGCACATATATACCATGGAATACTATGCAGCCATAAAAAATGATGAGTTCATGTCCTTTGTAGGGACATGGATGAAATTGGAAATCATCATTCTCAGTAAACTATCACAAGAACAAAAAACCAAACACCACATATTCTCACTCATAGGTGGGAATTGAACAATGAGATCACATGGACACAGGAAGGGGAACATCACACTCTGGAGACTGTTGTGGGGTGGGGGGAGGGGAAGGGATAGCATTAGGAGATATATCTAATGCTAAATGACGAGTTAATGGGTGCAGCACACCAGCATCGCACATGTATACATATGTAACAAATCTGCACGTTGTGCATATGTACCCTAAAACTTAAAGTATCATAATAATAAAATAAAATAAAGGATCTTTCAAAGAATACCTCTGATCTGATTCTGGCATGCCCCAGTATCAAACCTACCAACTACTTCCCACCATAATTAAGACGGTAGGCCCCAGTATCAACCCTACCAACTACTTCCCACCACAGTTAAGATGGTAAGCCCCAGTCCACAGCAGAGACTCTTCTGATCTCCACTTCCCTCCCTGGCATGAGCTCCCTTTGTCCACTGCACTGCACTGCAGCCACACTGGCCTTTTTTTCTGTGCTCCTAAGTCCCATGTTCTTTCTATCAGGAGCTTTCCCAAGTGCTACTCCTCCTCGGTAAGCCATGTGTGTATCACCTTTCTTGTCTTCTCTTCGGGATCAGTGTAAGGTAAGGGCACTTTTTAAAAAGAATCTTTCCAACCTAAATCTGTTCCTCCAGCTGTAGATCTTGTTTTTGTTTTTGTGGCATTTATCATAACCAGTAGCTAGCTATTAACATATATATTAATAAATGTATACCATAATACATATATTAATAATTATATTAAGTATGAATCAATAATATTAATATATTAATATATTAATAGCCATACATTAATGATATATAATTATGAGTGTGCTTTATGTCTTCCCCAATACAATGCAAGATCCCTATCACTTGACAGTTTCCTATCACAATACAGCAGGTACTTCACAAATATTTGCTGCATGAATAAATGAATAAATGAAAAGTATAGAGATGAGAAGATAATGTTTTCCCTGTATGTCTAAGACATAGCTTTTTCATGTTAAATAAGCCCATGCTTCTCATGAAGCTAACCAACTTAAAGTTAGTACAATGGTGTGTACTTGTAAACAGAAAAAAAAATTTGTTGTTCTATCATTTTTTGCACTTTTATAAAAATTTATTTAAAATTATGGCTAAACACTGTGCAAAGAAGAGAAAAACCTCCTCTCCCCCACACCAATTTATTATCCTCCCTGTTTCAGTGGAGCAGTGGATTTGATGTGATAGGTGCTCAGATGAAAGCACTGTCATGGGTCTGTTTCACAGTAATGGAAGCCACAGTGGCTTGGTTGAGTGGCCCATGTCAGAAATTTGGCCTTGATGATGGGATTGGAAATGCTTATTCCCTGTTCACACAGGTTGGACTCCCAGGGCGACCAAGAGGTCTATAATTTTGCTATAGTGAGTGCTCCTCAGATTGAGAACTCAGGATTGAAAGCACAATGGTTAACTCAAATGAATTTTATTTTATCATTACCTTTTTTTCATATGAAGTCAAGATTTATATTCAAACTAGTTTTAGAGAAATACACATTTGATTGTAAATTTAGGACTTGATGTTGACTCAAAAAAAAAGGAACACCTCTCTGTGTATTACCCCAAATTTTTCTGCTTCCTATTTTTATGGCAATGTTCATATATAGTCTACTAAAATAGGTATTTATTTTAGTTATGCTTAGAAACAAGAGACAGTTTTAACAATATGTGAACACGGAAAGGCTTTATTTTTATTGCTTTTGTCACCTTTTCTTAGAGAAAAAGAACACAGTATTTTGTTACCAGTTTCCTGGCATAGTTTTAGTTTAAAAATTGTCTTTTAAAAATTGATATGCTGCTTTAAATTGTAGTGTGGATCAGTACATTTTAAATAAGAAATTTGGAGAGTAGTAGTGTTGTATTTAAAATCATGATCAGAACAAGAATCATTTCTGTTTCATTGGTAAAACTTGAATGGCTAAAGGATTTTCACGTCCTATAGTAGCTGTAACAGATCGATACTGTTAACTGGATGCAACATTTGTATCCTTAGCTGCATACAGGTTTGTATGCATGGTGGTGGTGGTTGGTGTGCATGTGAGTCAGTGGGGGTGGGGGAACCCTTCTAAGAGGTGGCCACGGGATAACAATGAAAAAATATGTTCACAATCATCTGAAACCTAATCATATTTTTTAATTCAACGTAGGAAAGAACCTCTTTGGAACAGATGTATAAACAATATTAAATTAAACGAGAACAAACAAATGAGATTATAATCCTGCTGTTATTTCACTTAACTTTATCTGGGTAACATAGTTAAATAAAGGTAGATCTAGATCATAATGAGTTTATCTACTCAAAGGGAAAAACAGAGACTTCTGTGAAAAGTTTAATTTCTAAATATAAAAAGTAAAAATCACAGTCAATTTTAACCTTTTATTATCACCTTTAAAATATATTTTTCTAGCAATTAAAAAGTAAATCAAAGTCTATGAGATAAAAATATTCCAGAAAGGATAAGTAAAAAGAGCTTTAAAAGTATCTTATTTGGCCAAAATAATTCCTTATTATAATTGTTAGAATTTATCTTACATTTTTGCATTTGATGTCAAGTGAAAAAATGGAAAAACACAATTTTCATATAAATTATTGAAAAGGTTTGGAGAAGTCACAGTCAGCTGCAGCAAACATTTTCTTTTGTGGAGCAGTGAGTGTGTGATGGTGTTGGGAGCACACTGAGTGTTTTAGCTCCATTGAGTTATTTACATGTTCTTAAATGTGTGCCTTTCTTTTCTCCTTAGCCAGACTTCGAATCTCCTTTAATGTAGAAATCATTACGAAGTACAAATTAGAGTGAAAAACACAGTGCAGTATAAGAAAACAAAATATACATTATAATAGTAGTAAACTTGGCAGAAATTGTATAGAACTATGAACAGAAGACTATCAAATCTTCTAAAGAATAAAGACTTTAGTACATGAAGAGACTGGGCATTGCTCTATTTTGGATATATTAAATGTAGTAAAAGTATGAAATTTTTGCAGTCGAATTCATAAGTTTAATAAAATTAAATCAAATTCAAAGAGGAAATTCTATAAATTCAAAGAAATCATTCTAATATTCACTTGAAGTAAATAGTGTATTTTTAATCATAAAATTAAAATGTTATTTAAGGGAAACATCTCTATAGCTAGTGTTAAAAGAAAAACTTTAGAAAAATTAAATTGTCCGGAGTTTAATGGAGCAAAGAAGTATTTGCCAATTGGACAGCTCCCAAAACAGAATAGGTTCAGAGAGGCTCTAGCACTGCCTCATGATTGAAGATTTATGAACAGAAGAAGGAAAATTACCTATAGAAAATAGAAGTAAGATACAAAACAACTGGACTGGTTACTTGGCATTTGTCTCATTTGAACACTGTTTGAACAGTTGGGCACCTTTGATTTGCCCAAACCCAGTGATTGGCTTAAGAGTAGATTACAGCCCATTACATATTCAGTTAGGTTACAATTCACTATGTATGAAAAAGCCTTCTGAACTTAAAATATGTAAGGAGGCAGCTTTAGACTAAACTTAACAGTAGCATTGATATATTAAAAAGTGAATTAATTTTCAAAACAGCATTTTGTAGGTTTGGTACACAAATAGGTTTCTGAAATAGAACCGGTTTCCCAGAAATATTTTCTTGTATAATTCTAAATATAATTAGTTTTTCCAATTTGAATCAGCCTTTCAAAGAAGCATATACAAAAGCAATAAAT
Source organism: Homo sapiens (assembly GCF_000001405.40). Taxonomy (NCBI): domain Eukaryota; kingdom Metazoa; phylum Chordata; class Mammalia; order Primates; family Hominidae; genus Homo; species Homo sapiens. Next base: position 62,301,833 of record NC_000008.11, read on the forward strand.
ATAAATGTGGCTGTTACCATGCTGCTAACCAAAGTTGAAAAAAGCCAGGGATGCCAATAGAAACTTAAACGTTCTATTTCATCTTGGAAAGCCTTACTCCATGCTATCTTACCACCTGTACCATTTGGAAATTCTTGGTTTTCAGCAGTGGCCACCACAGACTTTTGTAAAAGTAGCCTGAATGCCATCCTTTAATTAATCTGAGTGTTCTCACTTCCCTAATTATTCTACAAGGCTTCCAAGATGAATAAAAACATGTTCATCTAGAACTGCCTCCTTACATGTTCAGAATTCTCAAATGAAGCTATTCATGGAGTCATGACTTGGCAGTGTTTTCTATTTCAGGTTCGGCAAATGGGTAAACCAGGGCATTGATGTGGGTTACCTACTCATTAGGAAGAAAGCACTTCTGTATACTTGCTCATTAATCTCTTCTACTTCCCTAAACCACATGAAGAAAAGACATTCTTTCTTCTTACCTCAGCTGGGTTCTGCACTTCTTTTGCAGTCCTTTTCATCAAAGAGAGCTCTACAGGTCAATATTTCAAAGACTAGACATCGTTTCTAGCTCCTATAGAGAAAAATAGTTAAAGTTTGTTACACAGAGGCTCTTTTCCCCTTAGCTCCTTTTTGAAAGATGTATCAATAACAAAGACAGTATAAACATTAATTTAAAATATCATTTTAGCTAAGCTTATACTTTGTTATAGTCACAGACTATCCCAAGTAAGTGACCATGAGGGATGTCAATATACTTGTTGGATTCTTGATAGTGAATTCTGGCTTTTCTTGTAGTGCCAGGACATAAAAGGTGCTCAATGGGTATTCACTGCATATAGATAAAATCCTATCCCCTACATTGTTTCAGAGGTGAAAAAGCTGTCAACTGATCTCCAGAGAAAATGTTACAGTTTATTTTCTTCTTAGTAAACAAAAGCATAAGGGAAAAATAGAATGATAGGGCTTGATCTGATCATAACAAAGTATTATTTAGGGCATCTTTGTTAAAAGATTCACAGTTTGTTTTCTCATGCTCCCTGGGATTTCTTTACAGTGGTAACATTATATAGAGGTTTGGGCTGTTAACTCCTCCCAGATTGTGTCACCTAGGAACACAGTGGCCTCTTGACACATTCACATTGCAAATCACTTGAGCTGCATACCTGAGTTCTACTTCAGGGGATGAGTATATAAGGAGAAGAAAGTTTAGTTCCCTGGTCATTGTTGTGGACCCTGGGATAACGAAAAACAAGGTATAACATTCAAATCAGTAGGGACAATTGGGAAAATGTGTTCTCCAGCAGTTGATTTACTGTGTTTTTTAAAAACAGTTGTGCTCTTTGGTCACTGAATTGGTGACAATTAAAATGAAATGTGTGAAGTTGTTGAATGAGCCCTAGATAAACCTAATAGCCCTGGAATGATCCACAGTGTGAGCAAATTTCCGCATTCTAATTTCCTAAGGTTGTCACATGGCTCTTGAAAAACAGCCAATGACTGAGGATCCAATTTCTAGTCCACTCATTTCCTATCTCATGTATTTTTAATGAGATCTTTCCTCCAAAAAGTTGTTTGCTAACAGTGAACTGCACTTCAGAGTACCCAAATGAAGTTTATCTGAACCAGATGATGCTAATTGCAGAATAGATTGTCTTAAAATGAAGACTCCTTTTGGAATTGTAGGTTAATGTGTTGAAGGGATTCACACACATAATTTAGAAGCTATGAGATCTTATACTTGCGTTTTCAAAGAATAGCATTGACAGACAATCCACTTTATTGCTTTATCTATCAAGTTGGATATGATACATTTTAGTTAGGAATCAGCTTATTTTTTGAGAGTTTTAATTTGAAAAAAATCAGATAACTTCAAATTCCAAGTCAAATTGTTGAGACTGTATAATTTAAAAAAGTGCATATTGAAAACATTGCCTGATGCATAAAAGAAATACAGCCTCTAAAACTCATAACCTAATGTCTTATTTTTAATACTGTAAGATTATTTATTAATGCCTAGAATAAAAATAGCCATTTAAATTGTGAAGGTTGTTACAGTACTATAAGTTTAATTTCTAAGGAAGTATTTGATAATCTTCTACATCTAATTTCGATTTTGAAAAACACGATTAGTACTGTCTTTTAAAGAAGTTGCCAGGAGCAGGGAAGTAGGAAAATGGAACAAGACTTCACCTTCTTCCTAATCAGCCACAAGATCAGGGGTAAACCTGTTTTTATATTTAAATTGAAATAAGATGGGCATAGCCATCAGCATATATACATCCTAAGGGATGGTGTAAAAATGAGTTGCTGAGAAGATATGTGTCTGTCTAAATCCATAGAGATTTGGCCCTACCTTTAAGCAGATTGTCCATTAGGAAGAGAACTGGTGCAAGAAATTTTCAGTGCTCTCTCAGCCCCAATCTAAGCACAGAGAAATGTAGTATAGCTTGGTGCAAGTGTTTTTTGTGGAGCTCCAATTCACTTCTTTTCTTATATGGTCCACTAAGAAGCTGTTTTCTAATGCATAATTTAATCTTCTGAGCTGAGTTGCTTAGGACAAAGTAGTCATCTACATGCTTTTTTCCCCCTTTTAGTATGATTTGTAATCAGCACAAAATTATTATAGACATTTTGGGGGAATAATGTGATATTTCGATACATGAAACAATGTGTAAATGGTCAAATCAGGGTATTTAGCACATCTATCACCTCAAACATCATTTCTTTGTATGTGTATTTGTTAAAATGTAAAGATGCAAACATAATGAAGCAAGAATGGGGAATTGAAACCCAGCAGGTATGAAGTACTAGTCTCAACCTGTTACTAACTGACCTTGTCTTCTGGGGTAATTACTTAAACACTCCTGACCTGATATTCTATGATTTATTCATTTCCCACCACTGACTGGCTTAGAAAATCTTCTGATGGAACTCAACCAGAGTGACAGCATCCTGCTGTGGTTGTGTCCTTGGTGTGTGGACATTCGGCATGACGTTCATAGGCCAGCAGAAGCTACTCCATACTCAAGTGGAAAATCGATTTTGGGTGGACCAAATCTTGCATTATAAAGGCTCAGTTGTACTGGAAAGTGTCAGAGATGTGAGGCAAAAATGTAATGAAATCTCAGTTCTAGGCCTCATTAGCTATGTCACCTTGGTCAGTCAGATACTGATGTGTAAAATGAGAATAATTATCAGCTGGTTTAAAGATCAGAAGGAGGGTCTGTAAAGGAAATAGTACATTGCCTGGCACAGAATAGCTTATCTTTAAGCAATGGTTATTCTTAGTGTGTGGTTACATTTATCATAGCATGTTACTCACCATTCATTATATAATACTTAAAGGATTTTTTTTTTGTCTTTCAACCCTCAGTAGCACATCCATTTTTATTGCTTCTTTAGTTGTTGATAGCTATTTTGAACACAGATATTTCTATGAAATACGACTTTAAAGCTCCAATGGTTACAGATCATTCAACAGAAATTGGGTTTTAAAGGGAGAAATCGAATTTGAGTTAGGGAATTCCATAACGCATACAGATATAATTTTGACAAGGTCCTACTGCAAAAATTGCAACAACCTTAACAACTCATCTTGATGCTGAACAATATGGTCATGGTCATTAGTTAGGATACACATGGACCAATATACTTCATTAAGTGCCTGCTGACTATTGCTTCTCATTGACAAATGCATTCCTAGAGAATCGCTATTTTTAAAACTCAAGTTTCAACTTTCTTTCTAGAAATTATGGAAGCTATCTATACTCTTTCCCTGCATGTCCTTTAAAATATCTGTCCAGGATGCTGTAAATCTCTTTGGAGGTCTAAACACCATGGTGTCTCCAGGCCCTCCCTCTGGGCCACAAGCACTAAAGTGTGATGATGGATGGAAAAGAATGGAAGGTTGGTCTCGCTGGCCTTCTCCTTCTGGGTCCTAAGCATTTATGGTCATTGGGTATGTGTCGTTAGGACTGAGGATCTTGACTCATTCTCATTCGTCAAAATAGCAAATGAGGAGTTTGACCTGTGAGTCCTGAGCTTACTGCTTCTGCTGTTCAATGTTCCAAGCCATTTCCCCATGTGCTAGGGGGGTCCTGTTGGCCAGCATTCAGTGGGGCACAAAAGAACATAGTGTAGGCATGGGGATGCCTCCTGACCTACTGCTTTCAGTGTATTCCATTTTCTTGAACTATTAATGTTTCTCTAGGAATTTTTGTCTATAATAAATTATTTTGATTGCACATCATTTTCAAGTATTAGTTGTACACCATTTGTGTTAATAGAGTTAGTTTATACCTGCCATTAATTCAATTCTGCTTGTACTTTATCTTAGTATTTACTTCCTCTTTAAGTGCAGACTTTTGTTTTCACACTTTTTTGTATTAAATTTTACTATTTGAGGAGAGAACCAAATTTTATCATTGCTTGTCAAGGAGTTCTTGAAAGGAGGACTCTCTTGCTTTTTACTGTACATGGTGGGGGAAGGGGAGGTGGGCAGTAATTAGATATCTCCCAAGAATTAAGAAATAATGACAATAAAACATTTCAGAAAGATAAACTATTAAAGCAGAATGCAATAATTATAAGGAGGGCAGTGAAAATCTTAATGAGATAGTTTTTCCCAGTGCGAGCCCTACCTGACTGACTGTATTCGTAAATTAAAGAAAGGATGTGTCAATGCCTAGAAGGCTTTGAAGGCTTTGTGTGTGTGTGTGTGTGTGTGTGTGTGTGTGTGTGTGTGTTGTGTGTGTGTTTAGTTTATGTGTGGGGGAGGAGGGAGCAAAGTGTGGTATCAGTCAGCAATAGAACATAAGAAGAGTCAGAAGGTCAAATTTTGGCAGTGATCATTCAACATCTGATGGTTTTAGTGGAATCATAGGTTTGGCCAAAGAGCCAGGTAATAGGATTCCATGTTCAGGATGAATGACCACTGAGCAGATATGTACCTCAAACCATCTTAGCCTAATGCCATTACCCTTTGAAATGATATAACAAACTTCCTGGTTCTGATCTCGGTGCTCACCAAGAAAAATTAACCTTAATATTTGACACCCACTGCAGATGTGTCCATAGGGGAAAGCATACTGGTCATGACCTTACAAGTTCTGCAACAGTTTTATTTCTCAGTATACATTGGAAGAATCAGGAAATATTCTCATTCTGCTACTTGGATTTTTATGAGTTTGAATAATTTGAATCCCCTTCTGAGAATGATTCACTGCTGGAATGTGGTCAAATTTCTGAGGTAACAGAGCTGAGGGGGCTGCCCTGGTGAATCTCCTGCACCCCATGAGTCCTTGGGTAGCTAAGCAGCTGGTATCTCCTGGTGACACTGACCACCCCATATGTGACTCCATTTTAAATATCCTACTTAATTGTTTAACAAAACACAGCTTTTTGTCCCCTTATAGTTTAATTCATTCTCTTCTAGCAAAAAAAAAAAAAAAAAATTCTGAAAGTCAATGGAAATCAAGCCAAAATTCTATATAAACCCTGTTCCCCTTGTCTCTCCTTCTTTCCTCTCTCCCTCCTCTCTCTCTCCTTCTCTTTATCCCCTCCTCTGTCCCTATCTCTCTGCCCTTTTATATATTTAATTTTCTTCTTTCCTTCTTTCCACTTGTCTTTTTTGAGCACCATGTGCGTCAGACACTTTACTAAGTACTAGGAAAACAAAAACCTTCTGATTTTGTAGGAAGAAAGAGAGACACAAATCTGCAGCAAGTTGAAATATTTTTCATCTGTGGCATGAATTCAGTTTAACTCCACATGTATGTTTTGTGCCTCTCTTGTGCACAATCACTGTTTTGGGTTTTAGAAAGATTAAAATGCGTAAGGCTTGGCCTCAAGTTGTTTGTATCTACAAAGTTATATTAAATGTTTAGAAACTGTAAACAAATAATTCTCTAAGCGCAACATGAGAAATATTATGTGAACTGCATGAAACTTTTTGAGACAAGAAGAGATAGCACTTCTAGCTGAAGTATTTTTGGTAAAGTGAGTGGTATCAGGTTGTGTAGTATGACTGTTTTCACTATACTAAGGTTGGATAGAGAGTTAAGCTAGGCGACTGAAGCCAAAGTAGTCTTGTGGGGAAGATGGACTCAGGCAAATAGAGCTGGTCAGAAGTGATTGAGATGCTAGGGCTTAGAGATGCTGTTTCCTCAAACTCAGGACACTACAGTGAAATGGGTCAGGAGAACATAGCATTATGTCAAGAGCTGTGAGTCTAGGAAGAAAAGACAAGGCAGACTTGGGTAGATAATTAGGTTAAAGCTGAAGCCAAAAGCACTTTCCTCAGATAGCTAATTACTCTGAAAATATTTAAATAAAATGATACCTTTTAATTACTTTTTCTTGAGGATAACTCTGTGTTGTTTAGTCAGCTGTACCTCAAAGGCTTGTTCATATGACTGCATCCTCTGCCACTCCTCCCTCCTCACTTGTATGACTGGGGGTGATTGGGTGCCTTCTGCTTTTGGTGTTTTTGAGGAGTGATGTGTATGTCATTCAAGCTAATGCATAAAGTAAGTGTAGTTATTAAGACAGCTGATGGGGGACTAGTGAGAACCTTAATTCAATTTAAGGAATTGAAACTTAATTTGTGTGGTGATGTGAGGACTTTGAAATTTTATCAGTGAAGGCCATGATCAAGAGCTGTATTTTAGAAGATTATGTTACCAAAAGCAAGTGTGGATACAGGAGAAAATTTATGGGCATATTGCATCATCTTGGGAAAAGATATAAGGATGGCCAACTAGAGTAGTTGCATTCTGCATGGAAGGTCACCTTCATGGGTCATGGTGGAGGTAAAATTAACAGAAGTTGGTAATGAATTAACTGTGGGCAACAATGGGATGCAAGAGTCATGACATTCAAAGAGCTTGAATCCAGGTGACAAGCCAGCTACTGTAGAAAGGAAGGTACCATTAGCAGAGGTAGAGAAGAGAGCAGGTGCAGAAAGAGATACTAAATTCAGAAATAGAAATTTCAGAACTGCAAAACAACCTTGCATTTTACAGCTGAAGGGCTGCCTGTACAACTCATTGACCAACGGGAGATCTACCTTCATAATAAAATATATATTCTTTTGCCTCTCTCTTGGAAAAGTGAGTCATTTACTCAACCATGTGTTGATATTTAAAGGGCTTGTTATTTGCTAATGGTTGTTTTGAAAATCAGTGAGATTCAGACTAGATAGAAATGTCCTGTGTTGTATTTAAAGAAAATAAAACCATAATTTTAAGACTGAAAATATCTATCCATTATGATGCCATGCTCAACCCATATACTAAAAGGTGTTTTGTTTTATAAAATGGTGCTCATTTGCATTTTAAGTCTGAATTTTTAAAAATAATATTTGTACACCTGTTATATGTCCAAATTAAGACAAATTTGTTTAATTATGATTAAAGGAATTGCAAGTGTAACATTAAAAAAAGATTTAAATTGCCAAAATAAAATTTTATTTGAATTTCTAAATCACATATGACTATAAAAAGCATCCTGTGTTTACTGAGAAGGAAGTGTCCTGCCTGAATACTTCCTATTTTGATAATGCACATACAAGTCACATTCAGAAAGACTAGAAAGCAAGGAGCTACAGATCTAGCTAAATTGTAATTTATTGTGGAAGATACAATCATCACTCACCTTGGTCAGGGCATGCATCATGAAGCTGATAGTTAACAGGTTCTAAGTTATATTTCAAAGGAAAAATAATAGACTTGGTTGCAACATGAATGCAAATTATGGCTCTGTACTCTCCCAAATCCTTGGCTTTGTTACCTCCAGAGAATTCAGCTGTGGGATTTCAGACCCATCTAGTGTGTGTTTCTATGATTTTCAGTTGAATCTTGACAAGTATGATTATTCAGATTTTTTGTACTGTCTGAAATAGAAATATGTTCTGCATCATAACTTAGCAGGAAAGTAGGAAGGACTCTTAGATCTTTGAAGCAGCCATGATAGCTTATAGTGAAACTTTTGACATACCAGTATATCTCCAAAAGTTCTAGGCAAATGTGTAAGCAACATACCCTGAAATAGATGAGATGGAATATCCCTGAAACTCATCTATTTCTCACAATTCTGCTTGGAACTATATATCTCACATTCATCCTCAACTATAAATTAATTGCATAAACCCTGATACACATAGAAAAATTCTAAAGTTATTATGTCATAAAATAGAATGGTTAATGACACAGTGTCATCCTAGTGACCTAGTAGTGTAACTGGTTTGTTGCTGTCATAAAATAAAATAGTCTATCATCTATTTTCAACTGCCTCCTTTATATTGAGTCTTATGAAATGCTTCAGTGTGAGAGACAATAACATGCTGAAATGGGAGGAAAACTTGAAGTGAAACTTCAGTTGAAAAAAAATATTGGACTTGAAGGCTTAAAGAAGATGATAAATGGCATTGAAGTTATTACTATAGAAATGAAAGCCAAATTTTGCCTGTTTTTTGAAAGTATTGAAACACTGGGAAGGATCTTTCAAAGGCGAGTTTGGTTAGGAAGATAACTAAAGACAGGAAAGGTAACTGTGTTTAAAGTCTTACAAAGCAAATTGCAAATATTAATTCTAATATTGTCAAAAAGAACCATTTTATATTAACTTGAGCATGATTAGAAAGTATTTAGAACGTAATGTGTATGTTACTTTCCTTAACGTAAATGTTCCTACCCTACAGTTGCTGCTAGGATACATGGGACTTTTTCCTTAATTTCTTTTTAATATTATTCATTAGTTTGCAAACTGATTAGTCCATAAGATTCGAAAGTGTAAATAAAGTAAAAGTGGGTGGTGCCCCATTGTTTGAAGTGTCTGATCAGGTACTGAATAAGTAGAGGAGTTGGTTCCATTTGCGCATCCTCGGGGGTTGTACGGTCATATCTGCCCAGCCCGAGTGTGTACTCATCTGAAATGGAGCTAGCTGGTTATATAAGACCCTGAATCAACCAGCGAGGTGACTCCTCTGCTGCAGATTCTGCTGAGAGGCTGAGAGTACATGTGGGTGGACAAGGATGACACTAGTATCACTCCAAAGATTAAAAATATTCCTCTTCAGACTTGGAGAACCTCAGGTTTCAATCCAGGATTATAATCAAGGCCACCTGACAAGCCGACTGAGTCAGGAACAAATAGTGCCATACAATTTCTAGACAACAGAGAGGTTATCTCTTCCCTCAAATCCATTTCACTACTGAGTTATACCTGAAATCTCATTCCTGGAGGAATCATTGTTTACATGCAGGCTTTGAAAACTGATTTTTAAAAACAAACAAAGCCAAAAAATAAAAACAAAAAACAAAAAAATGGAAAAGTGAAAAATCCAACATTTGATTGTTTTCTGACATTTTATGTCTTCAATTTAATATAGATCTAATTAAATGTATATATATTTTGGTAAGGAGATAGGCACAGCAGAGACGGGTACTGGGTAACTGTGGAGAGAGGGAAGGAAAGAGTCAAAGAAAGCAGCTGTGTGTGCATTGAGCTAGGTGCTTCCAAAAGACATGGCCTCAGTTAGTCCTCACAAAAGGCAGGCATTATGGGACCTATTTATATGGTCCAGAAACTGGGGCCTACGGATTTAAGTAGTTTGACTAAGTTCATTCTGAAAATTAGCAATAGATCTTAATATATCCAACTAATGCCTGTCTGACTCGAAACTCCACCATCATTTCAGTGCCTGAGACTGCATGCAACTGGGAGGTCAAGTAGGACAGAGCCCTGGACTCCATGAGCCCCTCTGGGTGACTTAGGCTAATGGGGCATTTTTTTAACTGGATCAAGTCTGTGTGGGATTCTTGGTGCCAATGAGCTTTTAAGCCGAGTGGTTTTCATCTCCACATGGACGTGCCACCTGGGGCACACGAAGACTGCGTGGGGTGCTCCTGTGTGTGAAGACTTTGGGAGGATGAGTTTCAGATCCTCAGTTTCCATAAAATCCATCTGCCTGAAATAGTTGAAGTGAGCTCCCTTTCCCACATCTGAACTCTAAATTCCATTCTCCCACTCTGCAAAGTAAAAGGCTAACTCTCACCCACCCCTCATTTTACCATGGGATGTTTGGAGGGGTAAAACCACTGCAGCACCAAAGAAAGGAAACTTTCAAAATACTGATGCTAGTATCGAGAGTGAATGATTTGCAGTGACAGAAAATAAAAATCTTAATTACAGGTAAATTGTTTCTAAGAAGTATGATCAAGTGAGAAAAAATTTTCAGAAAAAAAAATAAAGGAGAATGTTCTATGGGGGAAGTAAAATGTCAACATGACTTCAAAGAGAAAAAGGAACTACATAAGATTTCTGACTTTCGAAGACTTCCTTCATGTCTTTTTGAAATAGATGATATTGATTAATTCAATGGATACTTTTAAAAGAGTTATGTAGCAGTTTTATTTTAAAATGTAATTAATTAGAGAACAATGGAAATAACACCTTTTGTGACTGCTTATTCTTTTGGATGTCAGTCACATAAAAATTAGGGTTTGGAAGAAAATATTAGGCTCTTAAGCAAAAAATATTGATGAGCACTGTCAATTCTGGCTGCCCTTGGATTGCATGAGCCACTTCACTGGCATCTTTTCTATCACCAGGCTAGACAGGATCAACTTTGGGAAAAGAGAGACAGGCAAATATGCAACCTCCTCAGCATGACTTTTACTTACACAATTTAAAAGGTGTGGTGGGGCCAGGTGCGATGGCTCACGTCTGTAATACTAACACTTTGGAAAACTGAGTCAGGAAGATCTCTTGAGCCCAGGAGTTTGAGACCAGCGTGGGCAACATAGTGAAACCCTATTGCTACAAAAAATACAAAATTAGCTGGGCATGGTGGTGTGCACCTGTGGTCCCAGCTACCTGGGAGGTTGAGGTGGGAGGATCACCTGAGCCTGGGGAGATAGAGGCTCTAGTGAGCCATAATCATGCCACTGCGGTACAGCCTGAAGCCTGGGTGACAGAGTGAACCTTGTCTCAAAAAAAAAAAAATGCTGTGATGGAGATGTGGGAGATATTCTGAGTTTACAATTGCAAGGCTTATGGTCCCCAAGAAACCCCTAGAAGAAAACAGAGAGCTCGAAGTTGAATATTTAAACTTCCTTCTAATTAATTGTAATATATGTTTCCACCTACAGTTTTCAGGAGAGAATAGTTGACAGTTGGCATAAGCAGGAATGTAAGAAAAAAAAAACTCAGGTGAATAGTGAGACAACATGGAAACTTACTGAGTTTAAACTATCAATTCCTATCCCCCATTCTATTACCAAGTATTGTTTCCAGAAAAGAAAAAAGAACCACTTCTTTTTTTCTCTGTCTCTATTAAAAACTAATTGTGAATGTATGCCTTTAATACATAAAATTGTTGTAAAGCACTAATTTATGTAAACCCTCTCACCCTGTTTTTGATCAAATAGATAATCAAGAATTTCCTTTAGGAAATCGTTCTGCAGATTGAATGAAGTGAGGTTATTGCTCTAAGTCATTTAAACAATGAAAGTTGTGTCTTTGAAATACTAATATATTCATTCTTCTTTCAGAATCCTATTTAGAATTCTGTTTTTTCTTCTTCCAATTTTTTCTGAAAGCTGAAAAAAGAACAATAATGCAATTATGCATGTATTGATGTACAACTGGCACATAAACTTCACTAGGATGTAAGTTGGAATGTTTTCTTAGAAGAGCAAGTACTCAGGGCATAAATGTCAGCAATTTTGAAAAAGCTATTATTAATTATAAGGAGCTCAAGGGGAAATAGTTGATATTCCCTATGGAAATAATAGATGCAAAGGGATGAATGCAAAACAGGTTTGATTCTATTTTGGGAAATTTAAAAAATATTTCACTTACAGTTCCAAAAGACATATAAGAGTCCTTTCAAAAACTGTGTTATAAGAATTTCAGCACCATTTTTCAAAGAAGACAAACAGCACAACTGTTCACAAGGCACTAAGTTCACATTCAGGCCAAATATATTTATGACCTGAATATTCCATACTCATTCATACATTTATTTATTCATTCACAAAACATTTACTGTAAACCTACTATGTTCAAAACACCGGAGACATTGCTATAAAGATAAAGCCCATTTAGTCACAGAGAGGAACACAAAAGTACTCTCAATTAAAGAGAAATAAAATAAAATGTATAATGCATTTTTATCATTATTTCTCCTGATAATCATCTCTTTATGTTAGACAGATTATAAACATCCTACAGTGGGTGAATCTACCTTCTGAATAACTATCTCTCAAGTTTCTTCCCAGGCACTCAGAATAAGATCATATGTTTAGGGAAAATTTTAAATATTCCATAATGTAACACAATATTGAATTAAATGTATAACATGGAGCTGGATGAAAACTTTTAAATTGTTAAGTTGCTAGGCAAATTTTAGCTCTTTTAACATTTAAAACCACCCCAGAAAATGCTCCTGGTGTATTAAACTGTCATTCTGCTGACATAATCCAGAGTCATATCTGGCTACAGTTACAGCCTGTGTAACCTGGAGTGCCATTGTCCAAAATTCTGGTCAGGTCCGATTTTGCCCACCTGAACTGAACAAGTTAAAAGTCCTCCTTCTTGTTATGGTAATAGTCTGAGGTTTGCGATGAAACCGGACTTACTTCCTTGATTCTAGTGTATTCCTTGTAGAGCAAGCTTGATTCTATTGACAGGAAGCTGATCTTTCCTTGTGAAAAGGACTCTGCTTTCAAATATTTCCTGGCTCCAATTTGAGTGTTAGCCTGTACCACACACTTCTCCCTGCTTGGCAGAAGTAGATTCTAAGCATTAGGTCACTCGCTTGTCAAGCTAGGTTCTGGAACTTTGTTTGACAGTCTTTAGTTGAGGAGAATCCTATGCATTTGAGATGCCCTTGTGGTGTTTACGTCTTTCTGAATAACATGTTTGCCACCAATAATCAAAACACAGCTTACCTTGCAGCAGATTTTTAAAACATACACTTTGTGATGTATTTAATACTAGCCAACTATTATATGATGGGTATCTATAATCATAAACACTGAACCTAATATTCTCCTGTGAAGAAAAACTGATTCAGGAGTTTAAATCTTGAGAGCTCTGATTGTGGAAGTTGCAGGTGAGATGATTTGTCCAGTGTGCTTATTTCCACCAGCTGTGCTCAGCTTATAGGACTTTACTGGGGATATAATAGCCTGATGTTTGGTATAAATAGATTGCAAAGGAAGACTTAATAGATTTTTTAAGACAGAGCCATCACGCAGGACACATCTCTTGTTTTTCTAACAAGGATAGCAAATCCATTTTAGCACATTATCTAAGTTACAGCTATGGGTTAATTGTACATTATAGTTATTTGAAAAAGCGACTACAAAGGAAAATCTTGTCTAAAATGGAATTCATAGAAGGCTCTTATATAGCAACTTTCCAGAGTTCAACTACAAGCACAAATTGTAGTGTAAACATAATGCCCTGTGAAATATTATTTTAGCCCATGCCATGGCCCACTTGTTTAGTGTCTTTATTTTAATTTCCAGGGTACCCCTGGGATTCGTCAGGATTTATTGCAAATGAAAAAGAAGGATGATCTTTAATACTGCTGGGGTCCCTCAATAGTTCATAGTATTTCATAGAAGTTGATTTTGCAAGATAAATCTTTTTGAAAAGTTGACTATCTTGGAAGTTGAAATGAGAGGGTAACCCAGCTTCAATACCTAAAATGTAAATGAGAGAAGCAGTTATTATTAGCTTTGGCAAAGCAGAAATCAGGGATGTGGCCATCTTGATCTAGTGCACCAATGTAGTGTACATCTTTCTGCCTTAGAGGCTGGTGTCCAGTTAAAAAAATGAGTTGTTTTACCTGAAATGCAGTAACTTTGCAAAACAAGCAGCAGTTTTGAAAGCCAATTGATATATTTTTTATCAAATTTATCTCTGGTCCAAGTGCTCAAGTGGTGTTTGTGGAGGGAGAGTAGAAGTATGTTAGCACTTATTCTCAATAACTTTTGCAGCAATGTGCCTGCACAAAACAATTTTCTTCATGGCTTGATATGGTTTGGCTGTGTCCCCACCCAAATCTCATCTTTAATTGTAGTTGCCATAATCCCACATTGTGGGAGAAACCTGGTGGGAGTAATTGAATCATGGGGGCGGTTACCCCCTTGTTGCTGTTCTCATGAGAGTGAGTGAGTTTTCATGAGATCTGATGGTTTTATAAGGGACTTTTCCCCCTTTTTCTGCACTTCTCCTTGCTGCCACCATGTGAAGAAAGACATATTTGCTTCCTCGTCCACAAGGATTGTAAGTTTTCTGAGGCCTCCCCAGCCCTACAGAACTGTGGGTCAATTTAACCTCTGTCCTTTATAAGTTACCAAGTCTCGGGTATGTCTTTATTGGCAGCATGAAAACGGACTAATACAGTAACGAAGGAAATGCTCATTGTAGCATTTTGGATTTTTTTTTATTATACTTTAAGTTTTAGGGTACATGTGCACAAGGTGCAGGTTAGTTACATATATATACTTGTGCCATGTTGGTGTGCTGCACCCATTAACTCTTCATTTAACATTAGGTATATCTCCTAATGCTATCCCCCCCCTCCTCCCACCCCACAACAGTCCCCACTCTGTGATGTTCCCCTTCCTGTGTCCATGTGTTCTCATTGTTCAATTCCCACCTATAAGTGAGAACATGTGGGGTTTGGTTTTTTGTCCTTGTGATAGTTTGCTGAGAATGATGGTTTCCAGCTTCATCCCTATCTCTACAAAGGATATGAACTCATCATTTTTTATGGCTGCATAGTATTCCATGGTGTATATGTGCCACATTTTTTTAATCCAGTCTATCATTGTTGGACATTTGGGTTGGTTCCAAGTCTTTGCTATTGTGAATAGTGCCACAATAAACATATGTGTGCGTATGTCTTTATAGCAGCATGATTTATAATCCTTTGGGTATATACCCAGTAATGGGATGGCTGGGTCAAATGGTATTTCTAGTTCTAGATCCTGAGGAATCGCCACACTAACTTCCACAATGGTTGAACTAGATTACAGTCTAACCAACAGTGTAAGTGTTCTTATTTCCCCACATCCTTTCCAGCACCTGTTGTTTCCTGACTTTTTAATGATCGCCATTCTAACTGGTGTGAAATGGTATCTCATTGTGGTTTTGATTTGCATTTCTCTGATGGCCAGTGATGATGAGCATTTTTTCATGTGTCTTTTGGCTGCATAAATGTCTTCTTTTGAGAAGTGTCTGTTCATATCCTTCACCCACTTTTTGATGGGTTGTTTGTTTTTTCTTGTAAATTTGTTTGATTTCATTGTAGATTCTGGATATTAGCCCTTTGTCAGATAAGTGGATTGCAAAAATTTTCTCCCATTCTGTAGGTTGCATGTTCACTCTTATAGTAGTTTCTTTTGCCGTGCAGAAGCTCTTTAGTTTAATTAGATCCCGTTTGTCAATTTTGACTTTTGTTGCCATTGCTTTTGATGTTTTAGACATGAAGTCCTTGCCCATGCCTATATCCTGAATGGGTATTGCCTAGGTTTTCTTCTAGGGTTTTTATGGATTTAGGTCTAACATTTAAGTCTTCAATCCATCTTGAATTAATTTTTGTATAAGGTGTGAGGAAGGGATCCAGTTTCAGCTTTCTACATATGGCTAGCCAGTTTTCCCAGCACCATTTATTAAATAGGGAATCCTTTCCCCATTGCTTGTTTTTCTCAGGTTTGTCAAAGATCAGATGGCTGTAGATATGTGGCATTATTTCTGAGGGCTCTGTTCTGTTCCATTCATCTATATCTCTGTTTTGGTACCAGCACCATGCTGTTTTGGTTACTGTAGCCTTGTAACATAGTTTGAAGTCAGGTAGTGTGAATGCCTCCAGCTTTGTTCTTTTGGCTTAGGATTGACTTGGCAATGTGGACTCTTTTTTGGTTCCATGTGAACTTTAAAGTTGTTTTTTCCAATTCTGTGAAGAAAGTCATTGGTAGCTTGATGGGCATGGCATTGAATCTATAAATTACCTTGGGCAGTACGGCCATTTTCACGATATTGATTCTTCCTACCCATGAGCATGGAATATTCTTCCATTTGTTTGTATCCTCTTGTATTTCATTGAGCAGTGGTTTGTAGTTCTCCTTGAAGAGGTCCTTCACGTCTCTTGTAAGTTGGATTCCTAGGTATTTTATTCTCTTTGAAGCAATTGTGAATGGGAATTTACTCATGATTTGGCTCTCTGTTTGTCTGTTATGGGTGTATAAGAATGCTTGTGATTTTTTGCACATTGATTTTGTATCCTGTGACTTTGCTGAAGTTGCCTATCAGCTTAAGGAGATTTTGGGCTGAGAAGATGGGGTTTTCTAGATATGCAATCATGTCATCTGCAAACAGGGACAATTTGACTTCCTCTTTTCCTAATTGAATACCCTTTATTTCCTCTCCTGCCTGATTGCCCTGGCCAGAACGTCCAGCACGTCCCATGTTGTCCAACGTCCTATGTTGAATAGGAGTGGTGAGAGGGCATCCCTGTCTTGTGCCAGCTTTCAAAGGGAATGCTTCCAGTTTTTGCCCATTCAGTATGATATTGGCTGTGGGTTTGTCATAGATACCTCTTATTATTTTGAGATACATCCCATCAATACCTAATTTATTGAGAGTTTTTAGCAATGAAGGTTGTTGAAGTTGTCAAAGGCCTTTTCTTCATCTATTGAGATAATCATGTGGTTTTTGTCATTGGTTCTCTATTGAGATAATCATGTGGTTTTTGTCATTGGTTCTGTTTATATGCTGTATTACGTTTATTGATTTGCATATGTTGAACCAGACTTGCATCCCAGGGTTGAAGCCCACTTGATCATGGTGGATAAGCTTTTTGATGTTCTGCTGGATTCGGTTTGCCAGTATTTTATTGAGGATTTTTGCATCGATATTCATCAGGGATGTTGGTCTAAAATTCTCTTTTTTTGTTGTGTCTCTGCCAGGCTTTGGTATCAGGATGATGCTGGCCTCATAAAATGAGTTAGGGAGGATTCCCTCTTTTTCTATTGATTGGAATAGTTTCAGAGGGAATGGTACCAGCTCCTCCTTGTACCTCTGGTAGAATTCGGCTGTGAATCCATCTGGTCCTGGACTTTTTTTGGTTGGTAAGCTATTAATTATTGCTTCAATTTCAGAGCCTGTTATTGGTCTATTCAGAGATTCAGCTTCTTCCTGGTTTAGTCTTGGGAGGGTGTATGTGTCAAGGAATTTATCCATTTCTTCTAGATTTTCTAGTTTATTTGTGTAGAGATGTTTATAGTATTCTCTGATGGTAGTTTCTATTTCTGTGGGATCAGTGGTGATATCCCCTTTATCATTTTTTATTGCGTCTATTTTATTCTTCTCTTTTCTTCTTTATTAGTCTTGCTAGTGGTCTATCAATTTTGTTGATCTTTTCAAAAAACCCGCTGCTGGATTCATTGATTTTTTGAAGGGTTTTTTGTGTCTCTGTTTTCTTCATTTCTGCTCTGATCTTAGTTATTTCTTGCCTTCTGGTAGCTTTTGAATGTGTTTGCTCTTGTTTCTCTAGTTCTTTTAATTGTGATGTTAGGGTCTCAATTTTAGATCTTTCCTGCTTTCTCTTGTGGGCATTTAGTGCTATAAATTTCCCTCTACACACTGCTTTATATGTGTCCCAGAGATTCTGGTATGTTGTGTCTTTGTTCTCGTTGGTTTCAAAGAACATATTTATTTCTGCCTTCATTTCGTTTTGTACCCAGTAGTCATTCAGGAGCAGGTTGTTCAGTTTCCATGTAGTTGAGCGGTTTTGAGTGAGTTTCTGAATCCTGAGTTCTAGTTTGATTGCACTGTGGTCTAAGAGACAATTTATTATAATTTCTGTTCTTTCACATTTGCTGAGGAGTGCTTTACTTCCAACTATGTGGCCAATTTTGGAATAAGTGCAGTGTGGTGCTGAGAAGAATGTATATTCTGTTGATTTTGGGTGGAGAGTTCTGTAGATGTCTATTAGGTCTGCTTGGTGCTGAGCTGAGTTCAATTCCTGGATATCCTTGTTAACTTTCTGTCTCGTTGATCTGTCTAATGTTGACAGTGGGGTGTTAAAGTCTCCCATTATTATTGTGTGGTAGTCTAAGTCTCTTTGTAGGTCTCTAAGGACTTGCTTTATGAATCTGGGTGCTCCTGTATTGGGTGCATATATATTTAGGATAGTTAGCTCTTCTTGTTGAATTGATCCCTTTACCATTATGTAATGGCCTTCTTTGTCTCTTTTGATCTTTGTTGATTTAAAGTCTGTTTTGTCAGAGACTAGGATTGCAACCCCTGCCTTTTTTTGTTTTCCATTTGCTTGGTAGATCTTCCTCCATCCCTTTATTTTGAGCCTACGTGTGTCTCTGCATGTGAGATGGGTTTCCTGAATACAGCGCACTGATGGGGCCTGACTCTTTATCCAATTTGCCAGTCTGTGTCATCTGATTGGAGCATTTAGCCCATTTACATTTAAGGATAATATTGTTATGTGTGTATTTGATCCTGTCATTATGATGTTAGCTGGTTATTTTGCTCGTTAGTTGATGCAGTTTCTTCCTAGCCTCGATGGTCTTTACAATTTGGCATGTTTTTGCAGTGGCTGGTACCGGTTGTTCCTTTCCATGTTTAGTGCTTCCTTCAGGAGCTCTTTTAGGGCAGGCCTGGTGGTGACAAAATCTCTCAGCATTTGCTTTTCTGTAAAGGATTTTATTTCTCTTTCACTTATGAAGCTTAGTTTGACTGGATATGAAATTCTGGATTGAAAATTCTTTTCTTTAAGAATGTTAAATATTGGCCCCCACTCTCTTCTGGCTTGTAGAGTTTCTGCCAAGAGATCAGCTGTTAGTCTGATGGGCTTCCCTTTGTGGGTATCCCGACCTTTCTCTCTGTTTGCCCTTAACATTTTTTCCTTCATTTCAACTTTCGTGAATCTGACAATTATGTGTCTTGGAATTGCTCTTCTCAAGGAGTATCCTTGTGGCATTCTCTGTGTTTCCTGAGTTTGAATGTTGGCCTGCCTTGCTAGATTGGGGAAGTTCTCCTGGATAATATCCTGCAGAGTGTTTTCCAACTTGTTTCCATTCTCCCTGTCACTTTCAGGTACACCAATCTGATGTAGATTTGGTCTTTTTACATAGTCCCATATTTCTTAGAGGCTTTGTTCATTTCTTTTTATTCTTTTTTCTCTAAATTTCTCTTCTCACTTCATTTCATTTATTTGATCTTCCATCACTGATACACTTTTTTCCAGTTGATCAAATCAGCTACTGAGGCTTGTGCATTTGTCACGTACTTCTCATGCCATGGTTTCAAGCTCCATCAGGTCCTTTAAGGACTTCTCTGCATTGGTTATTCTAGTTAGCCATTCATCTAATTTTTTTTCAAAGTTTTTAACTTCTTTGCCATGGGTTCGAACTTCCTCCTTTAGCTCAGAGAAGTTTGATCATCTGAAGCCTTCTCTCAACTTGTCAAAGTCATTCTCCGTCCAGCTTTGTTCCATTGCTGGTGAGGAGCTGCGTTGCTTTGCAGGAGGAAAGGTGCTCTGATTTTTAGAGTTTCCAGCTTTTCTGCTCTGTTTCTTCCCCATCTTTGTGGTTTATCTACCTTTGGTCTTTGATGATGGTGACGTACAGATGGAGTTTTGGTGTGGATGTCCTTTCTGTTTGTTAGTTTTCCTTCTAACAGTCAGGACCTTCAGCTGCAGGTCTGTTGGATTTTGCTGGAAGTCCACTCCAGACCCTGTTTGCCTGGGTATCAGCAGCGGAGGCTGCAGAACAGCAGATATTGGTGAACAGCAAATGTTGCTGCCTGATTGTTCCTCTGTAAGTTTTGTCTCAGAGGAGTACCTGGCTGTGTGAGGTGTCAGTCTGCCCCTACTGGGGGGTGCCTCCCAGTTAGGCTACTCAGGGATCAGGGACCCACTTGAGGAGGCAGTCTGTCCATTCTCAGATCTCCAGCTGCGTGCTGGGAGAACCACTACTCTCTTCAAAGCTGTCAGACAGGGACATTTAAGTCTGCAGAGATTTCTACTGCGTTTTGTTTGGTTATGCCCTGCCCCCAGAGGTGGAGTCTACAGAGGCAGGCAGACCTCCTTGAGCTGCGGTGGGCTCTACCGAGTTCCAGCTTCCAGGCCACTTTGTTTACCTACTCAAGCCTCGGCAATGGCCGACACCCCTCCCCCAGCCTCGCTGCCGCCTTGCAGTTGGATCTCAGACTGCGTGCTAGAAATGAGTGAGGCTCTGTGGGCGTAGGACCCTCCGAGCCAGGCATAGGTTATCATCTCCTGGTATGCTGTTTGCTAAGACCATTGGAAAAGTGCAGTATTAGGGTGGGAGTGACCCGATTTTGCAGGTGCCATCTGTCACCCCTTTCTTTGACTAGGAAAGGGAATTCCGTGACCCTTTGTGTTTCCTGGGTGAGGCAATGCCTTGCCCTGGTTCGGCTCACGCTCGGTGCACTGTACCCACTGTCCTGCACCCACTTTCCAACACTCCCCAGTGAGATGAACCCAGTACCTCAGTTGGAAATGTAGAAATCACCCGTCTTCTGTGTCGCTCACACTGGGAGCTGTAGACTGGAGCTGTTGCTATTCAGCATCTTGGCTCCACCCCAGGATTTTGGATTTTTGGATTTGGGATGTTAAACTGGTAAGTATATAATGCAGTATTCCAAAATAAAATATAATTTAAAATCCAAAATGCTTCTGGTTCCAAGCATTTCAGATAAGGGATACTCAACCTGTATTGGAAAACCATGTTAAATGGGCATCTTCATACAGTTGCTAAATAAATACTATGTGAGGGACCTATTCTAAGTTGTAAAGATCTTGTAAAAGTGAAAAAGGAAGTTGCTTAAGCTATTTAAATTGGATCATGCTACAGATGGGGACAAAACATTTGCTGACAAACAAACAAAAACACTCCAAAACGTAACTGATAAAGGGCTAGTATCCAACATATATGATGACTCTGAAAACTCAACAATGGGAAAAAGATGTGAACAGGTTTCTCACCAGAGAAGATGCACAGATCGCTAATAAACATAGGAAAATATGCTCCATATCATATGTCATCCACATCATAACTCATCAGGATAATGCAAATTAAAACAAAGAGATATCATTGTATGCTTATTAGAATGGCTAAATTCAAAACACTGACAGCATCCAATGCTGGAGAAAATATGGGACAGCAGGAACTCTCATCCATTGCTGGTGGGAATGCAAAATGGTAGAGGCATTTTGGAAGACAGTTTGGCAGTTTCTTATAAATCTAAACATGCTCTTATCTTATGACTCAGCAATTACATGCCTTGGTATTTACCCCAATTACATGAAAACTTATAGTCACACAATAACCTACACCCAAATGTCTACAACAGCTTTGCTCATAATTGCCAAAACTTAGAAGCAACAAAGATGTCCTTTACAGAGATACTCTCTAAAAGAAAATGATATTTATTCAGGAGTAATATTACAATGGGATTATGCACGCCATAGTTAACTATGTGTGTAGTCAAAAATATTGAGGCACGGGAAAGTTTTTAAAGACAAAATGAGGTGGATTACATAAGTTATTTTGAATCAATTATCCTTGGAAACAAGAATAAATAACAAGAATGCTGTGAGTCCAAGGTTGGACAGGCAGTTGCTGAACAGGTGTCCTCGCAGAAGTATTTTCTGTGTAAAGCTGTGGTGGCCTTTGTGTAAAGTTGTGGATTTTGCCATCTTTTGTGGTAGTTCTTATTATCAGGGATATGTGCATGAGAACCCTCCCCCAGTGGCTTTCCCTCTCTCCATTTGTCAATGCTTGACACAAGTGCCTCCATTTAGACTCTGAAAACTTTCACACCTTCAGTAGGTGAATGAATCAACTGTGATACATCCAGACAATGAAATATTATTGACCAATACAAAGATATGAGTTATCAAGCCATAAAAAGACATGGTGAAACCTTAAGAGCATATTGCTAAATTAAATAAGCTAATCTGAAAAGGCTACAAACTGAATAATTCCAAATATATGACATTCTGGAAAAGACAAATTAGGGGCACAATAAAACGATTAGTGGTTTTAAGGGATTTTGGGGTACAGAGGGAGGGAGAGAGGGAAGGACGAATAGCTGAAGCACAACAGATTTTTAGCACAATGAAATGATTCTGTATGATATTGTAATGATGGGCACTTACCTTTGTCAGAACCCATAGAATGCCCACCAAGAATGAACCCTAATATAAACTATGGACTTTAATTAACAATAATGTATCAATATAGACTCAACAATTGTAATAAATGTACCACAATGTTGCTAAATCTTAATAAGAGTGTAATCTGAGGATCCAGGGGAGGTGAAGGGAGAGGATATATAGGAACTCTGTACTTTCTGGTCATATTTCTGTAAATGTAAAACTTATTTAAAAAGAGTATTGAAAAAGAAAGAACATAAATCTTTATTAAATAGGCTCTGCAGGGTCCCTAAATAGAAACTTTTTAATAATGATTACGACCTAAAAATATGTTTATAAGTAATAAAATTACATTAATAAAATCATTTTATTACATAGTCTACTTCTCTCACACTAATTTCAACTGACCTTTCTACCAATAATTCAAAACCAAGATTGATTTCATTTTAAGGCACAAACAATGGATTGAATTAATAAGATGCATATTAGAAATGGGTTGTTTTATCAATTCTTATGTAATGCATATTTTGTCAGGAAATATTCATTACAAGAGAGAGCTAAAACATGAGGCACCAGTCTTTTGAAATTCCCTTAAGTTAAACAAAAATTGCCAGGAAAAGCAGAAAGAACTATATTCCAGAAAAGTTAACAGAACAAGGTACATTTAAACCATTTTAACTGCTCACTAGTAAGAGCAGTGGGATCTTTGAAGAATAAGTAGTTAATAAGTCACAGTATCCTACCCGTGAGAATGAAATGTAACTTTCTATTTTGCTAATGGTTCAAAATAGCAAATTGGCTATTCTCTCTCTCGGCTGCAAGCTTGAAAATCTTGAACATTTGTGTTTTTACTACTTAGAAAAAGAAAGATGCAATATAAAGAGAATGTCATCCTGCAGTGTTTCTTCTTCCCAAAGCCAATAATTATTTTCAAATACATTTTTATTTCAATACTTTTTGGGGTACATGTGGTTTGGGAGTACATGGATAAGTTATTTAGTGGTGATTTCTGAGATTTTTGTGCACCTGTCACCCAAACCATGTACACTGTATCCAATAGGTAGTCTTTTATCCCTTACCCAGCTCCCAACCTTCACCCTGAGTCCCCAAAGTCCATTATATCATTCTTATGCCTTTGCATCCTCATAGCTTAACTTCCATGTAGAAGTAATAGCACACAATATTTGGTTTACCATTCCTGAATTACTTCACTTAGAGTAATGTCCTCCAGCTCCATCCACATTGCTACAAGAGACATTATTTCATTCCTTTTTATAGCTGAGTGGTATTCCATGGTGTATATGTATCACATTTTCTTTAATCATTCATTGGTTAGATGGGCACTTAGGTTGGTTCCATATTTTTGCAATTGTGAATTGTGCTGCTATAAACATGCATGTCCATGTGTCCTTTACATGTAATGGCTTCTTTTCCTTTAGGTAGATACCTAGCAGTGAGATTGCTGGATTGAATGGTATTTCTACTTTTAGTTCTTTAAGGAATCTCCAAACTGTTTTCCACAGTGTTTGTACTAGTTTACATTCCCACATGCAGTGTAAAAATGTTCCCTTTTCTCCACATCCATGCCAACATCTGTTGTTTTTTGACTTTTTAATTATGGTCATTCTTACAGGAATAAGGTGGTATCTTATGATGGTTTCAATTTGCATTTAATTTGCATTTTGCATTTTCTTGTTTGTTTGAAATTCAAGTAACTTTAATAATTGGTGATGTTTAGCATTTTTTCGTGTTTGTTGGCTGTTTGTATATCTTTTTTTGAGAATTGTCTATTCATGTCCTTTGTCTGTATTTTGAAGGGATTATTTGTTTGAGTTTCTTGTAGATTCTGGATATTAGTCTTTTGTGGGATGCGTGGTTTGCAAAAATTCTTTCCCACTCTGTGGGTAGTCTGTTTACTCTATTGATTATTTATTTTGCTGTGAAATAGCTTTTTAGTTTAATTAGTTTAATTAGCTCCCATTTATTAGTTTTATTAATTTTGTTACATTTATTATTAATTTTGCTATATTTATTTTTGTTACATTTATTGAAATAAAGATAAAAATGTATTTAAAAATAATTATTGGCTTTGGAAAGAAGAAACACTGCAGGATGACATTCTTTTTATATTGCATCTTTTTTTTCTAAGTCAGTGAAAGACACAAATATCCAAGAGTGGTAAGGCTATTCAATGAGGAAAGGTCAGTCCTCAAAAAATGGTGCTGGGTAACTGGATATCTACATGGTAATGAATGAATCTGGACCCTTACTGTACATTTGTTACTTATAATTTTGTTACATTCGTTACATTTTGCCTTACTGGACATTTGTTACTTATGATTTTGTTACATTTCTGGAAAAGTTTTTCCGATGTTATCTTCTAGAATGTTTATGATTTAAGGTCTTAAAGTCTTTGATCCATCTTGATTGATTTCTGTATAAGCTGAGAGATGAGGATCCAGTTTCATTCTTCTACATGTGCAAAGCTCACTATTAAATTATTATTTAATAATTATTAATTATTAAAATATGTAGAATATAATGGGTATTTTCAACTTCCCTATGAAAATAAATTCAGATGAAGTTGGTTCAAAAAACTAAATGTATGTACCTTTTATATCTTGAGAAATATCACTGGCACATTATTCATACTGTCAGTGGGCATTTCAGTTTCCACCTTTTGGCTATTGTGAATAACGCTGCCATGAACATGAGTATACAAATATCTGTTTGAGCCACTACTTTCAATTCTTTTGGGTATAAACTCAGAAGTGGAATTGCTGGGTCATATGGTAATTCTATGTTTATTTCTTTTTTGAGGAACTGCAATACTGATTTACACAGTGTCCTGCATCATTTTACGTTGCCGCCGACAGGGAATAAAGATGCTAATTTGTTCACATCCTTGCCAACACTTGCTATTTTCTGTTTTTGTTTTGTTTTGTTTTTGTTTTTTGATAGTAGCCAACCTAATGGTGATATCTCATTATGGTTTTGATTTGCATTTTCCTAATGATTAGTGATGGTAAAAAATCTTTTCATGTGCTTATTGGCCATTCGTATGTCTTTTGTGGAGAAATGTTGTTTTAAGTCCTTTGCCAATTTTTGAAACAGATTTTTTGTTGTTGCTGTTGAGTTTAGGAGTTCTCTACATATTTTGGGTATTAACCTCTCATCAGATATATGATTTGTAAATACTTTGTCCCATTCCGTGGATTGCCTTTATACTCTGTTAATATAGTTCTTTGATACACAAAAGCTTTAAGTTTCCATGAAGTGCAATTTGTTTGTTTTTTCTTTTGTCACGTGTGTCTTTAGTGTCATATTCAAGAAGTAATTTCCAAATCTGATGTTGTGAAGATTTTGCTCTATGTTTTCTTCTAAGAATTTCATAGGTTAGCTGTAACATTTAGGTCTTTGATCTGCTTTTAGCTAATTTTTGTATATGGCATTAAGTAAGGGTCCAGATTCATTCATTACCATGTGGATATCCAGTTCCCCAGCACCATTTTTTGAGGACTGGCCTTTCCCCATTGAATAGCCTTACCACTCTTTTCAACAATGTTTGACCACATATATGAAAAATTCCATTGATCTTTACATCTGCTTTTATGCCAAATGCACTGTTTTGATTACCATAGCTTTGTAGTAAGTTTTGAAATCAGGAAATGTACATCCTCTAGCTTTGTTCTTTTTTTATCGCGATTGTTTCGGCTACTTCATGCCCCTGAGATTCCATATGAATTTTAATTTCTATTTCTATTAAAAAGTCATTGAGATTTTGATAGGAATTGCATTGAATCTATAGATCATTTGCGGGGGGGATTGTTGACATTTTAATATTGTCTTCCAATTCATGAACATGGGATCTCTTTCCATTTACTTATATCTTTTAAAATTATTTTTAGCAATGTTTTAGAGTTTTCATTGCAGAGGAATCTTTTAAAAATGTAACTATTTTAAAGCCATTCATGGGGCTTTTTCTTACTGGTTTGATCCAACTTTGCATTGCATACTGATCCATATATTATGCCAACTTATTCCATTTATAGACTGAAAAATGTATATCAATTTTGTACCTGTGGGTTAAAACTTCATTAGAACAGTTAAATGACATTTAATGTAGTACAGCTGGAAAACAAT
The DNA here is from genome assembly GCF_000001405.40 of Homo sapiens. Classification (NCBI taxonomy): domain Eukaryota; kingdom Metazoa; phylum Chordata; class Mammalia; order Primates; family Hominidae; genus Homo; species Homo sapiens. The sequence goes on from NC_000008.11 coordinate 62,328,192, forward strand.
GCCAGTGCACAAATCTATTACTATAATAATGTGGTTTTGAATTACATTTCACACAGCTCAGTATTATCTTCTACCAAATTTACAAGTCCAATGAAAGGTAATATAGTTCAATATACATTAACAATTATGGTTCTTGTTTTCTTACTTAACGGACCTGCTATTTCAGGTATTGTTTTCATTTACCTTTTAATCAGCTTAAATGTTGTAAAATACCTATAATGAGAGGGGTCGTATTACAAGGAAAGCATGAGAAACTGTGGGTAGCAAAATTTGTTTGGTTAGTTTTTTTTCTAGTTGTAAAGAGATGATGTTGATATTATCTCATAGAGATTTCCTGTTTTCTCAGTCTTCTGGGAAGACAGAACCATATGCCACTAAACCAATCCTCATTGCACCAGATGTCTTATGTAAAGGAACACCTTAACATCTCAGAGATTATACATTTTTAGGAATCAAATATGTTAAAAGGATTAAAAAAGATATTTTACCTCTCTACATTCTCCAGAGTAATTAGCCCAGAACTTTGCATAAATGTGTTTACTTTGTATTCATTTCTTTATTTAGTAATTCATTCTCAAATATTTGTTTAGTACCTTATATGGGCTAATTGCACTGCTGTGCATTGGTGGTTGTGGGATTCAGCCTTCAAGATACCACCCAATGATCCCTGTCTCCTGCTACACACCCTTGGGCTACGTTGCACCAGGGTTGGTCTGTGGGATCCATAGAATATTGCAGAATTGATGGTATGTTACTTCCAAGATAGGTAGTAAAAGATCGACTTCCATCTTTTGCATTACCTTTTTTGGGTCACCCTCTCTGGGGAATCCATGTCATCAGCAGCTTTGTGAAGTGTCCCAGGAGGTGAGGATCTAAAGCCTTCTGCCAACAGCCATGGAAGTGAGCTGAGAAGTATATCTTCTCAGCCCAGTCAAGTTTCAAGTTACTGCAGACCCTGCTGACACTCTAATTGCAGCCTCATCAGTGGCCTTGAGCCAGCACCACCAAGAATAGCTGCTCTAGAATTCCAAACTCTCAGAAACTGTGAGAAAATAAGTGTTTACTCTTTTACCCTGAAAAATTTGAAAGACTTTTCTATACAGCAATCATTAATTAATACAGAGATACATGCATGAACAAGTCTTTTCTTAATTTCAATTTTTATCATGGATTAAAGGGTACATGTGCAGGTTTGTTACATGGATAAATTGTGTGATGCTGAGGTGTGGGGTACCAATGATCCCATCACCCATTCCGGAAGAATCGTACCCAACAGGAGTTTCTTCAGCTTACATTCCGCTCCTTTTCTCCTCCAGTGATCCCCAGTGTTTATCATTCCCATCTTTGCAATCATGTGTATTCAATGTTTAGTTTCCACTTATAAGTGAGAACATGTGGCAGTTGGTTTTCTGTTCCTGTATTAGTCGCTTAGGATAATAGCCTCCAGCTCCATCAGTGGTACTGCAAAGGGCATGATTTTGTTCTTTTTTATGGCTGCATGATATTCCATTGTGTATATGTACCATATTTTCTTTATCTAGTCCACTGTTGATGGACACTTAGGTTGATTTCACGTCCTTACTATTGTTAATAGCACTGCAGTGAACATACAGGTGCCTGTGTCTTTATGAGAGAATGAATTATTTTCCTTTGAGTATATACCCAGTCATGGGATTGCTGGGTCAAATAGTAGTACTATTTTAAGTGGATGAACGATTCTTGTCCTGCCTTCAAGGAGCTACTAGCTCAGTGAAACTGGTGAACTGTTGATTTACCACTAAACCAAGGGTAGATACCACGACAGCACCTAGATGCAGCACCTATCTCAGTCTTGGTGACAAGAACAGCCAAATGAATGAAAGATTCTTAATTTGTGGCTCCAAGAATGAGGACGAGGAAGTAGCAAGAGAAAAGCATGGACGATTCCAGATAGAAGAGAAAGGGTGAGCCAAGGTTGAGGTTAGGGAGAGGTGAGTACAGTAGTTTCCAGGCCCTGGTTTCATGTGGGCAACAGGGGTGATGAATAATGAGGATGGGGGGGTGAGCTGGGAACAGATGAGGAAGAAAAGTATATATCACAGGAAGGAGTTAGAGGAGAGCCACTGAAGATTTTTAAGCACAAACATGACTACCATTCAGAGTATAAGCCAGGGTACGTAGGAAACAAGGAGGCACTGGCTGCAGAAACAGGAAAAGGTCCTGGGAGTCTAAGAGAGGGTAGTGGCAGTAGGAAAGAGAGGGAGTTGAGTTTGAGGCATGTTAAGAGGTTAGAATCGACAGATTTGAGGCTGAAATACATAATTTGGCATTTTTGTCTTTTAATTTACCCCACTAAGACCCCTGGACACTTAACCCATACCTGCCCCTCCTCTAGTACGGCCATCTTGGTGATTGACACCACAGATCACTCAGTCGCTCCAGATGGCAACCTGGACATGACTGGAAATACCTCCCTTTCCCTTGTAACTGTATCCAGTTACTAACCTAATTTTACATATCTAATGCCCAAGATCTTTCTAATTAGAGTGTCCCTTCCCTTCTTTCCCCACCTGAGTAGTGTTAAGTAAACCCTTGCCACCTCTTCCCTCAATTTTTGTAATGGTTCCTAACAGTTTCACTCCTAGCCATACCTTCTTTGCATGAATTCTCTGTATCCCTACCAGGCCCATTCAAAACACTCATATGAGTGTTCACCCACCCTGCTTAGACACATTCACTGGTTCTTCTGCCACTGTGGACACAGTCCACATGCTTTGGCTTGGATGCAAATCATTTTTCTCTAATCTCTAGACTTCTCTCTCTCTCTCTTTCTCTCTCTCTCTATATATATGTATGTATCTCCCTTCCTCCCTCCTCTTCTACCTCCTCCTCCTCTCTCTCTCTCTCTGTCTCTCTCTCTCTCCATATATATATATGTATATATGTATGTATATCCCTTCCTCCCTCCTCTTCCACCCCCTCTTCCTCCCCCCCAAAGCCCTATTGTATAGCCATATTAAACTACTGGGGTCACTTATGTACATTTAAACCCTTTCTTTTCTCTATATGGATCTTCACTCCCTCCTGTCCCCAGCTAACTCCTACATGTTAGGAGTTAGAACTCATACATGTTAAGACCCAACTGTGTGTTGCCTCTTCTTGGATACATAAGCTGCCACCTGATGCCTATCTCCCCTAGCTCTCACCTCACTATATTCAATTTGTGATTTGCATCCAGTCTCTCCCACAAGTTTCCAAACTCCTTGAAGGCAGGGACCACACCTCATGTGCCTGGCACCGTCAGCGTAGTGTCTTGCATAAAATAGACACTCCACAAATGTGAAAAGCTAGAACTGAGCACTGCATTCAAACATTCTGCTTAGTGTCCTGAACAATACAGTCCAAACAGGAAAGTACTGAACATTAAGAACCTTTTTATCTTCTTTAAGAGTTAGAAAAGCTTGAATAATTCTTTCTTATCTGGTATAGGAAAATTTTTGATTTTTTATATTAGATACACTGGAAAGTGAACTATCAAGCATGAAGAGACAAACATCTACTATTTGAACTTTTGACAACTAATTTATAGCTCCAGGACCAATAGGTTATTACGTATGTTGTCCTTGTTTGTGCAAGACCAATCAAATACCGCTTTGTATTAATACTTTTAAAAAGATTAAAATTCTGTTTTTTTCATGTTTAACTCTGTCTTCAGATATGAGTCACCTAATGTCTTCTTTGAGAGGAGATTACTTTGAAGTCTGGGGGACATCCCCAGCTAGAAGACCTGGGCAGAAATATGCTCGGATGATCATGATCTGAATTCAAAGGGAACAATTAAGGAATTATTTCCATTTTGATTCTAATAGCAAGCTTTTCTACTTGTTGCCCTTCAACCTGTCTGCATGCCAGCTGAAACTTCAATAGAGCCTCATGACAGAGCTGTTAAAAGACTTTGAAAAGGGAACGTGTGAAATCATAAATGCTTCAGAAATAAGATAATGTTTCTCAGTCCATTACATTCTTAACCTCTTGTTTCTGCTTAACGGACTTCGTTAAAGGTCAGTGAGAATGTTTTAACAGCAAATGCTTGAGACTTCCAAGAACATATTGCCATTCTAGATATCCATTGCTAATAAAGAACTGGTTTGGTATATTCTGTACTTATATTTTCAGTAAAAATAAAAAGTCATCATCAGAAAGACTTGAGCATAAATCTAAATTTCAAATCTTTGAATTAGTATATATTTGAAAATTTGTAATCTGGTGTTACTTTTCCAATTAGGAAAATGAATAACATAACATCTTTATAATGCATTACAGTTTATGATGAAAATTTCTGTATGCTTTTCTCATTTTTCACTATAGTGGTTGAGTGACATGGATAATAATGTAATTTCATTTTAGATATGAGGAGACTGCAGTCCGAGAAGGTTAGGTTGCTTAACTAACCCTGCTAACCTGTGAATGAGCTGTGATGTGATCCTAGATTTGCAATCACAAACTGACAAAATTCTGTTCTCTATTGAATGCTTCTGTTTTTGTTTTTATTTGTTTCTAAGAAGTTTTCGACCAGGCACTGTGGCTCACACTTACAGTCTCAGCACTTCCGTCAAGAAGCCAAGATAGGCAGATCACTTGAGCCCAGGAGTTCAAGACCAGCCTGGGCACCATGCCGAAACCCCATCTCTACAAAAAATACAAAACTTAGCTAGGCATTTTGGCATGGCCTGTAGTCCCAGCTACTTGGGAGAATGAGGTTGCGGCGACAGTGAGTTGTGTTTGTGCCACTGCACTCTAGCCTGGCAGACACAATGAGACTCTGTGTCAAAAACAAAACCAACAAAAAACAGTTGTTTTTCCAGCACAATTCATGAGATTGTTTTTTAAAATGCACAAACTAGTACTTTAAAAGATATTTTTGATTTTCCATTACACAAGTACAGAAATGTGTAATTTCTCTATCAACTTTTCCCTTAAGAAATTAATTTTTTTCATTGTCTGAAAGAGATAGAGTTACCTGTCTCTAAAGGATATTTTCCTCAAGTACCCACAGGTAATTTTGAATTTGTGGTTCATTTCACCTTTTTATGACTCCAGAAGTTAAATGATTCTTGGCTGTACATCAAAAGATGATTATGTAGTTATTATTTATTTTTATAGCTCAGATGAACCTGGTACTAGCTTCATTATAGTGCATGTCCCATCGGCCAAATGAACACAATCTGGAAATATGACATGCATTTTTAATAGTAATAGGGCAATAATTCTGCATTTTGTGTAGGTGTACCAGGGGCTACTTAAGTGAGGTTTAATGTCAATTAAGAAACACTGCAGTGCCCTTACTGGAATCTTGTAATAGTCACATTTCTCTCGTTGTTTTATGAAGTCAGGTGTAAATAATCACTTTAGAGGGAGACTTACTAAGTATGGACCTGTGCATCATTTTTCTTAGCTATATATATGAACGTATAGTAAACATAAGCAGCACAAACTTTTCTTCTGTTTCTAGAGTGACAGGCATTCTGTAGTATTGATAGGATATAAATAGACATCATTAAATGCTTTACCCATGGCTTTGGGCCCTAGTATCATTATCTGAAAGCATTTAGAATGAGTAACTAAAAGCCAAGAAAATTTACAAGTCGCATTTTGGAGAATAATTACAGTTATCCATCACCAAACTGCTGGCAAGTAGTGGCATTGCCTCATTGGATTTTATCCCTTTTTATGACTCTGGCTGTTCCTCAGGTGTAAGGTCTATAAGCCATCAAGTGGATTGGAAGGGCCAGGAAGACCAGAGGCGCAGAATGACTTCAAGAAACAGCATATAAAAGAGTATTGGCACAATATGGAGAAGCAGCTGAAATATTTGGAATTTGTATGTGCTGAGCCGTGTGAAGATTGCTACTCAGTATTAATCACATTCCAAAAGATAGGTTATCATTAGCATTTATAATAACATGTAAGTTCTACTCTGTGCTACCTGATGTAGGAGACTTTATTAGTTACTCATGGCTGCAGGAACAAGGTCCACAAATCAAGTTGCTTAAAACAACAGATATTTATTCACTTACAGTTCTTGGAGCTAGAAGTCCAGAATCAAGATGTCGGCAGAGCCATGCTCTAGGGAAAGATTCCTTCTTTGTTTCTGGTGGTTGTCAGTAATCCTTGGCATTCCTTGGCTTGTAGATGCATCACTCCAATCTCTACCTCTATCTTTACATGGCCTTTACCTGGTAGGACTAGGTCGAAACTTCCCACACTATATAAGGACACCAGTCCTTGCATTAGAACCTCCCATAATCCAGTAAGACTTTACCTTAACTTGGTTGCATCTGCAAAGACCCTTTGTCCAATTCAACAAAGACCATACGTTTCCTAACTCAATGGCTTTGGAAGTTAGTGATATTGAAAATATAAATGTGTATTTTTAGAACCAGTATGAAACATGTGTTTATTATCTATTGCTACATAACAAATCACCCCAAAACTTAGTGCCTTAAAACAACAGCCGTTTTGTTATATATCAGGATTCTGTGGGTCAAAATTTGGATGGGGTTTGGCTGGGCAATTCTCCATGTGGCATCCCTGGTGGTATCCAGTTAATGGCTTGGCTGGAAAGTGAAAAATGGTTTTGTTCATAGCTAGAAGGCTGGGCTTGACTTAATCTCTCTCATTCTCCCTGTGTGCTCAGGACCTTTCCACACACTCTCTCTAGCAGAGTAACTGTATATCTTAAATGACAGTTCAAGGTTTTAAGAGTAAGTAATTAAAGAGACAGGAACTGAAAACTGCTTGTCATTAATAAGGGACAGGCCCCCAAACTGGCACAGCATAGCTTCCATAATACTGTTTGTCATTATAGTCAGAGCATACCTTCAGATTTAAGGGGAGAGGTGTAACTCTCTGTGGAAAGACTATTGTTCACCTTTTGGCCACAGATAGCTTACATTTCTCCCATCTTTGAAAATCTCATGCCAGCAGGGCACAGTGGCTCAAGCCTGTAATTCCAGCATTTTGGGAGGCTGAGGCAGATGGATCACTTGAGGTCAGACCAGCCTGGCCAAAATGGTGAAACTCCATCTTTATTAAAAATACAAAAATTAGCTGGGTGTGGTGACTCATGCCTGTTATTACAGCTACTTGGGAGGCTGAGATGAGAGAACTGCTTGAACTCGGGAGGTGGAGGTTGCAGTGAGCCAAGATCATTGTGCCACTGCACTCCAGCCTGGGTGACGGAGTAAGTGAGACTCTGTCTCAAAAAAAAAAAAAAAAAAAGAAAGAAAGAAAGAAAAGAAAATCTTATTCCATCAGAGCCCTGCCTTGAATTTAAGAAGCCGCTGGTAAAATCAGTTCTATGTAGAGATGAGATTCTTTGTGTATATTTTCTCTCCATCTGAAGACCTGTAGACCATAGGAACAAATTTTGTGCCCTCCCCACAACATATAATGGTCAGAGAGGAGTAGATTCTCCTCTTTAAAAAAGAAAATGGGAAACATGTTCCACAGTAATTCTAAAATCCAACCAGATGCAGGTCACTAGATCCTTAACTAGGCTCTAGTCCTGTTTCCTGGAAACTATTGCCCTGGCTCTCCGTTTCTCTCTTGAATCCATCCTCCTTTTCCATAAAAACTTTATGGGACCCCTGTGTATCAAATAATGATCCAATCCATCAGAGAAAAGCCATGTACACATTTGGTTCTGACATAGTCCTTTTTTGCTGGAACTTAGGGCATTCTGGGGAAATGAAAAGAAGCCTTCTTTCTAGTTGAAAGGGTTCATCAGGCATCCTTAAAATTCACAGAGACATATATTATGATTTCTATAAGTCCAATTAGGCTTACCTTCAGATATTTCTGAGAGGTCAACAAAGGAACATCCATGAGCTTTATTTTCCTAAAACCATATTGTACAAGTAGCAGCAGCCTGGATTTAATCTTTGCCCTGAGGTCATTTGTAACTTTGCAAGTCTATTGCTGGGAGAGCCTGGGAATGAGAAACAATTTTACCTTCATATTCAGCATGTTCTGGTCCTTTTTTCCTCTGAATCTTGCTTAGAAACAGAAAATTTCTTCTTTGGCTTATCCCTTTCCATGTTTTACCATAGGCAGCTAGGAACCAGTTGGCGCTTTCTCCATTTTGCCTGTTCATCTTTCTTGCCAGACTTTTGTGGATGTCCATTAAGTTTCTTATCACGTGCAACATTAATGCCAAACTTTCTGCCAGTACAGAAAAAGTATCACATATTTTCTGGCCTCCAGTAACATATTTTCATTGTCTCTAAAGGCTTCACCAACAGTCTTTTCAAGGCCCTTGGGGCTTTTGCTAACAGTCTCCTTGAAGTCCTCTTCTTTCCACTAACAGTCTCTATGAGGCCCTTCTAGCTTCTGTCCACTGCTTGATTCCAAAGCTGTCCACACATGTGACAGGTTTTGTACAGCAACACCACACCCCCAGGTAATGGATTTTGTCCCGGTTTTCTACTGTTGTGTAAAAATTGACCCTAAAACAAGTGGCTTGAAACAAGCACCATTTTATTATACCTTATGACTTTTGTAGACTAAAAAACAGCCTGAGCTTGACTGAGAGTTCCTTCTGCTCCATGTGATGCCACTTGTAGTCATTCAGAGGTGGCTGGGATGGTCCACAACCGAAGTCAGCAAAGTTTTTTGGTGAAGGGCCAGAAGGTATGTATTTTAGGCTTTGTGGGCTGTACTGTTTGTCAAAGCTACTCAGCCTGACCACTGAATGACAAAGTCATGTGGTTGCTCAGTCTGCTAGTACCTGGTCTAGAGAACCCAAGAAGGCTAACACATTTCATTTACTTTCATGCAGATGGCTAGAGAGTGGGCTCAGCCCATCTTCTCTCCCTCCCTCGGTAGTTGCAGGGTGTCTCTGCATGGTTTCTCCAGCAAAACAGTCCACTTTCTCACATGGACGCTTAGGCCCCAAGAATCAGTGGTCCAACAAACAGAAAGTGAAAGCTGCCAGCCTCATGAGGTGTAGGCCTAGAAATGCACAACATATCATTTCTGCCATTTTCACTGGTCAATGCAATCATAGATCCCTTCCTCCCATATTGAAAAGGAAGAGAGAGAAATCCTTACTGGATATTTTGCCCGGAAATGGTATCAGATAACTTGTGGCCATTCAACACAATGATCACCTTAGTTCACTGATGAATAAGACATTTCTCTACCTTCGAGGAGCTTACATTATAATTGGAAACAGATATGAAAGCAATTTTCTGGAGCATAGGACAGAATGAAGTATATCAGGGGCAGGAAAAAAAAACATATAGGCACTCCTATAAGGAGTGTCATGAATTTGAATATATGCCTGTGTTTTACAAGTAGTTGCTAGCCCTTGTTTCTGTCTATTTTACTGTCAAGTATAGTACATATATATATAACACAACACACATAACAGACACACACTCTCACACACATATGTGTGTACACATATACAAACAACACTCACACATGCACAGCACGTGCACACACCAACTCACACATGAACTTTCAAACATGTAACTGAAACAAGTTTCTTCACATAGCAGTTACTGTAAGTCTCGGCAATGTACTTGGTTATATTCCTTTCTTTCTATTATATTTAATTTTTAGAAATTCTGATCATTGTCCACTGAATTAATTTCACAACTGCAGTTTATTTCATAAACTGAAGTGTGAAAAACAACTGGTCAAGAAGATGCGGAGGTCAACAAGCCTTGTGAGTCGCTGTTGCACAATAAGTTATTGTTAAAATTTATTCTTTACAGGAAGATCTGGGAATTGATTTAACAAGGGGATAGGAAAAAACTTTTCACAAATTTCTTTCTCAGTGGCTTCTTTGATAGAATATATGTCCAGTATATTTTGATATATGTTATTTATTATCTGCCAATGATGTGTCTGTTTATTTTGAGCTGCTTTGGTAACACATTAGTTTGAAGTAGCCATAAAACCTTTTAAACTGTGATAGGTTGTGAAAATACCATTAGGTCCTTGTAGAAGTTATCATATTTCATGATGTGAAAAGTTTATAATTTTTCTCGTTTGTTTAGAAACTATATTCATGTTGATGACTTGAAAAAGAAAAAAATGGGAAATAATTATAAAATAAATTATACTATACCATTAATATACAATTATAAAATAAGAGTCATTCTTTAGTTTTCCAGTAAATGAGTATTTACTTAGTTTTGAAATGCAACAGTGAACAGGACAACACAAATCTTCCATTATGGAACTTATGTTCTGCAAGGTCAAATAGAAGAAAACAAGTCAACAGCCAAATGAAGTAATTGTGAGTTGTGATGAATGCCATGAAAGGATTAAACATGAGCTGAAATAGAAAATTTTAAGGTCAGCTCTTATATTAGGGTTATCTAGAGGGACAGAACTAATAGGATAGATATAGGTATATATATAGAGAGAGGGGAGTTTATTAAGTATTAACTCACGTGATCACAAGATCCCACAATAGGCCATCTGCAAGCTGAGGAGCAAAGAAAGCCAGTCCGAGTCCCAAAGCTGAAGAACTTGGAGTCCAATATTCCAGGGCAGGAAGGGTCCAGCAAGGGAGAAAGATGTAGGCTGGGAGACTAGGTCAGTCTAGTCTTTTAATGTTTTACTGCCTGCTTTATATTCTAGCCAGGCTGGTAGCTGACTAGATGGTGCTCAGCCAAATTAAGGGTGGATCTGCCTTCCCCAGCCCACTGACTCAAATGTTAATCTCTTTTGGCAACACCCTCATAGACACACCCAGGATCAATCCTTTGCATCCTTCAATCCAATCAAGTTCATACTCAGTATTAACCATCACAGCTCTTGACACAGGGTGGTCAGAGAGAGGCTCTCTGCTCTGAGTAGTTGGCATTAAGAAGAATCTAAAGAATAAGAAGGAGATGCCTGTGATTAGACCACTAGGAAGAATGTTCCAGATGGTGGGTAAAACATAATGCAGAAGCTCTGGGGTCAGGATGAGGTTGCTTTGTTTGGGCAACTGAAACCCCAGAATGAGTGATACCTAGGGAGTGAGTTAAGTGAGAGATTGTCTGAGATGAGAGAGAAAGGTAGACAGGAACTGATCTCACAGGGCCTACTAGGCCATAGTAAGGCGTTTAGAGTTTCTTTCCTTAGCCAGATAGGAAGCTATTCAAGTGTCTTTGCAGGAGAGGGCAAGGTCTAATTTATATTTTAAGAAGCTCAGTCTGACTGCTGCTTGGAGATTGAACCAGAGTGGAACAAAAGTGGAAGTGGGGTGTACACTGGGCTTATTCCTTTTGAACGTCCGGGGATAAAAGTTCAGCTTCTACACTGACTATTTCCTGTGGAATTTTTGGTTCTTGTAAGTTAAATTGAACATAGAAATATGGAGACACCTTAAATTTAAATTAAAAAGGCAAGGGTTCTATTTAGTTTTGTCTAAACTATCCTGTAAATAGCAATTTGCAAAATGAGATTCATCTTTTTCTTTAAAAACTTGTAGATTCCTTTAAATTTAATTCTGATTTCCTCTTGAAAATGGTAATAATTCCTAAGAGGCGTCAGAAATCACCATGTGTTTATTTACATGCTCTGTACCCCAAGTTAAAAAGTAATGTGCATATTTTTCTAAAGAAAGGATTTTATAATGTAAGAACGGTGGGCTGATTGTTAAAGAAAAAAAATCTAACATTTGCTGAAATGGTAAGGAAGACTTTATTCAGGACTATTGTGATAGGTGTCAAAACTATCAGAATTGAGGAGAGAAATGGGTCTCAACTGCAAATACATGCAAGGACAAGTAGGGATTTATATCATTAGGACAAATAGGTTTAATACCTTTTCCTCACCCATCACAAGGGTCTAGCTGACACTGATATGGGAAAAGACAGATTAATAAGAAAAGAGTATAACAAATTTATTTAACAAAGTTTTATGTTACATAGAAGCCTGCAGGAAAACTGTATTTTTATGTTTTTTAATGTATTTTTTATGTTTAGGTTTGATGAAGAATAGTCATGTAGAAATATAATTGGACAAAAAGCATATGATGTAATGATATAAACCTAAGGCAGGGGAAGGCAGCCAGGACTATTTATTCCAATTCTTCTTGGCCTCTCTTTTTATAATTTTTTCCTCCTGGGTATGGGGCAGGTCACCTATCAAATGAGGGTCTTCAAGGGAGAAAGGAGTTCAGAGAGTGACATTTCTAGGTTTTATGGCTTGCTTTGGGGGAGAGGAGTTCTAGTTTCTATTACCTGCTTTGGGGAAAAGGAATTCTAGTTTTTATGGCCTGCTTTGTGGGTGAAATAGGAGAAGGAGAAAGGAGGGCAGAAGAAGGTCAGAGAGAACTTCCTGCTTTTGAGGCCCTGCCAATCCCTTTCAGAAGTTCAAAGTCCTCAGCCTGCCAAAGCACTGTACTTTGGAGTATGATGCTCTGAGCTGCAGTAATGGCCAAAAAGCAGGTTTGGATGTGATAGTGGATGGAAAATTCAGAAGCCAGGACATCAAGGGTAGGGGGAATCTTGCTAAACTGACATAATAGGATTCCTGCTGAGGGCAGGCTAGGGTGATCAGATATTAAGGATGGGAGGATTCCCTGTAAACTTAGGAGCATTCTTGCTGAAACTTGGCTACGCAGGCTTCCCACAGATGGTGGTTTGCTCGGAGGCAAGGTTGAGGCATTGTCAGGAAGAGGGCTTAGGGGAGCCTAATGAAAGTTTGGTCAAGGAAAGCGTCTTGTCATCTTCATTCATTCTTCAAAACAGACATGAGATACAGCTGCTACAAAACAACACCGATTAATAGTTGTATTTTATGTGCTGCCCATTAAAGTACTTACATTTTTATTTTTCCAGAAATTTTAACTACATGCTTCAGTGTTATTAGATTACCCTTGGAAACACTCAGCTACAGCAAGTGTTTTGTGCTGTTTATTTTAGAATTCATGGGACAGCTCACTTTCTAGCCATTAATTTGAGCTTTCAAAGACAAGTTACACAAGTGACAATGGGGAATTTGATCTATTTGTGTATGTAATTATGAGTTCAACAGGCATTGTTTTCAGGTACTGTGATAGACCCTTTCTCTTACTTAAAGCATGTGATTTGGTTCAAAAGACATTTATGATGTTAATTTTATAAAAAATCAAGAAGGTGATATGAGTTCCCATACTGTTGGCATCTGAGCTTGGATGACATGTTAACGATAACAGTTAGTCTAGATGAAATTCATTCTAGAAATAATACACCTTGTGAGTTAGAAGCAACCTTGAAGTGCATGTAATCAAAATCCCCTATTTTACTGACTGAGAGGCAAGAGAGGTCACATTGCTACTTGGTGACTCTTTCTGTCAAGTTAGAGCATCAAAAGCAATTTACTTGAACTACAGTGGATTAACTCTCCAAAGAAATTACCTTTGTTCAAATATGATTCAATAAAATGCCTTTAACCTTTATTCAGAGCTGCTGCATTTTTTCAGGATGAAGAGTCAAACCTGATGTCTTTTTGTATGAAGATCCACAGGAAAAAAATTCTTTTGCAATTTAATGCCAGAAAAAAAAACAAAACAAGCAGAAACTACATCTCTTGTGAATAATTGGCAGGCTTTCTTTTGACAACATGAGACCCATGAGGTTCATTGTGTTTCTCTTTTTCACTTTGTGTCCAGGACCTGCGGAGTTAGATGACAAAGGCTAAGGAAATTTTCTCCCTTTTTACTCTATGCTGTTTCTTGTTTCCCATTTAACTTTTCTCTGTGCTTTTGTATGTAAATTTTTATTGCAAGCCACCCCACAAATGCTTTTTGAAAGCTAATAAACTATAAATTATTCAGGAATAAATATTAAGTGACAAAGACAAAACTCTAATCCAGATCTTCTATCTCCCAGTGTAAATTTCAATCCATTCTATCATGATTGGAAAGGCATTAATATCTCTGACAATTCCTTTCTCAATAGAAAAAAATGTTTCCAATATTTGTGCAAAAGGGAGATATAAAAGAGGTGTCTTATTCCCTCTATAACTTTGGCTCAAATTTTAAAACTTAAGAATTGCACCCCTCAACCACTGAACCAAAAAAAAAAAAAAAGAGATAGAAAATAAAATAAAAGGAAAAGAAGAAAAGAAAATCTTTCTTTTTGTTTGGTTGCTTTGGAAATTTGGAAGTATATTATTTTATTGGCACTCAGAGCTGTGCAGAGTCCTGATGGAAATGTCTATATAGTCACAGTGAAGCCTGGAACAGGCTTGGGTATCCTTTTGAATACAGATTATATGTACAAAGACCAATGCAATAGAAACCTTTTAAATCAAGCTTTTCCTCTGTAACAAAAGTGTCTAGTCTCTTGATTCCTGAATCCATTAATGCCCTTTGAGTGTCACCCAGTTACATACTGCTGGGCATCAGGTTGCCTTTCCAGTGTGGAAGCCTGAGACTCCTGCACAAAGGAACTCTTAGGGCTCTTGATGTTTCTCATCTTGTGACACTGAATTACAGGGCTTCTCTTTTATTGAAGTGCTGACTGGAAGAAGGGTTATCACAGCAGCCCCAGCCAGTGTGGCACAGCTGCCCACACTCTTTGTAATGTTCTTTGAAAAGAATGTATTAATAATGTCCAAAGTTGGGTCAGGCTGTCAGTCACAGAAATAATTACTCTTGAGAGGTTAAGATTCACTTTCTTAAAATCAAGTGGGAGTCATGGTAGATATTAGAAGAATGGAGCAAAGCACACTTTAATATAACTATCAATGTGCCAACAATAGACATTTGGGGGAGGAACTGGGAATATCATACTTACAGGAAGCATGTCTGATGAGAACTCAGAGAGTGGAAAATACAAGTATGGGATATTATTTTGGATTTCTAGCTATTACATATCATCTTTCCTTTTTCATCATTATTATTATTGCAGACTAAAACCAAATATTATTATTTATTAATCCTTCAGAAATCACTTTGGAGCCTGCATAAGAGTACATACTCCAGAGTCTGACTGACCATGTTCAAATCCTGGTTTTGTGACATAGCTCCTGGGCTACCCTGGGCAATTTACCTAAACTGGCTTTGCCCTACCTGTTATGCAAAATGGGGGTAATAATAGTGCCTATTATATAGGGTTGTTGTGAGGATTAATCGAGTTAATATTTGTAATGGCCTAGAATTCTGCCTGGCATAGAGTCAGCCTTATCTGAGT
Source organism: Homo sapiens (assembly GCF_000001405.40). Taxonomy (NCBI): domain Eukaryota; kingdom Metazoa; phylum Chordata; class Mammalia; order Primates; family Hominidae; genus Homo; species Homo sapiens. The sequence continues at coordinate 62,343,356 of NC_000008.11, forward strand.
TGTCATTATTATTTTTACAAATGTATCCTATCTACTCAGGTGACAAATTATTTTTATTTCAACATTATTCTCTCATTTATATACATAAAACTACTATAAATTTTACTATTCTATAGTCAGTTGAACATCTTATTTAACAAACATTTAAACAAGTGTTTAAAAATGTATTCTTTGCTGGACACAGTGGCACACACCTGGAATCTCAGCACTTTGGGAGGCTAAGGCAGGAGGATTCCTCTAGGCCAGGAGTTTGAGACCAGCCTGGGCAACACAGCAAGATCCCATGCCTTCAAAAAAATTTTTTAATTAACTGGGCATGGTGACACATGCCTGTAGTCCCAGCTACTCAGGAGCCTAAGGTGGGAGAATTTCTTGAGTCCAGGAGTTTGAGGCTACAGTAAGCTCTGATTGCGCCACTGCACTCCAGGATGCATGACAGATCAAGTCTCTATCTCTTAAAAAAAAAGTATACTTAGTGTTCTGTTTATAGAAACTTTTGAATTTGAAAGTGAGTATAAAATTGCTGTAGTATAGAGATCACATTTTGATTCTTTATGGATGAATAAGGTTGTTATATGGTCAATGTATAATTAGTATCCAAGTGAAACTTAACATTTTAAAAGTTAATGTTATTAACATTAGAGAATTATGCAAATAGAAGACAAGAAAGCAAACTGGAAAAGGCATTTCATCTTGACATGAAAGTTTGGATTGGTTGTTGAGATTCAGAAATCCCTTTGACAGCCAGGCTGGGGGGTGGAGGGTTATTGTGGCTTCTGGGGCAACACAGTGCTGGAGCTGGACTTTGATGGACTCATCTGAAACACAAATAAAGAAATCACTTCTTTAAAATAAGTTTAAAAGAACATTAAATGTCAGGTAGCCCAACCTCTATGACTTCTATTTAGAATAGTTGATGTAAATGGGAAATATAATGTACATAAGTGCATTATGTAATTATGTACATATATTATACATAAGTGCATAGTGCATACTACATTTCCAGATGTCTATGTTTTGAATTATTGTTATCACAACAATATTCATGTTTGTGATATTTCAAAGCTCTATATACAGGGAGGAGAGTGATTAAAAGCATTTTAAAATGTGAACACTAGATTACCCTTATTTAGCTAGATAGCTTAATATTTTTACGTAGGTATTCAATAGAAAATGGTACATTATATTTTCTCTCCTCACTACAATAGTGTATGTAGAAAAGCATACTACAACAGTGTATGTAGAAAAGCATACCCTATTGCTTTTCTTTATGAGTTGGCAGTGGGAAGGGTGAACTGTGATTTAGCAAGTACTTTATACTTCTAATTGCTATGTTTTTTATCCTGCAACCCAGTTGCCTATGGATATTGACTGCTGTCAGTACTCCAGTTTGCTACACACTAGTAAGCCACTGATAAAACTAAGAAATTTAGAGTCTTTTGTAGTTCCATATGAATTTTAAATTTTTTTCTTTCTGTGTCTGTGAAGAATGTCATGGGTATTTTGATAGGGATTGCATTAAATTGTTAGATAACTTTGAGTAGCTTGGAAATTTTAACAATATTAATTTTTCCAGTACAATCCAATATATTTTTATTTATTTGTGTCTTTCTCATTTTCTTTCATCAGTGTTTTATGGTATTCATTGTAGAGATCTTTTACGTCTTCGATTAAGTTTATTCCTAGTTGTTTTATTTTATTTTTTGGTAGCTATTGGAAATGGGATTGCTTTCTTGATTTCATTTTCAGATATTTTGCTATTGGTGTATAGAAACTCTACTGGTTATTGTTTGTTGACTTTGTATCCTGGAACTTTACCACATTTATTTATTAATTAAAACGGTTTTTTGGTGGTGGCCATGGTGACACAGCCACCAAAATATGTACATGTGGGTATATATATACACACACACACACACATATACACGCACATATACACACATATATATGTATATATACACACATATATACACATATATGTATATATACACACATATACACATATATGTATATATACACATATATGTATATATACACACATATACACATATATGTATATATACACATATATACACATATATGTATATATACACACATATGTATATATACACATATATACACATATATGTATATATACACACATATATACACATATATACACATATATGTATATATACACACATATATACACATATATGTATATATACACATATATACACATATATGTATATACACACATATATACACATATATGTATATACACACATATATATACACATATATGTATATATACACATATATACATATGTATACCTGGAATATATATACCAGACTATATATAATCAGGTCATCTGCAAACAGGGACAGCTTGACTTCTTTCTTTCCAAATGGGGATATCCTATACTTTACTTCTTTTGCCTAATTTTTCAGCTAGAACTTCCATTACTGTGTTGAAGAAAAATAAAACAGTATGTGTGTGTGTGTATGTGTGTATGTTTTCCTGCATACATACACAATGGAATACCATTCAGCCATGAAACAGAATGAAATCCTGTCATTTGCGGCAACATAGATGAAACTAGAGAACATTATGTAAGTGAAGCAAGCCAGGCACAGAAAGACAAACATCATATAACCTCACTCTTGTGTGGAGTATAAAGAAGTTGATCACATAGAAGTAGACAGTAGAATAGTTGTTACCAGAGGCAGGGGAGGAGAGAGTGGAGAGGAAGGTGGGGAGAGGTTAGTAAACACGTGAAACGTTATGGTTAGCCAGGAAGAATATGTTCAGGTGTTCTATTACCCAGTAGGGTCAATGTAACTAAAGTAACATATATTTCAAGATAGCTGAAAAAGAGGATTTTGAATGCTATTGCCACAAAGAAATGATAAATGTTTAAAGTGATCGATGTGTCAATTACCCCTATTTGAACATTTTACTGTGTATTCATGTATTGAAACATCACACTGTAACCTATAAATATGTACACTTATGATGCCAATTATAAGTAAAAGAAAAATTTTTAAAAATCCAGGAAATTTGGAATTGTGAACTGTACCATATTAGCCAATAAATTATAAGATTTCAATGATTTGTAGACCTTATGCAGCTATTAAACTAGCAAATCCTATTTTTTGCATTAAAATGATCTTGGAAATAATTTATCACATGTATATTTTAAGAGCTTTGAGATCATATACATGCAGAAGAAATGAGCCCAGTGTGAAGGGGCTGACTGGCCCTCCTATATTTTGAAGGTCTGGAAGTGGCACAACATGGATATTACTGAGTCTACCAAAGCCTTTACTTTCAGACATCATGGGAGTTGTGTTCTAGGTGCCACTAGAAAGGTTGACCTGAGTCCAGTTATTCTACATTAGTAATTCACCACAGAACCATCAGGGTTACTGCAAACTATAAGAGTTAGATTGAATTTTCTGAGATTTATGGAAAAGACAGGGTACAATAATTTAGTGACTATCACAAGGTACTTGGAATGGGTACATTAACTGCTAAGTAGCCTACTCGAGGAGCAAATGAATGACATAACATCCCCACTTTACCTTTCATTTATTATGGCCAATCTGAAAATCCTAATGACAAGCGACATTTTAAACAGGAGAACTGAGGACATTTAGAATAGTGAATAAAGGTTTGGTGGCATACATGTCTGAAGAGCCAACACAAAGATCTTCCTGTGGACAGATAGTTACAAGTGATGCTTTCCCATACAAACTGTAAGTTGGTTCTGGAGGGTGTAGTAGTAACAGGATTTTAATGTGAAGGCATCTACTGTAAGTTCAGTTTACTAAAAGCAGAGAGTCCTTGGCTTATCTATGTGCTGCATAACTTAAAATTACACTTCTATGAATGAAGATAGGAGCTTTGCTTGAATTTATTCTATCCAAAGAGAACAATGTATTGGTGGTTGTGGGAACCTTGGGAGCTCATCATGCTATCAACATAAAAGTTGCAGTAGAGAGAAAAAGGAGTTGTTGGGCATCTCCAGATATGAGTCTTGCCTTTAAAGAAAAAGATATCAGAATATCTTAAAATAAGAAGATTTATTTCCATGTTCAAAGATTCTAAAGAGATTATCTAAGAATTGATAGAAGAGTTTCAAAGGCGTATCTTGACTATACAATTACAAATTACCTTAAGGAAGATCAAAAAGTAGACATTTCCATGGAAATATTAGTAGGTTTTTAATAAATCCAACTTTTGAAAGGAAAACACATAAAATATCAAAGGAAAATGCATAACTAAACAAGGATTAAAAAATATGAATAAACATGTAAGAATAATGCCAGACAAAGTGTAGGATGGGATGATTTTTTGAAAAAATGTTAAAAAATTTAAGAAGTATTTTTGCAAAGCTAGTTAGAGCAAAACTAACAAGGAAGATATGATAGGCTCATTCTGGAGTAGATAAGTATGAGGTTGCAAAATGACAACGGGAAAGCAAGAGCTACTCATTCTTCATTTCTTCCATTCTATCCTAGCCAAAGAATACACTTTCAGTTCAAGGAAGAGATTCTTCATTAATCAGATAGGGGATCAGAGAGTGAGAAAACACATAGCATTTAAATAAATCAAGTCTCAGAAGAATTGTCAGGCCTTAAATGAACTTGAAGATATTATTTTAGACTAACTGTCGGTATTTTTTATTGTTTTTTTATTGTTTTATTTATTATCAGTATTTTATTGTTCATAAATATGCTAGGCTGCCATCCATCTGCAGCCTTGATCCTAATTTCCAACATTTAGGAAAAGGTGAATTTAAGCAGCTATCAATTATTATGTGTATTAGTCTCCAGCAAAGGACTAATAAATAGAGGACATAAGAAATACTTGGAAAAGAATATAGTGATCACTAGAAAGCCTCATGAGTTCACTAAGAATAAATTATTCGACTTAAACTATTTGGTCTGTTTTGAAGGAATACTAATCCAGGAAGCATGTTTATATTTGTAGATGACATAATTTTTTAGGCATTGTAGATAAATTTAAAAACGTTAACAAATTTGAAAAGAAAAGTCTGTTGGCTTGCATGATGGAAAAGACAGACAAGATGATATACTTTGTTAGAAATCAACCTCCAAAGCATGGAATAGCAAAATACATGTGTAACAACATTAAGGTAAAAACAGGCAGAGGTTTCAGTTGCTCACAGTTTTTATGAGACCCAGTTGTGTTTTCTGGCTTCTAAAGTATCTAACACAAATCTTAGGCTGCTCAATGGGACTATCTAGCTGCTATTAGCAGAAGCTCTCCACTGAGCAGTTCTCATCTGGAGTAATTTGGCTTACTCTGGGCTGTGAATTTTAAGATGAACCCTAATAAACAAGAATGTCCTCACCTGAGATGAGTGAAAACTATGTTGTATAAGAAACTGTTGAAACCATTGGAGATACTAGTTTGGAAGGAATCTCACGTGATGACTATTTTTAAATATAAGAAAAATAATATCATTTACACATTTCTCATCCAAAATATTGAACTAAGAAATACGAGCCAAAGCCTGCCTGTCCTACTCAACAAAGGCAAGTAATGTCTTGCTCGTGCCTGACTTTCAGAAAATTCCTCTGTGTTTTCAGATTTTCACTTTAGGTTAGCAGAAATGATGGTCCCTTCTGCTTAAGTGGCTGTGTAACCCTTGAGCAGGTCATTACACAAACATACCCTGACTTGGAATATGCAATCCTAGTATTAATAGTTATCATTTAAAAATAACTCCATATGGACAAAGGAAAAGCCTGAGTATTTCATGAGCCTCATTAGTTCTTGGGACTATTGCACATCATCATGCATCTTCTGCCATACTTAATTGTGCAACGAAATTTGTGGCACAGTTGCTTGGAGGGTCCAGGTGTTTTCATGTGGAAGTGCAGCAAGGGGATTCTTTAATATTTAATCCCTCTAGGGAGGATTAGAGCAAGCTGCCTTGTTTTAGAGGGACTGGGAGTCTGGCATGCTGAAATTAGAGGCGGGAATTGATTCAGGAAAGTTTAAGCCTGGGTTGAAGCAAAAACCTAACTATACAGGTAAAGGTTAGAACTAGATATAGGTGTTAGAGATGACAGATTGTGATTTGTTCAACTATTAGTAATTTGTATACATTTAGTGAATAAAACTGGCTTTAAATAGAAGGTTTAGGTAAAGTTGAAGAAAATATAAAACTTTAGGAAAAGTGTAATTGGAGAAGCAGAGGTTGAAATTTGCTGTGGGTACAGACAGTAAAGCATATGCACGTGGTACAGGCCTGGGTCCCAGCACACACAGAACACTAGTCGGGGTCCATCTGGAAAGAATAAGCAGGCCAGGCTCAGTAGCTAGGCTATTAAAGTCCGTGAAATCCTTGTTAGGATGAGTTGAAGGGAAAGTAGCCTCTCAGGCTTGTGCCAACCAGAAGACAAAGTTTGAATTCTTCCCAGTCTCAAAGAGTGAAGGTAGATATATCAGACCTTCTCCAGGTGAAGCCTTGTTTCATCTCTTCCTCCTGCTCCTCCCAGGACCTGAAGAGACACATCTACAACTTTCTTACTCCTTTCAGGTTTGGATTTGTGTTCTAGCAAGGGGTCCACTTGTCTTGACAAATTACTGTTTACGTTTAATTTCATGTGATCCAAGATATGTTGCCTTATGAAACTCTTGTGCATAGCTGATGGGAATGTAAAATGGTGCAGCCACTGTGAAAAGCTGTATGGCAGTTCTTCAAAACATTTGACAGAATTACAGTATGATCTGACAATTCCATTTACAGGTTATATATGCAAAAGAGTTGGGACTCAAACAGATATTTTCACAACCAAGTGCATAGCAGCATTATTCACAATAGCCAAAAGGTGGAAATCATCCAAAAGTCCATTGAAAGACAAATGGATCAACAAAATGTGGTACACACCTAACAATGGAATATTATCCACCCTTAAAAAGGAATGTAATTTCAATACATGCAACAACATGCATGAACCTTGAAAACATTATACTAAATGAAATAAGCCAGACACAAAAAGTCAAACAGCATATGATTCGAGTTATATGAGGTACCTAGAGTAATCAAATTGGTAGAGACAAAAAGAGTGGTGGTTACTGGGGGCTGGGGACAGGGGTGAATGGGAAGTTATTGTTAATGGATAGAGTTACAGCGTGGGACGATGATGAAAAGTTCTGGGGACCAACGGTGGTGATGGCTGCAGAACAATGTGAATGTACTTAATGGCACTGAAATGTACACTAATAAATGGTTAAAGTGTTAAATTTTATGTTATGTATATTTTAATCATCAAAAAATTAAAATATATTGCCTTAGAGAGTAATGAGCTTTTTAATTTTTATTTATTTATTTATTTGAGACAGAGTCTCACTCTGTTGCCTAGGATGGAGGGCAGTGGCGCAATCTTGGCTCACAGCAACCTCTGCCTCCCGGGTTCAAGCGATTCTCATGCCTCAGCTTCCAGAGTAGCTGTGATTACAGGCACTGCCACCATGCCCGGCTAATTTTTATATTTTTAATAGATATAGGGTTTCACCATGTTGGACAGGCTGGTCTCGAACTCCTGACCTCAAGTGATCCACCCACTTCGGCCTCCCAAAGTGCTGGGATTACAGGCATGAGCCACCGTGCCCAGCCGAGTAATGAGCTTTTCACCACTGACAGTGATCAAGCAGAGCAATCAGACAGAAGTATATAAAAACAGATATAAAATTAAAATGTAAATAGTATATATAATAAATGTATAAATATATAATATATATTAACATATATACTATAAAAAGTTATGTAAATGTTAGAATAGATAATATAGTCATCCCTCTGTTCCCTGGGGATTGATTCCAGGATGTCTACAGATATCAAAATCCGAGGGTGCTAAGTTTCTTGTATAAAATGGGAGAGTATTTGTAAATAGCCTCCTCACATTCTCTCACATACTGTTTAATCATCTCTAGGTTATTTATAATACCTAACACAATATAAATGCTATGAAAAGTTGTTACATATATTTGTATTTGTATTATTTTTATTGTTGTATTATAATTGTTTACTCTTACTTTTCCTCGGAATATTTTTGATCTTCATTTGGTTGAATTCACAGATGTGGAACCTGTAGATACGGAGGCCTGACTGTTTATATTATAATATATAAAATAAATATACATATAAATATATAAACATTTAAATACACAACATATATCATATATAATAAGAATACATATGTATATTTGTGGTTATTTGTCTTTAAAGCATCTTGTAGTTTGTGCAAATTGGACAAATTATAACTTCACTACACCTCAGGTATTTTGTTTATGAAATATAAATCAGTTCCTACATTGAAAAGATGTTATAACAACCAAATAGCATCATAATATGAAATTGACCAGTTTTTGTGGTTTATCAAATGTCCATTAAATGTTAATTTCTATTGGACTGAACATAATGAAAATTACCTTTCAGTTTTCTGGAATTTATGATTGTAAGAGGAGGTAGCATCACCAAAAAGTAATGACAGATTGATTTTGAGATGCTATGCAGGCATCCTGGGCAACTGTGGAAGAAGAAGCAGGTTTACAGAAGTTATGTTCCAGGATGGAGACAGAGGTGTTCCTCCTGGTCAGGGTCCCCATGTGTATGGATGAACACTATGGATGAAGCTCGTGGGCTGGTCAAACACCAAGTATGAACTGGCAACACTAACCAGGCAGGGAAATGGGTTGAAACTAAAGGATCAGCTACAAATTGGAGAGAGGACATATTAGGAAGAGATAGTTATGTTATTAGCCCAAATTAGACTTAGGAGAGCAGGAAGGGATGTTTAGGGAAATCAGGCAAGGAAGAGGACAGAGGTGCTGAGACACTTCTGTCGACCTGACTCCTTCCCATTGCTGAGCTTCAGCTCAGGCTTAGCCCTCCTCGCCTGTGACCTCTCATCCCTCAGCACTCTGATCAAGATCTCCTTGCTGAAGCTCCTGAGAGAAGTGACAACTCTCTTCTGCATCTGACACACCTTTCTCTCTTAGCACATGGACCATTTTATTCACTCATGCTGATTCCAATATTAGACTTGAAGTGCTTTGAAAGAAGAAGCAACATTTTCTTTGCCTCCTTGGGAGTTATGGAGCCAATGAATCAAATAAAAACATGCACAGACAAGAAGGCTCTGCAATGCATGAGCCAGTCAGAGGCTCTGGAGGATTCTTTGAGGGAAAAGAAGCTGAGCATCGTCTTCTAAAATAGCCTTCTCCCCGCAACATTAAAGATAACTGGCATTTGATCTACATCTTGGAGAGTCAGATAGAAAAGGTTGCTTTTTATCTCTTGAAATTACTTTATCTCACATTGTTTGAACCTTAACTGAACTGCTAACCACCATGAGGACACTGTACATCATGTTATAATTACAGGTGAGCATGCGTGTCTCCCGTCTTCTCGGCAAATTCTCCAGGTCCACAGAGAGACCATTCATCTTTGTGGAACACCCACTACTTTCTTACCTAGGCAGTGATTGGAAGAAATATTAGGTACCACATTAGTATTTTGGAGTGAATGAATTAATGATATAAATTCTCAGGACATTCAGGCAGACTGATGACTTCAGGGGTCTGTACTAATAGGAAGAACAAGAGTCCATCTGCCTTCTTGTTACTTGATCAGTAATAAAATCAAACCAACAGTCTGCACTCCCAGATGTTGTGTAGGCTGTGTCTTTAAGTTAAAAAACTACAAAGCCTCAGTGTGCCACCCAGTGCCTAGTAGGCCTGTGCCATCAGTGTAGAAGACTGTGCTATAGAGATCTGTGACAAGGGTTAGTCATGCAGTGGTACATATACCCAGGTGAACCTTGGCCTGTTTTACAAAAAAATAAAAAAATAAGCCAACTCTAAGACAGGGTTAGTTTAAGTGTAGTTTAATAGTTCCTATGTACATTCTTAGTAAGAAATGTTAGCCCAGGGATTTTAATGCAATTAGAACTTAAATTCTATTTCTGCAAAGAAATGAGTTTTTATTAACATTACTGATGTGAAATGATTTCAGAAATCCCCAGGCTGCCAACACTGAAATTTGATCCATAGCCTTGATTCTCCTCACTTTGCATACTTGTATTTATTCATTCATTATTCATCTATTCATTCATTAAGCTATTAGTCACAAATATTTGTTAATGTATGAATGGTATATTATCTGTTTTTTAAGGAAATTAAAACTATGAGATATAGCACTAGATTATAGCCTCGCCTATTTCACTGGGCATTTTAGGAAGGCAGTAATTGATAATGTGTCATTAATTTTTATGTGATAATGTCTATTGCAGTTCCTGGCACATAGTAGGAACTCCATAAATACTTACTAATAAATAAATAAATTTCCTACCCTTATAGAGAATTTTTTGTCAAATGTGAGTAACTAATTTTTCTTATCCCATATGGAGAATAACTTTTTTGTGACTAATATTATTGGGATTGAAACAGACACAAAGACAAAATTTATAATATAAAATAGATAAATTGATTTAAGATTTCACAGGCATGATGTTAATGAACATTTCAGATGCTGGGAGAAATTTCAAAACTAAAGCTACATTTTAATGGCTCCTTAAAAGAAGCGAGTGTGCATAAGGGATTTGTGAGGAGAAGGGTTGATTATAGCTCAATCTGAGATGTTTAAGAGTGGATCTTTAACTGAATAGAAGAGATTGTGTTTTGAAAATGGAAAGCATACAGGTTATTTTTGTTTTAGGAAGGAGACACCATGAATATCTCAAAGCTTTAGAGAAGTGAAATTCTTTTAGAAAAACAACGTTGTGATTAAACAATAAAAACAAAATATAAGCACCATTCTTGCCATGGTTTTTGTTATTTCTAATACAAATTATATGTAATCATCAAGCTGGAAAGGGCACTAAAGATCTTTTAGCCTACCTTCTTTTTTTAGGTGAGTAAACTGGAGAATATAGAGATTTTTCAAGAACTGGGAAGGGTCTGAGATTTTAGGCTATTTGCAAACTAACTAGTTAGCTTGTCACGGTTTCATGAATGCTGGTAGAAAATGCAAGACTCCTGGATAAGAGGTGAAAGACAGTTTCTTTTTTCTTTCTTTCTTTTTTCTTTTTTGAGACGGAGTCTCTGTCATGCAGGCTGGAGTGCAGTGGCGCGATCTCGGCTCACTGCAACCTCTGGTTCCCAGGTTCAAGTGATTCTCCTGCCTCAGCCTCCTGAGTAGCTGGGACTACAGGCATGTGCCACTGTGCCCGGCTAATTCTTGTATTTTTAGTAGCAAAGGGTTTCACCATGTTGGCCAGGCTGGTCTTGAACTCCTGACCTCAGGTGATCAACCTGCCTCGGCCTTCCAAAGTGCTGGGATTACAGACGTGAGCCACCGCGCCAGGCCGACAGTTTCTTATACACGGAATGACAATAACCAATGTATCAGCATCTGTATATCCAATCCTTAAGCCCCATTTCCCACAGGGGACATAAAGAAGGCTCCCTGATACATGTACAGGCAGAGCTGCATGGCAGGAGGAGAGCCCTGCACTTAGGACCCAGGACCTTTTCCAATGGGTAGAAGGCAAGTCGGCCCTTTCTCCTGGAGGGTGATTTATCTTTATTACACTAGAGAGTAAGCAAGCTATCCCTTTTCTCTAGAGGGTGATACTGCCTCTATCTTCTCAGGCTGTTTGCTTTCCAAACACCTTCAAAAACTTTATCCAGAACACAGGGCAGTCAGCACTTCACTGTCAAGATGCACAGAAATGTGAGAGATTCATAGAGAATTATTTTTCAGCAGGGATGAGTCACTTGTAGAAGACCACACAGTTGTCTTCAAGCTGAGGGTTCTTTTCACATCATTATGCTGTTTCCCCATAAATACCTGAAGCCACATCAGCATTTTCATGATGCGTAGATTCCTATTTTCTGGAAATTTGTTTTTTCCATTGGAGAGGCAAACTTTGAAATCTTCATAATAAGATTCATGAAGTCAAGACAGTTTATGCTGTTTCTAAATATCCAGGTTGTTTTACTGCCTCCCTTGCTTCTGGGATCAGCATTGGCATCCCAGTTTTACCTTGGATAGAATGTGGCCTGGCATTGCTTAGGCTGATGGAGGCAGTGGAGGTAGTTAAGAAGGAGATGGAACCAAATGTCCAGTAAGTCTGAATACAAGGTAACTCAGCATCACAGATGATTTTCCTGTTTTCTCAATTTTTCTAATATTTGTCACCAGTCTAAATGTACAAAGTCTTAGGGATGTAGATGAAATTCTGTGGCTTACTTACAACACTTAATTTATGACTTTAATTACCCATACATACTTCAATCACATATGCAATTATATGGTATGTTAGTGAAATTGCTCTTTCTCCCGTCTCCTGAAAAAGTGTTACTCAAATTCTACACATGCATTTGCGACATTTAGAGCCATTTTGGGGCCATCTGACGTGGTTTTCCAGGACCATCATTTCTACATTCATATTAAGTTTATTTTTAATACAGCAGCTGTTGTTTCTGTGCATAAATTTTATCTTAAATATAAATATATTAGAAAGCTTTGTTTTTACATCTGTGTTGTGAATATTTCATGATCTCTAAAAATTAACAATGTAGTTTGTGGCTTTTAAAGACAATATTTAAAAACCTTGTGAATAGTAACTTCCAACGGTGGCAGGTATAAGGGCATAACCCTAGCGAGTAATCCTAAATCCAGGTCACATTTCTTTGCCCCACTTTCTATCAACTCATTTAACTGAGCTCCAGAGCATCTCAACTAGAATTAGCTTAGGGCATTTCAAGATAATGCAGCTTCTTCAAAAGAAAGGGTCCTGGACCATAAGTCACTTCCTAAGAACTTGAATATAGAAAAATTCCCTTTTTACTAAGAGATGATCCTCACCTGATTATGCATGTGATATTAGCTTACCTTAACTAAGTAATTTACAATTCTAATCCCATTTTTTCTCATCAAAATAGGAAAAATGTATATACTGCTGGTGTCTGAGAGTAGTTATGAGTGTTAGATAAAATAATGAATATGAAAATCTACAAACCATAACTTACATTTGTTTATGTATTTGTTTATGATGTTCCTCCCCTGTCATTCTCTATCTTGATTGTTGGCACCCATATCCACCCAGGCACCTAAATTTCAAACCTGGAAAGAGTCTTTGATTTACTCCCCCTATAAACCATTATCAAGTCCTGCCAAATTTTTACCTTAGTATATCCTCGTCTTTATGGTCCTCTTATCCTAACTATTGCCTTGTTCTGGCTTTAATTCATTGTGTCTTGGCAGGCTCTATGATCACCTGAGAGCCTCTTTTTCACACAGCCTTCAGAGTAATCGACATAAAGGTGAATCAAATTGTGTCACTCTTAAAATTAAAATCTTCCAGTGGTTGACATTTGCCTAAACACACCCAAAGTGCATTCAGTAATTCCAAGTTCTATAAAGAAATCTCCTCTTAATAAGTAATTCCAGGCCAGGCACGGTGGCTCATGCCTGTAATCCCAGCATTTTGGGAGGCCGAGACAGGTGGATTGCTTGGAGCCCAGGAGTTCGAGACCAGCCTAGGCAACATGGCGAAACCATCTCTACAAAAATTAGCTGGGCATGATGGCTCTCACCTGTAGTCCCAGCTACTTAGGAGGCTGAGGTGGGAGAATTGCTTGAGACTGGCAGGTTGAGGCTGCAGTAAACTGAAATCATGCCACTATACTCCAGCCTGGGCAACAGAGTGAGACCCTATCTCAAAAATAAAAAACAAACAAACAAACAAAAAAGGCATTCCAGGACCAGGTGCAGTGGCTCACACCTATAATCCCAATGATTTGGGAAACTGAGGCCAGGAGTTTGAGAACAGCCTGGGCAACATATTGGGACCCTGTCCCCTGTCTCTACAAAAAGTAAAATAAAAAGATTAGCCAGATGTGGTGGTGTATACATGTAATCGTAGCTACTTGGCAGGCTGAGGCAGGAGGACTACTTGAGCCCAAGAGTTTGAGGCTACAGAGAGATGGTGCCAGCGCACTCCAGCCTGGGCAACAGAGCAAGATTCTTCCTGTCTTCACAAGGAAGAAAAGCATTCCATAATAGAAATAATTAGAAATTCTGTGTAATCGAAATTTTTATTGCTGAAAAACTCTTATTTGCATAGTAAGGCCTTATAGGAGTCCTAGAATAAAGGCATCTCTTTGTTTCCCCAAAAATGTGATATTCCTAAATGAAATTTTTTTTGTTTGGCAAAACATCTGTTATTGCTCTGAGAAAGGCACACATCAAAACGCAAGCCCATAAAATAAAGCCCAAACTCCTAAACATGGTCCAGAGGCTTCCTTTCATGACCTCGACCTGCCTGTTTCTCTCTCTGCCTTTGACCTCTCCTGAGCCCCCAACCCCAAGTGCTCGTAACTGTTAGCAGAGTTTGCAAGAAAAAGAGAGATATGTTGGATGTCCTCCAAAATTGAGGTGTAGTCTACACTCTTAAAATTGTAGTAAGTTGTAATATTTATTAGTTATAATTTATATTTAAAATTGTTTTTAGATGATAACATATCACCTTATCTTTCTCTTTGACACATGTAGATGTCATCAGGCTATTTGTTCTTTGGAGGTAGCACATACATTTTAAAGGACTAAATTCAACACCAAGATTGAAATTTTGGTTGATATTTTAAGAGTCAGTATATTGGCATACCATACAGATTCATATCATGGAGATAACAGATGGGAAAGCGGCATAAGGTATGCCTAATTTATCAAACCTAGGTAGTGTTCATATCTCAGGCATGCATATGGAGGAAAGGCCTGAATTATGTCACTGATAGTTTTACCAAGAAGTACTTACATTTATGAGATTGAGAGTTGAAGCTAATTAATGATCTTATACCTTTTTTTTTTTTTTTTTTTAGTACTCAAAAGATCCAAAGTTAGTAGTTTGATAATTAGGCTGTACTTCATTTTCAGACAGAAATTAGACATGATTAGGAATGCTGAAGCACTGGGCAGGTCAGTTGCTCATCATTATTAAAGCCATTTAATGCATTTTAATGGTGGTTGATAAGGTACAAAATGCTACGTAAGCCAAATGAAAAAGTTTTATTCCATTATATGTTAAGCGTAGATATAAATGAGTTCCCATTTGCATTTTTTATGCATTAGTTCAAAAAATTAAACATTTCTTTCTTATATATGAGTAATAGAATGTGTAATTTGTAAGAGATGGGCACTGCTGAAGCCAGCACCTCTTCACACTGTGCACCTCAGGATTCTCAGACACAAATTGTTATGTAATAGAAAATTAAGGAAAAGATCTTTTCAGCATTTGTGTGGCTGAAGAATCGTGCTTTAAGCTCTAAGACCAATTGCTTGTGTAAGTGGCTCACATTTATTAATAATATAAAATGATAATCTAGGTCTACTGTCTTATTTATGCTAGGCTTACAGACTTTGTTAATTTATAGAGGTAAACAAACAACAAAAGAGATAGTGCATAGTATAGTTTCTGGTGAATATTCTATTTTGTTAGCCATGTTTTGAAAATATTCTATGGCCGGGCGCGGTGGCTCACGCCTGTAATCCCAGCACTTTGGGAGGCCAAGGTGGGTGGATCACGAGGTCAGGAGATTGAGACCATCCTGGCTAACACGGTGAAACCCTGTCTCTACTAAAAAAAATACAAAAAATTAGCTGGGCGTGGTGGCGGGCGCCTGTATTCCCAGCTACTTGGAGGCTGAGGCAGGAGAATAGTGTGAACCCGGGAAGCGGAGCTTGCAGTGAGCGGAGATGTGCCACTGCACTCCAGCCTGGGTGACAGAGCGAGACTCCGTATCAAAATATATATATTACTAGTTCCCATCTACTTTAGAGCAATTCTTATATTTTAAAATTATTTTTCATAAATAACTTAGTGTTGGGATTTGAGGATACCAATAAATACCATCCTTTTTATGTACCTGGTTTAGAAACCATTGAGACACAGTTACAGACAGATGGAGATCAAAATATTCCTTTTGTTAACTGATAAGGAGCTATTGGGGCTTGTAGCTTATATGTGATGTCAGGTCAAGTGGATCTACTAACACGTTCTGATACACAGGCTAACCTGAGGATCAGTACTTGGGAGGGAGGTTTGAACCTGCAGAGCAGAGAGACTTCCTCAGGATCGCTGCCTCGCTTTGGTCCAAGGGAAGAGGACAGATAGAGACCATGTCTCCCATGCTCCACTCACATGAGAGGACCAATGGCTGTCATCCACCAACAGATAGCTCATTCCACTACTATGAAGAGTACTAAGAATTAGACAAGAGCCAGAACAGGTCTTTTGTTGGAAGCCAGAGTAATAGCAGCAAGCACCTTTTATGCTTCCTAAACCTCCTGATGTGGACAACACATGTAGTTTATGGTAGGGCTACACAGACAGCACACTAATTGATGATGCCACTGCCTTGTATTGTCTTAAGGGAGGCAATGGGAAACATAGTATGTCTTTATTCTATTTCTTGTGTAAAAAGTAGATGGAAATGGATGGGAACATCCTTGGTTGAGGGGACAGAGGTTGATTTCAAGGCTCTTATTACATAAACGGTAAAAGAGGAGAGGTCCTGGTGTTAAGCTCATCAGCGTCCAGCAACCTCAGCCACAATGTGTGTCTCTGACCTACTCAGGGCTGTCCACATCAGAAAACTGGAGCATAAGACAGTCTCTCTCCAAATGCTCTTGTCTTGGAGGTGTTCCCAGGCTTCACCCCATGCAGCCACCCAAAGGGAGAGACTGCCAGGAAGGCGGGGAGGAGGCATCTGTCCTGATTATTGAGTCACCAGGTAGCTATTAGTGGTCATCCCTGGTTCTTCCTGTGACTGTGTGCACATTACATGGAATCTCCAAGTGGATGGGCTGGTTACTGATTGAGACTCCTAAGAAGATTGTGTCTAAATCCCTGATTATGTCATATCAAAGCAAATGGTATCAGGATATAACCAGGAAGGTTTGTTAAAGGTGAAATCACTGTTTCATAACAGCTTTTGAAGGCATAAGAAAGCCAAAATAGTTGATAAATCTCATGGTGATTCTGGACAAGCAAGGATCTTCACTGTCCTCTTAATGAAGTGTAATGCAAGTAGCTAACATGTTTAGAATGTGCCAGGCAGTGTTCTAATAGCCTAACATGAATTAATGAATTTAAAGTAAATTAGTTCATTTTAAGTCTCAGAAAAGCCCATTTGGGATGATTACTACTATTATTCTGTTGTTTTGAGGTGGACAGTTCTGTAGATACCTGTCAGGTCTGCTTGATTCAGAGTCGAGTTCAGGTCCTGAATATCTTTGTTAATTTTCTGTCTCAATGATCTGACTAATATTGTCAGTGGGGTGTTAAAGTCTCCCACTATTATTGTGTGGGAGTCTGAGTCTCTTTGACAATCTCTAAGAACTTGCTTTATGAATCTGGGTGCCCCTGTATTGGGTGCATATATATTTAGGGTAGTTAGCTCTCTTGTTGAATTGAACCCTTTCCCATTATGTAATGACCTTCTTTGTCTTTTTTAATCTTTGTTGGTTTAAAGCCTGTTTTGTCAGAAACTGGGTTTTGTTTTATCTTCCTATTATGAAAGAGGGAATGAGGTTCTTAGAGGGCTAAATAGCCTACTGACATTCCCCAGCTAAAAAAAAAAAAAAAAAAAAATGGCAGAAGGACAAGAGCCATCTCTACAGCTGGAGCACCAAACCCCCGCATCACACTGCTTATCACCAACGCAGTAGAATCACTGGTGATTCCTACTAAGCTGAGTCCAATTCTAGAAAAAAATCTGTGACTTGTGTTTGTTTATTTAGTTTTAAAGGAAATACAACTAATAACATTTATTAAAAGCAATTTTTAGTGTTGGATTTGATTTCAGCAACATTTTAGCAAATGCTCATTTCTATATGACCTGATCTTATGTTTATGGATGATTTGTTTTGCTTTGCCTTTGAAGTTTATATTTGAAGTGCTACCAAATTTATTTAGTTGTTTACTTCTTTGTGTGTTGGTATTTCCTTCCTTCCACTAATAGCGTAAGCTCTGTGAAAGAAGTGCTCAGCAATAGTAGGAATTTTTTAAGTGTTTGTAGAATGATTAAAAGAATGAATGAATGAAGTTAAAAAGTTAATTGTTTATTTAGCTTATAGTGACCTGGTATCTTTATAAACATAGTCTACATAGTCTTAAATGGAGAACTACTGTTAATAACTCAATTGTTTTAGAAAGATGAGACAAATGAATTATTTAAAATCCTTGCAGGTCTATGATTTTGTTAAACGAAATGTACTTAATGACTCATATTCTTCATATAAGTGTGTGGTTAATGATTCATATTTTTAACACAAGTATGTACTTATTTATTTTTAATTGATGTAAAATGAAATGATCAGTGAAGAGTTGTGTTTAAAAATATTTTCCTTACAATTCCCAACAGCTTTAATAATAAGCAGTCTCATGCTTGTTTGTTTTTAACTCCAGACTTTGTATATATGATTTCCTCTCCCTATAATGCTCAATGCATTCCCCTTCATCTTATTAGCTCCTTTTTATCATTTAGATATTAGCTTCCACATCTTTTCCTCCAGGAAACATTTCTAGGCCCTTCAAGTTGGGCCAAGTGTACATTCTCTGCTACCTCTCTGGCTGCCTTCATAATGCAGTGTAGCTTACTGGTCTTACTGGATGGTTTCCCCAAACCCATATTGTTCTCGATGTTAAGACTCTCTTTAGCACCTAGTACAGGAGCAGACAGAGAAAAACATAAATATTGAATGAGTTGAGTGAATAAATGAATGAGCATCAATAACTAAGAAAGTGGGCATGCTATAAGAATTATTCTCAAGTAACAGTAAATGAGTTTGTAAAACAGAATAGGAGCCCCAGGCAGGAATCAGAGGGACACATTTAGACTGCCCTGCATAGCTCAAATGGTCATAATGGTTTCAGGCATTTTGAAAGCTGGGCATGTATCATCAGCTCATGCCACGTAATTTCCAACCTTCTATGCCAATCCCAGAAGCAAGGAGAATGAACATAAAACCAGGGAAAATGAATAAGAAACACTTGGTGAGGAAACAGCAACTGCAGGAAGGGCACAGTGAGCCAAATGTAAGGACAGTTTCCCAGGTGGGTGGAGAAACCCATGAGACATTGGAAACTGTAAGAGAAGCAGGCAAGAGAAACTGCAGAACCCAAGAGAAACTGCACAGTACACCAACAGCAGCAAAAGTGAAGGACACCACAAGGTAGTGATACCACAAGGATAAAGGAATAGTGGAGGAGAGCAAGATAGTATTGCTAAAAGAAAAACTTCAGCCGAATTAAATTCAAAGGACTTTAATTGAGCAATGAAGGATTCAAAAATCAGGCAGCCCCCAGAATCACAGCAGATTCAGAGAGACTCCAAGGATGCCTCATGGTCAGAACAAATTTATAGACAAAGAAAGTAAAGTGAGATATAGAAATCGGAAGTGAGGTACAGAAACAGCTGGATTGGTTATAGCTCGGGTTTGCCTTATTTGAACGCAGTTTGAACACTCAGCAGTGTGTGACTGGTTGAAATATGGCTGCTGGGATTGGCCAAGACTCCCGAGATTAAGGTAATGTTACAGGCGTACACTCCTAAATTAGGTTTTCAGTCTTGTCTACCTATTAAGTTAGGTTGCAGTTCATCCACAAGGACTCAAATATAGAAGTATGGAGTTCTTCTCAGTCCATACTTAAGTTTGCTGTAACAGTATGACTAGTATTATGTGCAGAGGGCAATACAGCTCTAAGAGAAACAGTTATAATTGAGCTCTGTTCTGCTGCAGTCAATAGAAGTTTCCTCTGACACATACTTGGTAACGCTGTTACCCTTCGTTTGCCTTTGTGCATACCTAAGACATCTTCCAGGACTTTTGATTCTCTTGATAATGAGTCAGCATGATGATGGGCCAGGGTCTTGTAAGGAGAGCTCACTTTTTGGAATGGATCTTCCTCTAGCTTTGTTATTCTCAGCTCAGATTTCATCCTGCCTGAGCCCTTATAGTAGAACAGTAGGTAGCTACCTAACAACGTCTGAGACCCTGGACATTCCGCCTTTCTCCTCAACACACAGTTCTTTAATGCTACCCTGATAGCTGTTTTCTTCAAGGACTTAGGTGAAGCTG
Source organism: Homo sapiens (assembly GCF_000001405.40). Lineage (NCBI taxonomy): Eukaryota > Metazoa > Chordata > Mammalia > Primates > Hominidae > Homo > Homo sapiens. Next base: position 62,363,521 of record NC_000008.11, read on the forward strand.
CAGACTGTCTCATCAAATGAGTGTGTCATCAGCTCTCTGACAACATATTGTAGAGTGCTTCTCAAATGTTAATGATCATTATTGGGGTCGATAAAATATATTATTCAAAAATTACAATACAAAAAAAGTATGTTACAAGTGCCTTAAATTGTCAGAGAAAGGAGAAATAATTTATACTTGGAGTGACTAAACAAAAACTCCAAGGGGATTAGATGAAAATTATGTTGTTTCTGTCCAATAAGCTACCCCTTGAGCAATCTAACATTTATCATAAATTCTGTTGGTGAATCTGCTATCTCAGTGACTAGCTCTATTTGAAAGAAAAAGATAGTTTCTATTTTCAAGCAGAAAAATATGAATTACTTGTCTAAAGTATTAATAGAAAGATGTTTAATCAGTCCTTAGTCTCTTTCTATTGTGCAATACAGATGAGAAATAATTTCAAAAACGATGTGGAAGGATGCAGTGTGCCATGCTAGGGTGAAATGGTTACCCAGAAGGCATCTCTTATTTGGGGTTCCTTCTCTGTATAGATGCTTATGTGAGCTTAAATTTTTTCATGTATGCTTTTCTTTAAAGCCCATCAGAGTATAAGAAAAACTGAATGTCTGTTAGCCATATTAATGAGTGAATGAATGGTTTCCTGTATGTGTTCTGTTGTAGGTCCATTAAATGAAAGCACTGAAACAAATTAGGGCTTTACTTAATGTGTATATTAATTGGCTCAAGCCTATTAACATACAAAAAGTTAATTAGCAAGTCAGGACTTGTAGTAATGTCTTAAAGGTGGTTGTAAAACTTATGTAAAAGACTTTTTCTCCAAACCATTCCACTTCTCTAACTTGGAAAGTTTATGTAATTATGAAATCTGATCCTAAAGGATGTAGCAAAACCAGTGGTCTTTCTTACTAAATTTGTTGGCCCTGCACCTAGCCTCCAACATTTTTATAATGGTGCTTCTCTTTCATGGAGCTTCAAAAGTCATTACAAGAAATTCTACTCCTTTGTTCTTCCCTTTTTAATAATTAAAAAAATCATCTGGCTGGGCTGGGTGGCTCAAGCCTGTAATCCCAGCACTTTGGGAGGCCGATGCGGGTGGATCACAAGGTCAGGAGACCGACATTCTGGCTAACACCGTGACACCCCATCTCTACTAAAAACACAAAAAATTAGCAGAGCCTGGTGGCGGGCGCCTGTAGTACCAGCTACTCCTAGGCTGAGGCAGGAGAATGGCGTGAACCTGGGAGGCAGAGCTTGCAGATCGCGCTACTGCACTCCAGCCTGTGTGACAGAGCGAGACTCCACTACAAAAAAAAAAAAAAAAAAAAAAATCATCTATGGGATATTTTACTTCCATAGTACACTTAAGTTTTTCTTGCCTCAATCAATTAAAATATACATTTGTTAAAAACCTTTATTTGCAGAGTAATTGTCCAAGCTGCCCTTTAGGATGAATCAGTAGAGCTTAAAGATGATTTGTTACAATATTAAATCTAACAAGCAACTGATTTGTAATTTTCTAAAGATATTACGGGGTGAAGAATCAAAATGGACAGCATCTAGAAATCTGTCAAAATCTAGATGCCTTCTTATTACAACTTACTTCATTTTAATATTGGGAAGTTAGCTTAACTTCAAAAGATTTTGTCTCATAATACTCTATTATTATTAGTTTGATAAATTTCAAGTATACAGAAAAGTATAGAGCAAATATCCCAAATACCTGTGTGTCTTTTGCCAGTTTCATTCTCTCCTGTCTTCCACATTGCAGCATTTGGTGTTTATTTTTTCCAATAATCTCTTAGTGTTTCACTCTATAGTTATAGACTCATAAACAATATGGTATTGTTTGCATATTTAAGCTTTATTTAAATATTAGTACATAAAATTTAAATATGTGCAGTATAACACCATTATTGCTTTTTCTGCTGAACATAATGTTTTTGATATTTATCCATATTGTTGTATGTAGTGCTAGTTCATTTACTTTAACTTCTATGTTGTATTCTATATAGAGGAATGAACATTTATGTTGTTTCTAATTTTTATTCTTATAAACTCTTGCCATTTATGCATATCATCTTGTACACATGCTACAAGAATTTCTCTAAGCTTATCGGTGTGAAATTGCTAAATCATAGCATTTGTGCAGATCTTCAACTTCACTAAGTCTGGAGCTTTCAGTTTGCACTTATCCCTCCAGGACATAGACTGCATATTGCACTGATACCAATCAGTTCTTTCTCACTATAAAATTTTTTTTTTAATCTTTTGAGTGTGAAGTGATATCCAGTTGTTGACTTAATTTGCATTTGTCTGATTAGTGTGAGCTTGAGCATTTTTGCTTATTTGCTTTATGTATTTTTTAAAAATTTTAAGGGTAATACTGGCCTCCTAAAGTAAATTTGGACGTATTCCCCCCGCTTGAATTTTTCAAAGTTTAAGAAGAATTGGTATTCGTTCATCTTTAAATGTTTCATAGAATTCAGTGCTGATGCCATCTGGTGCTGTGCTTTTCTTTGATGTAAAGTTCTAAATTACTTATTCAATCTCCTTACTCACTATTGGTCTTTTCAGACTTTCTATCTGTTCCTAATTTAGTCTCAGTAGGTTGTATGTTTCTAGGAATTTACTGTTTTATTTTAAGTCATCTAGTTTGTTGGAGTATAATTCTTTACAGCAGTCTTTTGTGATTCTGTTTCCTTTTTTTTTTTTTTTTTTATTGAGGTGGAGTCTCACTCTGTCACCCAGGCTGGAGTGCAGTGGTGTGATTTCGGCTCACCACAACCTCTGCCTCCAGGGTTCAAGCAATTCTCATGCCTCAGCATCCCGAGTAGCTGGGATTACAGGCATGCACCACTGTAGTTGATTAATTTTTGTATTTTTAGTAGAGACAGGGTTTCACTATGTTGGCCGAGCTGGTCTCGAACTCCTGACCTCAAGTGATCAGCTGCCTCAGCCTCCCAAAGTGCTGGGATTAAAGGCGTGAGCCACTACGCCCAGCCGCTTCTTTCTATTTCTGTGGTATGTTTTAATGTCTCCTTTGTCATGTCTGAGCCTTCTTTTTATTCTAGTTAACCTCACTAAAGTATTGTCAATTGTCAATTTCATTTTTATTTTCAAAAAACAACTCCAGTTCATTGATCTTTTCTATTGTTTCTCTAGTTTCTCTTTATCTCTGCTCTGATCTTTATTTTTTCTTTCCTCGTACTAACTTTGGATTGAGTTTGTTTTTTTTCTTGTTCCTTGAGGTATAACACTTGGTTGTTTATTTGAGATTTTTCTTCTTTTTTAATGTAGGCATTTATAGCTACAAACCGCCCTCTTTGAACTGCTTCTGTTGTAGCCTATAAGTTTTGGTGTGTAATATTTCCACTTTTGTTTGACTCAAGATATTTTTTGATTTTTCTTTCAATTTATTTTTTGACTCTTGGTTATTTAGGAGCATGTTGTTTCATTTCCACATATTTGTTAATTTTTCAGATTTCCTCCTGTTATTGATTCTCATTTTGATAGCATTGTGGTCAGAAAAGATACTTGATATTATTTCAGTCTTCTTAAATTTGTTAAGACATGTTTTATATCTTAACATATGATTTATCCTGGAGAATATTTCAAGTGTGCTTCAGAACAATGTGTATTCTGCTGCTATTGAATGGAATGTTCTGTGTGTATCTGTTAGCATTACCATAATAACAAATAATGCTAGCTTACCCTGATACCAAAGCCAGGCAAAGACAGTGTAAGAAAAAAAAAAATAGGGTGATGTCCCTGATGAACATAGATGCAAAAATTCTCATCAAAATACTAGCAAACCAAATTCAAAAGCACATTAAAAACACCATACATCATAATCAAATGTGATTTATTTTGGGGCTGCAAGGATGGTTCAATATGTGCAAATCAATAAACATTATGCATTACATTAATAGAACAAAGGACAGAAACCAAATAAACGTGATCAATAGATGCAGAAAAATGTTATAACAAAATTCAACATTCATTTATGATAAAAACTCTCAACAAATTAGATATGATTTAGTATGTAAGGATTGCACCTTACCACAATAAAGGTGCAATTTTATATGTGATAAGCCTACAGCTAATATTTATGCTCAATGGTGAAAAACTGCAAGTTTTCTTTTTAAATTTATGCACAAAGCAAGGATACCCACTCTCAACACTACTATTCAGCATAATAACTGGAAGTCCTAATCAGAGCAGTTAGGCAAGAGAGAGAAATAAAAGACCTCCAAATTGGAAGGAAAGAAGTTAAATTGTCCTTCTTTGCAAATGGCACAATCTTATATATAGAAAACCCTACAGACTCTGAGAACTAGTAAATGAATTCAGTAAAGTTAGAGGATATGAAGTCAGCATACAAAAGTCAGTAGTGTCTCTACACTAATGAGGAACTATCATAAAAAGAAAGTAAGAAAACAATCCCATTAAAAACAGCTACAAAAAATAAAATACTTAGGAATAAATTTAACCAAGGAGGTAAAAGACCTGTACACTGAAAGCTCAGCAACACTATGAAAGAACTTGATGACACAAATAAATGGAAAGATATCTTATGTCCATACATTGGAAGAATTAATATTTTTTAAATGTTCATACTCCCCCCAAGGAGATCTACAAATTCACTACAATTGCTGTCAAAATCCCAATGATATTCTGTATATAAATAGAAAGAACACTTCTAAAATTCATATGGAACCACAAAATACCCAAAGACAAAAAAGAACAAAGCTTGAAATATCATAGTACTTGATCTCAAAATCTATTATGAAGCTATAATAATCCAAAAAGAATGGTATTTCACAATAACATATACAACAGTAGACAGAATAGAGGGCCAAGACATAAATTCATGCATTTACAGTCAACTGATTTTTGACAAATGTGTTGAGAACACACACAGAAAGGATCATCTTTTTAATAAATGGTGTTGGAACACCTCAATATCCACATGCACGTGAAAGTTGTCAGAATCAAAATGAAGGCACTGGTATTAAAAACCACCACAAATACAGCTAGCTGGGGAAGGGCATGAAGGGGGGCTTCTCCGGAACAAATGCCTGATAACAAGAACTATCATAAAAGATTCTGCAAAAAACACCTTGTGCAAAAGGCCATCACAACCTTACACACACACATAAGTCTTGTGGACATCTGCCTATCATCTGTTTGTCCAAACTCAGACTGGTATCATACTTGTTATTAATACATGTAGTCAAGGATAATTATCTCAAAACTATTATTTAATTATTCTCATTTTTTCTTTAAAAACTTTTTCTTGTTTTTTTTTTTTAACTTCCCTGAATATGCACGTGGCTTACTATGGCACATGTATTCCCATTGCAATGCCTATTCTAGGAAGAATATTATTTTCTTTTAGAGAGTCTCCCTTGCAGTTTGTTATTTATTGACAAAATGGTGTCAGAAGTTAAACCAAAGTGAGCTCACCTAGGTTCAATAGGTGGCTCCTGGAATCATGTAAGGTAGCAATTGAGCCCTTTGCACTCTTCATTTCCATGAGTCACCTTTTCTGTGCTGGTAAATCTCCTCTCAGATTCTTTTACTTCTTCCTTTGTTGAGTTCTTTTTAACTTTATTCAAGATCTGATTTGGCTATAAATAAGGCTGCCCTAAATAAAGGACCTTGTATCCGTCTTAAGACTATGAAAGTTTTTTCTGTTGTTTTTGTGGCAAGCCCTTTCTGGTATAAAGACAAATGTCCTTCTGGTTAAGTACTCTGGTTTTTACAGAATTTACATTGTGTCTATGAGGGTGTCTTTTTTGGTGAATTCACTTTTGATTCTGCATAACAGGTTTAATATTTGTTTGATCTGCATACCTGGGTTAAAATGTTTGTGAGTATTCTGATTTTGGTTTCATTTTGGTTATGCATGTCTGTAAATGATTTGACTCCTTTTCCCTTGCATGTTTCTGAACATTTCCAAGAGCAAAAATAAACATTCTAAATGGTGGACATGGAATGGCCAACAGAGCAGTCATACTACCATCTACAACACCTGTTCAAATTACTGACATTCCCTGAGAGAATTTATAGGAATGTCTTTGCTCTTGAGAGAATAATGAGAAATGGAATTGGATTCTTAAATATTAAGGCATACCAAAACTTTCTCTGACTCCTGATGGCTACATAGATTTTCCTCATGCATGTTTTCAAATCCATAACCATCAGGGGGATTATTTGAACTCCCCCCAAGTCTGTTGTTTTTTTTTTTAAGAGAATTGTAACTATACAGTTAACAGATAGAGCCTTCCAGGTTCTGCCTATCTCACTGTTTCTTTGCCTGCCTACTTTGAATCTGCTGACTTTTCTGCTGATGTTGAGATAAACTTACTGCTTATGGCATTCCAGCCAAGATAGAAAAAAAAAGTCTTAAAGAACTTTGAGATTAATGCCTTACAAAGTACAGTAGTTCCATGGCAACCAATACCTAGATTTCTTTTTGAGATGTTAATTTTGGCTTGCCTAACAGTTCCTTAGTGTGATGAAGCAGTTAGTTGAAGAGTTGATATTTTAAAATAAAAGAGCTATTTAAATGTTTATAAAAGTTACCAAATCAACAGTGTCAAATTATTGAACTCAGAGAAATAGTATAAAGTATCTCTGTCAGCATTGAAATTGCTGTATCTGTCACACAAGGTCTAGAAATTGCTGAAGAAAAAAATAATAACTTAAAAAAATGTATAATTTCTTCCTGGCCACATTGACTACAAACCAGACCAGCAAACAAAAGAATAATCTGTTAGTAGTTCAAGGATGCTTGGACAGTTTGTTTTTCTTATATGATTCAGCCAGTCCTACGCGAAATGTAAACATTTAAAAATTTAACTCCTTAAACTTGCTTGAAGCTGAAAAAAGAAAATGGGGGGGAACAAAAGACAAAAAGCATTAAAAAATCAAACTGCTGTGGAAATTGCATACATGTATATATACACATCTATGCACACACACATACACAAACACATGATCATATATGTATTCCTCTAGTAATTTGTACTGAAGTACCTTGACCATATTTATTTTCATAATTTGGCTGTTATAAACGGAAAAATCTTCTTTTCACTAGTAACTGGCCTAGTATCTGTTCAATATTATTAAGGAATTTTTATCAAGAATGAAACAGCTAGCACTACCTATTGTATTAAAATTGTAAAACATTATTATTAAATTTTTAAAATTGTAAAACATTCTGTACATCTCAACTATGGGCAAGAATGTGGTGTTAGAAAATCATTTTCTATGACTGGACTTGGAGCAGACCCAGAAGAAATGCAGCAGGAATTCTACAAAGTCCAGCTACCTTAGACGTGGAATTGCTTCTTTTGAAATTTAAAACCAATGAAAGTAGATGCACCAATCAAGTCTATATGAGCCTTCAGTTGTAAATGTGTTTCATTTCAAGACTGTCTGTAGTAAATCTTAGAGAACATTTTTAAACATAAGCAGATAAACATGGTATATCGTGAGTCATAGAGTAACTTAACTTACCCTTCTGTTGCTTTATTTTATTAATGATTACTGGGTTGATGTCTTGCCATGTCATCTTATCCTCAAAGTCTGTGAAAATTATGCTCCTGTTTTCTGTTTAATACCCCTGCAAAGCCAAGTTCAGACAACATATTTTGTTGTTGTTTTAAAGGCAGCCTGTTTTCTTATATCTCTCTCTCCATCTTTTCACTTTTCTTAGTCTATCTTTTTTTAAACAATTTTTTTTCTTAATTCTTTCAAGAACCATCTACATAGATTATGTTTAGGTGTTTTTGGAATACAATGAAACTAGTTTTTATATGCATAGTAAGAACTTTTTAAACCTTCTTGATTAAAAGACTTAGTTCCATTTTAAAAATTGTTATTCTACTTCAGTTATTATTTCTTCCTCTGAGACAATCCATTGGTTACCTGTTTTCTACCCTCCAGACTTATGGTCCCCTTGTTTCACTGTCTTTAGCTTTTCTACTGAATTCTGGGAGAACTTTCCCTGTATCCAGTTCCTTGATTTTATGTTCTGCAATATAAATTCTGCAAGGTAAATTTTTGCCTTTCAATATGGATTTTAATTCTGGGTTTCTGTTTTGTAATAATTTCATTTAATAAACTTGAATTCATTCTTTATTTCACGTACCTCCATTTATTTAATACACTTTAAAATAATTATTTAATACACTAATAAATAATTTGTACTTAATATACTTTAATGCATTCTTTATTTCACATACCCCTATTTTATTGTATGTTGCTGTTTCTAGTTTCAGACTATTCTGCTTTCTGTGAACAGTGAGAATGCTAAGGAAGTTTCTAAAACTTTCTTTCAGTTCCCATGGTAAATTATTTTCAGTGCTCAGCCCCGCCTTTATTTCTGACAGAGAAGTCTCCATTTACCTTCTTTGCCAAAGGATTATCAAAATGCCATTCCATTCCTTTTCTGTTTTGCTTTTTTTTCTATTTACTATACTTGATGATAGAAACCTGTGTCAGAGATATATCTTAGTCCTGGTTTAAACAATGAAAACATAATGGTTTTAATACTGATTAGATACTGTGAGATAGAGAAAGCCAAACTGATTAACTTGGAGATCCATCAGATTTTAACAAGGAATTTATAAGGACTGAAACATGAATCTTTTGCCTTTATGTATAGGGCATTTACTTAAAAAAAGAAAAAAAATGTTTTAGGTCACACACACATATATTCTTTAAGTAATATTTAGTGTTTAGGTAGATACTGAAGATTATTAATCTTCAGTCTTATTTCTCTAGAAAGACTTAAAATGTCATAAATAGATGCAACTTGTTTTCTCTTAATTTTGTAAGATGAGTAGAAAGTTAAGTCATTATTTTCTCTGAATTTTGGTACTGATATATTTCCTTTTCATGTTTCTGAAAAAATATATGGTATTCTTCTTGAATGAGAAGAAAACTGTCAGCTAAGTGAATACCTTTAGACATTCATCCATTTATCTGGTTGTGGAGATTCGCATCATATATTTTGTGTCATAATTAAGTAGTTGAAACAATAGATGTTATTTAACTATGGGTATACTTCCTTATAGTTTTGATAGCTATAATTTAAAATTTATATACTTGTCTATATGCCAGATTCATTCTAAAATTGTATTGTTCTCAATTCATTTTTATTTTATGTTTCCTTGTTTTATGAAGACAGCAAGCAATTAGAATCTCATAAAATCAAAACTTCATGAAGTATTTACAAAAGACAACACACATAGAGGCACAGATAGACCACTTTTTATAAGAGTCTCTATCTTTTACCTTTTGATTTTAAAATAAACCTTTTAACAGTCCCTTCTCTGTCTTTTTGCAGGCATTTTTAAAAATTATATTTTCTATTGTTGGTTTTCCTTTAGAAAAGAAAGAACATTCTTACACCTACCAGCAGGACAAGCAAATTCTGCAAAGCAACTTTGCAAAACACTTTTAACAATTGTAGAATTTGTATATTTCCTTTGACTCAGGATGTCTAATTCTAGAAAGTTAACTTGAGAAAATAGTCTTGGGTTATTCAAAAATATCACTAGAAAGAGAGGCATTATGTAGCTATTTAAGGTAGTTAAGTGCCAGGATCTGTGTGAAGTGCTACATTTCATCCCAAATATTATCCCTTTTTGGTTCGGATAAATAGAGGTTACTCTAAAAGACTGCCAAATTTTAGACACATTTCTTACAATAAAAAACATTTTATGTTGATAGCTGTACCATCAAATGAATAAAATATGTGTTATAAAATCTTCCTGGCCAGGTTTACTTTTAAGATTTCTAGGCTGAAATTCTACTAACTTTATTTGAAATAGCTGTATGATTTCATAATTGTTAAGAGAGTTCTTAGAGAAAACATCAGAAATCCTGACTACACACCAATATTTTTGGATACCTTTATTCTCACTGAGAGAGGAGAGATTATACTGATCTGTTTTGCTCTTATGCCTTATTTATACTCTGCCAGTTTGGAAATTTAGAACCCTTCCAAACCAAGGCTTTTTGGAGTTATTTCAGATTTACAGTTTAGGTCTCATGAAGATTTTTATAGTTGAAATAATGGATCATTTGATGTAAGGTTGCAAGGCAAGCAAAGCAAGTCAAACACTTACTTAAAAGAAGATTAAAGTTACACATCTATTGCACTGAAGAAAATGAGTTGCCATTAATTGCAGCAGTCCATCAACAAATGTACTTTATTATCACAAATGTGTGCACTGTCACTTCAATAAGCTGTAAACTGAATCCCAATACCCTCTGTAGAAATTATACTTCTTGGCCGGGTGCGGTGGCCCATGCCTGTAATCCTAGCACTTTGGGTGGCTGAGGCAGGCAGATTTCCTGAGCTCAGGAGTTTGAAACCAACCTGGGCAACATGGTGAAACCCCGTCTCTACTAAAATACAAAAAATTAGCCAGGCGTGGTGGCAGGCGCCTGTAGTCCCAGCTACTTGGGAGGCTGAGGCAGGAGAATTGCTTGAACCTGGGAGGCAGAGGTTGCACTGAGCCAAGATCTCGCCACTGCACTCCAGCCTGGGTGACAGAGCGAGACTCCATCTCCAAAAAAAAAAAAAAAAAAAAAAAAGAGAAGACAGAAGAAGAAAGAAAGAAAGAGAAAGAGAAATTATACTTCTTGACTTCAGAAAGACAACTAAAATACAACTCTCAAAATGAGAAGGTTTTTAGTGGCTGTCTCTGGAGTTAAGTCATGTTTAGCTAGTGCTATTCACTCAAAATTCCATTTAAAGTATTTTCTTTACTAGACCATAGTAGACTTCTACAGAGACTAAGAATATTCATAAGTACTGGCAATTGCAGCCTAACTCTAGTTAGCATAAATTGGCAAATGAAGTTCAAATTATGCATTGGCTTCTGCAGGAGTGATGCAGTACATCAGTTACCTGAGAATTCAGGAGTCCAGGCTAAGGAAAATGGTTTGTTAGCTTTAATCAAAATAAGAAGTATTTTCCCTCCTAAGAAGGTTGCTTCTATGTTTCAACTGTGAGTGTGAACCATGAAATAAGAGCTTCTTGGTGCAAATTGTACATTGATACAGTCAATTCTCATGGTTTACTTAAAAGCTTCACATTGTTTAACTATTAAAGAAAATCTTGGCAAATTAAACAGTTCTAGCAGGGTTAGGGGAGGATTGAAAGATTGAAGTAAATCTGACAAAGCCCAAATCAATAGAAATTCAAACAAATGTGTGTTAAAACTGGCTATTTAAACCAAACTTTAGTCTGTAATGTTATAGCATATTATCTACCTAGTCCATTTATTTGGAACACAGTGGATCTTTTGAACATATGTTACTGAACTTGGGAAAAGATAATCACAACTAAATCCTGTATGCACATAAAAAGAGCTGCACAACTCTGTGGCAACATTTGCACAATTTTTGCTTCTTTCTTTGTGTGTTGTCAATCATTAATTATTTCATTTTCAGGACTTCTTATGTGTAAATGCTCTGTTCCCCTACACCAAATTAAATAATCCACACTACCTTAATGAAAATGAATTATTTGAAACAAATTGATTATTCTCAATATTGAATTCAAAGTCAACCTTACACATTTTGAATTAACCAGACCAGCTTTTTCACTCTCCAGCCTCTGGATCATAAGCATGCCATTTAAACTCAGAGATTTAAATCTGTCACCTATTAAATGGGACCGATGTCATCAGGCCTATATTCTTCACATAGTGTGAAGATCAATTATATAAGGTCCATGAATCCTATGAAGTACAGTTCAAATGCTGTGTATCAATATTGATAAGCACTGCAGGTTTTTCCTTTGAAAACATGTTTGAAACCCACTGATAGCACACCCTGGAAATGAGTAAATCTGAACCACAGGCCATGACAATCATTCAAGGTGCTGTGCTGGAGGGAGAGCTCAGACCTGAGAGTCAGAGAGATCTGATTAAGACATAGTTTAGGCTACTTAGTATCCATGAGCCCACATTTTATATATTTAGCCGTTCTGAACTTCGATTGATTTTTTGATTCATAAGCGTAAATACTACTATTATATTTAGGACTGTCAAATGTTAACTCTACCACCTAAATTACCAATCGGAGAGACAGAAGATGACATTTCATAAGGTATATTCATATGCTCAGAACACAACCTACTGCCTGGACAGATTATATGGGATAAAAGAAAACCAGTTACAGAAAGAATCTTTAATGATATTAAAATGCTTAATTTACATGTACTCCTAAAACTCTAATTGAATATATATGTTTAACAATAAATTCTAAGGATTTGTTTTTGACAAAATTTCAGTCCACAGACTTTGATGCTGCTGTTCTGAGTCATTTTTGTTTGCAGCAGTTTCAACATGTTCTTACCTTTATATTATACTTGCTCTTGTTCACTTAAGGAGTTCTTACTTGGATTTCTTACTTTCTGTGAGGCACTATGTTAGGTGCTGGGAAGACAAAGAGAAGAGATGCAATCTCTCTCCTAATGGTGCTCATATGCAGTCACTAATGAAAATTGTTCCAATAAAATGTAAAATGTTGAACTGCAATTGTATTAGGAGTGAGGAGCACTACGCTGAGCTATGAAAACTTTCCTACCACAGAGAGTTCCCCCAGACACAGGGAGCTTCTCTGACTTTATTCCTGAATCTATGTGCTCTATGTTTGCAGATCCTTCACGCATGGGAAACACTATGGTGTATGAATGGGATTTTAATGACTAACACCTAATATGGAATTTAAAATATAATACTCTCTGCAGAAAGGCTTTCCCTGATGACCTAAATGTTCTAGCTTCTTTCCTTGCCTTAATCTTGAATTTAATTCTTTTCATGAAATGGGCCCAGGCCTTACTTGTACATCTCCATCTATTCTGACACCAGCTTATCATCTAAATGCTGTCTCTAGTCTGCTAGTCTTTTCAAGTACTAAAATTCCCACCTTTGAAAAACAGTTTTTCTGTGATAGGGACTCCCAGGTGAGTCCTTCTTCTTAGTCTACAGGTGCTTGCACCTGTCTGGGACCACTCTGCATCTTGGCCTGTCTACCTTGCTCTCTGTAACATTGTACCATTTTCTCTAGGTACTGATCTCAGTTCCAACTCAAGTTTCCTAATATAAAGCTGTAATAACTGCCTCTCAATCTTCTCCTATATTCAAATGTTCAGCCTAGGGATTATATCATGGGGATTAAAAATGCAAATATATTTACACTCTATTATTTAGGTAAAAGGGAGTTGTTTAGGCCATTCTAGGATAATTTAAATAGTAAATATAAAAAAAACTTTTCTCTAGATATTGGTAAATTTACATATAATCGTATTCTCTTATCTAGAATCAACCCTCCATGGAAGATAATTAAGTCACAATAGCTACTTTTATACTGACTTTATATATATTTTGATTTTTCTATATATAACACAAAATAACCCTGTAGAAAGACCTACATTGTATGCAGATAAAGCATTCTAAACTTTTTTCATGAATTTCAAGAAGTTCAGTGAAAAACTTTAGTACATAAACATTAAGTTTTGATGAGAAGGTTAATGTAATGGAAAATTAACAATAGACTAAAAGCACATTTTACTGCCTAATTCGCATTTAATTAGAACTGGGTTTTCATTTCTGCTATGAAAAAAATGTTGATTGCTCAAAATTATGCACTCTTCTTTTAAAAAAATTCTTCCCTCTTTGTTTCTTTGTATCTACTACACACACACAGAGTTGCATAGTTTCATATACATAAACACAGCTTTTTCCTCTACTCTTTCTTCAAATAAAAGCTCCAAAATTCTCTTATTTATTAAGAGCTTATTTAGGCTCTTAAATAATTAAAGTCTTATTTTTCTTTTAAATGGTTTGATTCTCAGAACCATTTTGAGTGTAAGAGCAAAGGTGAAGTTTCAGTCATTTTCAAGTATATGAATAGCATTAATGCACTAACACACTGTTATTGCCTTTGTGGAGTAGAAAATAACGAAATAATGGGCTCTAAGTGTAGCATAGTGATATGGTTTGGATTTCTGTCCCCAACCAAATTTCATCTTGAATTATAATCCCGTAATTCCCACAAGTTGTGGGAAGGACCTGGTGGGAGGTAATTAAAACATGGGGGTGGTTCCCCCCATGCTGTTCTCATGATAGTGAGTGAGTTCTCATGAGATCTGATGGTTTTGTGAGTCTGTCATTTCCCCTGCTTGCACTTATTCTCTCTCCTGCCACCCTGTGGAGAGCTGCTTTCCGCCATGGTTGTAAGTTTCTTGAGACCTTCCCAGCTATGCAGAACTATGAGTCAATTAAACCTCTTTTCTTTATAAATTACCCTGTTTTGGGTATTGCTTCATAGTGATGTGAGAATGGACTAATACAGTAAATTGATATCAGAAATGGGGTGTTGCTATAAAGATACTCAAAATGTGGAAGTGACTTTGGAACTGAGTAACAGGCAGAGGTTGAAACAGTTTAGAGGGCTCAGAAGAAGACAGGAAAATGTAGAAAAGTTGGGAACATTTTAGAGACTTGTTGAATTGCTTTGACCAAAATGCTGATAGTGATATGAGAAATGAAGTCCAGGCTGAGGTGGTGTCAGTCGGAGGTGAGGACCTTGTTGGGAACTGGAGTAAAGGTCACTCTTGCTATGCAAAGAGACTGGCAGCATTTTGCCTCTGCCCTAGAGCTCTGTGGAGCCTTGAACTTGAGAGAGATGATTTAGCATATCTGACAGAAGAAATTTCTAAGCAGTAAAGCATTCAAGAGGTGACAGATCATAAAAGTTTGAAAAATTTTCAGCCTGACAATGCAGTAGAAAAGACAAACCCATTTTCTAGGGAGAAATTCAAGCCAGCTGCAGAAATTTGCATAAGTAATAAGGAGCCAAATGCTAATACCAAGACTAGGGGAAAATGTCTCCAGAGCATGTCAGAGAGCTTTGCGGCATCACTTCCCATCACAGGCCTGGAGGCCTAGGAGGGAAAAATGATTTCCTGGGCCAGATCCAGGGCACCCCTGCTGTGTGCAGTCTTGGGACTTAGTGCCCTGTGTCCCAGTATAGTCTAAAAGGGGCCAAGGTACAGCTCAGGCTATTGCTTCAGGGAGTGCAAGCCCCAAGCCTTGACACCTTCCACGTAGCGTTGGTCCTGTGGGTACACAGAAGACAAGAATTGAGGTTGGGGAACCTCCACCTAGATTTCAGAGGAGGTATGGAAATGCGTGGATATCCAGGCAGAAGTCTGCTGCAGGGATGGAGCCCTCATGGAGAACCTCTGCTAGTGCCATGCAGAAGGGAAATGTGAGTTCAGAGCCCCCACACAAAGTCCCACTGGGGCACTGCATAGTGGAACTCTGAGAAGAGGGCCATCATCCTCCAGAGCCCAGAATGGTAGATCTACCAACAGTTTGCACCTTGTGCCTGGAAAAGCCCCAGACACTCAATGCCAGCCTGTGAAAGCAGCCTGGATGGGGGCTGTACCACACAAAGCCACAGGGATGGAGCTTCTCAAGGCTGTGGGAACCTACCTTTTGCATCAGTGTGACATGGTTGTGAGACTTGGAGTCAAAGGAGATAAGTTTGGAAATTTAAGGTTTAATGACAACTCTGTTGGATTTTGGACTTACATGGGGCCTGTAGCCCCTTTGTTTTGTCCAATTTCTCCCACTTGTAGTGGGTGTATTTATCCAATACCTGTACCCCGATTGTATCTAGGAAGTTACTAACTTGCTTTTGATTTTACAGGCTTATAGGCAGAAGGGACTTGCCTTGTCTCAGATGAGACTTTGGACTTGGAATTTTGAGTTAATACTGGAATGAGTTAAGACTTTTGGGGACTGTTGAAAGGACATGATTTTGTTTTGATATGTGAGGACATGAGATTTGGGAGGAGCCAGGGGTGGAATGATATGGTTTGGCTTAGTGTCCCCACTCAAATCTCATCTTGAATTGTAATCTCATAGTCCACATGTGTTGTGGGAGACCCAGTGAGAGGTAATTAAACCATGAGGACATTTTCCACCATGCTGTTCTCATAAGAGTGAGTGAGTTCTCACAAGATCTGATGGTTTTATGAGTCTGGCATTTTCCCTGCTTGTACTCATTCTCTCTTCTGCCATCCTGTAAAGAGGTGCCTTCTGCTATGACTGTAAGTTTCCTGAGGCCTCCCAAGCTATGCAGAACTGTGAATCAATTCAACCTGTTTTCTTTGTAAATTACCCAGTCTCTGGTATTTCTTCATAGCAGCATGAGAACAGACTAATACACATAGGAAAAAGGAGCCTTCATTTTTTTTCAGGACAGACCTTCCACTAGGGACTCCTACATAGTTTACCTCCTCAAACTGACTATAAATAATAGGCATTCTTCACATTTTCATATTACAGATGAGGATACAGAGGCTCAGGCAGGGCTCAGCAGGTGACAGAGCTGGTATATGAGTCAAAATAAATGTCCCTGTCATGATATCTCATGTCTGAGGCAATTCAATGTATTTAAGGAAAAGTGCCTTGCAATTAAGGTTGTTAAATAGTAAAATGGATTGGTAAAGGGGTTGGTAACTAGTACTTTAACATGTATTGTATGTTAACATTGTTAACATGTATTTGTTTGAAATAGCTTAGGCAGACTTCTGCCTAAAGAATGAAATATAGACAATGTAGCCTTTACTACAAGCTAGGATCCCTGTTATGAGAAGAGTTTTAAATTAATAAATAGTTTGCATTTTCAAAGGATAAATGAACTCATTCTTATGTCTCATTAGGATAACTCAGACAACCACTTGGACCTCTAGAATCTTTTGCTATAAGTCTAGTTGTCTCTGTCCCTCATGGAATGTCACTCTTGTATACATAATGGGCTTTTTCATCTCTTTCTCCTATCAGATGCCAATGGGAAGAAAGACTAAAACATTTCAGTGTTTTTCTGGCTCATTAGATAATCCAGCAGGTGCATGCCCCACTTTCCAGCACTAGTCTTAAGCAATCAAGGCCCTAACCACCCCAGGTACTGAGCATATATGCCTGTGTCAGAGCTTTGGCAGAAATGACAGTAAACAAGGCTGAGTGTCTCTGTGCTGGTCCTAGGAATGCCTTGTTGTAGGAAAGTGGTAGAAAAGGTTGTCTAAAGTTTGTTAGATAAGCAAGCTCCCATGTCAACCTTCGAGTTTGCAAATTTGAGTAATTACTGTTTAATATTCAAGTGCAAATAAAACAAAGGAAAAGCTCTCAAATTACTTTAAAATGTTATAAAAGCTTTGGTTTGGCAATCTACAGCTCATACTGAAAATGTGGGTACTTAAAGCAGATCACAACAGGTGAATTCAATCAAACATTCATGTGTGAAATATGAGCTCGGTTGTAAGCCATTCTGAAGAACTATTATGCCAATAAAGAGAAAATGGTAATGGATTTTTTTTCCCTGTGAAGCACAAATGGGGACTTTATAATTTACTTCTTATGGGTTCTATTGAGAAAACCCATTGTGATGTACTTTTGGGTATCCCTGCTTTAAAAAATATCAATTACTTAGTTTTCCAATTAAAAACATAAATTAACTATGCTTTATTTCATATTACATTTTCCAGAATCATAAAAGTGAATAAAGTATTATTTCCATACTTTCCAAGGCTCTTTATCATTTCTGAATATGTGGATTATTAATCAGTTTGCTTTTTCCTTCCCTTGTCATTGATAAGTTCTCCTGTAGTTAAAATTTTTACCTGTTTTTTCTTTGTATGAAGACGTTTTAAAAGACTGAGAATCAGTTTTCTTCACCATTCATCAAGACATTTTTATCCTTTCAATCAAATTCAAGCTAAAATTTTACTCTTAGCCTAAATCGTTGATTATGCATTTAAATCTTCTTTATAAAGGGATGCCCTTTACTATATTCTTCTCTACCCTCGAAAGTCAAGCTTCTTATCCTTTAGGTTTAGAATGTACTGTTTGACTAGATGGTACTTCTGATATACATATATATATACATACACACACATATACATATATATATTAGAACAAGGCAATTAGGTGGTGTTTAGCCATATAAAGCCATATATCTTTTCCCAAAGCCTGCCCCATAGTAGGTAATATGGCCAGTTTTCTGAATAGTTTCATTGAATAGACTCACTCCAGTCTAGGACTCTGATAGATGGAGTGGAGAGACTTTGATCTACAGACAAGACTAGAACTCAGTTCTCCTAACTACTAGCTTAATGTTCTTTCCAATACATGATAGTTGGTTAATATCAATGACTGTATAACTCTCAATAAGTTTTTCCCTAGGCATGAATATCTTCTTAATATTTTTACCAACCTGCATGTATAGGCTACTTTTTCCTTTTTCTAACTTCTGGTTAAATTCCATCAATTCTAAGTTTAAAAGTTCTTTGGTTGGAGGAGTCAGAGTGCTGGAGAATCCTCCTTGCTCCTTCTACTAAAGTAATGCCCTCTGTCTTTAGGGACTGCACAGCATTCAGATGTGGGCTAGCATGTTGTTTTAGTACAGCCCATCCTTGAGCAACCCAGGGATTAGGGAAACTGACACCATGCACAGTTGAAAATCCAAGTATAAATTTTGACTCTTCAAAATCTTAACTACTTATATCCTACTGTTGACTGGAAGGCTTATGGTTAACATAAACAGTCAATTAACAAATTTACATGTTGTATAGTATAATATACAATTATTTTGTATACAGTAAAGTAAGTTAGAGAAAACAAAATGTTATTAAGAAAATCATAAAGAAGAGAAAATATGTTTACTATTCATTAAGTGGGTCATAATAAAGGTCTTCATCCTTGTTATCTTCACATTGAGTGAGCTGAGGAAGAGGAGGCAAAGTAAGGGTTGGTCTTGCTGTCTCAGAGGTGGCAGAGGTGGAAGAGGTAGAGGAAGTGGAACTAGAGGCAGGCATAATTTTACAGAAATTTGTATAATTTTACAGAAATACATGATAATTTCTGTCTAACTTTTTGCTTTTCCATTTCTCTAAGTATGTTTCTATATTATACCAACATTTCTTCCACCACTTTCTTTAGTCCAGTAACCATATAAAAGAAGGGTTCAAGTCATAAATGAAGTAAAAGCAATATTTAATTATTGGAACCCTTCTTCCAATTTGTCTAATGTCAATTCGTTTTCTGGCACTGCTTCTTCTATGTCTTCTTCCTCATTTTCTGGCACTGGTTTGGAAGCTCTTATCTTCATCAAGTTGTCTTCTCCTCTGGTGTGGTGGCTGTTAGCTCTTTAATTTCTCCGATATCTATATTTTGAAACCCTTCACGCTCCACCTTTTTTCCATATCCAAAATTTCTTTCACAGTTTCCTTGATTGGCTCTGTCAGAAATCCTGTGAAGTCATGTGCAACATCTGGACACAGCTTTTTCTACAATAACGATGGCCACTTTAATGGTGTAATCTTCACAGACTTTCACGATGTTCTTTCAGGGTTCTCTTCCATAGTGTTGACAATCCTTTCCATAGTGTACCATGTTTAATGAGCCTCAAAGGTCCTTATAATCCTCTGGTCTAGAGGCTGAATTGGAGACATTGTGTTTGGGGGGAAGTAGACCACTTCGATGACTTTGATATTGAACTCAAAGGGTTTTGGGCAGCCAGGGACATTACTCAATACCAAAAGAACTTTAAAAGGCAGTCCCCTACTGGCAAAGTACTTCCTCACTTCAGGGACAAAGCACTGATGGAACCAATCCAGAAAAATGATTCTCATTGTTTAGGCCTTTTTGTATGACCAAAAGACTGGAAGCTGGTGTTTATCTTTTCCCTTGAAGGCTTGGAGTTAACAGCTTTATAGATAAGGGGAGTCCTGGTCACCAACCCAATTGTATTTGCAAACAAGTGGAGTAGCCTTTTCCTTCCTGCATTAGATCCTGGTGCTCACTGTTATTCCCTACTAATAAATGCTCTTTGTGGCTTTTGTTTCCAGAATAGGGCACTTTTGTCTGCATTAAAAACCTGTTCAGGCAGATCTTTCTCCTCAATGATTATCTTAATGGCATCTTGAAACTCATCTGCTGCCTTTTGGTTTGAAGAACATGCTTCTCCTGTTATCTTGACAGTTTTTTAAGCCAAGTGCTTTTCTAAAATTATCAAACCATTCTTTTCTGGCATTAAATTCTCCAACTTTCGGTCCTTCACCATCCTTTTGCTTTAAGTTGTCATCTAATGACTGTTCTTTTTCTCAAATCATTTACAGTCTATAGGTATGACTTTCTTATAGCAATCCTGCACCTACATAAAAGCTAAGTTTTCAATACAAGAGAATATGTATTTTGCAAAAAGCACAAGGTTTTTTCACCTGCTGGTTTAGCTACAGTGACAATTTCATGAATTTTCTTTTTTTTTTTTTCCACAGTAGACCTTGGGCTGGATTTATGTATCTTGAAATGGTGGGCAACCTCATCTGCAATCCTGAATCTATGGTACATATCAAGCAATTCAACTTTTTCTTGTAATTTTGTAACTTTTCTCTGCTTCTTGGAAGGACTTTCAGCGTCACTCATGGCACTTTGTATGGATTCCATGGTGCTATTCAAGGTTTACAGTATTGCAGTAAATATGATGAAAAATATGCAAAACTATGGGACATCACTTTTTACTGTGATACACTATTTGCTGAGGAGATGAACTTCTCATGTGAAGATGATTAGCATCACATGGCATTTTAAGCAGATACTCAGAACACTTGATAGCAATAAGAGGTGGCCATGAATTTATTGGAGTAGTGCAGTAGTTAATATAGTTAACGTTACGCAGTTATGATTTAACATTGCATGTTTACATTTGTGTACATTTCTCTTGACTTTGAATGATGCCATCTATGGCCCATGAATGTTTGTCTGCTTAAGTTTCAATAAATATTAAATTTTCATAAAATATTCATACACATTTTATAATAGTAATAGACAAATATCTAAATATATGCATTCACAGCATAACTAACTTTTTCTTAATTTTTTCAATATTTCTAGGCTGCAATTTTCTCCTGTGAATTTTTTCAAATTATTGCAAATCTCAAAAATAATTTTAAATAAATTTATTGGAAAAAATATGCATGTAGGAGGACCCAGGCAGATCAAACCCATATTGTTCAAGAATCAATTGTATTTTGAGCATGATCCAAAGATTGTCTTCAGACACTTTTCTTGATTCTAAGAATTTGGTATAGGCAAGGAAACTGACATAATATAAGCAGTGTTCACTTAAAAATTACAGTCAAATATGCAAAGACTCTAGAATTCCATAAAGCTTTAGAGTTCAGGGACTGCAGTTCCCAAAGGATGACCTCAGGGGTAATGAGTAGGATTACTGTGGGACCTCCTAAATCAAGTATAAATCAAAGATGTATAAGATATCATTGTAGTTTGTTGTAAAAAATTTATTAGATATTATCATTGTAATTACTACACAGAACTCCTGCTTGATAGTGTTTTGTATGTAATAAGTGCCTAGTAGATATCTGCTGAATTTATTCATTTTGGGACCCTCCATTTGTTGAAAGTCTCATCACCCACAGGACATGAGGATCTTTTAGAGAAACAGACAACACAATGTAAATTTAGAATCAGGAGTGCGAGTCCCCCCAGTTTCCCAGAGGAATAAGTACTCTCCAAAGAGTGCCTCCCTAATGGAGGTAATCATTGTCTTTACCATAATCCTCTGCACTATCATCATTTCCCTTTATTGAGTACTTACTTATGCCAGGCCCTCTACAAACATTATCCCATTCAACTCTTATCATAACCCTGGAGGGTACAACTCAACTCCATCACAGATGAAGATTTGGAAGCCTATGGTGGGTATTGTTCTCTCCATTTTACATATTATAAACTGAAACTCGGAGAAATGATGATTACTTAAATAACTCAAATAGTAAAATGCAGATCCAGTATTTAAATAATCCAGATCATTCCACCTTTAAATCCACCAACTCACACAGTTTCACAGTTAACATGGGGAAGAGGGGAAAAGGGAAGTATTTTTAAATTTCATTTTCATTTATATTCAAGAAAATTTACTCATTTTGGTTACAGTTCTATAAATTTTGGCAAATGCATAACATCATATAGCATGACCACAATCAATATACGGGATAGTTCTATGATGGGCACCCTGAAATTTCCTCATATTGTCCATCTATATAGTCAAACCCTTTCACATCTCTAACTCCTTGGAACTACTGATGTGTTCTTTGTTCCTGTACTTTTGCCTTTTCCAGAATGGTGTATAAATGGCATCTACAGTATGCAGTGTTTTGGTCTGGCTTCTTTCACTTATCAGAAAAAAATCTGAGATTCATAGGTTACTGTGTGCATCAGTATGTGTGAAATGCATCTGTACATGCACCATCGTTTGTTCATCCATTCAACACTTTAGGATTATTTTGCTCCTAGAACTAGTGGTCAGCAGGCTGTCAGCCAGGGAGCCTCAGTTTTCCTCTACGTTGCCTCTCCAACAGCAGCATGGGCTCCTCCACATGGTGGTCTCAGTGTTCTCAAAGCGCTGGGTACAAAAGTACTTGTGTACTGAGACTTCTCCTCTCTTGCTTGCGGGTATGTTTACTTACATCTAATTTGTTGCTATATATGGGCCAAAGAGAGTCACTTGGACAACCCCCAGAATTATGACTCCACTTTTTGAAAGCACGTGTGAGAAAGTCACATTGCAAGTTGTGTGAAATCAGGTAAATGGCTTATTACTCTCTTCAAATCTCAGTTGGCTGTTCTGTGAAGTAGTTATAATAACACTCACCTCTTAGGATTGTTTTCAAAACTAAAAAATGTTTAAAAATGAAAAGCTCCTAATAAAATATGGTCTTTTCATAAATAGTGACTATGATTATCCTTGGAGTATCTGGAAAGAACAGTGTTAGGCAAAAAACACTAAATTACACAGAACGTGAAGAACATGACTCTTCCCTATAGGAATACTAGTTCCTTATTGTTCTACGATCTCAATGTATGATTGCAAGTTAATTATTTGATTTATTTCTAATTTTTAAAATAAATTACAAAATAAGCAATAAAAATAATGAATACATGAAGGATTTTTAATATGACAAATCTTGCTTTACAACCTAATAAGGTTATTAGGGATAAAGTTAAAAGCATTATTAAAATACACATTATTATTAGAATGGGTGACATGGTAACGCAGCAGGATATGGTTCAATGCCTGTTGGTCTTAGAAGACCAGACTTTGAGCACCAGCTTTGCCGTGTAATCTATGGCCATGAGCAAGTTATCTTACCTTTCTAAGTCTCAGTTCTCTGATCTGTAAAATGTGGCTTACACAGCTGATGCAACTGACCCCCATGTTATTGTGAGGACCCAGTGAAATAGTATACTTGGTGTTTCCGAATTGATATATGAGAGAGAGAGAGAGAGAGAGAGAGAGAAAGAGAGAGAGAGAGAAATGATAACACTTTATAATAGATTATACTTCTTAAAGAATTGGGATAAACATGAAAGGTCATAGTGACTATACTATAGTGTTTTATTAATTTATAGGATCATCTTTTCGGATAGTCACAAATACTACCCAGGCCAGGCCAGGCAGTTGACATAATTGAATGAGTGTCATACAACAGGAAATGGTATATCCTGTAGTAAATAAGGGAGTTTTTGTCCCATTAAAATCAGGGAATCATCAACCACTGCTTAGTTTAATGAAATGAATCTTGCCACATGGGAGCGTGGGCCACATGGTAAAAGGGCCCATGTGGTTTTTCAATAAAACTGGAATATTAGAGTTTCGGATGGAGTTGTTATCTCAAACACAGAGCTAATAAAATAAAAATGTAGCAAAAAAAAAAAAAATACATGGTAGATTCAGCATGCAGGCTGCCATTTTTGACCTCTGATTAAGTCACTGTCAGCTGCTTTCTGCATGTAAACACCCATCCACATTGAACGGCCATGTGAAGCAAGCTCAGCAGTTCATCTTACCTTGAGCATTGATGCTTACATTCAGAAAGGACCCATTATATTATGGAAGATACATAAGACATATGAAAGAATAGATCATGTGTGTTCATCATCACCTTAGTTTCTGTTAATTAGGATCCTACTCCCAATTTGGAGGAGAAAGGTGCAGTAACTTTTCCATTGTGATAACATTCCCCCAAGTTGGTACATATTTTGGTGATGCCTCTAGAGCTTTGAGAAAGTCACTTAACCACGTTCCTTATCTTTAAAATGAAGGCAGTAGATTAGATTAAATCTACAGTGATTTTCACCTGTAATATTCCATGAGTCTACAGTGAGATTGGTAGTAAATATAATTTCAAACATAATTTTCAACGTGCTTTTCTGTCTTATCTTGAAAAAGAAAAGCAAAAAACTCTGCTTATGGCTTCTTGTTATCTTAGCAAATATCCTGCAACAAAATATTTTCCTTTTATATGAATTTTTAAAAATTCATTTTCAAACATCTTCCCATAGGCCATGGTGGTTTTAGCCATGGGTAAATTTCACTCATATGCCTTACTATGTAATGACATTGTGGAGTGTAACTGGCTTTTTAACACCGTTAAATAATTTTCCAAAATGTTTTATTTTAAATAGTTACAGGCCACCATTTACTAATTTGGTGCTAAAAAATTTAAAATATCTGCTTCATGTGAATCAACATTTACATTCCAAATATTAGTGTGAAAATCCACCTGTTATCTGAAAGGCCTTAGTTTTTAGAAATGTATTTGGGACCCCAAAATTGTTCTTCTGTTTCAGATTATGTTTATATCTGATTATTCCTAACATATAAAACCTGTTAGATTGCCTTGTCTTTGTTCATCTAAAATTTAGCTACCTCCAAGCTAATAGTTGAAGATTATATTTGAAGCATGGATTTATTTCATGATTTGAAAAACAAAGCTAAGGAAAAAATTGTTTGAAATTCTTGTTCATTGCCTATTCAGGCCCTAGCAAAGGTAATATGTGGTAACAAATGGGGATGGGCAGAACTGCCAAGCATATGTGGATTAACTAAAATTCACATTTAATTGGCTACTTTTATCAAACCCTGGCCGTGATATTGAACACCAAGTGCTACTTTAGACACTTGACAATCATGATCTAAAACGACCATGTTTAAATGGTTTTTTAAAACATCCATCAAAGTTGCATTATCCTAATGTTAAAATTAAGACATCAGACTGAGATTACATACCTTTCTAATTACTATGTCTTCAAACTGGGATTTCAGCCGGCTCTGGTTGCTGTCGGGTCTCTGGGATTTCCATTCTGCCATGCGTGCTGTTGAGTGTAAGGTGCACCATTGGCCTCCAGGGTTTTAGTGTTTCCAGTTGTAATAAAATCTCTAGTTGACCAAGAACTCTGTGGTTAAATAAGCAATTGGGTCATCAGCTTTATTAATGGGCCAGCCCAGTGCCTCACAGACCCAAATACAGGCCCCATCTGTGGTAAAAATGTAAAGAAGACCAGAGCAAGCCCTCCAGGGAGCAGCCCGTATTGAGCTCACCTGCTTTTCTGTGGGTAGAGAAACTGAAGGGCAGCCAGCCTGTCTGCATGGAGGTCCTGGAGAGGGAAGGGAGAGCTGCTGCATGAAAACTAGAAAGGCAGCCTGAATAGAACTTCATCTACAGGAAAATAAGAGCTGCAATGTCATAACATGTACTTTATCTAATTTTACTTTTATTAGATAAATAATATTTTTGTATATCTATGGGGTAAAATTTGGTGTTTCAATACATGTATACATGGTGGAATGATCAAATCAGGTTAATTAGCATATTCATCGCCTCAAATATCTATCATTTATTTGTGGCGAGAAAATTTAAAACTTAGTCTTTTAGCTGTTTTGAAATGGAAAGGATTGGAAGAGCAAAGGAGGTGCTGGAAGACATGACTTTTATATTAAGGCCAAAGTAGGAAATGAAAAGAGAGAAAGGTGTCTGTGTCTGGCCATCTCAGGGCAGCCTCTGTCACATCAAGCTGAGGGAATTCTTCTCTGGGCTTCCTGCTTTTTAGGGTACAGAAAAGGTTTAATACCACTGAATAATTATCCCATTGCTCTTTCTGACATCTAACAATAAATATATTTGCAGAAAGGGAAAACTGAGTAAGTTTGTGGATCTATGTTGCCTATCTGGGTATAGGAGTACATACAGGTGGGTATGAAGGATGGATGATTCAATGTTTCTGCACTCCAAAAAATGCAGAGTAACTGTTTATTATGTGGCTTCCTGATACAGTTTGGTAGAGAATGCAATTAAGTGTCCAGGCCTTGTGGGTGTCATTTAGGGCTCAGTAGCAGTAGTGCCTTATCTTAGATAATTAATGTTGTTTTATCTAGTTTTTGTTGTTGTTGATGTTCTTTGCTCTTTGTTTGTGTTTGAGAATAATGGACATTCAGTCCAAACTGAACAGAGAGCGTACTTTGCCTTTATAGCCTCTTCAGGGACAGACAGTCTTGGGAACAAGTCACCTGTGTAGATATATGTAACTTTTTCTTTCTTTTTTTTAAATTTAACTTTTAAGTTCAGGGGTATATGTGTCGGCATCCCTGTTATATTGGTAACTTGAGATATAGGTAAACTTGTGTCATGGGGTTTTTTGTGCAATTATTTTGTCACCCAGGTTTTAGGTCTAGTACCCATTAGTTATTCTTCCTGATCCCTTCCTTTATCCCACTCCCCACCCTCCAATAGGCCCCAGTGTGTGTTATTCCCCTCTATGTGTCCATTTCTTCTCATCATTTAGCTCCCATTTATAAGTGAGAATCTGTGTTCTTTGGCTTTTTGTTCCTGCATTAATTTGCTAAGGATAATGTCTGCCGGCTCCAACCATGTTCCTGCAAAGGACATGAGCTTGTTCTTTTTTTGGGCTGCATAGTATTCCATGGTGTATATGTACAACATTTTCTTTATCCAGTCTATCACTGAAGGGCATTTAGATTGATTTCATGTTTGGCTATTGTGAATAGTGCTGCAATGAATATAAACATGCTTGTGTCTTTATAATAGAATGATTTATATTCCTTTGGGTAATACCCACTAATGGGATTGCTGGGTTGAATGGTGTTTCTGCCTCTAGGTCTTTGAGGCATCACTACACTGTGTTCCACAATGGTTGAACTAATTTACACTCTCACAGAGTAAAAGCATTCCTTTTTCTCCACAACCTCATCAGCATCTATTGTTTTGTGACTTTTTAATAATAGCTATTCTGACTGGTGTGAGATGGTATCTCATTGTGGTTTGGATTTGCATTTCTCTAATGATCAGTGATGTTGAGCTTTTTTTCATATGATTGTCGGCCACATGTATGTTTTCTTTTGAAAAGCATCTGTTCACATCCATTTACCCACTTTTCAATTGGACTGTTTGCTTTTCTTCTTGTAAATTTGTTAAGTTTCTTACAGATGCTGGATATTAGAACTTTGTCAGATGCATAGTTTGCAAAATTTTTCTCCCATTCTGTAGGTTGCCTGTTTACTCTGTTGATAGTTCTCTTTGCTGTGCAGAAGCGCTTTGGTTTAATTAGATCCTGTTTGTCAATTTTTAATTTTGTTGCAATTGCTTTTTGTGTCTTCCTCATGAAATCTTTGCCCGTTCCTATGTCCAGAATGTTGTCTTCCAGAAATTGAAACTAGATTTCTTCCTTATACTATATGCAAAAAATAACTTAAGATGGATTAGATACTTAAATGTAAAACCCAAAACTATATGTACCTTATCTTTGGTATCCTGGGAATTTTTCTGAATTGTTTTGTATAGCCAAGTCTCCCTTGCAGCCTCAGTGGTCAAAGGGCTGCTTTTATTTGAAACAGTCCTTTAGAAGAGATATAAATGAACTGGTACTAATTTAGCTGAGAAAAACAAAGATCCAATCCCAGCTGTGAAATAAGGTCAAAGTCATAAGACAACATTACATAAAACGATGAGCATTTAATATTACACTGGGAAATAGAAAAATAGATAAAAGATGAGAACTAGAGAAAAAGGCAGCATTTAAATAGGGACAAGTAATATGGGCACAATGAAAGAAGAAGAGAAAAGATACATAGAAATGGAATAAAATAGGAAAATTGTGAGATTCTCTGGATAAGAAATGAAAAGCATATGTAATATTATTTTAAAATAGATTTTAGTGAAAATAAAGGCAATGATATAAGTAAGGGAAAATGGCAGTTTTTGAAATATAATTTACAGATCACGATGGATAATAAGAAACGTTATCTAAGTTTTTGAAACCTCTCATTGTTTAATGCATTATGAAGATGAATGTGTGTGAATGTGTGGGTGTGTGTATGCGTGTGTGGGTGTGTGTGAAAAATATTAGACTCATTTAGGAAATATACAGAGCATCAAAAATGTCACACACATCTTGTTATGTTTCATGAAATAATATTGGTACCTGGCTCATTCTGTCTCAACTGGAATAATTTATCTTTGGTGTATTAATCTCTGACCCTCTCTCAATGACGACAACAACAACAATGACAACAACAAGGAAACATTCACTAGACAACATAAGGAAGTTCTAATTAAAGCCCTAAAAAGTATTTAGTAGAAGAAACAAAATTGACAAACTATCAGAGCTGCCAAATATTTAAACATTTTAATAGAATAAGACTATGAAAAAAATGTATAGGAAAACTCCATGCTTTTGAAATTGTTATTACTGGTCATTTTACTCTGAGTAAGAGTTAAGTGTATTGGCAATCACTTGGCTTCACAGTAATTTAAAACCAAATAAACATGTAACAAAGGGAAATATATTTATTATATCATCATAAAGAGCATTTTGGTAACTATAAACTTTAAAAAATGTGTATGATTTGAAGGAGACTTTTGTAGTGGAGTGAAGCTCACTTTTATTGCCAATTTGTAAGTTTACAAACATAATTTAAATAAGTTTTATTAGTAGTAGCAATGAGAAGTTGAAATATTGAAATTTTGCTGTATTTTATATATATTTTACTTTGGCTATATTTATATTTTGGCTGTATTAACTTCAAAAAGTTATCTCGCTTACCTGGCCACTTCATTATGCAAAGAAAAGCATAAATGTATTATATTCATTGAACCATTAAATGGGAGCCTAGCAAAGCAATTAAAATTAATAGGTCATTCCAGAACATGATAGATATAGTATGAAAAAAAGAAAACCTGTGTTGATTAGCTGTCAAAGTGTTGCATCTGTTTGTCAAGATGAACAGAGAAGCAACTATTTTTAGTAACTGTCTTTCCATTTTTATCATCATAATTCATATGGTCTTGTCATTTTTTAAAACTGCAGATTAGAATTTTTTAAATATTTCAAATACCCTCTTCAAAAATACTACAAATAAAATATATGACTTAGAGATAAGGAAAATTAATTTTATATTCAGCATTCTCAGTCTCCTGGACTGTAACAGCAGTACAAATCTTCATGTTGATAATGTGCAGAAGTGTTGGTTTATTGGCATGAAAGTTTAAGTGAAAGGTTAAGAAAGATTAACATGGTGCAGGTCTCTAAATTTCAGTAGAATCGCTGGTCATACTTAGTGGAAAACGTAAATGAAACATTATTAGTTTATGAAGAGACACCAGAGTATTGCATATCCATGATTTTTCTTAAAGAACTAAAGTGTTTACATTTGTAATACAATATTCTATGGTTGGTATTGAGGAAATTGATAAAGATTTCTCCCAGATTTTCTTCTAAAAGCTTTATAGTTTTACCTCTTATATTTAAGTTGATAATCAGGTTTGTATACTTTTTGTGTATGGTATGAGGAAAGGGTCAAAGTTTTTTTTCTATATTTATATTCATTTATTCTAAATCCATTTATTGAAAACACGATCTTCATTTCATTGAATTTCCTTGGTATCTTTGTTGAAAACCCATCTACAATATAATAATTGTGGGTATATTTCTGGACTCAAAATTCCTTTTAGTTGATCTTTATGTCAATCCTTATGCCAATCTCATACTCCTTAGAGTGCTTTTATTGTAAATCTTAAATACCAGCTAATTTGATTCATCTGATTTTGTTTTTTCTTAAAAAAATTTTTAAGCTTTTCTAGATTATTTGCCTTTCCTTACAAATATTAACATTGGCTTGTCAAATTCTTATATAGAGACTGCTAGGATTTTGATTCTGAATGTATTCAATTTATAGTCAATTCTGGAAGAATTGACCTCTTAAAAATGGTGAATTTTCAAATTAATAAAAAAGTATATATTTCCATTTAGATAAGCCTTAACTTTTTAAAGCAATGCTTTAGAGTTTTCAGTTCACAGACATTGCACATCTTTTTGTTAAATTTATTTGTAAGAGTTTTTCTTTTTATGGTATATGCTGTAGTTAATTAAAATTTGATTTTATTGTCAGGTTGTTTATTTCTGGTGTATAAAATAAAATTGATTTTTGCATGTTAGTTTATATCTTGAGAATGTGTTAGACTCATTAGCTTTAGGAAGCTTTATATTAGGTTCTTTAAGATTTTCTACATACACCATGTCATATGCAAATAAATGCACTATTGTTACTTCCATTCTAACATGTGCCTTTCATTTATTTCTTTTTTGTCTTGCTATACTTGCAGCGGTGAGAGTGGACATTCTTTGCCTTTTTCCCAATTTCAGGAGAAAACATTCTGTTTTTCATCATTAAATATGAAGTTAGTTTTACATTTTTCATAGATACGCTTTATCAGGTTAAAGACGTTTTCCTCCATTTCTCATTACATTTTTTTTTAAATCATGAATGGTGCTGAATCTTGTTAAATGTTTTTTCTTCCTCTACTAAGATAATCTTACAGTTTTTCTCTTTATTACATTTAGGTAATATGCTTAGATACGTTACATTTATATAATACTACATTTGTTAACCTTCGGATGTTAAACCAACTGTGTATACATGAGAAAAATTACATTTGTTCTTGGTGAGTTATTGTATTTTTTTCTTGACTGTAATTGCTATTTTTTTTTTTTAATTTAAAAGTAAACTTTAATGTCAAAATGCAAACCTGGGGAGGGCATAAAGATCACACACAAGGCTGCCACTTCACACTTGGAGGGTTGCACAGTGGCCAGTCAAAGGCGCTCCTCACTTCCCAGACAATGTGGTGGCCAGACAGAGGTGCTCCTCACTTCCCAGACCTGGCGGCAGCGGGGCAGAGGCGCTCATCACTTCTCAGACGGTGGGGCGGCCAAGCAGAGGTGCTCATCACTTCCCAGACGGGGTGGCGGCTGGGCAGAGGCGCTCATCACTTCTCAGATGGTGGGGCGGCCAAGCAGAGACTCTCATCACTTCTCAGATGGTGGGGCGGCCAAGCAGAGGCGCTGCTCACTTCTCAGACGGTGGGGCGGCCGGGGGAGGCGCTCATCACTTCCCCGACGGGGCGGCGGCTGGACAGAGGCGCTCATCACTTCTCAGATGGTGGGGCAGCCAAGCAGAGGCGCTCCTCACTTCCCAGACGGGTCGGCGGCCGGACAGAGGCGCTCATCACTTCTCAGATGGTGAGGAGGCCGGGCAGAGGCGCTCCTCACTTCCCAGACGGTGGGTCGGCCAGGCAGAGGCGCTCATCACTTCTCAGATGATGGGGCGACGGGACAGAGGTGCTCCTCACTTCCCAGACGGGGCGGCGACGGGACAGAGGCGGTCCTCACTTTCCAGATGGTGCAGCGGACGGGCAGCAGCGCCCCTCACTTCCCAGACCGAGGGAGGTGCGGGGAGAGGTGGCCAGGCAGAGGCGCTCCTCACTTCCCAGACATTGCGCGGGGCCGGGCGGAGGCCCCCCTCACTTCCCAGACGGTGGGGCGGCCGGGCAGAGGCGACCCTCACTTCCCAGACCGAGGGAGGTGGTGGTGGGGGGTGGCCCGGCAGAAGCGCTCTTCACTTCCCAGGCGGTGCGGGAACCAGGCGGAGGCACTCTATTTGGTAATATCTTTAAGGATTCATGAAAAAAAAGTCTATGAAACAAACAAATTGAGAATCGTCCCATTGTACAGATTTAAAATTATTTTAAGCAAGAGACTTTTCTTTATAGCTAAATATCTAAATATCAGAGTATTTTTTGTAGATGCTTATGTAAATTCTGGAACGTTGTTTTCAATTTTAATAAAGATATTTATCCAAAGTTCCACACACATCCACATATCCACACACATACATATATATCCTGATATCTATCTTCATTAGCAACATATCTTAATTATACATATATCTTAATTTGATAGATATCTTAAGCTTCTCTGAAGTGATAAGTAGATATAGATCTCAATTAGATATACATATTAGAAGATAGAAATACTTGAGCAATTGATCAATAGAGGTTCTGCTTTTTAAATTAAAAAAGTAGTTGCATAGCTATTTTTAAATGTTAATTATTCTTTCAAAGAAACTGATGAATTTTCCTGTTAAAAAATTGTAAAATGTGTATTTAAATCACCCATATAGTGAGGCTTAAGTCTCCAGATTTATTACTTTATGAGCTACCAGAATTATAGAAATGTGGCAATTTATTTTGAAGAAAAAAGAGGTTTTTAAAAATGTACTACCACATTATTTTAATAGCACACTATACAGACATCAGTACTTACAGGGAAAACCTTAATCCTTTAGTGTAATGTTTAGTGTTAATTATGTCTCTCTCACACACACACATGCACACACACACTTTCTTAGAGCTGCTTTATTTTTATCCTCAGAAGACCCTTATGCACAAAGGTGATTGTTTCCACTATAGAAGCTTCCCTTGTGTGATTATTTCCCTTTTAGAATCTTAGGCAGTTCAGTTTAGAGAAGTCCCCTCAAAAGCCCCCTTCTTATTTGGCTAGGCCGCAACCCGGTGCCTAAGCCTATACTCTCCTTAGTGTATCAGTGCTCTTCAGGACAATTATACAATGAAAAGCTTAGGCTTTTCTTACAAAGGCAGTTTATACTGGAATGTAAATTAATTTACAGAATTAATTCTCAGATATTCCTTGTATTAAAAGGACAAGGTATTTCCTGGGCACTCCATAGCTTAAGATACCAATGTGTTTATCATAGTATTTTTATTTCACTTTTTGCTTAAACAATTGTGGCTCTTAATTTATAGTAGAATAAATTTGATGTGTGTGTTAACTTTCTACTAATTAATAACCTGATAATTTTAGCCCTACTTACCCTGTCTATTCTGCTAAACCAAATTACAAAATTTACACTTTACTCCTATGACAAGTTCTTCATTATTTTGCCCCTGTAACTATTCTTGTGTTAATCACTATTAGGAAAATGTCCCCTACCTATCACTTCAGAGAAGCTTCTTATTGCGGCTTTGTTTCCCAGGTACCAGGTTATAACGACTTACTTTGGTATTTGTTATACCAAGTGATTGTGATGTCTGAACTTCCCTGACCTCAGTTTATCATCAGAGGGAAAAAGGACAAAAGCCCTTGAGCGGGCAGTGATATACATACAGGTTTTAACAATTTATTGTGCACGACAGATGTAAACTAAATATTATTTAGGATATTGGGATATGTGGGGTGTTCTTTGGGGTGTTCTAGAAGAATCATCTTAAAACTCTCCCAGCACAAAAGTGGTGTGTCTGTTATCAGTGGTGCCATCACAGATCTTTAAGGTTTTAAGGTTTAACAGGAAAGCCACTGGCCTCAGTGCTCGAAGGACCACTGATCCTTGCTACCACCCTGATATTTAATTAGAGGAGAAAATAAACTTTATCATCCCATTTGTGCCTTTTATTATCTTTTTCCTTAAAAAAAAAAGCACAATGAACCAAAACTTCTAAAATTCACCTTTTTTTTTCTTTTGGTGGAACAAAGATGTGTTAGTATTAGAGTTGTTTATTTTGTTTAAAGGATTTCTATCTTGAAGTATGTACTTTGTTTTCCTCAGGAGCACAAACCACTCTACAGACAATAACTCACTTAGATCTTTCAAATTCTGCAGAGAGTTGTAGGTGATAAGTAGTATATGCAATTTACAGGGAGGACAATTGAAATAGAGGTTGCCTCTAATTGCTCAGAATCAGAAACCACAACTATAATGGAATTCAGAATAGAATCTGGGTCTCTTGACTCCCAATTAGTTCTCTATCCACTAGATCACACTCCCTACTCCTCAGTCCTTGGAAAATAGATGGTAAATTTTACATAAGGCTAACTCTGAATTACCTACAGTTTGTAATGAGCGCCTACAGATGCTGGTTTACATTCACATCATTGCCCTGGAGTCGGCGCTACGGCATCTGCCAGAAACCTGTGGATCAGCTGTCTTGTGCTACTGTGGCAAAGCCAGGAAGAAAGGCAAGCAGGAGGAGAGCAAAGGGAGCAGAAAGAGTTTGGATGTGGGAAACACAGAACTTATAAAAATCAGGGGAACATTAATAGTTGTGGAGTTGGATGTCAAGACTATGCCACCATCTATGTTTGTGCAGATGGAGACAAATTGAGATGGAATTCCATCCTTATACATCATTTTCCACATACAAACATGGACACTAACTTAAGGGTAAAACTGGTGGGAGAGGGGTGCAGGCACCATGTCTGGCCACGAAGCTGGCAAGAAGCCCCCCAAACAGCCCAAGAAGCAGGCTGAGGAGATGAACGAGGAGATAACATTTTCAAGCAGAAGCAGAAAGAGGAACAGAAGAAACTCAAGAAACTAAAAGCAGAGGCTGCAGGGAAGGGGCCCCTGGGCAAAGGTGGAATTAAGAAATCTGGTAAAAAGCAAGCTGTTTCTTGTGCCGGAGGCCATGGTGACCCTGAATTCCATCCCTATTTAAACATCTGAATTTCCTGCTGTAACATCCTTTGCCACCTATAGTTAGAATGAAGTGTCATCTTAGAGCCTGCCGCACATTTAAGAATAAACTTTTGTAAAAATAAATAAAATAAAAATAAAAGCAAATCTAAACCACAAAATAAGCAAGTAACATGAAAACTAGAGCTTTGGCAGTTCTGCAAGAACTTCCATTGCATAGGCAGATTTCATGTAAGCTGTTGAATCTCTAGTATCAATGGTATGGCATGACTGAAAGTACATGGTAGTAATTTAAAAGTTTCCAAGTGAGAATGGTGACAAAACAAACACGTTACAAGCCTCAATAGGGAGATTATTCACATAGGTAGTATTTGGACATGGTGTCTTGCAGCAATAAACTGTAGCGTGTTCACTGTTAGCAGAGTGAACTGTTACTGTCCTGTTTTAGTTATGATTGTCTTTATTTTGATTACTCAGAAATTTCTAATATATCTTCTTGAAGATCAGAGTGGGTTGTGATGTTAAATATAAGAAATTATAGGCCGGGAGCATTGGCTCATGCCTGTAATCCCAGCACTTTGGGAGACCAAGGCAGGCAGATCACGAGGTCAGGAGATCGAGACCATCCTGGCTAGCATGGTGAAACCGTGTCTCTACTAAAAATACAAAAAATTAGCTGGGCGTGGTGGCACACGCCTGAAATTCCAGCTACTCTTGAGGCTGAGGCAGGAGAATCACTTGAACCCGGAAGGCAGAGGTTGCAGTGAGCCAAGATCATGCCATTGCACTCCCGCCTGGGTGACAGAGCGAGACTCCTTCTCAAAAAACAAACAAAAAAAAATTGTCAAAATTTATATGGGATAAAACTACTCAACTTTTTTTGTTTCTATTATCTGGAGATATTTACATCATTTTTTTCAGAAGATAAACTTAAGGCATGAAATACATGTTCAGGGCAGGGCATGGTAGCTCATGCTTGTAATCTCAGCACTTCGGGAGGCCGAGGCGGGTAGATCGCTTGAGATCAGGAGTTCAAGACCAGCCTGGCCAACATGGTGAAACCCCATCTCTACTAAAAATACAAAAATTAGCAGAGAGTGGTGGTGGGTGCCTGTAATCCCAGCTACTTAGGAGGCTGAGGCAAGAGAGTTGCTTGAACCTGGTAGGTGGAGGTTGCGTGAGCCAAGATCGCGCCACTGCTCTCCAGCCCAGGTGTAAGAGGCAGCCTCTGTCTCAAAAGAAAAAAGAGAGAGAGAGAGAGAAAGAAATACATATTCAGTGCTGAGATTTGCTTAAACAAGCAACAATTGTATAAAAGAAGAAAGAATGGAGAGTGTGGTAAATATTGAAAATATAAATGACTATGTGATCTCTCAAAGGAGCTTTTGGTACAATTCCTGATGACCAGAATGTATGAATCTCATTAACTACACCTTAGAATGGTGCCTGGTGCATAGTCAGCTCTCAGTAAGCATCTGCCTAAATGAAAGACATAGAAAAGCCAGCTTTCAGTAAGTTCCAGGATGCAAGAGCAGTGAGGAAATGGAGAGAGTCATTATCAAAACATCAGCTAACATGCTTGAAGTAAGGAGGAAACATGAATTGTCTCAGAGATGTGCAAGCTTCTTCACAGAGTTAAAAACTGAGACAATGGTCTAATATAGGGGAGACAGTGTGGATGACACAGGAGAGAGAGGGACAGTATATAAGACAAGGCTCCTGAACATAGAGGGGCTAGGACTTCCAGCAGAAGTAGAGAGTTTGGCTTACATGAGAGGAGGAACATTTTTTTGTTTTGTTTTGTTTTGTTTATTCAGTAGTGAAGGGAAAACAAGAGATCACAATTCAGGCTAGTCAGTTGTGAGAGTTCCTGTGTGGTAGATGCTATATTTTCTTTTTTTTTTTTTTTTTTTTGAGACAGAGTTTCACTCTGTCACCCAGACTGGAGTGCAGTGGTGTGATCTCAGCTCTCAGCAACCTCTGCCTCCTGGGTTCAAGTGATTCTCCTGCCTCAGCCACCCGCCCCCCAGTAGCTGGGATTACAGGCCTGCACCACCATGCCCAGCTAATTTTTGTATTTTTAGTAGAGATGGGGTTTCTCCATGCTGGCCAGGCTGGTCTCGAACTCCTGATCTCAAGTGATCCACCTGCCTCGGCCTCCCAGATTTCTGGCATTACAGGCATGAGTCATGACACCTGGTCAAATGCTATATTTTCTAGAAATCGGATGTTTTGTTAAGATTGACTAGAAGTATGAACCATAGGGGTGTAGAGGAAGCATTGACAAGGGGAGTGTCCTAGCAATTGTTGTAGGACAGGTCTTGTGTTCATGAAATCCCTCAGCTTTTTTTTGTCTGGGAAAGTCTTCATCTCTCCTTCATCTTTGAAGGATAGTTTCACTGGATATACTATTCTACAATAAAAGTTAACAGTTTTTTTTTTTCTTTTGACACTTTACATATGTCTTGCCACTGTCTCCTGTCCTGTAAGGGTTCCACTGAGAAGTCCGCTGCCACATGTATTGGAGCTCCATTGTATATTATTTGTTTTATTTCTCTTGTCACTTTTAGAATCCTTTCTTTATCCTTGGCCTTTGGCAGTTTCATTATTAAATGTCTTCAGATAGACTTACTTAGGATAAATGTGCTTCATGTTCTGTAACCTTCTTGTACTTGGATATTGATATCTTTCTCTAGGTTTGGGAAATTCTCTGTTATTATTCTTTTGATTAAACTTTCTACCTTTCTCTCACTCTCTCTCTCTCTCTCTACATCCTCTTTAAGGCCAAGAACTCTTAGATTTTCCCTTTTGAAGCTATCTTCCAGATCTTGCATGCATGCATTATTCTCATTTATTCTTTCTTTTGTCTTCTCTGTCTGTGTATTTTCACATAGCCTCTCTTCAAATTCACTAATTCTTCTGCTTGATCAATGCTGCTATTACAAGACTCTTATGCACCCTGCAGTGAGTCAATTGCATTTTTTTAACTCAGAGTTTCTGTTTGATTCTTTTAAATTATTTCAATCTTTGTTAAATTTATCTCATAGGATTCAGAATTCCTTCTCTGTGTCATCATGAATTTTGTTGAGTTTCCTCAAAACAACTATTTTGAATTTTCTGTCTGTAAGGTCACATATCTCTCTCTCCATAATGTTTCACTGGTGCCTTATTTAGTTCATTTGGTGAATGCATGTTTTACTGGATTGTCTTGATGCTTATGGATGTTTATCATTATCGAGGCATTGAAGAGTTAGGCATTTATAGTAGTATTTGCAGTCTGTGCCCATTCTTCTTGGGAAGGCTCTCCAGGTATCCAAAGGGACCTGGGTGTTTTTATCTAAGTTTTTGGTTACTGCAGGCATATCTGCATTAGGAGGAACCCCACGCCCAGTAACTCGAAGGATCTTGATGACTCCTAGAAGTACTGCCTTTGTGGTCTTGGATAAAACCTGGAAGAATTCACTGGATTATCAGGCAGAGACTCTTGTTCCTTCCCATTACTTTCTCCCAAATAAACAGAGTCTTTCTGTCTGAACTGAGCTTCTAGGGCTGGGAAAGGCGGTGACACCATCATGGGGACTGCACCAAGTTAGGCCCAAAGCCAGCACAACACTGGGTCTCACCCAAGGTCCACGATAACCACTGCCTGGCTATTGCCTATGTTAACTCAAGTTTCTAGAGTTCTAGAATCTGCTGGTGGTGAAACCATCCAGGCTTTTCTCTCAACCTTCAGGGCTTCAAGTGTCCCCTGATCACAGTTAGGTCCAGAGATGCTGTCTGGCAGCCAGTCCCTGGAGTCACAAACCTTAGGTATCAACCTGGTGCTCTTTTTTTATTGTGGTTCAGCTGACACCAAGGCAACAAGAAAACATCTTTCCCACTTTTCCCTTCACTTTCCACATGCAGAGGTTTTGCTCCCCATGGTCACCACCACCCAAGCCTGTGGTGAGTAATGTCTGGTTACCACCAATATTTATTCAAGCCCCAAGGGCTTTTCAGTCAGCTGGTGGTAAATGCTTCCAGGCCTGGAACTCTCTTTTCAGAGCAGTGGACTCCTCTTTGACTCAGGGCAAGTCAAGAAATGCTCTCTAAGAGCCAAGACCTGGAATTGGGAACCTCAAGAGCCCATTTGGTGTTTGATATGGTTTGGCTGTGTCCCCACCCAAATCTCATTTTGAATTGTACTTTCCATAATCCCCACATGTTGTGGGAGGGACCTGGTGGGAAGTAATTGAATCATCGGGGTGGTTTCCTCCATGCCATTCTCATGATAGTGAGTAAGTTCTCACAAGATCTGAGGGTTTTATAAGAGGCTTTTCCCTTTGAACTTGGATCTCATTCTTCTCCGTCCTGCCGCCCTGTGAAGAAGGATTTGTTTGCTTCCCCTTCTGCCATGGTTATAAGTTTCCTGAGGCTTCCTCAGCCCTGCAGAACTGTAAGTGAATTTAACCTCTTTCCTTTGTAAATTACCCAATCTTGAGTATGTCCTTATAGCCGCGTGGGAACAGACTAATACAGTAAATTGGTACCGCAAAAAGTGGGGTGCTGCTGTAAAGATAACCAAAAATGTGGAAGCAACTTTGGAACTGGGTAACAGGCAGAGGTTGGAACAGTTTGGAGGGCTCAGAAGAAGATAGGAAAATGTGGGAAAGTTGGGAACTTCCTAGAGACTTGGTGGGCTCAGAAGACAGGAAGATGTGGGAAACTTTGGAACTTCCTAGAGACTTGCGGAATGTTTGACCAAAATGCTGATAGTGATATGGACAATGAAGACCAGGCTGAGGTGGTCTCAGATGGAGATGAGAAACTTGTTGCGAACTGGAGTAAAAGTCACTCTTGCTCTTCAAAGAGAATGGCAGCATTTTGCCCCTGCCCTAAATATTTGTGCAACTTTGGACTTGAGAGAGATTATTTAGGGTATCTGGTGGAAGAAATTTCTAAGCAGCAAAACATTCAAGAGGAAGCACGCCTAAAAGTTTGGAAATTTTGCAGCCTGACAATGTGATAGAAAAGAAAAACTCATTTTCTGGGGAGAAATACAAGCCAGCTACAGAAATCTGCATAAGTAACAAGGAGCCAAACGTTAATAGCCAAGACAATGGGGAAAATGTCTCCAGGGCATGTCGGAGACCTTCATGGCAGCCCCTTTCATTACAGGCCCAGAGGCTTAAAAGGAAAAAATGGGCCAGATCCAGGGCTCCCCTGCTGTTTAACCTCAGGACTTGGAGCCCTTCATCTCAGCCACTCCAGCCATGGCTGAAAGAGGTCAAGTTACAGCTCAGGCCATTGTTTCAGAGGGTGCAAGCCCCAAGCCTTGGCAGCTACCATGCGGTATTGGTCCTGAGGGTGCACAGAAGACAAGAATTGAGGTTTGGGAACCTCTGCCTAGATTTCAGAGAATGTATGGAAATGCCTCGATGTCAGGCAGAAGTCTGCTGCAGGGGTGAAGCCCTCATGGAGAACCTCTGCTAGGAAAGTGTGGAAGGGAAATGTGGGGTCAGAGCCCCCACACAAAGTCCTCACTGGGGCACTGCCTGGTGTAGCTGTAAGAAGAAGGCCACTGTCTTCCAGACCCCAGAATGGTAGATCCACTGACCGCTTGCACCATGTGCCTGGAAAAGTAACAGACACTCAATGCCAGCCCATGAAAGCAGCTGGGAGGGGGACTGTACCTGTAAAGCCACAGGGGCAGAGCTGCCCAAGGCCATGGGAGCCCACCTCTTGCAACAGCATGCCCTGGATGTGAGACATGAAGTCAAAGGAGATAAGTTTGTAACTTTAAGGTTTAATGACTGTACTGTTTTGGACTCACATGGGGCCCGTAGCCCCTTTGTTTTGGCCAATTTATCACATTTAGAATAGGTGTATTTACCCAATGCCTGTAACCTCATTGTATCTAGGAAGTAACTAACTTGCTTTTGATTTTCCAGGCTCAAATGCAGAAGGAACTTGCCTTGTCTCCAGTGAGATTTTGGACTTTGACTTTTGAGTTAATGCTGGAATAAGAGTTTGGAGAACTTTTGGAAGGGCATGATTGTGTTTTGAAATGCGAGGACATGAGATTTTGGAGGGGCCAGGGGAGGAATGATATGGTTTTGCTGTGTCTCCACCCAAAGCTCGTCTTGAATTGTAGATCCAATAATACCAACATGTCCTTGGATGGAGCCGGTAGGAGGTATTTGAATCACTGGGGTGGTTTCCCCCATGCTATTCTCATGATAATGAGTAAGTTTTCATAAGATCTGGTGGTTTTACAAGGGGCTTATGCATTTGCTTGGCTCTCATTCTTCTCCTTCCTGTCACCATGAAAAGAAGGAAAGGACACGTTTGCTTCTTCCTTCACCATGATTTTAAGTTTCATGGAGCCTCCCCTGCCCTGCAGAACCATAAGTCAATTAAACTTCTTTCCTTTATATATTACCCAATCTCAGGCATGTCCTTATAGCAGTGTGAGTATGGATTAATACAGTGCTATACCCTACTGTGCCTGAGCTCTTACCTATGCTGTAAGACAAAATACTGTGTACTTTTCCCTGTCCTTTCCTCAATCAGTAGTTTCTTCCCATGGCCACCATAGCTGAGAATGTGTTAGGTCACACCGAAAGCAAGCACATCTCTGGGTCTCACCTATGGCCCATGGTGAGCACTGCTTGGGTATCACTGCTGATTATTCAGGGCCCAAGGACTCTTTAGTCAGCAGGTGATGAATCCTGCTGCAACCGAGTCCTTCCTTTTAAGGAAGAGGGTTTCCTCCCACCCTAGTGTATGTTTGGAAATGTCACTGGAAGCTAGGGCCTGGAATAGGGGCCTCAGTACTCTGCCTGGTACCGTATCCTACTGTGGCTGAGCTAATACCCAAGTTGGAATACAAAGTCCTCTTTACTTTTCCCTCTCCTCTCCTCAAGCAGAGGGAAAGAGCCTCTCCTGGAGCTGCAAGCTGAGTTTCCTGCCATTGGGCTAAGGGTGGCACAAGCACTCCTTTGGCCACCCCTGCTGGCGTCTCACTGGGTTGCATCCCCACCAAGTTCACTGGCTCTGAGCCCAGCACAGTACCAAGACTTGACCAGGAATTGCAGCCTTTGTGGCTTAAGCCACTTTTCAAAGTTATGTAGGACCACAGAGTACTTTATTAGCCTGTGGTGGTGGAGCTGCAAGAACTCAGGTTCTGACCACTGGGATTAACAATTTTCCTCTAGCTAGGGCTGGCATAATTGCTCCCTCTGCAGATGCTGGCTGAGTTCTGCCTGGTGTTACTTTCCACTGTGACAGAGAAGCACTGAGTTCCAATTCAGAGTCCCATAATCACTGCTCTCTCCGTGCCCTAAGCACATAGATTCTCCATGCGGCAGTGCTGCTGCTGGGTGGTAGTGGTGTGGGGGTGGTGTGGTTGCCTTTCCTACCCTCTTCAGTGCCTCTTTCAGTGATGTGAGCTAAAACCAGGTACTGTAATTGCTCACCTGATTACTGGTTCTTATGAAGGTGCTTTTTTATGTGAATAGTTGTCCAATTTGGTGTTCCCATGGAGATGATCATCAGTGGATGTTTCTATTTGGCCACCTTGCTCTGCCTCGACATTCAAGTGTTCTTCATGAGCCATTCTCATTTTAGAAGCTCACTGATTTCTCTTTTCTTTTAATTAACAAACTATTAATAATTTACACCATACAAGTTATTACTTGGCTGTAAATCATTTTTAAACCAGTATCCAATTATTTGAAATTTATGAGTCTCCTTTCTCCAATAAGAATATAAGTTCTTTGATCAATATGGCTCACTACAGTAAAACCAAGGATAATTTATCTTACTCACCATAATGTTTAATGAAGTATTGTTCCAAAGTTTTTCCAAAGAGAAGTCACTCCTTATACTTAGTGTCTATCCTCAGTGCCTAACACGTGGCTGAGTACATACAAGGTATTCAATAAATGCTTGTTGAACTGATATGGGCAACTATTAAATACTTAGTTCATGCATATAATTTCATTGCTTATGCTTTCAATGTCTTAAAATGGAGAAGACCTCACCTCACCTGAATTTGTCTGCTGTAAAATATGAACTATGTATGTAAGCTCTTAAGAGAGAGCTTACATAAATTTAAGAAATATGTGAAAGTTAGATCATGCCCAAGATTTGTTTTTCAAACATAAGAAAATAAAATACATCACTGAAGGTATAAGTCTTTTATGAGTCTTTTCTTTCTCATAAAAATAAAAGTAAGATACTTTAGTCACTTTTATTTTAAAACAATATACATTTATATTTGGAAGCTGTTGCTTTCTGGGCTGTAAAATTTGCTTTATCACTGGACCTGAGAAAGACCTATAATAATAATGTTAAAATATTTTATTTCAAAGCATCATATTTATATACATTGAGATACCATTTATGTCATTTTAATTTAGACCTCAAAATATATTTTAATGAATCTGCTGATTTATATGAAGTCTTTATGCACACCAAATACTTAAGAATATTCCTCTATTAGGTGTTCCTGTCTCTAACTCTGCATCTGAAAAGGGGACTTGAATTTTTCTCAAATTCTTATGTGATCATGGCAAATTAAAACAGACAACTCTGTTGCTCCATATGTAACTTTCTAGAAACTCTTTCATGAAAAATATTCATTTAGAATAAGTTTCAAGCAATGTTTCAATTTGTTTCAGTTGTAAACAAGATATTTTCCTGTATCATTATCAAATTAGCCACAATGCTGATACTGTCATCACTGGCTGAATTAGAATGTTTGTAACAATATAGACATTTGAATGTAAAACATTTGCAATAATTTTTCTATTTAGGATTCTTTTACTGGACATTTAGGTATTAATTTTAATTGACTTTCCAAATATTACATGCTTACTGGAGAAAAAAGAAAGTAGGTATTA
Source organism: Homo sapiens (assembly GCF_000001405.40). Lineage (NCBI taxonomy): Eukaryota > Metazoa > Chordata > Mammalia > Primates > Hominidae > Homo > Homo sapiens. The sequence goes on from NC_000008.11 coordinate 62,407,155, forward strand.
ACAAAGAAAAAAACTCATAAATCAACCATTCAGAGATAAACATATTAATATTTTAATAGATTTTTCCAATATTTTGTGTATATATACAGCTATATGTATATATATATACACAAAAATTATATGTATATGTGTGTATATATATATATACTTGCATGCTTTTTTTCTATCTTTTAGGATCATGGTATATAGAGAGTTTTAAAAAATTAACATTGCATTGAATTTATTATCTGACAAGACTAGATAGTTGTTTTTTTTTTTTTTTTTTGAGACGGAGTCTCGTGTCACCGGGCTGGAGTGCAGTGGCATGATGTCCGCTCACTGCAACCTCCGCCTCCCGAGTTCAAGTGATTCTCCTGCTTCAGTCTGTGGAGTAGCTGGGACTACAAGGCACGCACCACCACACCCAGCTAACTTTTGTAATTTTTGTAATTTTGTAATTTTGTAAATTTTGTATTTTTAGTTGAGTTGGGGTTTCACCGTGTGAGCCAGGATGGTCTCGATCTCTTGATCTCGTGATCCACCCGCCTCAGCCTCCCAAAGTGCTGGGATTACAGGCGTGAGCCCCCGTGCCCAGCCTGACTAGATAGTTTTCAAAAATATAATGTTTAGGCTCATGCCTGTAATTGCATTGGTTTAGGATGATGACGTGGGAGGATGGTTTGAGGACAGGAGTTAGAGACCAGCCTAGACAACACAGAGAGACCACGTCTCTACAACATACATATATTTGGTCTATGTGGTGGCACGTGTCCCTAATAGCTACCAGGAGGCTGAGACAAGAGGATCACTTGAGGCCAGGAGTTGGAGGCTGCAATGAGTTATGCTCGCACAGTTATCCAGCACTCTACGCTGGGTAACAGTGAGACCTTGTCTCTAAATACATATATGTTACAGAGTGAGACCCCATAGGATCGCACTGTATTATAGTCTATATATTTACCCATCTGCTTCATTTATTTTCACCACATATTTTAGATATTATTTTTTCCCATTTTCCTTTTATGTAATAAACTTTGAACACAAAATTTTGAATACAGCTCTACTTATTCATCACATTACTTATCACAGTAGATTTTAAGTGGAATCATAATCTCCTAAGAATCTTGATCAACACTTTCAAAATATATTTTTAAAGGCCGTGAAAATTTATACATCCATCTAGGGCCAATAGTTGTATTTCTGCTTATATGTGAATATATACAGCCCTTGGAGTTGTGCAGTATACAGCCCACAAGACTGAACTGGTGATTTTACTCTCACCTGTAGAGTATGACTGTACCCATCTCACTCCACTAATATTAAATGTAATAAATTTAAAATTATTAATAGTATGAAAGGTTAAAAATAAACATGTTTCTTATAGAGCACTAAAGTTCAATTGCATTTAGCAGAGATCTTTAAAAACTGTGTTGTAAACATTATAGACATTTATTTTTTTCTCACTTAGTGGTTTAGAGGAAGTAGAGGTGATTCGTGTCTGGCAGTAGGTTTTTCTACAATGTTTTTCAAAGATCTCTGTGGCTGTTAACTTTTGCTCTCACCCACCTTGGTCTAAGTTAGTACACCACTGCCATTACCATGTCCAAACAGCATTATGGAGGAAAGTGAAAAAGTGAAGGGAAGTAGAATTTCCTTTCTATTTAAGGGAACAATGCAGTTTTCTTTATAAAAAAAATTCTAACTTTGCTTTAAAAACTTCTGTTCATATCCATTAGTCACAAATTAGTCACTTAGACAAATCTAATTGTTAGAGAAACTGGGAGATGTAGTGTTTATTTTGAGTTTGTCAAGACCCATCTGAAAACTAGGAATTAAATATTGCGGAAAAAATAGAAAAATGGTTTTGAAGAATTATTACTCTCTGCCATACAGAGAATCTTACATTTGCAATATATTTGATCACTGGTGAGATTGACATTTTTTCATGCGCTTATATAATTTCTTACATCAATTACAAGTTAGTGTTCTGTGCTATTTTTGTCACGGAAGTGTTTTTTGGAAAGGACTTTCTGTATAATATTTATATTAACTTTTTTTTGTTGTTTTTGAGATGGAGTTTCGCTCTTGTTGCCCAGGCTGGAATGCAGTGGAGCAATCTCAGCTCACTGCAACATCCACCTCCCAGGTTAAAGCAGTTCTCCTTCCTCAGCCTGCCAAGTAGCTGGGATTACAGGCATACATCACCACAACCAGCTAATTTTGTATTTTTAGTAGAGATGGGGTTTCACCATGTTGGTCAGGCTGGTCTCAAACTTCTGACCTCCGGTGCTCCTCCCACCTTGGCCTCCCAAAGTGCTGGGATAATAGTCATGAACCACTGTGCCTGGCATATATTATCGGTTATACTCATTTTAAGTATTATTCTTATACTACTTTTTTATTTATTGGAATTTTACAGGCCTATGATCACATTTTTATTATCATTATACTTAGAAAGTTTTTCCATTCCCCAAGATGTTAATATTTATTAATATTTCATTACAGGATTAAATAAATTTAGATTTTATTTAAAATGTTATTTTATCTTTAGGGTTTTTGTTTGTTTTTGTTGTTTGTTAAGGCTAAGAAGAAAAATATCCAACTTCAGAGTTTTTTAAAATACTTACTTTTCTTTACTAATTTTTAAAATTATTTATTTAACACTAAGTAAAAATTCAGAAGATTTTATATTGTGCTCATATAGTTTAGCACTTTTTTTTTTGGTTCACTACCTTATAGTCCTGGCTCACTTTTTATTAAATATTCAAAAATTGTACACACATGATTTTAAAAAGAATAAGGTTATCCTCAATATTTAGCAACTTTTTAAAATGTTTAATGAGTTTTTATTTTTTTCAACTATTTTTAAGATACAGGGAGCACATGTTCAGGTTTGTTACATGGGTACATTGCACTCAGGTAGTGAGCATAGTACCCAATAGGTAATTTTGGGACCCCCTCCTCCTCCCTCCCTTCCCCCTCTGTAGTCTGCATTGTCTATTGTTTCCATGTTCATGTCCATGTGTGTTCAATGTTTAGGTCCCACTTATAAGTGAGAATGTGTGGTATTTGGCTTTTTGTCCCTGCATTAATTTCTGACCCTGGTTAGGATAATGGCCTCCAGTGCCACACATGCTGCTGCAAATGACATGATTTATTATTTTTTTGTGGCTGTGTAGTATTCCATGGTGTGTATATGTAACATTTTCTTTATCCCATCTACCACTGATGGGCACTTAGGTTGATTCCATGTATTTGCTATTGTGAATAACAAGGCAATGAACATGTAAGTATATGTGTCTTTTTGGTATAATGATCTATTTTCCTTTATGTATATACCCAGTAATGGGATTGCTGGGTTAAGCTCTAAAATTATAGAACTGAATGAAATTGAGACGTAAGAATTGATACAAAAGATCAGTGAAACCAAGAATTGGTACTTTGGAAAAAAACAAAACAAGATAAGATTGATAAACCACTAGCTAGATTAACAAATAAAAAAAAGATAAGATCCAAATAAGTGCAATCAGAAATGATAAGAATGACATTATAATTGATCCCCACAGAAATATAAAAGATCCTCAGAGTATACTATGAACAACTCTATGCACATAAATTACAAGATCTAGAGAAAATGATGAATTCCTGAAAACACATAATGTCCCAAGACTGAAGAAGGAAGAGATTAAAACCATGAATAGACCAATATCAAGCTCTGAAATTGAGTCAGAAAAAAAACAAAACAACAACAACAAAAAAATCAGTGAAACTGCCAACCAAAAAGAGGCAGTGGACGAGATTAATTCACAGTTGAATTCTACCAGACATGCAAAGAAGAGCTGGTGCCAATCCTACTGAAAATATTCCAAAAAATGGAGGCAGAGGGGCTCCTTCCTAAGTCATTCTATGAAGCTAGCATCAGCCTAACACCAAAATATGTCAGAGACACAATAACAACAATAACAACAAAAGCTTTAGGCCAATATCCCTGGTGAACATAGATATAAAAATCTTCAACAAAATTCTAGCAAACCAAATCCCGCAACATATCAAAAAATTTAACACACCATGATCAATTAGGCTTTATTCCTGGGATGCAAGGCTGGTTTAACATACAGAAATCAATAAATGTAATTTACAATATAAACAGAATTAAAAGCAAAAACATGAGATCCTTTCAATAGATGGAGAAACAGCTTTTGATAAAATCCAACATCCCTTCATGATAAAAAGCCTCAACAAACTAGGCATTTAAGGAACATGCCTCAAAATGGTAAGAGCCACCTATCACAAACCTACAGCCAACATCATATTGAATGGGCAAAAGCTGGAACCATTCATTCCTCTTGAGAACTTGGAACAAGAAAAAGATGCCCACTCTCACCACTCTTATTCAACGTAGTACTGGAAGTCCTAATCAGAGCAACCAGACAAGAGAAAGAAATTAAAGGCATCGAAATAGGAAAAGAAGATGTCAAACTATCTCTCTTCCCTGATGATATGATTTTATATCTGGAAAACCCTTAAGATGATGTCAAGAGACTACTAGAACTGATAAACAATTTTACTAAGGATTCAGGTTACAAGACAGTGTACAATAATCAGTAGCATTTCTATACAACAATAATTCCTGGCTAAGAGTCAAATAAAGAACACAATTCCCACCTCTACAATAGCAACAAAGAAAATGAAATACCTAAGAATACAGCTAACGAAAGGGGTGAAGTATTTCTACAAGGAGAAGTACAAAACACTGCTGAATGAAATCAGAGATGACATAAACAAATGGAAAAACATTCCAGGCTTATGGATTAAAAGAATTAATATAGTTAAAATGGCCATATTGCCCAAAACAATTTACAGATTCAATGCTATTACTAAAAAACTACCAAAGTCATTCTTCGCAAAATGAGAAGGAAAAAAATAAAAGCTATTCTAGAATTCATGTGGAACCAAAAAAGAGTACAAATAGTTAAAGCAATACTGAGCATAAAGAACAAGGCCAAAGGCATCACACTAACCAAATTCAAACTATACTATAAAGATATAGTAATCAAAGTAGCATGGTACTGGTACAAAAAGAGACACATGGACTAGTGGAACAGAATAGAAAATGCAGAAATAAAGCTACACATTTACAACCATCTGATCTTCAATAATGCTGACAAACAAAAACAAACAAACAAAAAAAAACAGTGGGGAAAGGTCTTCCTATTCAATAAGTGGTGCTAAGATAACCGGCTAGTTATATGCAGAAGATTGAAGCTGGACCCCTACCTTTCACTATATACAAAAATTAACTCGAAATGGATCAAATATTTAAATGTAAGACCTCAAACTATAAAAATTCCAGAAGAAAATCTTTAAACAGACAATCTACAGGATGGGAGAAAATATTCCCAAACTATGTATCCAACAAAGGTCTACTATCCAGACTCTATAAGGAACTTAAATCAATAAGCAAAAAACAAATAACCTTGGCTGGGTGCGGTGGCTCACAACTGTAATCCCAGCACTTTGGGAGGCAGAGGCGGGCGGAACATTTAAGGTCAGGAGTTTGAGACCAGCCTGGCCTCAAACTGTTTAGTAGAGACATGGTGAAACCCTGTCTCTACTAAAAATACAAAAATTAGCCGAGCATAGTGGTGGGTGCCTGTAGCCCCAGCTACTCGGGAGGCTGAGGTAGGAGAATCGCTTGAACCCAGGAGGTGAAGGTTGCAGTGAGCTGAGATCGCACCACTGCACTGCAGCCTGGGTGACAGACTGAGACTCCGTCAAAAAAAAAAAACAAAAAAAAAAAAACAGCAAAACATAACAACAACAAAATAACCTCATGAAAACATGGGGAAAGAACATGAACAGAAACTTCTCTAAAGAAGACATACAAGTGGCTACCAAACATATGAAAGATGCTCATGATCAGTAATCATCAGAGAAATACAAATTAAAACCACAGTGAGGTACCATATCACACCAGTCAAAATGACTATCATTAAAAAGTCAAAACCGACAGATGCTGGCCAGGCTGTAGATAAAAGGGAGCACTTATACACTGCTGGTGGGAATGTAAATTTGTTCAGCCATTGTGGAAAGCAGTTTGGAGATTTTTCTTAGAGTTTAACATCTCTTTAAGGACTATCAGTTCTGTTTTGTTGCTTTCTCCAGGGCTGGTGTTCAGTAAGCACACATGTCTGGAGTGTGGTATATTCTACCAGGATACATTCTGAATATTTGGGACAACTGCCACACCACTTGTTAAATATTTTTGACTATCACCCTTGGGTTTATTCATTGGTTTTTGCCTGAGCCTCACATTATGTAATTTTTCTACCTTATTATGTTGAATTATTAAGTGTTTTTCATATGTAGAGGGTATTCAAAGTTCAATATATTTTAAGGCATTATTTACAACTTTGGTTTCCCAATTCCATTTTAATCAAGAGCTAAATAAATAGAGGCTAATGTCAAAACTCGGTGATTTAAATCTCTAAACACATTCAAGGAAAAAACTAAAGTATAAAATTCAAATCACGTTTTGACTAAGCTTATTTTCTTCATAAAGAAAATGTTCAGCTGTCTCAGAATAAATGTACATTTTAATAAATAAAAGATATCATAATATAGGAATGTCTTTATATTACTTTAGCATACTTTAAACCAACACCAAAATAGGAGATGATATAACTTATGATTTATTGAGTTATAACTTCTTATTCTAATTCCAAAATATTTAATTTTATTGCCATATGCTTTCACAGAAAGCCTTATGTGATTTTGTTTTTTTAAACTGTTTCTCATTAATATTAGACATAATAGGAACTTATTTATACTATTAGACATAGATAATAAATTACTGATTAGTAATTGAATAAATCAGCAATGACCAAAATCTGAAGTAAATGTTGATAAAGCTTGGGAATATCTTTTTGTACTTCTGTGTGCATACGTATGTCTTTGATTTGGGACTTTTTGTAAAATTAAGCCACCTGAATACTATTCAGGATGAGTAAAGACATTTTCTATTTATCTACCTTATGCCTGCATTCCAGCCTTCAGTACAGACTATATTTACCATAGATTGCTTTATTTTAAGCTGTATAATAAGATTTTCTTTAAAATGTGTTATTTCTGTTTCAATGGGATTTTCTGTATACTGTGTAAATAAAAGGAGCTGCATTATAAATGAAGCAAATACAATTATGGTTGTCAAGACACTTGAGGATTTGATTAAGTTTTCAAATATTTTGCCATTTACATTGAGGAATGGGAAGTGTGGAAAAAAATCAACGATACTGTTCTTTTGATGCTTTGTTTTAGTGTATAATCACCTCTTAATAAAATGTGTTGTGTGACAGTTAGCAACAATTCTGCTGTTCGTGGCGTTAATGCCGAAGATCTGATAAGAGGAGTTGCAGGAGTGTGAAAAATGAGTCAACTTTTCTAGATATTTTCTATAAATTGGATCCAATAAAGTACAATAAATATGTCTTCAACTGGTCTTACAAAGCTTTTATCTGAGTTGGGTACAGGTAAAAAGAACAGTATCTCGTGAAATCTCTGATTGTTCCTTTTGTTTCAGGGTCTTAGTCAGCAGTCAGTATTTAACTATGATACATGAAATGTTATTTCTTTTAGGTTAGAGGTAATGAGAAAAATCAAGAAATATTAGGAAACATGTTATATACAGTAGTAATTTATCATTAATAATTTGTAAATATTATCAGAGTGAAAATTCAGAGACTGACAAGGGCATTTACCCAGCACACTTTCAAGTCAATCATTCACTGTGTAGGATTAAGATCATGTGTTTTGAAACTCATGTATTTTGAGTTGAATCTCAGGCAACTATCAGACTGATCTAGATGTCATCTTACTCTTCTGTGAATTGGGAATTAATTAGAAATATTATATATATATATACTATATTATATTACATAATTTTATACTATATATACTATATTACATATAATATATATTATGTATAATATATAATATACTATAGTATATATGTATTATATACTATAGTATATTATATAATATATATTATATTACAATATACTATAGTATATATATTATATTATTTTATATACTATGTATAATATAGTATATTATATATAATAAATATAATATACACTATAGTATATATTATATACTATATATATTTATATATATCTACTTAATAGGCTTGTAAAGCTTGAGATGATAAATAGATGATGATGATGATGAGAGAGATCAGAAAAGTCTGGATTATAATAATTGCTAAATAAATAGTAATTCTTCATTATTAGCATCATCATCATCAATTGTCTACATAGTTGTCAAGAAGCTGAGCATCTTGGCTTGCCATATTTTTATTTTCTAAAATAATAAAGTGATTAATGATACATTAAAAGCTAATATTAACTGCATATAGACTCCACTCTTTCAACACCTTCATTTTTTAATTACAGGTTACATATTACGGATGATTTAAGGTTCAGTTTTGCATTAAAGCACTTGTTGATGTGTATGCATATCCTACAAGGACATGTTGAATATAATCTACATTTATAAACTATAGAAACTACTTCTTCCTTTTGCAGGTACAGATGATTCATTATAATAATTTTATTAAGAATTATTATTATTATTATTATTATTTTGAGACAGAGTCTCGCTCTGTCGCCCAGGCTGGAGTGCAGTGGCGCGATCTCGGCTCACGGCAAGCTCTGCCTCCCGGGTTCACGCCATTCTCCTGCCTCAGCCTCCCGAGTAGCTGGGACTACAGGTGCCTGCCACCATGCCCAGCTAATTTTTTGTATTTTTAGTAGAGATGGGGTTTCACCGTGTTAGCCAGATGGTCTTGATCTCCTGACCTCGTGATCCTCCTGCCTCAGCCTCCCAAAGTGCTGGGATTACAGGCGTGAGCCACCACGCCTGGCCTAAGAATTATTTCTTTTCATACTCCTGAATAATGAGTCCCCTTTTTTCTGCACCCTCACTGCCGTGTCTAAGGTCTTGATCTTAGCCTTTCTGGGAAAATTTGGGGGCTCATAAAGACATCTGCTCCACTCTTTGCCTTCCAGCCGTCTACCATCTACAATTCATACTCATTAAGGATTCAATAGCTGTATTCAGTCAATATGTTTCTTCCTCTAAAATAATGGCATTTTAGTTTCTTATAGTTTTGTGAGGGTGAAGAAGCCCTAGATGTTTTCTCTTGCATTATTTTCTTCCCTTGCCTTGGCTTTCCGTTTTTATTCTCCTTCAAAAAAGTTTTCATTTTTCTCTAGATGGTCTCCTAATGTGTCTCCTTTCAGACACATTTGTTAGAATGATCTTAACCTGTTCTCCCAGACAGCAGAGCTTAACAAAAAAGACCAATGGCTATTTGTTGAATTTTGAATTTTAATTTTTGTGGGTACATAGTAGGTATACATATTTATGGGGTACATGAGCTGTTTTGATACAGGCATGTAATGCATAATAATCACATCATGTAAAGTGAGATATCCATCCCCTCAAGTATTTATCCTTTGTGTTACAAAAAATCAATTATACTTTATTGGTTATTTTAAAATGTAAAATTAAATTATTATTGGCCAGGCATGGTAGCTCACGCCTGTAATCCCAGCACTTTGTGAGACTGGGGCGGGCAGATCTCTTGAGGTCAGGGGTTTGAGACTAGCCTGGCCAACATGGTGAAACCCCGTCTCTACTAAAAATACAAAATTAGCTGAGCATGGTGGCGCACCAGTAATCCCAGCTACTTGGGAGGCCGAGGCAGGAGAATCGCTTGAACCTGGGAGGCGGAGGCTGCAGTGAGCTGAGATCACACCACTGCACTCAGTCTGGGTGACAGAGCGAAACTCCATCTAAATAAATATATATATTTATATATATATATATGACTATAGTCACCCTGTTGTACCATCAAATACTAGATCTTATTCATTCTTTCTATTTTTTCACACCCATTAACCTTCCCCACCTACATCTCCATCCTCCTGACTACCCTTGCCAGCCTCTGATAACCATCGTTCTGCTCTCTATCTCCATGAGTTCAATTGTTTTGATTTTTTAGATCCCACAAGTAAGTGAGAATGCAATGTTTTTCTTTCTGTGCCTGGGTTATTTTACTTAGCATAATGACTTCCCTTTCCATCCATGTTGTTGCAGATAACAGGATTTCATTCTTTTTTTAGGGATGAATAGTACTCCATTGTGTATAAGTACCATACTTTCTTTATCCATTCACCTGTTGATGGACACAAGTTGCTTCCAAATCTTGAATATTGTAAACAGTGCTGCAACAAACATTGGAGTGTAGATATCTCTTCTATATACTGATTTCCTTTCTTTTCGGTATATACCCAGCATTGAGCTTGCTGGAACATACGGTAGCTCTATTTTTAGTTTTTTGGGGAACCTCTAAACTGTTCTCCATAGTAGTTGAACTAATTTATCTTCCTACCAACAGTATACAAGAGTTCTCTTTTTTCCACATTCTCACCAGCATTTTTTATTGCCTGTTTATTGGATAAAGCCATTTTAACTGGGGAGAGATGATATCTCATTGTAGTTTTGATTTAAATTTCTTTGACGATCAATGATGCTGAGCATCTTTTTATATGCCTGTTTGCCATTTATTTGTCTTTTTTTTGAGAAATTTCTATTAAAACCTTTTGCTTATTTTTAATCAGATTATTAGATTTTTCCTGTAGAACTGCTTAAATTCCTTGTATATTCTGCTTATTAATCCCTTGTCAGATGGGTAATTTGCAGGATGTTGTTTTATTAAGGAATACAATCAAAAAAGAGAGGATGAAGAACAGTGGAGTGAAGGAGAGAAGTGAGAAACCAATGAGATCAAATTCTATTTTGAGTATGATATTTTGGTATCTCCTTAAATTTTTCATCCAAAGCAAGTGCTTCACACCTCACTCACCTCTCCCCAGTTACAGCCCTGATTGAGGTGCATTATCAGTCCAGCTGCCAGCAAGTGCAAGTGGTTGTCTGATTCAGGAACTCTGTTCCCTGAGAAGTGTAGACTGAGTCTTGGAATCACCCATAAGTGGGGAGTAAAGGGTACCTGTGTGAAGATGGTCAAAAATCATAGAGCTATCATAAGAGGCAAGTGAATCTAAGGTGTGAAATGGTGACTAAGATATGTAAAATTAGCTCCTCACACAACTCAGCTACTTGAGTGTCCACCATTATATCTAGCTCTCATAAAAAAGATAGGAAAAAAAATTGTGCTTACTTCTTCTCTGATAGAGATGAAGTAAATCAATTATTTTCAGAGAAGTTCCTTTAAGGTAGTAGCCAGCTGCACCCCCTGAAAAGTTAATGCAAGTGGGCTAGGAGATAGACTATTGCTCCCATGGCTGTAGCTGGTCCTGGGGCTGCAATTGATCTTTGCGATCTCCCCTTTCTACCACCCAGTCTAGATTCCCTTCACCCTTAGCAATTCTTTGACTGGTCTGAGTGGCTTGTCTCATGGAATGATGCAAATCTTCATTTCAGAGTTGTCTAAAGTATTACATTTTTCAGTGTTCTGGGGACGTGGTTACTACATTCTCAATTTTGCTTTCAAAACTAGAGGTAGAAGCATCAAGTACTGTCGCTTTGAATCCCTTGAGTATTATTTGTCTCTGCCCCCATTGTTAAGCAGCAACCCTGACTCTTTATGGTAATCATGGAGGTTAGCCTCCTCTAGTACTGCAACCGCTTTATTTGCTCATAGATCCGCTGGCATGAAAAGTACTGTATGAACCAGGGAAGGTTGTAGCTTCAAGTTTAATTGGACCCTTAATATGTTCTCTAGCAGAAGCATTTCTCTCCTGGGATACAGGATCTATAGCCCTACATAGCCAAAAGTTGCAGAGATGGGAAGCATGACTCTACAAGTGGGTCATTGAGTGGTGGTAAAAGGAGCCAGTCTTACTTCTATCTTTTGGTTTCAAGACACAAGTAGTCTAACTAAAGGGACGTAGGACTATATACTGGCCATTGATTCAGTGCATGCACTGCATTCTGGAAGTCAACACCTTGACCCCACAGAGTACTCATTTTAAGCTTATACTTTAACTGAGATTGTAGCAGGCAATTTCATCTGTCTCTTAGGCTGACTGCATGTGGGTGATTGGGTACCTGAATTCCATGTACATGTAATTATTGGTAAACTTCCTTTGCCGTAAATTATGTCTTTTCCAGTGAAGCAATGCTATGTGCAATATCACATTGATAGTTAAGGTATATCTTTGCAAAGTCATGCTACATGGTCTCTCCCACCCAGGAAAGAACTCTGGAAGAAGGGATTACTTTCGATAAGGAGAAATCACAGCTCTCCAGGTTGTAAAAGTTCTGATGTAACTTACCTGCCAGTAAATGGCCAGATGGTATTCTCAAGTAATGCTGTCATAGAGAGGGCTCAATGTAAGTTTTTGCTGCTAATAGGTTGTACATTCAGTAGTGACAAATAGATAAATCTTGTAGAGAAGGAGTCTGTGTTACTAAGTGTACTTATGAAATTTCTGTCTGCTCTCATGGCTACTCTATTCATGGTTTCATTATAGCAGTCCTGAGATAATCAAGAAGAAATGCTGGCTGCCATTCATAGGAAGAGTCTTCCTATTTCCTGGTGGTTTGGAGCTCTGACTTTGGGAGAAATTCTCCAATGGATATTAATATGTGACGCAAAGATTAAAATGTTTTGCATCAGTTCCCATAGGTCCAACCACAAAGGCCATCTCGAGGTGCCCATCCTTGTTTTTTCAATCTTATTCCTTTGAAACCCATGTTCAATTAATCAAGCCATTTCCCACCACCCAATAATTTATGCATATCTATAGTGAAGGACACTTCTATATAAACTAGGTGACCAAATTTACAGCCCACAACCATGTCACCTGAGAGCATTTCCCTTTCCTACTATGTTTTAGGAGGGGAGCTGTCATGTGTCAGCAGTCAACTTTTAGCTAGCACCAACATATCATCAATGAGCCAGGCCAGAGTTCTCTTTTCCCTATCATTTTGTTGTAGGAAATCTCTTATGAGTCACGTGTGTGAGAAGAGGGTAAATAAAGTAGGCATTATGAAATTTACCTGTTCATGTAATTTACTCATGCTTTCTGGACCTACTCAGGCCCAGATCTAAATATATAATTTCACCAAACAATGGACTACTGCTATTCTCACTTAAACTCATGCCTCAGCAGATCTGATTGTACTCAACTTAAAGGGTGATTCCAATTACATAGTCAATTAGTATTCCACAGCCAAGCATTCATTTTTTAAAATGTAATTGGTATTTCCGTGTTACACATTTTTAAGTATCAGAATAATGAGTCCTAGGGTTCACCAAGATTCTTTTTGGTGAAAATTTTGTATTCCTTTCTGGAGCCATGGCTGTAAGCATATCAACAAAACATAAGATACAGAAGTAACAGAAAATATGGAGTTTATGTAGCCTTTTAAAAATAAGTGTGGCTAGTTTTACAAGTTTAGGCTTTGTGACATTGTGTGAAACTACTCAAATAGCCATCTAAATAAAAGGATGTGTTTTGGATTAAGTTTGAAGATTTATATTAAGATTAACCAAATTTCAAGAAGAAATAAATAATCTGTATATTATAAAAATAGAATGAAAATAAGAATTAGATCATTTTCAGATAAATTTACACAAATCATAAATTAGTTTAAAAATTTTCAGAAAATTTAATTGTAGTATGATTCTTAACAAAATTTTGCTAAAATATGGTTTTGGGTAATAACCACTTTTTATAGAACAGAGCCCAGAGATTAAACAGCTATACTACACAGAAATGGCATAAACACCAAAAGGAAAACTTTAAAAAATTTACTTCATGAGATGACTATATCGGGTCTTAAACATGGCAGATAATCCACTCATCATTCTTAGGCATGCAGCCTACCACACAACTTTGAAAAAGAAACACCGCACAAGGTTGAGGATTATAAACCAGAGCAGCCAGGTGCCCAGAAGGTCAGTCCTTACCATGAGGTGGATATTTCTTCTGTCCTTCTTAGTTCCTCCCAGCTACTTGGCCCTAAGCAGAAAGCATCAGCTCTCCTGTGCCCGTTGGTACTAACCTCTGGCTATAGCCCAGCCAGGCAGGTGTTGCAGATAGAAGAGTATTGCTGCAGGATCGACTGTCCCAGAATCTTTGTCCCTACTTCAGTGGGGTAGTGAGCAAAATGTCTTTCAAGAAGTCTGTGCCAACTTTTACTCCTATTGACAGTTCCTGAGAACACCTGTCTTAACTGTTTCCTCCCTGACACAGCTTGCCTTAATTCAAGTCTAAGTGTGTATGTACTTTGGCAGTGCAGGAGAGGATCTAATCCCCACAGCTTTGCTTTTTGAGGAAGTAACCTATTTGGGGAATACATACACCATCTCCCTGGGGTGGAACTCATTTTTCTGTATTAGCTGAAAATGCTGCGGGAGGAGGATTTGGCTGCAATTGGAGTCTCTCTCTCTCTCTTTCTCTCTCTCTCTCTCTCTGTATACATATATATATGTACCTTTCTATGGCTGTGAATGTACTCCCCACAGGAAACCAGGCTGTAGCTCCTCCCCATTTAGAAGCAAATGTGTATTAAATGCTTGTAGCATGCTTTATATTGATACAATATATTTTTGTATATCATGAGGTTTTATAAGAACCTCATAATGTAGGTCCTGTTGTCCCATTTTTTATATATTGGGGAAAATTGAGTAATAGATGAAACAATGTGGAGCTATGATGTCATATAGTCAGTATGTGGTGGGAAGCTGGGATTCAAACTCAAGCCTCCAGGGCTCTGACTCCTCATCACTGCACACAGTGGCTCAGAGAACCATCGCGGTGAACAGGAATCTGCATTAACAGCTGCTATTACAGCAGGTTTTTAGGAATATTGCTAGTTGCCTACTCAAGAGTATGATAATATTCTCATTCAAGTCTCATGCAGAAAATAAACTAAAATATGTCAAGTTATTTTGTTTGGGGTAAAATAACTTTTTTATTTTATGACAATTAGTAAAGTTAGGTATTCTGTTTACTTTGAATGTTGAGTGAAATACATTCTTAAATATTTAAGGAAATAAAAGATGATCTTAAAAGGCCTATTATGGTGAGAATTATTTCTTAATTTGATGCTGCCTTTCCTAGAAAAACAATGTGGTTTGAATAAACAACATTTTAATTCATTTTTAAGATTAGGAATCTTTCTCTTGTTATGGCAATAAAATGCTCTAACAGAATTGGAATGTGAAAAATTTTGAATGCTATGCCATGTAAATAGTCTCTAATAACTTTGAGAAGAGTTAATAAAAAATTATCAGCTTTTCAGTTTTGATTAACATATCAGTGAAGTCTTATCTTTTTAACTTGGTTTTAAGTATTCTACACTGGTGATGTAGAAGATCGCAAATGGCAGATAAATAGCACTTGTCCCATCATCTCCATCTGGCACTCATATGAGACATTACTAATCAATCATATGCTCTTTCCCATTGAAACTGAATGTTATGTCAGAAATTTTTCAAGACAGGGCTTTCACTAGCCACTCTTAGTTGACTGGAGTTAGTATAGGTGTTTACTGTATTCCATCTCTGACTTATTTTCCATCTCTGACTTAAACAATCCACTATTATCTCTACCATAGCTAAAAAGGAAATATTTGTTGGTTACTTACTATGTTTTATATTCTGTGCTAAACAATGGAAATAGAATAATTTAAAAATTAAGATAGTTTTTAAATTCGTGGTAGGCTGTCATAAGAAACAATCCCTTAACTCAATGACTTCACCAAATAAGTTTGTCACTTATGCAAAGTGCATTGCAGATATCACTGGTTGGGTGACTCCATGAGGCAACTGTCCTCCAAGGAGAGATCCAAGAACTCTGGTTCCTTCTAACAGTGGTTTTTCCATTTTCAAGGTAGCTGGGAAAAACCATAGCACATTTAACCACAATGTCGGCCTGGAAGTGACACAAATCACTTTTGTTTATATCCACTGGCCAGAAAAAGTCACACCACCTCAACTAAATGCAAAGAAACTAGGAAATGTAGCCACTGACTGGACTTCCTTTTCCTAAATGAAACTGTGGAAGGAAGGATAGCCTGAATATTTTAATAGGCAACTAGTCATCTCTGAAAGAAATAGTCATAGTCCCTTACTCATCAGATTTACCACCTAATAAACTCTTTATTTCCAAACCGTGCTGTTTCTCAAGTTCTTCATCTCCAGCAGCATGTGCCCTATAAAATCTGTGGTCATCTCTATGTATATATAACATTCATATTATATATATATATATTATTTATACATATATTCATCTATTCACACCAACATATACATACACACACACTGCCTAAATTTGAAACTGTCCATCATTCTCAAATTAACACAAATTTATGAACTTCTCTTTTCTGTTATTGGCATTCTTATTTTTTTACAGCTTTACTAATATAGAGCTATTTTTGGCTTCTTCGCAAGCTTTTAACCAGGTCTATCCAATCTTTAAATAAAAATTAAGATTATTTTTCAGCTGTGATTTTTAAATACTTTTTCTCAATTCTCCTGAATCTACTTCAATCTGAAATTATCATGGCCCCTTCTCTAAAGGGGATTTCTCATTTCCAACTAATACCTTTTTTATTACTGGCACATTTAGCTCCCCATGACTAATTCTAACATATCTTATACTAAAAACATTCTTTATTTATTTAATGAATGCCAACATTTTATCTTGTAAAGACATGCAGCAGCATGATGCATTTCATGTATTTTTACTTAGCTGAACACTGGCTTTGTGGGAGTAGTTCTCCAGCTGTTTGTGGTCTGTTTTTTTGTATGAACACATCACTCTTTATTTCCTCTGTGTGAATTTTGAAGGCTGAAGCAAAAGATTCTTCACCCAAAAATCACATTCTTTATCAACACCTCCCAGGCTCTTCACAATTAATGCTGGAATAACTGGATATCCACATACAGAAGAATGAAATCGGACCATTATCTTACACCATATACAAAAATGAACTCAATTTGAATGAAAGACTTGAAGATAAGACCTGAAACTGTAAAACCACTAGAAGAAAATTTAGAGGAAAGCTCCATAACATTAGTCTAGGCAAAAATTTCTTGGATATGACACCAAAATCACAGGCAAGAAAAGCAAATATAGACAAATGGGACTACATTAAACAAAAGAAAACATTTAACAGAGTAAAAAGGAAACCTACACAATGGAGGAAAATATATGTAAACCATACATCTAAAAATCAGTTAATATAAAAAATCTACAAGGAACTCATACAACTCAATAGCAAAAAAAACAAATAACCCACTTAAAAAGTGTGTGAAGGGCTTGAATAGACATTTTTCCAAAGAAGACTTACAAATGGCTGTCAGGGACACGAAAAAATGCTCAACATCAGTAATCATCAGGGAAATGCAAACCAAAATTAAAACAAAAAATATTATCTCACACCTGTTCAGATGGCTGTTATCAAAAATCCCAAAAACATAACAAGTATTTAAAAGACAATTTAGAACTCTTGTACACTATTGATGGGAGTATAAAGTAATGTAGCCACTAGTAAAACAGTATGCAGTGTCCTTAGAAAATTAAATATAGAAATATGGTATGATCCAGCAATACCACTTCTGTGTACTTATCCAAAAGAACTGAAATTGGAATCTTGAAGACATATTTGCACTCTATTAGTTGCATTTACAATAGTCAAAATATGGAAACAATCTAAATGTCCACTGACAGATGAATAGATACAGAAACTATGATGTGTACATACAATGAATTATTATTCAACCTTAAAAAAGAAGCAAATCCTGCCATATCTGACAACATGGATCAACCTTGAGGACATTATGTTAAGGGAAATAAGCCAGATACAGAAGGACAAATACTCCATGATTCCACTTATATGAGGTTATATCAAAGTCATAAAAACAGAGAGTAGAATAATGATTTCCAGGGTCTGAATGGGAGGAGAAATGGGGAGTTGCTATTCAACAGGTATAAAGTTTCAGTTAGGCAAGATTAACTTTTAGAGATCTATTGTTCAACATTGTGTCTATAGTTAACAATATGCACCATACACTTAAAAATTTGTTGAGGGTATGTCTCATATTATGTACTCTTATCACAATTTTAAAACAAGGAAAAGCCTCCCAGGGAGGGAAAATTATTCAATACTTTCATTGTCTAATATGATAAATGTGAGCCACATGCATTGGAGTAAACAAGATACATTATTAAAATTAATTTTATGTCTTTTTCAATGTACCTGCTACAAAACT
Source organism: Homo sapiens (assembly GCF_000001405.40). Classification (NCBI taxonomy): domain Eukaryota; kingdom Metazoa; phylum Chordata; class Mammalia; order Primates; family Hominidae; genus Homo; species Homo sapiens. The sequence goes on from NC_000008.11 coordinate 62,425,444, forward strand.
CAAAGTTACATGATATTTACATTATATATCTGTTGCACAACACCACACTGGAGGAGATCTTTTGCAAGTATGAATAAATACACTTAATCTTATAGACTTTGGGTTAAATAAGGGTCTTGTGGAATTAAATTTGCTGTTATTTGACTTGTAGTCAGCTAAAGGAATGTATTCTATTTTCTCTATTTTTAGTTGTAGTTCCTGATGGGTTTAATAATGAAAACAAACTTGTATATATGCTGAGAGAGTAGTTAATTTGGCTAGAAAAATTATTTTTTAAAGAATGATAAATTGATGCAGTGGTTATCTTAGAATGAATGCTTTCTTCAAAATACAAGCGTTGACATTCAATGTGACCTTTAGTGTCTTGCATGCTTTGTTTAGTAGCTTGTTTTGCTCTAGTATCCTCTGCACGTTCCATGTCTGTCTTACTTGTATGATGTTATCTTAAAATCTGTTATCCTTTACAGTTAAATAAACTATGGAGTCCAATATTTTAATTTTATCAGATGTTAGGATATTTCTTCAGAATAGAACATACATTTAACATCCTGTCTACTTTAATGGATTTGATTGATTGAATGGTTGTATTCAAAAGTTTTTCACACTCTTCAAAAATTTATTTATATTATAATGAGCAATTATCAAGTGCATTTTGGTGAGACTGGAAATGTCAAGTCAATAGCGGTTCAAGTCTTTGGGAGTCTATATTAAAAATCTTGGCATTGAGAAAGGATAATGAGAACAGGGAAATCTACCATTGGTGACAACAGTGACTTAATTACCTTAGTTTTCAATTTCATAAGGATAAGAGGAATGCATGAAAAATTTGACAATGGGTATTTTAAAGAAGTCTTTCTTTCCTGATGTGAGCCTTACCAGAAAATCACTCCACTAATCATTAAAGTAAGGTGTAATTTTTTAAAAGCTAGTTACTTCAGAATATGAATATAGAATAAGAATCTGCTTCTTCAAAGGCCAAACAGCATCATCTTAAACTACTGGAGTATTTATGAAAACTCAATAGTGGCTTGTAACTATTTCTATGGTGGTGGACACATTTAACTTTAAAGTAGCCATTTGCCTGTGGGGATGTTACCCTTTGAAAACATTTTCCTTGCAGTGCAGAATTTCTGATTAGCCATTTAACCTTGGAAGACCATGTATCTGCAGTGCTTTCCCAAACTTGCTCCATTTTCCTCTTGATTCCTTGTGTATAATTGGGTGGAGCCTATTTCATTAATTAAGAGTTTTAGTAAAAAAAAGGCTGAAGTGAATATATAGTGGAGACATTGCATAGGAGCAATGCTGAAGTTTCTGACTTTAGTTTTCCTTTTTTTTCCCCCAGTTCGTTTGTTGAGTTGTTTTATTCTTTATTAGATTTATCCATGTCAAGTTGTTATCTCAGAAGCGCCTGGCTAGCAGGAAGAAATTATGTGCTACCCACATCAGCTAGCTTGGCCACTATGTGGATAAGGTGGAAACATGGGTAATATCACACTGGATCCTTGGTAAGCACCTGTAGATCACAGGACACTCCCATGCTGGGGACTGTTGTATAAGGTGATACCCATAGAGCAGCACCTTCATGTTTGAGCTAGTGGCAGTGTTACTGTCAATCAAAGCCTGTCAGAGGGAGCTCAAGATGGCCAATGGGCCCATTTCTCAATCCAGAGAAAGCTACAAATACAGGCTTTTGATATTGTCTGTAAAAGAGATTACTTTCTTGTCAAAATTACTAACAGGTTAACTGTAAATTTAAATATATCACAATTTTTGGAAACCTGTTTTATTATGGCATTGAAACAAAATATTACAAGAGACTCAAAAACTGGAAGTATTCTGGACTTCTCCATGTGTTTATGAGGCCTTGCTATTCACCAGTGAAAGAGTAGCTGAGATCCTCTGCTGAGCAAAAGCTTCTGAGGCTATGATGTGGACTCAGATCCTGGGTCCCCTACTGTCTGACTGTGGTCATCTGTCAGGTTCAGTTTCCTCACATGAAGTGTAGTTAATTACACTTTAAAAAATGTTCTGAAAGAAAATTGAGATAATGTGTATTAGCTTACTGGGAAGTATTAGGTACAAAATAACCATAAGCTAATAATATCACTAACAGACATGATTTATTAGTAAATCTTCTACTCATAGAGCATGTCTCTGTGTACAAAGCTTGCTACCTTAGGTTCTTCCTACAAGTGTCATGTTTTCTGTGGCATTTTCAAGAATAAATTATATTTTTATAATTCTTAAATTTGTTTTTAATTTTTATGCATACATAGAAGTTGTACACATTATAGGGTACATGTGTTATTTTTCTATAAGCATACCATGTGTAATGATCAAATCTGGGTAATTGTAATATTTCATAACCTGAAACAATTATCATGTCTTTGTACTGGAAACATTACATATTTTCTCTTCTAGCTATGTTAAAATATACAATAAATTATGTTAACCATAGTTTCCCTATTGTGCTACTGAACATTAGATTTTATTTCTTCTATCTAACTGTATTTTTGAACCCATTAACCAACCTGTTTTCACCCCCCACTTGCCATTACCCTTCCCAGCCTCTGTCAACCACCATTCTATTAACTATCTCCAGGAGATTATTTTTTTTAGCTTCTACGTGTGCATGAGAAAATGCAATATTTGTCTTTCTGTGGCTGGCTTATTTCATTAAAATAACGTCCTACAGTTTCATCCATGTTGCTGCAAATTATAGGATTTCAATCTTTTTTACAGCTGAATGATATTCCATTGTGTATATATGCCATGTTTTCTTTATTCATTCATCCATTGAAGGGCACATAAGTTGATTCCATATCTTGACTATTGTGAATGGTTCTTCAATAAACATGAGAGTGCAGGTGTCTCTTCAATATATTGATTTCCTTTCTTTTGAATACGTACCCAGAAGTGAGATTGCTAGCTCATATGGTAGTTCTACTTTTAGTTTTTTGAAAAACCTCCATATGAGTTTTCACAGTGACTGACTGCAGTAATTTGTATAATCTCCAACAGTGTTCAAGTGTTCCCCTTTCTCAGCATCTTCACCAGCATTTATCATCTTTTTGACTTTTTGATAATAGTCATTCTAACTCGGGTGAGATAATATCTCATTTTGGTTTTGATTTGCAGTCCCCTGGTGACTAGTGATGTTGAGCATTTTTTCATATACCAGGTTGTCATTTACATGTCTTCTTTTGAGAAATGTCCATTTAGCACTTTTGCTCATTTTAAAATCATGTTATTTGTTTATTTGTTATTGAGTTGTTTGGTTATTAATACCCTTTCAGATATTTTTGCAAATATCTTCACCTCTTCTGTGGGTTTTCTCTTCACTTATTAATTGTTTCCTTTGCTGTAGAGAAGCTTTTTAGCTTGATGAAATCTTGTTTGTCAACTTTTACTTTGGTTGCCTGTGCTTTTGAGGTCTTACAGAAAAAAATATTTGCCCAAATCAATGATCTGGAGCATTTGTTCAATGTTTTCTTCTAGTAGTTTCATAGTTTCCATTCTTAGATTTGAGTCTTTAATCCATGTTGATTTGATTTTTGTAATATGGTGAGACATAGGGGTCTAGCTTCATTCTTCTGCATATGGATATCCAGTTCTTCCAGCTTATTTATTGAAGAGACTGCCTTTTCCCCATTGTATGTTCTTGGTTACTTGGTGGAAAATTAGCTGGCTGTAAATGTCTAATTGCTCTGGCTAGGACATCCAGTACTATGTTGAATAAAAGTAGTGAAAGTGGGCATACTTGTCTCGTTCCATTCACAGTGACGCTTGCTATAGGTTTGTCATATATGGCCTTTATTGTTTTGAGGTATATTTCTTCTACACCCACTTTGTTGAGAGTTTTTATCATGAAGTGTGTTGAATTTTATCAAATGCTCTTTCTAGAATTTATTGAATGTTCATATGGTTTTTGTACTTGATTCTATTAATGTGATTTATTACAGTTCTTATTTCTGTATATTGAACCATCCTTGGATCCCTGAGATGAATCCCACCTGATCAAGAAGAATGATCTTTTTAATAGGTTATTGACTTCAGTTTGCTGAGGATTTTTGCATGAATGTTCATCACTGATATTGGCCTATAGTTTTATTTGTCTAGTTTTGATATTAAGGTAATGGTGGTCTTGTAGAATTAGTTTGGAAGTTTTCCTCCATCCCTATTGTTTTGGCATAGTTTGAGTAGAATTAGTATTATTCGAGGATCTACTTTCTGCCACTTTTGTCTAATAGTGCACCACCGTGGAGCTGGAAGCATTAATGTTTCACATCAGCACAGTTACTACATCTAGGATACTCCAGTCTTTGTGCACTGAAGCTGCACTAGCAACTGCAACCAATTTTTTAATTATTTTTTTATTGTGATAAATATATACGTAACATAGAATTTACTATTATAATCATTTTAAGTGTATTGTTTAGTGGTATTAAATTCATTTATAATGTTGTGCAGCCACCATCACCACCATCCGTCTCCATAACTCTTTCTATCTTGTAAAACTGAAACAGTATACCCATTGAACATTAACTTTCCATTCTCCCAACCTTTATCCCCTGGAAACAACTTTCACTTTCTCTGTGATTTTCATTATGATTTTTACTACTGTAAGTACCTCATATAAGTGAATCATACAGTATTTGCCTCTTTGTGACTTGCTTATTTCACATAACATGATGTTCTCAAAGCTCATCCATGCTGTAGCATGTATCAGAATTTCTTCCCCCTTTTAAGGCTGAATAATATCCCATTTTATAGGTACATTGCATTTTGCTTATACATTCATCTATTGATGGACACTTGGGTTGCTTTCATATTGTAGTTATTGTGAATAATACTGCTGTGATATTATTCATAGCAATATTATTTATATATACTCTCTGAGATACATACATATATATTGTGGTGTGTGTGTGTGTGTGTGTGTGTGTGTGTGTGTGTGTGTGGATGGGTGTGTATTTGAGACCCTGCTTTCAATATTTTGGATATGTATCCAGAAGTGGAATTGCTGGATTTTATGATACTATCATTTTTAATGTTTTGATGAACCGCAATACTGTTTTCCACAGTGGCTATACCATTTGCATTCTCACCAGTAGTGCATAAGGGTTCTAATTTATTCACATTCTCATGCCTTCATTTTTCACACATTCTTAAAGGAAGTCAAAATAAGAACTTTGCATTTAAGGGTAGACATTTTTCTGAAGTGAGGGGGTAGATGTTAAAATTTACTTTAATTGGGAATATGAGAACAGGGCTATAAATGGGTTATGAAAATCAACCCAGATGATTAAAATACAATGCAGTAATGTGAGTAAGTTCTACTCTTTGTGGTATGAGTAGTATGTATGAAGATGGTGGTCTCCACATAAAGGGAGCTGTTTTTAAAAACAGGCAGCTTGGAAAGCATCATAAAAATGGAAATTCACATAGATGTTCAATCATTAGTAAGCTTCTTTTAGACCCTGAAAAAGCAGGAAAGTATTATAGGCATAGGGTCCAAAATAAGTACAGATGGGATGAATCTAGTTTACCAAGAAATGGCAAAGCATTTGGACTTAGGAGAAAGTTTGTTAGAAAGAGAGGGAGAGAAAGCACTTATAGCATTTTACAAATATGTTTACAGTTTTGTATTTTATATTAATATTACTTGGAAACCATTTTTCCTTTTATTAGGTAAATGATTTTTGTCACATCCAAAGATAGTCTGAATCAAAGATTTATATCTTGTTGGATTTCTTTTATTCTAGTCATTAGTCAGGCTGCATTCTTTTAAAGTAGATGTTCTAAAATTATAAAAACTAAATTCTCTAAATGTATTTAACAAAGAACTCTCATTTAACAAAGATCCTAACAAAGACCCAAGATGAACATCATGATTCTTTCACTTATATTTCTACTTTTTTGGTTAAATATAGCTTGTTTTTACAATAAACATATATAGCAATTTTTTTCTGTTAGCCATTTTTTCTTATTTGCCCAAAGTTCTGGCTGAACCCATTTGTGCTAATTTGACTAAGGTATATGACCGATAGTAAACCAATATTATATTTGAAATCATAAATGTGGAAATGGGAATGATGTGGAAATTCATGTAAAAGCTTTTTTTGATGAATAGAATTAAACTTTAACAAAATGAACCAAATAACATCTTTGTGTTTGTTCTTGCCCAAGGCTTGTATCTCAAAAGCGTTATTGCTGTAGCAATTGATTTTCTTGTATTTTAAAATAGCAAAGGATTTTTAAAAATGTTTTTAGGTAACCTGAAAAAAAGAAGGTGATTTATTTTCTGCTAAGTCTTGTTACCAGTCGGTAGTAACAAGAACTGTAAAAGTTCCTTAGAGAATGCTTAATTATCTTTTGAGATGCTCTCAGGAGAACTGAAGAGAAGCTTATAAAAAGGAAAAAAAAAAAAAAAAGCTTTTTCTAAGAACTGTTTTCACCCAATTAAACTATAACTGATTTGTGGTTAGCCCATGTCATAAGCCTTTAGGTTTTGTAGGAAATAAGGGAGAATCATTCTTAGCAAAAGAAATAAAATACACAATAGGAAATTAATGGAGAACCAAACAGTTGACTATGTGGATTTATCCTCAAAATGTTTCTAATTTGATCATTCCTTTTTATAATCTCTCAATTTGCTTCTCCTTAAAAAATAGAAAAATCACTCAAAATAATCTATAAAAATGCACAAAAAGGTCTCTGATGTTATGAAAATACTAAAGGAAAATAGAATCATTATGATGATTCTTCACAAGTCTGAAATCATCAGAGACTAAAGAATCCCTGCAGAAGTGATTTTATTTAATTTCCCAGCTGAATACTGCCTTTCCAGTGGAGAAGATCTTCTCCTAAGAACTCTTTTATAATTTGGAGGAACTTCAAGAAATGAGGATGCATCTCTTTCAGCCAAAATTATTTGTTTACAACTTGAGAATAATTTTAATGAATTACTTCTGCATTAGCAGAGAGGATTGTAGAATGGTTTAGGTTTGTGACTCAGAAAACCCTCTGTGATATTGATGTGACTTAAGGGTTTATGCATCAAATTAATCTGTGACAAAAACTGTACAATAGCATGATATTTGATGTCTGTCATAATATTGCACATTATTTCATGTTGTCTTTGATCTTTCCTGAGCCTGTATCAGGGAAATCACTATCTAAAGTGTAATGTGCTATGGAAGAGATGCATCCCAGTCTAAACCCCTTAGCCTGGATCATGGAAATTAAATTTTGAATGTAGATTTCATATTTGCTTCAAACATTTACCTATTTCTCAACCTGAACATGAAGTAATGAGTCTAAGAACAGGAGACTGTTTTTTCCCTTGGTATTGGACACTTCATTGAGAAGATCACTATGCATTTCACACTACCTTATTCCTACTGATCCCAAAGCAGGGCTTTCGTATTTGATCAGTGCTCAGTAGTATTCACTACACCAAAGCCCTATGTCCCTACCAGCCATTTGGTATGTCTGAACCAAGGAAGTGAATCTGTGTCATTCCAAGGCACATGAGAGCCACACTTGAAGTAGTTTGTTGTCCTCTTAACCCCAAAAGGGATAATCTTTAATTAATTACTTTGCCAAAGCATTTTATGTTTGTAAATGTTTAATAAATGTCCTGGCACTTTTAAAAATGATTTAAATATTTTTGCCACTTTTTGATTCAAATAAAACTGTAATAATTTCAGTTCAATGCAACTGAAAATATAGTGTCATTAAAGGATATTTACTGCTAAATTCCAAATCTCAGGTTTGCGAGCCATCTCTGGGCAGAAGCATCAATTCTTACTAAGTTTATTACCTCAAGTTATTATCAATCTTGTGGTGGTAGGTGGGGAACAAAAATGATCAGCTCACAGAATTTGGTTAAGAAAGGAAAAAAACGAAAACAATGCAAATGACAGGTAGTTACAGATATTAGTAAAATAAAAATACAATCTCAAGTATCAGTTTCTTAAATTAATAGAAAAAAATACAAGCAAAGTTACAACAATTATTATTATGCCAGATATGGGATCTGGGTAAGTTATTTGCATTTTATAGTGATTTCTTAAGCCTCATGTCCACTGAGACGGTTTTACAAAGCTCTATTAGAAATAGAAATTTAGATATCTATTACACTTTATCAGACGGTGGGATTTTTCCCTAAGCAAGTTCTGTGTCCAGATTATTATAGGTTGATGCAAGAGTAATTGAGGTTTTTGCCGTTGCTTTTAACAGCAAAAACCGCAATTAATTTGCACCAACCTAATAATTTAAATTTTATTTGACATTAAATTTAGTTATTTAAATTAATTGGATTAAGAGGAGTTGGAAACTTCCCTGGCATAAATATCTATAGCTACCCCTTTCTGTGGTTTTTAGAACTAAGTCCATAGCTAAGGAATCTGAAAGTCAGGCAAGGGCATGTAATAGATACCTTAACATCTTGTCAGCCTTTTGTTCCTTTGATTTTCAGCCTTCAGTCCATCCATCCACCATATCTTTATTAAGCATTCACTAAGAGCAGCAGTCAGCTGAGTCCTGGGCACACAGATATGAGCATGGCAGATAAACCGTTTGTCCTCATGGAGCTTGTAGTCTGTGTGAGCCTGATGCTGAGCATGCCAAAGAGAAAACGACAAGATCCAGGGAAGGAAGGCACATAAAACAAATAATTACAGCCTGAGAGAAGTAGTCTGATGGAGACTTGTATTGACATTGCAGAGGAAGAGCACCACTCTTCTTAAGACTGTCCATGAAGTTGTCCTTCGGGAGGTAGCATTTGAGCTGAGTCACAAAGTTGAGCAGCATTTAGACACTGCTGCCATCACTAAGTGATGCAAGTCTCAACCTCATTTCTCCTTCATTCAACAGTTATGAGGAGCTTAGAGTAATCAGGGAACAATTCCTGGATGCAGTGGCATTGCAGGAGGCAGAAATATGATTGCAAGGCTTTTCAGCCCTGAGAAGGTCCTGCGAGGCAGGAGGATCGTTTTCTTTGAACTCAGGAGGACTGGATTCCGGATGTTATCAGACCAGCGTTTATCTTAAGATAAATCAGGGTGTAAGGAACCCAATAATGTATGATTTTAGGGAAATTTTAGGAAAAGACTGCTTTTTCTCTTCCAAGTATCTGTCCCTTCCTCTGACACAGGGAATTAAACAAATTACATCATGATCAAGGCATTCCTTCTAATAAAGTCTTCAAACTTTACCTAAAGGAGATGCCACTGTATTAATGCTAGGATTTTCCCAAATGTCTTTTGAAAGGCACACATCCTGCATATGTTTGTGATTTGAAAAAAATGGTTTCATAATAATTAAATCTGGGAAACACTGCAATCTATAGACCTCTCCTGAAAATTAACTATGCACTTGTAAATTAAGGAGCATAGGAGTCCTGTGGTTAAAAAATAAGTTAACTGACCTTTGAACACCTCTCCCCCTTGAGTTTTTGCAGAACATCTATTATGCTGAAAGAGCTTTGAGGCACATCAATCATTTTTAAACAGCAAGATAAGCTCCCTTTCCTGAGCTGGAGAACACTGAGCTCTAACTGGTGGATGGAGGGATGGAAGATCAGACAGGGAGAAACAGAGGAGGACAGGAGAAGAGGGTGGAAATAAGGAGGAGATTTTGGATAAGTGGACAATTTTCTGGTCAGCGCTGACACCTCTAGCTGAGAGATGACACTTCATGTCCTAAAATGCTTCCCCCTGTTTTGCTGTCATTTGTGGCCACATTCAGCTACTGAAAGTGTGAGGACTTTAAAGGGTCTCAGGGCTAGACGTTCTGATGGTTCAAGGCACTTCCTCCTGGGGGCCTAATAACCAGTTTCTGACTCATAGCAGCATCAGATTCTGACACCTGAAGGTTATGGACACAATAAAATCTCTCCAGCATGAGCTTCCGTGTACTCTTACCAAAAACCACACGCTGACAGAATTAGTATGTGGAGCCAGGGGGACTGAATTGCTGGGCAATGGGTCATACTAAAAATAAAAAGATGTAATCTACTTAAGTAGATATACGAAGCCAAGAAATAATTTCAACCCTTTTCAAAATTCAATCCTTTGCCATATCTTTACAAACAAACGAAGGGGAGTTGTTGCTAAAAAATCACTATGCTAATTTTTAGTCACATTCATGCCTGTGAGCACGTATAAGGAGTTCCAAGATAAATTTTACCTTCTTTAGCCTTGTTAAAATGCTTAGAAATTAATATGCATTGTTATCCAAGATTATGAAGTGATATATGTTCTTTGGAAATATAAAAAATTAAGATATAAAATACAAAAGTTATTATAAATAACATTTTGATGTACATTATTTTAGTTTGTTCCCCAAGATGTACATCTAAGTATTCATAAGTTTTTTAAACCTCATGTCTACTTCAGTATACCTATTTTGTAGACAAAATCTGTTTTGTAGATTTTCTTCATTCAAAAATGTAAAGACAACATTTCTTTAGCCATTAAATATTCTACACAGTATGCCTTTATATGAGTATACAATGCTTTAACACAATTAATTGTACTCTATTTCATTCCCAATGTTTTCATATTCTGACTTTTAAATCTTTTTGTTTGCCTTTGATATTTTTACTCAAAGTAAATCCCTAAAGGCAAATTGCCGTGTCACAGTATGTGAACATTTTTAAAACTATAACAAGTTGTCAGACTGCTCTCAAATATTATATATCTTACAGGTCTCTCAGGGGCTAGGTGGAAGAGGCAGTATTTCTCTATTCTCACTAATAAATGAGGATTTTAAAGTGCCAACAATAGTTCTTTAAATAAGTCTTCTTCCACTTGTATTTTACCGCAAATGTTACTGACTGTTTTCTAATTAAGGTAACCAGGTGAAGCCTTTCTTGGTCCTGTGTGTGGCTGAAATCAGGGCTGAAAATTATACATGAAGCTATTTTTTAAGAAAACTCTAAACTCTACAGACATCTTTTATTTATTTAATAGTGCTTAACATTGCAACTTTGAATGAGACAGAGTAAAGCTGTCACATTTTTTCTTGTCAGTTTAAGTGGTTATAAAACAGCTGTGATCACCAGCTTAATGAATGTAGAAATTTTACATTAACTGTGGATAGATATCCATCTTCCTCTTCTTTTTATTAGTTATTAAGTACATAATAAAGTAATATGTAAACACATAGAAATTAGAGACCATCTTCTTTTTCAGAAAGCCTAGTTTTGCTCACTTAATTAGGAGTTGTTATTTGATGACAATTTTTTAAAAAATAATGATGTTATAAATGTCAAATAGCTTTTTATGCATTACGGAATCAGACATTCACTTTGTTGTGGAGTCAATGTGATGTCCTAGGTTAAGGAAGAAGTGCATTTTTCATGTTTCTCAAAAGTACTGGACTTCGCACAAGTAAAAGTAAGAAATTAAAATCCATACAAAGTGAAAAACTGTAACTGTAATGTGCGGGACACACCAAAAAGAGGGTGGCATATTAAAATGAAATAAAAAATCATTCATATTTAAGTCTAAAGAAAATGGGCCAAAGTCAATGAAAGATTGTTTAGATTCTTCAGCACATTGTTTTCCTAATCACATTGTTTAATTACCTGAGGTTAAAATATAGACGAATGTATTAGCAAGGAGAGATGCAATGATTAAAGACTGGTACTATTAGTTGTGAGATTTTCAAGGACATCCTTATGAACAGAGGTAGAATAGATTTTTTTTGACACAGAGAGGCTAAAAGTATATGAAAAGTCCTGAGACCATTAGTGATCTATAATATCTCAAAGAATAACCACTGAAACAAGAAAATAGGTACAACTAGCTTATCTGAATCTACCTTAAGGAATCATCATAAAATATCTCCCAAATAGAAACGTAAGGCTTTATCACAAATAGTTAACATAAACGTTAACACGGATAGTTAAATGAAGTAAAATTAAGTTTTTCCAAATAAATTTCTCAGGTTTACAGACAGCACAGTATTTAGATGTCTTATTTACACAATGCCTCCATTTTAGCTACAGATGTGGACATCCTCAAAGGTTGACTGAAGACTGGTCAGTGCTATTCTGTCATTTCCAGGAATGACTTATAGATGCTGAGGCATAAGTCCTCCTGTCTTGCCATGCAAGGAAAGGGCTATGAAATTTTAAGTTATGGGTGCTACGGAGAGCAATAAAAACAACATTTTAGAATTATTCAGGTAATGCTTAGGACCTGTGAACTTAGAAATATATGATGGCAAAAATAATTACCACGGTGAGCATTTACAAATGAAAAAAAATCACTTTAATACCCAAATAGAGGAATTGGGTAAATATATGATGATCCTTCTTCCCAATGGAATCAACACAGTTAATTAGATTGAAATTTAAAGAGAATTTGTGATAGCTTGGGAAACTGCTATTAAAGGAGCAGTCAACGATGGAAAAATTAAAAATAATTTTAAAATTTTCTTATTTCTAAAACAGCTGAAAGAAAATATAGCAGAGGTTTAACGTTATTTGATTTGCTGTTCATGAACCCTGTGTGTTATTCTTACTTTCCCACATTTATGATTTTGCAAATTTTCTCTCATAAACCTATATTAATTATTTCCATAATACAACCCACCCTTATTTTAAACTGTACTGTGGGTCCCATGAGCAATGCGCAGAGCGGGGCAGCTGTGCAGCTTCCAAGAGAAGGGGCTGCGCCTGGCTCCACACTCCTCTTCTGGGCTGCTTTGCTATCCCAGCTGCCCTCTCGTCCCTTCCTATCAGCCTCTTGTCTGTGCTGCTTTCTGCAAGTTTTACATTTTTCTTTGTAAATTTTTCACAGGTAAAGGACCTATCTTTATCTGAAGGAGAGAATAAAATCAATCTTTGCTTTCTCTTTGTTTATATTTTGTGTGAGAAATTTGTATGCTAAAATCAAATGCCACCGGTATTCACAAATAGGGTGACATTTGTGTTGTGCCTGATTACACTGTGAGCCCCACTCACCCTCTCTGTGGCTCCTGGGGGCACTTGTGAGTGCATCTGTCACCTGGAATCACCTCAGGTTCCCTACCGTGTTACCTCTCTCCTGCTCTGGCTCCCACTCGTAAGGGACATCAGTAGGGCCGGTGTCATGAATAGCCACTATTTTTTTTTCTTTGAGAAGGAGGCTCACTCTGTCATCCAGGCTGGAGTGCAGTGGCAAAATCTCAGTTCACTGCAACCTACACCTCTTGGGTTCAAGAGATTCTCCTGCCTCAGCCTCTCAAGTAGCTGGGACTACAGGTGTGTGCCACCATGCCCAGCCAATTTTTGTACTTTTTGGTGGAGATGGGGTTTCACCATGTTACCCAGGCTGGTCTTGAACTCCTGATCTCAAGTGATCTGCCTGTCTTGGCCTCCCAGAGTGTTGGGATTACAGGTGCGAGCCACTGAGCCTGGCCAGGAACAGCCACTATTAAAATGCCAATGTTCATTCTCAAGAGCTCAGATATCCTCACAGGGGCTGATTGATGGCCAGGTGCAGGAGCAATGCTGGTGTTGGGAAACTGGAAGAGGCCACTGTGGCTAGACCATAGAAAGTAAGTAGAGCATGACACAACTTTAGACTGGAGAGTCAGGTGGGGCAAATTAGGCAAGACCTCCTAGGCCAAGCTAAAGATGTTAGGCTTTATCCAAGGATCACCAGATAGCTCTTGAAATATTTTAAGCAGGAAAGAGCGATATGATCTGATGTGAAAAGTAAATGATGATGCTGGATATGGTCCACATTGGCACAACTGGTGAGAGATGAACAAGGGTATGAGCCTGAGTCCTCTGGATTAGGAAATAAGGAATCTGTCCACAACTACAGGGAAGACTCTGGTAAGTGCAACTTACAGTTTACAAATTTTAAGAGAGGTGCCACATTTGAAGAGACTGTTAGGACAATTACTATGCAGCTCCAGTTTCTCTGCTAGCATAATTTTGATCCCAGCCAACCCATGCTTTTCTGTCTTAAAAAGACCAAATTTAGCAGGTGTTTGAGCCTGGAAGCAAGAAAGCAAGTTAAAAATACCAACATCATTTTGGCTAAGGAATAGATTTCCTTTAAGTGTCTCTGCACTTAAGCATTCATCCTGAGTAAAAAAATGTATCCAGCACACAGATTGTTCCCTCTCATGTTACTTTCTATGTCAGACTTAGCAATCTCAACACTCCATCCAATCTAATTCAGAATCATTAACATTTGTACTTAGCCACATGGATTCAAATGCTGAATGTTTGGAACATTTACAGACAGATGTTATCAAAGATGTTCTCTTTTCACAGTTTCCTCTGTTAATTTGCATAGAACAACCATTGCCACTGAACATGAGGTGCAGTCAACAGAGAAGCAATTTTTTTGTTGTTGTTTGCTTGCTGTTGGGTTCTGGGCATGTGCTTGTATTGGGAAAGTGTTGTACTTTACTGCATTTAAATAAGTATTACTTCAATTATGGTTTGTTGTTGCTGTGTTTATAGATTTACTTTAATCGGTTAGGAAGCAGATATTAATATGAGGAGAATGTGTTTTCCTGTAGATGCTGATTTTAATAGAAAGACATTCAGGACCCACTTTTTCATTGAATTCTGCCTTTCTTTTTAGCCAAAATTGGGTCCTTTGCTTTTACTAAAAGGTGCGTTTTATTTACTCCTTTTTGCAATTCCAAGGTTGGGTAGTTTTGAATTAGGAAAACATCATTACCTCTAACATTGATTTGTCAGAGTCTTCTTATTTACCTTTCATACTGAACACTAAAAGGACCTAGAAAATAAATAACAAAGTCCAACCCAAACTAAAGGTGCCCTTCATGTGTGAATTTTATGACTTCTCTGCTCTTGTTCATAAATTATTACCAATCAAAGGATTCTTGTCCAAGCTTCACTGGGGATGAAAAGCTGGTCAAGATTCAGACAAAATTTGCTGCTGAAATGAGAGCATTTTTGTTAGTAGATATGGAAAGAATCAATTTAACCAATATATTAGCACGTATGTCACTTTTCCTCAGTCTTAGAAAATAAAAGTTCCCTCCTCTTGTCATAGGTCATCATGTCTAACTCTGCTCTTCATCAGATCTTTCCCATTTCCTTCATTGCCATTATATGTCCTTCATCTTGAAACACTGGCTAGTGTCCCTGCGACCTGTGTACATGTTGATTCTCAAGTTTTTGTTACCAAAAAACCCAAATCTCTTGCTCTTCATTAACTCTCTAACGACCATACTCACTCCCCTCCTTCCTTCTTTTTCTTCTTCTTCTTTATTTTTTTTTTTCTTCAAGAGAGAGCTAACGACTGTGAAATACAGATGTCAATGAAAGACCTTGGCATGCAGTGTTCCAGAAAGATTAATGTAGCCATGGGCTGCCAGAGGCAAGTAGATCTGTTTTCTGGCTATTGCAAGAGTTTATTCAGTGCAGGGTGATGAATGTCTGCTCAAAGCTGCTGTTCCGAATATCCTAATTTGTTTCGACTGCCATGGTTTTTTCAAATTTTATCCTCAAAATCATCCTCAATGCGGAACCTGTCTTGTGCTGCCATGTTACCCGCCTCCATTTTGAAGGCTTCATCTGGTGCTACTTAATCAACATTCACCTTGGTTTTTTGTTTTATTTGTTTGCTATCCTATTTCTACTTTGTTTTACCTCTTGCTTTTCATGACATCTATAGTTTTGAATATAAATATTCTCCAGGAATATTAGGTCTTATTGATTCAAAGGGCTAAGCTTTTTATTATTTTTAAAGAAGTAGGAGATAATATTACTGATTTTAAGAGATAATATGCTATTTTTACTACTATATAGCTGTGGGATTTTGTTTTATTTTATTTTGTTTTTCGGTATGCCTTCATATCTGATAAGATCAGCTGTTTTTCCTAAGTCTTCATTATAGATGTCTTTGAAAAGAATTAACATCTTTACAATGTTGAATTGTCTATCAGGGAAAAGAGTGTAACTTTATTTCTTCAAGTTTTTATATCTGTAAGTGGAATTACTAAAGCTTGAAAATCTAAAATATTCTCTATAATGTCTTGTGCATTGTTTACACAACTATTATTGTAATTCCTAAATATTTTATCTTGTGAGTTTTAATATTATCTTATTTTTAATTTTATTTTTTACTTGATTATGCCTGGTATAGGTAAATTTTTGAAAATTAATCTCATATCAAACAACTTCCCAGAACTACCTTATAATTTTTAAGAATGTGCCTGTTAACTACATTAGATTTGCTTTGTAGATGAACATATATTGGTAATTAATAATTTTTATCTATTCCTATTATTTTATTTTCTTATTACATTTTCTAGGATCTTTAGTACAATATAGAAAAAAATCAAATCTAATTAAAAACATTGATAAGAAACATCTTTATCTCATCCCCTCCTTTAAAAAATATGTACCAAATCACCCCATTGTGTTGTGTGGGGTTTTGATAAATTCTCCTTATCAAGTTAAGGGATTTCTCTGTACTTTTAAGTTTCCCAGACTTTGATTATCAGACTGAATTTCATCCCCCTTTTTTTGCATTTGGGAAAATCATATACATTTGTCTATTATTTTGTTAATTTGATGACTTGTATTGATAGATGTTCTGATATTAAATCATTATATTCTCTATTGAACATGATATATTTTTGTAAATTGTTGAGATATAAAAGCTAATTTAATTAATCTGGATTTTTTTCACACCTGAGAAATGCCTATACAATTTTCTGTTTTTAGTTATCCAGTTTAGCTTATCTGTTCCTTGAAAGCTTGCTAGAATTCTTTGTAAAACTATCAGAGCCTTGTACTATTTTGGTGGAAAGGAATATATTTAATTTATATTTCAATTTTTAATAGTCATTGTCTATTCATTAGGCTAATATTACTAGTTTTGGCATTTTATATTTTTCTAGAAATGTATTCTGTTTTAGATTTCTAAATTTATTGGCATATGGATGCACAAAACAGTAGTTTATTATTATAGCATTAATACCTGGAGATATTTCCCTTTCAAATTCTATAATATATTTATTTGGTCTATTGCCCTCCCATAGACACTGAAAAATAAGTATTAACAGAGGTTATCTAACTTTTAGTATTTTCAAATAATCAATTTTTGGTTTCCTCATCTTTTTGACTGGTTAATGTTTCTTTTTTATTTCACTGATTGCTGCCTTTAATTTTTTTATTTTCTTTTTATTTTTGGCTTTATTATAGTATTTTTTATGTTTTTTATAATATCTAACTTGTTTTCACTTCCTCTTGTGGTCTGATAGATCCATTGAAAGCTGTAATTTTTCCATAAATTTCTTGATTGAGCTATGCCCTCAATTGTTGATATATAGGTTTTTAATTGTCACTTAGCTCTAAATTGTTCCTTATTCCCCCATACCATTACCATTTTGACCCAAGTTCATCTGGTCATAAGTGTTTTAGGATACAAATATGTCCATTTTTAACTATTTTCTTCATTGATCTAATTATTTTTCACTTGATCAGTGAAAAATATATCATACATAATATGTATGATATTGATGTTTTGAAGTTTATTGAGGCTTCCTTTGAGAGTTCATTCAGCATTGACTTTTGTGTATATTCCATGTGTACTTAACATGTCTTTTCTCCTTGTCTGATATAAAATTAGGCATATATCTATTAAGTTTATGAGCCATCTTATTCAAAAGTTCTAGAATTTTTCTTATTCTTTTTTCTTTATCAGTTTCTAAGTTTTCTCTTTTAAAATCCCAATCACAATTGTTCATGAACAATTGTTTATGAATCTATTTTTCCTATAGATGTGATGATTTCTGCTTTTTTGTATTTCAAGTATAGATAGACTCATAATATGATTATTATGGACTTTTCACTTATTATCTTTCGTAGTATTATATATTGTCCTTCATTGCTGCTTTCAATTTACTTGTTGTCCTACTTTGTATTTTAACTGATATTTTATTTATTTTATTTTATTTTTTGAGACAAAGTCTCACTCTGTCACCCAGGCTGGAGTACAGTGGCACAATCTCGGCTCACTGCAACGTCCACCTTCCGGATTCAAGAGATTCTCCTGCCTCAGCCTCCCGAGTAGCTGGGACTAGAGGTGCGAGCCACCATGCCAGGCTAATTTTATATTTTTAGTTCAGAAAGGGTTTCACCATCTTGGCCAGGCTAGTCTTGAACTCCTGGCCTCAAGCGATCCACCTGCCTCAGCCTCCCAAAGTGCTGGGATTTATTGGGGTGCGTGAGTCACCATGCCCAGCCTTGACTGGTATTTTAACTGCCACCACAATTGTCAATTAGTTATTATTATTTTCTTATTTTATAATTTTTCTCTTCTCTTTCTTTTTGATTTTTTCTGCATCTTTTTGCCACTAATATGTATATCTCATAGGTAATATTTTAGAACAATTTCTAAAAATTCATTCTTACAGAAATAATTTTTTGTTGTAAACTATGCTCCAAGCAGTCTTGTAAGCACTTTGCCTGTATCATCTCATTTCATTTATATAAAGCTCTAACAGGCATTACTGTTAGCGTTACTTTATATATAAAAAACAGCCAGTGGAATTTTAAATAGCTTGCCTAAAGATAAACAGTTAATGGTTCCAATACTTGAACCTGAGCCTATACTCTTTACCACTATGACGTGCTGCCTTCTAATAAATTTATAATGCCTTTTTATTGATATGTAATACATGTACATATTTTTGGGATACAAGTGATAATTTCATAATTTATATAATATATAATATGTGAAGGACAAATCAGGGTAATTGAGATATCCATCACCTTAAAATTTTATCTTTTCTTTATGCTAGTAACCTTCAAATCATTATCTTCTAGCTACTTTGAAATGTACAATTGATTAATATTAGCTATAGTCACCATACTGATCTATTGAACACTAGACCTTATTTCTTCTTCCTAACTGTGTATTTGTACCCACTAATCAACATCTCTTTATCCCTCCTCCCCACCTCTTGTAACAACCAATCTACTCTCTATCTCCATGAAATCCACTTTTTTAGCTTCCACCTGTGACTGAGAACATGCAGTATTCATCTGTGTTTCTCTTAATAAAGTCACTCCCAGCTCTATCCATGTTGCTAAAAATGATAGGATTTCATTATTTTGTATGTCTTAGTAATATTCCATTAGGTATATATACACCACATTTTCTTTATCCATTAATGGACAATTACCTTGATTCCATATTTTGGCTATTGTAAATAGTGCCAATCATGGGAGTGCAGGTATCTCTTCAATATATTTATTTCCTTTCTCTCAAATATACACCCAATAACAAAATTGCTGAATCATGTGATAGTTCTATTTTCAGTTTATGAAAAACCTCCATACACTTTTCCTTAGTGGCTGTACTAATTTATATAACCCCCACAATGTACTAGTGTTCTGCCTTCTCCACATTCTTACCAGCATCCATTATTCCCTGTCTTTTCTGATAAAACCCATTTTAACCGTGGTGAGATGATATCTCATTGGAGTTTGGATTTGCATTTTCCTTTTCTTCTTTTTTTTTGACAGAGTCTCGCTCTGTCACCAGGCTGGAGTGCAGTGGCACTATCTTGGCTCACTGCAACCTCTGTCTCCTAGGTTCAAGTGATCCTCCTGCCTCAGCCTCCCAAGTAGCTAGGACTACAGGCATGCACCACCATGCCCAGGTAATTTTTGTATTTTTAATAGAGACGGGGTTTCACCATGTTGGCCAGGATGGTCTCAATCTCTTGACCTTGTGATCCGCGCACCTCAGCCTCCCAAAGTGCTGGGATTACAGGCATGAGCCACCACGCCCAACCTTGACTTGCATTTTTCTGATGGTGAATGATTTTGAGTCTTTTCCATATACCTGTTGGCCATCTACGTGTCTTTTTTTTTTTTGGTTGAGAAATATCTATTCAGATCTTTTGCCCATTTTAACATCAATTTTCTTGGTTTTTTGCTGTTCAGTTGTTTGAGCTCCTTATATTATACCCATTTTTCTTATAAGGAAATTGAGCCTCAGGTTAAATAAAATTGCCCACACAATAAATGCTGGGGCTGGACTTTGAACCTAATCAATTTGGTTCTTGAGTGTACACTCCCAACTATTTTCTGTTTACTTCTTATATTATACAGTTATACAGAAGTGAGAAGGTGAAATACAAGTTGGGGAGGCACCAAGACATCAAAGGAATGAAGCACAAGATGCAAGTTCAGAATATAGTAGTAGAGATGGTGAGAGTTTCATTCTGTATTGGTCCTCTCTGTCCTCACTCCTTGTTCTCCTCTCCTTAGGCATTCTGGTTTTCTATATGGTTTTCTCTTACCCCATCAAAAATCTACCTTCAAAATAGGAGCAGCAAAATCCATTCATATTGAAGTCTGGGGACTGGGAGTTAGTTATTTCTTCTGGGTCTAATGGTAAGAGAACACATTAGAGGAAAATTTTAGATTCCAGAGTATTTCAGGCATATAGAGATTATGTTTGTTAAGCACGAAACTCATAGATTACAAAATAATACATTTAAAGAGGTGAGTAAAGAAAATGCCATGGTAGCAGTTTAGAGTGGCAAGAAATGATGGTGTTATGAAGTCATAGCAATTGTAACTTGTTATAGACACTAACGATTAAATATCCTGAAACATCTTCTGTTCTAACTTGAGTGAAAATGCCCATTTATTCACTTGCCAATTTTAGGATTCAACCTGAAGCCAAATAAGAAACTAAGAAATCCCTTTTAATAGTTGATAAGTCAGCTAATTGAAGTTTATGTGGAGTGGTTGTAGAGTCTTCCTCAATAATAACACAAAGAAGAGATCTTAGCATATGATCAGACACGATTATAACACTGAAGGAAGAGTTAGTGTTGTTAAAATTCCATATGATATATAGCATTAATATCTTGACATATGGCTGGTTTTTTTTAGTTTTCAACAAAAATAGCAATAAATAATTTAAATATATGTCAAAATTAATTATTAAGCCTTGTGTAATGAGCGCCATTTTTAAAACACACATTTTTATTGTGGCAAAATATGCATAACCTACAATTTACAATTTTAACCATTTTTAAGTGTACACTCCATTGGCACTAAATACATTCACATTATTGTTCCATCATTGTCTCTAACCTCCAGAACTTTTTCATCATTCCAAACTGAAACTCTATGTCCATTAAACAATAACTCCATATTCCCCCAGAACCCTACCAACCTTGGTAAACATCATTCTACTTTCTATCTGTATGGATTTGACTACGTCAGGTACCTCATATAGGTGGAATCCTACAATATTTGTCCTCTTGTGCCTGGCATATTTTATTCAGCGTGATATCTTCAAGGTTGTAGAATGTGTCAGAATTTCCTTCATTTTCAGGGTTAAGTCATATTCCGCTGTATGTATATGTATCACTTTTGGTAATCCATTCACATGTTGATGGACATCTAAGTTGTTTCCACTTTTTGGCTATTGTGACTAATGCTGTTAAAAACATTGGTGTGCAAAGCTTTCATGTATATCTATATATGATTTGAGTACCTAAAACAAAATCTTTTAGATAAGACAAACTAATAAGACATTAGAAATCTAATACTTGGTGTTAACTGGGATGCCATACCTGGTGAAATTTTTGAATCATTTGTAAGTATCCGTTATAGAGTGACCACACAATTTATCATCCAAACCAGGATAGTCTTGACAATAAAAATAATATGACTAATATTTACCTAGACAAAATCGGCACAAAACAGAACTATCCCAGGCAAACCAGGTCATGTGGCCACCTTATCCCTTTGAAAGGCAGTTTAATAAATAGAATCTTTTGTTTCCAGGTACTGGAATCTGTCATTTGAAAATATTGTATTTAATTTCACTGGAAATTGTGGTCAAATTTTCAGATTAGGAAGTGTATTAGTAGTTTTAAACCTCTGGGATTCCATTTAGTGAGATGAAGTCAAACCCGTCTATTTCCCTTAAGTTAACCATTTAATACTGTCCTTTGATATTATTTAAAGAAATGATAATTATTAACAGAGGTGGCACCAAGCGATAGGTCTAGGTGAACCCATTGTTTTCTATTGCTAGCACTTTTGTCAGTAATTATCTCAGATTCTCCATGAGAAGAGAATAATTGGACACAATAAAAATGAATTTTGTACTTTGGGTTCTTTTCTTTCTCTGACATAGGTCCAACCAACCAATGCATATAGTTAATCACTTCTAAAGGGAATTAATTTTGTCTGGATCTCAAGACTTTTCCCTTCATTCATCAGAAGCAGAAATTCAGACATTCTGGCATCCCATTGATCCTGGTAGCAAATTAGATCCCCCCTTCCTTGGATATCCAAAGTCTAGGGGGACACTGATTATATCTATGTAATTAGTACTTCAAGGCCAAATGGAAATAGAAGAAAGAACCAAGCCCCAACAATTTTATTCCTTTGATAAATTATCAAGGTAGGTGGGAAACTGTTTAGATAAGTGGGATGTTTGAAATCTAAAACCTTTATCTGAGTACTTGATTAACACTTTGTTTGTTGGGGGAATAGAGAGTATTAGGTGTAACTGCGCCAAAGGAAAGGAAATCACCTTGATAAATCAACATAAGGGAGAAAGCTAGGTTGGATTTAAGTAGCCATTCAGTTAATAATTAGGTATAATTTATAATGAACAAATTGATTGTTTTATATATTATAGTTCACTCTCTTTGCTCTGACATATGCCACATTTATGTCTCAGATGAGTTTTTTTGAAAAAATAGATCCCTTTGTTATAGAACCCCATAAAGAAGCAAATTAGTGTTTCCGCAGAGGAACATATCAGAATTCTCACAAGGAGGACAGAGACTACAAAGAGCTTCTTTTCAGGTTAGGCCAGATTTTGCAGACAAATAAGGGAGTACCAATATTACGGAAAACTTTTAGTTTTCAGTAATTTTAGATTTCAGATATGTAGATGAGAGATTGAAGGCCTATGATGGTATTTATTTTTAGATTTATAAAGATAATATATAAAAATAATAGTAACATATTGTAGAGCTTCTAGAAAATCCAAAAAAAAAAAAAGATAAAAAGAAAAATCACCTGCCTTTCAGAGAATGCTTTCTAGCTGTTTGGATCTCTCTTTTTTAACATAATTGAGATTGTACAATACATGCAGTCTCACAGTTTGCTTTATTCTGTTAACATCAGATATTCTAAAGGGTATTTTTGAAACAAACTCATTAGAAAAACTGACAGAAAGACAGCAGACCTAGAAGAGGCAGCTCTGCTAGTCAATAATGGAAGATGTGGAAGACTATTGCTACAAGAATTTCTGAGCTTTTTGTAAAGAGTCATTGAGCTTAAGTCTAGATCAAATTTTAAAGTTATAAAGCATATGATGTTGTATGGATTTTTTAAGTGCAGAAAATTCTTAAGCACCATTTTAATCAGGCTTCCCAGCTTTTTTCCTTCTTTGGTGGTATTGCTAATGAGAACACAGTTCTTAATTTGAGGTTATATTGTCTTATCCAATGTCTATTGAAGGAAAAAATGTTATTTTAGGATTTCCAAGCTATGTTGTTTGCCTTTCTCTTTTTGTAGGTCTTATACTTGCTAACTCAAAGATTTACTATGAGAAAAAGTGTGTAATGTGATCTCTGAAAGAAACACTAAGTGTTTAAAATGCACCAGAAATCTCAAAATCCCTTTTTTAATGTAGTATTAGACAGCTTCATTGAAGTGAAAAATAACTGGCCTTTAGAAGCAGTGTTTTAAAAATTATGGTTTCCAGTATTTTCCACGATTGCACACTGTGGCATCATGGAAATTCCATGATTTCTTGAGATTCTAAGTGAATGAAAAGAAGCCGGTTTAGTGGCTAAGCTTACTTTATGTGTAATCTATTAAATCGTGTCTAACTTCCTGGTCCATCCACCTGCTGTATTCCATTCTATATCTATATTAGACTGGAAACATTAACAAATGGTGAAAGCATAAAATATGTAAAGTGCATGAAGCACTCAGGACTGTCAAAATTATTTCTTTCATATATATGTCACCATGCTGGCTTTTAGGAAAAATATAGCTAAATATAAGTGTAATTGTTTCTTCCTTATGTTTCATTGAGTTCTATCATAAAACAAACAATCAACTTTGAAATGTACTTAAAGTTCTACTTCTTTTTCTTTCTTTTATAGCCTTTGGTTCATGTATACCTGATTGAGAGAGGTGTAATTTTTCAGAACGTATAAGTTTAAGTATTAAAATACTAAAAGGTATGTTTATGATTTAGAAAAAGAACAATCCATAAGCGTATTTTTCCCCTTTACTTGTTGATGAGTTTTTGTCTCATTGAGTCGTCAGAAAACATTGTGTTTATTGGAATTTCATACATTACACTTCGGTGTGGGCCGGAAGGAAAGCTACCACATATGGTCCTTCATTCCTGGGATTACGATCAGTCAACCATGGTTATAAATGGCTTTGGTTGTAGAGAATCTTAGTGAGAAGGTAAACATGTATGCATAATGTCTAAAATTAGAGGAAGCAAAATAATGACCAAGGCATTTTGGTTTTATCAATAATATTGCAGTCTTTAGTTTAAACAAAAATATTTTCTGCTATTATGATTAAGTAAGCTAAAGAAAGTTATAGCTTTTGCTAAAAACATACATAAGGATATTGGCAAGAGCACAGGAAATAAACAAAATCCATCTAGATTTATCAAAATTATGTGAGAATGATGTTTGACAAGGATGTCTGGATTAAACTGAAGCCTAATCTCCAACATTTAAAGCATGTAGCTAGTTATTTTTTATTTTTATTAACATTTACATTGTTGAAAAAATGTTTATTAATGTGGAGTGAGGATAGGATCCCTTGTTAAGGGATGGGTAAGATAGAAAGGTAGGAGACATTCAAAAAGTATGGTTTTCTCAAACCCAGAAGAGTTGGGAAAACAAGTACTGGAATTCTCCTCCAATTACACTTCAAACCTGCTAAAAATTCAACAGGTGAATAGTTGCCTCAGATCTGCTTACCCAGAGCAAACGCCACTTAATCCAATATGATGATAATAATAATTACATAATTGCTATGTGCCAGGCACTGCTTTATCCACTTTAAATAGTGACTCATTTTGTCTTTAAAACTGCTCAGTGAGGGAGTACTATTACTATCTTCACTCTACAGATGAAGAACAGAGGTTCAGAAAACTTCACTGGCCTGTTCAAATCACACAGCCAGTTGACTACAAAATCAACAGATGAAGCCCAGGCAGTGTAGCTCCAGAATTATGGCTCCTAATCTCTGTTGTGTAGTCTGAGATTCTCATGTAATCTACACCATAGCTCAGGATCAGAATGTAGAAACTGGATCCCTGCAGAAGGAAAAAATGATGAAATTCATAAATAAAGGATCTTGAAAGAATGTCTTATGTTATTGTGGTGTGATATATTTTGAACACACTTCACTATAAGCTTGTGAAAGAGGAAGGTAAGACATGGCTAATCCACTTTGTAAGTGAGGAACAGATACAGTGTGCAGTGAAAGGTAGAGTGATTTTTCCCAAAAGGTCATACAGGTAGTACTTATGCAATGTGGAGCAGATTAATTATGTTTTAACATTAATTTTTTAAATATTGAATAGATCTATAATTATCTTTTTTATTATATCAGTTTGGATCACATTTCTTTGGAGAATAGGCAGCTATCACCCATGACTATGGTTATAGTAATTTTAAAGCAGTATATTCTTATAAAACACAATTAACCAAAAATCAAGTGCTCATCATTGAATCGCCTTCTCTTCTCTTCTCTTTTCTCTTCTCTTCTCTCTCTTCTCTTCTCTTCTCCTCTTCTCTTCTCTTCTCTCCCCTTCCCTCCCCTCCCGTCCCCTCCCCTCCCCTCTCCTTCTCTCCCCTCCTCTCCTGTCCTCTCCTCTTCTCTTCATCGAATCACCTTTCTCTTTTAGGTACTGCAAAGTCTGTGAATTCAGATAGCCTTTTGTCAAATGTCGTTGTCAGATAATGATAGTAATCTAGATGAGTTTTTATAATCTTTGGCACCATCTTCATAAAGTACATAAATCAGGAGAACGTATAAGCACCACGTGAGCAATCTCTTTCCAAACTCATGCTCTTTGCTGGGCCTGTAATGGTAGCATCTATGCTAAAAACTAGCATTAAAACATTTTGTAGAAGCCTAAGACCTAAATGTTTCAAATATTTAAAATATATTACTTAAAATCATTCACAGTCAAGTATCTTGAGGCTTTTATGTTTTTTGATTAGTCTCTTAATTATCAAAGAGTTTTCTTGATTTGCATACTTTATGGAGATGTTGATGGAAAACTACTCTAAACACAATTTTAAAATATTCAGATTTGTATAATATTAAAGCTCGAAGAGCCTAGAAAGCTTCAGAAATGACCTTTTATTTGGTAGGCCAAAATATGTCTGAGATCAGAAAAACTCAAGGAATCATACATGAAAGATTCCACAGCTGCTTTCAGAACATTACCTTTATATGTAGACTGCTTGCTGCTTTATTTATTTTCCAGGATATATCAATAGGTAGTTGTAAATGTTTGAACATTACAATGTCATGAACCCAGTAGAATAATGCAGGTTCAGATATGGCATGACTTGCTCAGAGTGGCTTAGCCAATAGGTACCAAACTGCACTCAAATCCAGTGTTGTGGACTTCACTTCATAACAATATGCTACTTCAATTTATATATTAAACCAAAAGTGTCCAAGTTTCCCTTTAAAACTAGAATTTACTGGCTGGGTGCAGTGGCTCACATCTGTAATCCCAGCACTTTGGGAGGCTGAAGTGGGTGGATCACCTGAGGTCAGGAGTTTGAGACCAGCCTGGCCAACATAGCGAAACCACATCTCTACTAAAAATACAAAAATTAGGTGGGCGTGGTGGCATGCACCTGTAATCCCAGCTACTCAGGAGGCTGAGGCAGGAGAATCACTTGAATCTGGGAGGCGGAGGATGCAGTGAGCTGAGATTGTGCCACTGCACTCCGGCCTGGGTGACAGAGTGAGACTCTGTCTCAAAAATAAATAAATAAATAAATAAACAAACAAACAAACAAATAGAATTTACTTTTATTTTGTGGTGGCTTGAGCAAAAGTCATTTCCAATGTGAGGCTTAAATATTGAAGGTGTTCTCTGGAACACAGTAATTATGAGAAGGAGTTCAGAAATGAAACTTACAAAAATATATTTTGAGGAAAAACAAAATAAAAGAGTCTTGATTCCTAATCATTTTGTAATTTATCCCTTATCATTACTCTTGATTTCTTAATTCCTTATTGAAAGTGGTATATGGCTTATTTTTAAACTAGTATACTGATTTTAAAATACACTTTTTTGAAAAATCACTTAAATATTTTAGAAAATTTCTTATGCCAAGTGGGGTACTCCAAAAGTAAAAAATCTATATTTCTGAAAACTGTTAGCTTTCATTAGTATTTGGCAGTCTAAGAGGGTGTCTTTTGTAAGTGTACATCACTCGGCATAATGGATTCTTGATAAGGTAGACCCAAATTAAGTTTGGGTAAATCAGAAAAAAGAAATTCTCACAAATACCCACATTGAGTTATAGAAAATGAAATATTTACAAACTGAATAAATATCACTTATGTGTTTGTTTTACTTGTAGTCTTTTTGAGTATTTTAAGTTTTCTTTAAAATAAGTTAAGCAATTATTTAAAAAGATGTATATAAACCTTTAGTTCCACTTGCCTATTTGACTAAGAAAAAATTCAATATCATACTTTTTTTGAGGTACCATATGCTAAAATTCAATCTGAATATAAAATTTTTTAAAGAAAGAATCAACCTGTTTCTGAGTGACTTCTGGGTAAACAATGAAATTAAGGCAGAAATCAATAAATTCTTTGAAACTAACATGAGAAAAAGATACAACATATCAAAATATCTGGGACAGCCAAAGCAGTGTTGAGTGGGGAGTTTATACCAGTAAACATCCACATCAAAAAGTTAGAAAGATTTCATATTAACCTAACATCACAATTAGAGGAACTAGATAACCAAGAGTAAACCAGCCCCAGGTCTAACAGAAGACAAGAAAATAATCAAAACTAGAGCTGAAGTGAAGGAAGTTGAGGCATGAAAACCATACAAAAGATCAGTGAATTCATGAGCTGGCTATTTGGAAGAATTAATAAGATAGGTAGACCACTAGCTAGGCTAATAAAGAAAAAAAGAGAAAGTTTAAATAAACACAATCAGAAATGACAAAGGGGGCATTACCACCGACCCCACAGAAATACAGAAAACCCTCAGAGACTGTTATAAGCACCGATATGCGCATAAGCTAGAAAACATAGAAGAAATTGATAAATTCCTGGAAACATATAACTTCTCAATATTGAACCAGGAAGAGATTGAATCTCTGAACAGACCAATAACAAGTTCTGAAATGGAATAAAAATTAAAAAGCCTACCAACCAGAAAAAAACCAGGATCAGACAGATGCATAGCTGAATTCCACCTTCCTTGTATAAGGAAGAACTGGTATCATTCCTATTGAAACTATTCCAAAGAATTTTCTAAAACTTGATTATAAACATTTAGAAATTAAGACTTCATAGATTATCTAATCTCTACCTTTATTTTGTAGATGGGGAAACTGAGGTTCAGATATGGCATGACTTGCTCAGAGTCACTTAGCCAATAGGTTCCAAACTGCACTGAAATCCAGTGTTGTGGACTTCACTCCATAACAATATGCTACTTCAATTTATATATTAAACCAAAAGGGTCCAATCTTTCAGCTTCCATGGGCCACATTGGGAGAAGAATTGTCTTGGGCCACACATAAAATACACCAACACTAACAATAGCTGATGTGCAAAAAAAAAAAAAAAAAAAAAATCTGAAAATCTCATAATGTTTTAAGAAAGTTTTTGAATTTGTGTTGGGCCATGTTCAAAGTTGTCCTGGGCCACATGCAGTCTGTGGGCCGTGGGTTGGATTGGACAAGCTTGTATTATACTGTCTTAGGGTTTTCACAAAGATTCAGAGAAATTCACAACTCCTGCCCTATAATTTTTATTACCAACTATACAGTGGGGTAAAAACTATAAATTGAACTGTCATTCATGCCCACATGAATTAGTGAAGACTTTCTGCAACTTAATTAAAACACTTCCACTTTCTCAGCATCATTATATCTAGAATCATGAGTAACATAGCAATTCAGCATTCCTGACATTGAATATTAAGTGTAATGATTAAAGAGAACAAACCATGAGCTTTCTCATATTGTGTTGAAATTTTTCTTTTCAATTGGTCCTTGTATATAAACACAGATACACCAAAAGGGAAAAATAGTCAAATACTATTGAATAAATAAAACAAATTCCATGAAAATATCAAATTGAGATGTTGAATTAGAATGAAACAAGAATTCGAGGTCAGCAGCAACAGTTTGTCCAACTTTTTCTGTCCTGAAAGCGCCTTGTATAGTGATCTTGGCTTGCTGAATATCATTGTGATACAATTCAAGTGAAGTTGGCACATGCCAACTCAGGTGGAATCCTAAGGTCCCTCTCATGTCTTGAGATGCACCATTGGCTAATTCTTCATGCTCAGGAAAATACAGCAAAAGCACACACAGAAAGATGAGTCCTGTGTCTTGGTAGGATAAAGTCAGAGAAGAGGTAGAGAAAATTCTGGGGGATGTCCCTAGAGAATATGATCATACATTAAGTAATCTTTACATTGATTTAATCTTTACACTGATGGCTAGCTCTGTTCTACGAAAAGACACTTGCATTCATTTGTCTGTCAAAGTACTATTCACATAGAATCAACCAAGGCACACATCAGTGGTGGATTGGATAAAGAAAGTGCGGTTCATGTACTCCATGGACTACTATGCAGTCATCAAAAGGAACAAAATCATGTCCTTTGCAGCAGTATGGATGCAGCTGGAGGCCATTACCCTAAGTGAATTAACGCAGGAACAGGAAACCAAATACTGCATGTTCTCATTTATAAGTGGGAGCTAAAACTGTGTACTCATGGAAATAAAGATGGCAATGATAGATACTGGGGACTACAAGAGGTGGTAGGGAGGAAGTGGGGAGGGCATGGGCTGAAATGCTAACTGAGTACTATGCTCACTACCTGAGTGATGGGATCAGTTGGACCCCAAACCTCAGCGTTATGCAATATATGCATGTAATACACTTGTACTTGTACCCCCTGAACCTACAATGAACGTAGTTTCAATCTCACAGTGAACTATGTTTGAAAATGTTCAAGAAAATATCAAAGTGTCCTTCCATTGAAAGGAATAACTAGCACACACACAAAAATAAAATTGCAAGCTTGTTAGCCTCAAATAAATTAACTGGCAGATTTCATTTTGTCTGTTCTTCATTGTTTGAATATACAGTAATCCCCCTTATCTTTGGGGGATATGTTCCAAGTCCCCCAGTGGATACATGAAACCACAGATAGTACTCAACCCTGTGTATACTATGTTTTTCCTGTGGGATAACAGACATGGCTACTATGTGGAAAACGGATAAGTGGTCTGTGCAGATTAAGTATGCTGGACAAAAGGATGATTCATGTCTCCAGTTGGCACAAAGCTAGATGGCACAAAATTTCATCATGTTACTCAGAACAACACACAATTTAAAACTTATGAATTGTTTATTTCTGGAATTTTTCATTTAATATTTTTGGGTCACAGTTGGCCACGAGTAACTAAAACCACAGAAAGCAAAACTGTGGATAAGCAGGAACTACAGTACTAGAAGTCTTAAGAAAAGGAAACCAGCCAGGCACAGGGGCTCACGCCTGTAATCCCAGAACTTTGGGAGGCCGACGTGGGCGGATCACGAGGTCAGGAGATCGAGACCATCTGGCTAACATGGTGAAACCCCATCTCTACTAAAAATACAAAAATTAGCCAGGCGTGGTGGCGGGCGCCTGTAGTCCCAGCTACTTGGGAGGCTGAGGCAGGAGAATGGCGTGAACCTGTGAGGCAGAGCTTGTAGTGAGCCGAGATGGCGCCACTGCACTCCAGCTTGGGCGACAGAGCGAGACTCCGTCTTAAAAAAAAAAAAAAATAAAAATAAGGAAATCTTTCTTGATCTCTGAGAGGGCCCTTTTCCTGATATGTATCTGAAGTCGGCATTCAGTCATTGAATCATAGGTTTGCCTTGGCCTTTTCCCCAACACAGTTTGTACTTTCACCTGGAGCAGCAAGATGTAGATACAGGACCCAGCTGTTGCTGTGAACTGATTATACAAGTTTCCACTTATCTCAGCCTTAGTATGAATATTTCGCACTCTGCGATGTGATTTTGGAGTTATTGCAATCTTAACCAAATTTTAAAAATCATGGCTTAGATCAGGTGATAAATAATCCTAATGCACCCAGCCTTCGTTAGAACGATTCCTGGAGTTTTGCACATAGTTCTAGGCACTACTTTATAAGAATGTAATTGAAAAGTGCTCATGACCTTTCTCGTTGTACCATTCATCTCATTTTAAATTATCATGCTTAAAGTGTTTGCCTTTCTTAGCAGACTTTAATCTCCATGAATGAAAGTGCTGGGTTTTTCATTCATCTGCATATCTCCAGTGCCTGGCATGTAGTAGGTGCTTAAGTAATATTTATTGAATGAATAAAGATGGAAACTAAAATAATGAAAGTTAGGGAAACTGTGTACACAGGAAGTGGCTGAATCGGGGATGTTTCTGGAGAAAGGACTGCCTTAGGTGGGGGATATAAACGTCATCTTCAAATATTTGAAAGGACCATGAATGGAAGAGGGATTTTTTAATTTTATGTTATTCCAGGGAGAAATATAAAGATCTGTTACTGGGTTAAACTACTGGTAAGTGTTTTGGTTCAGGAGAACTTAAAAATAAATTAGAGTGTTCACACATGAGCAAAGCCCTTGCAAAGTATCAAGCTCTCTGTCACCAGTAGTGTTCACAGAGAGATGAGATAAACATTGCAGTGATGGGTGATAGAGCAAATTCTTTCATCTGTTGGAGGGTAAGCATGCTGCCTTTGAAGTCCTCTCCAACTATGACTGTGTAACTTTGATATAATTGAGCACTTGATGATTTCCACTTGCTGCTTGTAAATGTTATTTTTTGTCTTTTAAAGATGCTTCCTAATTTCATTTGAAAATCCATTTCCTTATTGTTCTAGCTGTGAGTTCTTTTTCCTAGGCAGACAATGATTGGTTAAAAAAATATTGAATGAAGTGTGATTTAAGTACAGTTTACCATTGATTTAAATTTACACAAATAATTCCTATTATATTTTTAGTGCATTAAATTAGGCATAGGTGGATAATAAAAAATAACTTGGATTTGCCATATATTATAAATTGCTTTTTCTTACCACAGACATTAGCATCTGCTTGTACTTAATTTTTATTCAGGGGGAACTTATTTAAGTCTTTTTCAGGTGGATAAAACAGACATGTGGCCAAGATTACTTAAGCCACTACACTGTAATTATCTCACTATTGATTACTTACTGATTTTCTGTCTCTTTTATTTTGATTCTATGCATAGGTAGGCCCTCGACGGGACTGGTTAGTGTATAATCCAGCTTTGTCTGGTCTTCGAATGCTATAGTTTTACATGAAACAAAAATAACAGCATCATAATAGACAGCTCAAAGCATATTATCACCTTTCTAAGTATCTGCATGTCTAACTCTGTCAAGATTAATCTCTCTCTGTTCCCCAGCTGCTTCTGAAACAGGCCTGGTCTTAAATCTCAACCCTATGACTTCATTGCTTACTCCTAGAGCCATCTCTACAAAAATTTATTTGCCAAACCTAAGGAGTAAGGAAAGCTATAAAAAGAAAGTTATATAAGATGGACCATGTGTAAATAATCACGCTAAGTATATAATGTTTACAAGAAAGTGGTAAGGCATTTTAAGAATAAAATCACATCAAAACCTATTTGTCCATGGGAACCAGACTGCAGAGTAATGTGTGTTTGGGTTTGGAGGTGATAGATCCAACCCTATGACAACAGTGAATAAAGGTTGTTGGTAATTTAGTACCAGACCTTGAGTCATCTGTCACTGTGAAGGCCTGGAAGAATGCATGTCCTACAAGTCATCTTGGTTAGAAAAAGCAGCTGAGGCAGACACTTTTCTAAAAGTTTGCCTTTGTAGAACAAAATTCATTTGTCAAATGAAAGGTCTTTCTCATGTTCTTAAAACATTGTCCACCCACTCAATAAATAAGGACTGGAAAACCTTCACCAAAATTCAAGAAACATTTAATGAATGTCTGTGATGTATGAGATAACTTCCCAATATCTAAAGTTTATCATCAGAATTCATTGCACCTCTGCAGAAGGTATTGAGAGAAGGAAAGGGCATATGTGGCTGATTGGTCCAAGGTGCCCCTTCTGGGCTGTAGGGACGAGTCTATTTTGGAACAGGTCAATACAAGTAAAATCGAAATTCTTTAGAATTCTTTATCTTTCCTGTGAGATTTTCAGACTCTCTGTAGCAGTAAACATTCAAACATCATGACTGATAGGATGAAAGATTAGATTTTATGCCCTTGTGACAGGAGAAAAAGGTAGAGTTTATGTGTGTGTTGTCAGAGAAAAAAAAAAAAAAGCCTAGCAAGTTTGGGCTATTAGACCCTAGACTGGCAGGCCTCTGTCCTCAGCAGTGCTTGATCATGAGGCATCTTGATCTGATCTAGGCCAGACTTCCAGTTTAGATCAGGGCCTCTGCTAATATTTGGAGTTGAAATTCAGCCTGGCTTGGCAACTTTGATTGACTGTGGCCTCGGAGATCGAGGACATTCCCAGAAGTCTAGGTCAGCTGAGCAACAGGGAGTGTTCATGATAATTAAAGGCTGTCAGCCTTGTCAGGGCTGCTGAAATTTCAGCAGAGGCTTTAGATAAGGATGATTATTGTTTACTAGGCCAAGTGAACAATGATCACTACTCCCCTACAGACATTTATCACATACTCAGTACATGTCTATGGAGTGCCTGCTACTTTCTAGGCTCTATTCTAAGCACTGTGGATGCAGCAATGAACATGCTTGCTTTTATGCAGTTTACATTTTGGTAGAAGAAGCCAAACAATGAAAAAATATGTAATGTCAAGGGATGATAAATGCAATGATGGAAAACAAAGCAGAGTACAGAGTGACTTGGTAAGGGAAATGTTACTTTAGTAAGGTCAAGAAAAGTTTCTATGATAAATTGATATAAGATCAGAAATCTAATGGGAAAATGGAGTATGCAATACATAGATCGGAGAAGAAAGCATTCCAGCAATATGCAAAGATAAAGTGTGCTCAGAGCAAGCAGGCCAGGATACTGAAGGGGAGTAAAGAGTAAACAGAGAGAATACAGTAAGAAATGAGTCCAGAGAGGGAGGTGAAGAAAATATCATGTGGGACTTTTAGGTCATGCTAAGAACTTAGTGTTTCCTTTGACAGAGATGAGAAGTCATTGAAGGATTGTGAACAAGGGAAGTAACATGACATGACTTTATATGCTATTGTGAGAATAGACTGTAATGTGGTACAATTCAAAACAGACCAGTTAGGAGGCTCTTATAATAGAATGGTTAAGAGAATGTGGTGGGACGCCAGTGAAACGGTGGAGTAAGGGCCTCTAAAAATTCTCTCCTCCATCAAAGCAATAAGAAAACTGGCAGCCAGGTGTGGTGGCTCATGCCTACAATCCCAGCACTTTGGGAGGCCGAGGCAGTGGATCATCTGAGGTCAGGAGTTCGAGACCAGCCTGGCTAACATGGCGAAACCCCGTCTCTACTAAAAATACAAAAATTAGCCGGGTGTGGTGGCAGGTGCCTGTAATCCCAGCTACTTGGGAGGCTGAGGCAGGAGAATCACTTGAACCCAGGAGGCTGGGTTGCCGTGAGCTGAGATCACACCATTGCACTCCAGCCTGGGTGACAAGAGTAAAATTCCATCTCAAAAAAAAAAAAAAAAGAAAGAAAACTGGCAAAATGGTCAGAATAAACTTGTTTGGAAGTCTAGAAATTAAGTAAAGTCTTATAGAAGTCAAGGTGCACTTATTCAAGAAAAACAGCTGAATGTTGGTAAGAACAATGAGCTTTGTAATATTTAATTCACTTGAGTCCCATTCCCTGCTCTCCAGATCTACAACAGTATTGATAAAGAAGAGCTCACATTCTCACTGCAGCCTGGCAAGCATCAGAGAGGGAAGAATGGAGCTAGAGCTTACTCAAATCCTCACTCCCACAGAACTGTCAGTATTTGACCTGTCTTTTTTACTCGATAGACCTCACTTGCACAACTCTCTGTACTTGACATTACTCAGAGCTACCAAGTGAGAAAAGCCTTTGCTCAGAGGATTGTGTGTTAAAACAATTGGAGGGAAGTATTTTAATTTTGTGTCTGCCTAGATGGATGGATAACAATTGTGGCAATCAGTAGAATAACCAGAAAACTTTAAAGGAAAATCTTGGGAATGAATTGTCCGTAGGAGCTTAAAAGCTTTGAGATATTTCTGAGAACCTAGAAGGACATACACAGGTATAAGGCTGAGTACCTGTCCAGGGCTGTGCCTGCTCAGGGAAAACCTGAGAGGCCCTAAACACTCACCTTTGGTCAATCTTGAGGCTCTGCAGAAACAGGAAGTGAAGTCTAATGCAGAGTTGCAGATGCCTTGATGATTGTTGAAAGTATGTCTCAACACACACATAGAGTCCCTCAGCAAAGACAGAAGATTGGTTAGGAATGAATAGATGACCACTGAGTTACTCTACTAAGTTAACAAAGCAGAGACTTCAGTGGCTGCATACAGCAAAGAATGTGTACTTTACAGGATTATTCCAGAATAGTCATCAAACAAACACAACTACAGCAAGAAATAACTGCAAACCCTGGGTAAGACCGTAAGTGCATTCCCAGAGTTGCCACATTACCATGTTCAAAATATCCAGTTCTTAAATACCACGACATTCAAAGGCACAAAAAAACAGTGGCCCATTCAAAGGGGAAAAAGCAATCAATAGCAACTATTTCTAGAGAATCCTAGATGTTGAACTTACTAGACAATGACTTTAAATCAGGTATTTAAAATATGCTCAAATAACTAAAGAAAATATTGTCTGAAGAACTAAAGTGTAAGAATGATATCTTGCCAAATAGAGAATATCAAGAGATGGAAATTATTATAAAAATAGAAATTCTGAAGTTGAAAAGTATAATAACCTAAAAGAAAAATTCACAAGATCAGAGTTGAGCCAATAGAAGAAAGAATCACCAGCCAACTTGAAAATGGGTCAATTGAGGTTATTCAGTGAGAGTAACAGAAATAAAAAAGTACGAAGAAAACTGAGCAGAGCCTCAGATGCCTGTGGGAAATTGTCAAGCAGACCTTGCTGCTCATACTCATAAGTGTGATCTTCCAAAAGAGAATAGAGAGACAAAGAAGCAAGAAGAATAACTGAGGAAATAATGGCAGAACACTTTCTAAATTTGCTTAAAAACATTAATCTTCACATCCAAGAAGTTCAGTGAACTCCAAGTAGGATGAATTCAAAGAAAATTATAATGGACACATTATAATTAAACTATCAAAAGGCAAAGACCAAGAGAGAATTTTGAAAGGAGCAAAATAAAGATGGCTTCTCATGGACAAAGAGCGTGGGCAGGTGGTTCATTATGAAAGAAGAGAGACAGAGTCCATGGGCACAGGCGCAGATGGGATGGCAGTTTTGGTGGTGGGAACATGTGGAAATCCTTTCTCTTCTAATGCTTCCATTTTTTCAAAGAAGTTAGGCATAAGACCACCAACTCAGAATTGGAGGGAGAGCAGGAGAGGAAGAATGGAGGCATAAAGATCACTAGCAATTTTTTTGCAAGGTCAAGCAGTACTGAAGTCAAACCAATGATATAATTCACAATGCACCGATTGTTCATTGCTATTAGCAATGCATGGAATGTGGGGAGCTTCATCCTTGAACTAATTATTTGTTGACTGACACTGAACTTTTTACATTAATTTAAATGCTTAAATCTTAAAATGTCAGTACTCTGGGCAAAGTCCCTGCTGTCCACCCTACTTGGCAGGAAGATTAAACCTCTGCTAAATTATACTTTTACGTTCTCTGAATAACCCCTGCATACCTTTCCCTGGGCTGCATTTTTTGCCTGTATGTTGCCTGAGGTCACAATCTGGGAACCATGAGGCAACTTGGACTAGGAGACATATATATATTTACCTGTACAACATCTTTACAAAAGAAAAAGGATCATTGGCAATATTCAATAATGAAGAGACTTTTAGATGAAAATCTGTGTTTCTGGTTCCTGGGGTCTGAGGAAAATCTGACACAGTGAACCAGGCTGAGAGCAACTGGCTGGAGCTAGGCAGCAACCGGCCTCTTTTCAGGGATCTGCACTTCACATATGGGCTTTGCAAACCTTGGTGCAGTCCATTTTCACTTCATAGAATGAGTGAACTTCTCTTCTGTTACTGAATGCCCAAAACATTCCAGTCATTCCCATAAAGACTGCTTTCTCCCAGCTATTTGTGTTCCCAAAGTTCCTACCACATTTTGTAGGTTCAAATGTTATAGCACTTCTCATCTTCTATCTTTATGAACTTATTTGTTCTACCTTTTTGTCTCTCCTTTTAGATTTTTAAGCTGTTTAGAGGGAGGGTTGGCATTTTAATCCATTTTTACAATTTCACTCACAGCTAATAAATGTTTCTGTATAAACAGGATCAACAAAATGTGCAATGAATAATAAGTTTGGTCCATTATAATTTGGTTTAAGAGACTATAGTAAATTTTGAATCTATCTTAGGCACAGTGGAATGCTTATTAGCAATTAATATTGATGTTACCTCAGAAAATGTTGAAAATCTATTCAATTCACCTTGGAATGCACAGGTACTTAGCAGACAAACAAAATCCCTAGTATGTTCTACACTATCATATTATAACAGTGCTTTTTAAGTCTTGTCGTGGAAGCTAGCAGGCATATTCTAAAATGTTGAATGCAAATTTGTTATCAAAACTCATGCCCTTGGACTGTATTCTGTGGCATCTAAATCTATATACAGCATGGAAAGCTATACCAACTATTGGTGGTTTGTTTATTCTCCTTGCCACTAAAGCTGAATCTTTGTCCCTAAATGCTGTCATTTTATATGCAATTTTTCTTTTGCTTTGTGTGTATTTGTTGTATATATCGTAGTCTTCTCTCATCCATGGGAAATATGTTCTAAAATCCCCAGTGGCTACCTGAAACTGTATATAACACCAGACTCTCTCTATATTATGTCTATAGTATATCTGTGATAAAGTTTAATTTATAAATTAGGTAGAGTAAAAGATTAACAATAAATAAAGTAGAACAATTTTAACAATATCCTGTAATTAGTTATATAAATATTGTCTCTATGAAAATACTGTAATAAAGACTGTAGCTGACCACAGGTAACTGAAACTGTGAAAGGTGAAACTACAGAAAGAAAAACTGCAGATGAGGGGGAATACTGTACCACAGATACACACAAAACTGGGGATATTCCTAGGACATAAAGAGGACTTCCATGGGAAACCTAGTGAAATCCACATAAGTGATTTAGTGAATCACAATGCACCACTGTTGCCTTCTTTAGTTCGACAAATGTACCTTGATATTGTTAAGATGTTAACAATGGAGGAAACTGGGTGAGGAGTATGTGGGAATTCTCCATACTGTCTGTGCAACCTCCCTGTAGCTCTACAAATATTACAAAATAAGGTTTCTCTAAAAATCAATAAATAGAAGTTGGTGCAATGTTTGGAAAGTATTCTCAAATTAAAACTCAGAAAGCTGGTGCCATCTGACAACTCTCCTGAGTTTGGGAGGTCCTGTTGCTGATAACAGCGTATTTCATCAAATAATTATCAATGTCTAATCTTCCTACATACAAGTATACTTAAATGTATATATTTGGATTCACACAGAAGCAAGTTAGAAAAGAAGTCACTGATATTTAATTCATAAAGTAACATTTAAAAAATCAGTTACTATGTGGGCCGTCTTTTTGTTCAGTGACATTTTATTGCCTGATAGAAGCGTAGTGCTAAAGAGTATCTATCTTAAGTGCCAGTTAGAATGTTCTATTTGAAGATAGTAACAGATATATCCTAATGATATTTTAAATCTTCTAATGTAAGAAAAGTCTCCCGTGATGGGTCAGGAAGATCCTCAAGTATAACGGTTTTTGAAAAGCAAAATAGTTGTTTATTGTCAACTGAACTTTCCAGTTTTTTAGTCCTGACTCTGAAAAGTGTTAAAAGTAGAATCTTTCTTGATACTATTGACATTTCACAGGCCTAAATGTATCATTCAATTATTTGCACTTTGTAAGAAAGATATACCTGTGAATTATGCATCCTAGAGATATTTCATAATGAAACTTACAATTTATTTGCAAAAATAACTGGGAGTATTATTTATAGGTGAAGATAGAATTGGCATTTCAATGTACTGAGCTTAGCATGTAGAAGGAGTTTTCTTATGCTATATCCTAAGTGACATTTTGCCTATTTGGAAAACATTTTAAAGACAGATTAAATATCGCATTTCCAACTCTCAAATGGAAAGGTATCACTTTACAGCTTTATTATTTTCAAATATTCAAGCTCAAACAGTTTTATAGATTAAAGAGATTGCTTAACTCAATAAAATCCAGAATTCTAAGTTTACATCTTTCTTAAATTATCATTATTGTATACGTTGCAAGTAACATAACATCATCAGATTTATACCATAATTGTAAGATGCAAATGTATAATTACTAGAATTTAACCTCCCCAAAATGATGTAATTCAACCTGACTATCCTGGCTACATAAATGCAAGCTAATCGGCAATGAAACATTTAAATAAAACAAGAACGTTAACACAACAACAACTGCAGAATAAACAAACTTTTCAAGAAGGAAAAAAACAAGGGCCTAATTATATCTGCAACAAAAAATCATAAATGCCTACTATTTTAAAGTATTTTCCCGTCCATTCAGACTTTAGCTGTGGCCAGGACTGTTTCAATATGTGTTTTGACCTCTACGTACATTGATAGTCATTTTCCTATATTAATTTCTTCATTCAGTAAACCATCCAATGTCTCCTTCATTCAGTAAACATTTATTCTTGGACAGCTGTGAGTTGAACAATGTGAAGGTGTTGAAGATGAAGGAGAAGCAGCAGTTCCTGCTCTTGGTCTAATTACTTGTTTAAATAAAACTAATTCAAATATAAGAGATACTTTCATTTTAGGGCACGGTAGCTCACGCCTATAATCCTAGCACTTTGAGAGGCTGAGGCAGGTGGATCACTTGAGGTCAGGAGTTCGAGACCAGCCTGGCCAACATGGTGAAACCCCATTTCTACTAAAAATACAAAAATTAGCCAGGTGTGGTGGCACACACCTGTAATCCCAGCTACTTGGGAGGCTAAGGCAGGAGAATCTCTTGAACCTAGGAGGCAGAGGTTTAGTGAGCCAAGATCGCGCACCACTGCACTCCAGCCTGGGGCAACAGAGCGAGAGTCCATCTAAAAAGAAAAAAGAAAGAAAAAAAAGTTTTGAGAGACACGATAGCAAGGTAATTTCCAGGGTTTCTAGATTGGGTGAATCTCAGAGCACAGTGAAAACAGGAGCTTTAAACAAATTGGAAGAGAACCTTAACGAAAGTTCAAGTTAATAATGTATTATTATTATTATTGAAGGTTTTTGGACAGAGGAAATTTGAAAAAGCAAGTCAATTGTTTTCCTCAAGTAATAGTTTAATATAGATATGAAAATTATTTTATATGACCTATTACTAATGCAGTAGTATCTACCTTTCTTTCCAATGACCAATTTTTCTCCAAAATATGTGATTTACGTTTCCTTAATTTCATTAAAGATCAGTGTTTTCGTCTCTAAGATAGTAATATGTAGATACTTAGTACTCAGATGTCAAACAACTGAACTGAGAAAGGTCCAAAATAAATGTCTGTGCAAATGAGCCATATGCATCTGGGTTAAAGGACAATGACAAAGTCTTAACCAGTCCTGCGGTTTCCAGCTCATACCCTGACACAAGAAAGGGCAAGGAGAGTTGTGTTTAATAGTATATTCTTCAATTAAATGTCACTTTTCTTCAATGTGTACTCTGGGTGAGCACACTAAAATCATGTTTTGCTGCAATGTCATCACACCAAGTTGCTGACTTTCTTGTTGCCATAGCACATGGTACAAAGATGAATTCTGCCATAGGATAAACTTAGGTCTTAAAAGCCTCATATCATGGAGTATAATGCATATTCTTCTTTTGCAATCCATAGTTCTAACATCTCTATTTCTCCCTTTTATGTTATTAGCAATCACTCATATCACATGTGGATGAGAGTTAAATAAATTGAAAAGGCATTACTACTGCTCTTAAAAAAAAAGAGAGAGATACTCTCATTTTAAAAGGTTAATCAGATCACACATTTGCTTGCTTAAATTTCTCAAATATCTTTCCATTGGGCTTAAATTCGAATCCATGGCCTAACAATGGGCTACAGTGCTCTATAGGACCTGCCTCCGACCTCTCACCTCACTTCTTTTCCTGCTCTCCAGCTCTACCCTACAGCAAGCACAGGAGCTTCATTTTTATTTCTCAGAGGTACTTGACTAATTCCTGCCTCAGGACCTTTGCACTTGCTCTTGCTGCTTCTGCCTAGAATGTTGCTTCTTGCCTCCTCATTCCCAAGTCCTAACCAAGTCAGAGATTCTGGTTAGTGCTTTCCTCATACTATTTCATTGCATTTATTAAAAACTGCATCACCACAAAGAGATTACATACTTCTTTAGAAAAGAAAAGTTGGAGAAATCCTAAGAATTTTGTGGCAATGAAATCACAATCATGATCAGAAACCTTATGAAAACAAAGGTACAACACCTGTAAAGTCCTATAGCTAATTTAAATTATCAGAAATCTCATAAATTAGTGCTCCTTTTTGATCAGTGTAAAAATACTTGACAAAAAATATAATTGGCTCTGTCATAAATGTATCTGAAGTCAATATGTAAGCTATAACAAAGCATCACACTTTTCATTAACTAATTTTTTACTGTTTAGAATTTACAAGGCTTTGGAGGAAGATAATTTGGAACTTCCAGGTCTCCTTTAAAATCATATAAAATAGGTTGTGTTTATGTCCTTTTCTCTCAGTGAATTATTTTTACATCAAAGAGAGTAACCATGATGCTCAATAAATAAAATAAAAATAAATAAAATATTATTTCATTGAAAAGAGTTTTTATTTTATTTATTTATTTATTTTTGAGACAAGGTTTCACTTTGTCACCCAGACTGGAGTGCAGTGGCACGAGCTCGTCTCACTGCAGCCTTGACCTTCTGATCTCAAGCAATCATCCTCCCACCTCAGCCTCTCAAGCAGCTGGGGACTGCAATTGCACACCACCATGCCTGGCTAATTTTTTTGCATTTTTTGTTAGAGAGGGGGTTTCACCATGTTGCCCAGGCTGGTCTTCAATTCCTGAGCTCCAGTGATCCACCCGCCTCAGAGTTTTTATTTTTAATTGAGTTTAACCAGCACATTTTTCCTTCATTTTTTTCTTACATAAGTTCAGCCACAAGTAATTATTATTTGACCAGAATCCTGATTCTAAGAAGTAGTCATGAGACTTAAGAAATATCATTTTATTTACTTGTTTATTTAACACCTGATATTTTGTCTAAATGTATCTAATGCAACAATAATGTTAATCGAATATAAATATAAACAGAAATTAGGATCATGAAAATAGAAGGGAAAATACACTAACCAGGAAAGGTGAAATTTTAGGCAGAAAGTGATTCAGCCTCAGTAGATCTCAGTTTTATCATTTAATCTAGATCAAGGAAGATAAGTATGTCCTCCCTTGTGTGCCAAACCAGTTTTGTTGGAAGAGGAGTTTGCACTGTGTTAAGAAGTGTCTTGAGGCCAGGTAAGAGCTCACCAGGGAGCAATGAAGAGATGTTTCCTTGAGGTCCACCAAGCCCACAGAATTTGGAAATGGCAGCACATTTGCTGTGCATTGGCAATGCCTGGACAAGATTACAGTTGCCAGTCATTTTCTAAAGTTTCTTCATTGTTGTTCTACAATTTCTCACTGTTCAGTGAAAGCCATTTGCTAAAAGTGAAAAATATTCCAAATTTAGTATTTATTTATTCAAATTTTCTTGTAATTTAATTTTAATAAATGCATTATGAGTGTATGGCCACCACTTTTCTTTCCTAATGTTCTTATAATTTGAGTTCTGCTTAATGTCATGTTTATGTTTCTGGGTAAGATTTCTGGAAGTAACTGGCATCATCAGAATGAATTTGTCATCCCCCGTCTTAATTCCGATCTCTTTGCAAGTTTCTCAAAATTGGATCAACTAATTCTGAGTAATGCAACCCTAATCCCAGCACCTAGTAGACATCTACTAGGTTGGATATCTGCATTCTTCCCAATAATCAAATTTATTCTTGTCTAACCCAACGTTCTGTTACTTTTCAATCCCTGAATGCCTAGGACTTCTCCACCCTCCTCTGGCCTGTCACCTGTGTTGGCCTGGACTGTAAGTCTTTATTATTTCCTGAAATATGCTACTGATTCCTTCTGAGACTTCACACCTCCGAGCCTAGAACCCCATTCTAAAATAGTATCAATGGATTAGAGTTTAGTGTCATGCCTTCTGATTTCTTATCAACTCCAATTCCCTAGGAATAGATTCTAATCTTGAATAATAATGGCAATACTAGAAAACATGTTTTGAACACAGACTCTAGGCTATTAGGCAATACCTGGGATTATCTCATCCTTAAAAAACAATGTATGAAACAGTTATTCATCTTATGTGTGAGAGCATAGGAAAGTTAAGTAGCTTGCCCAAAGTCACAAAGCAAGTCAATGATACAGTTGAATATGAACCAAGTTATCTGAATATGAACGTGAGCTCTCTACTCTACTGCCCCACTGGTTTTACTAACATTCTGCTCTTGCTGGACAGGTTGCAGGCAGAGTGCGGACACAGAGAAGACCTGCCTTGTCAAGACTGGCGCCCAATAAGACCTCTAGATTGGGCCCTTCCCCTTTCATCTCCCCTTACTATTTTTATGACTTTATTTTTAAATGTGTACAAAGAGCTTTGCTTGGTACTGAGGATATGTAACTCACAAGGCAGGCATGGTCCCTTCCATCCACCTTAGAGGCTTTTAGAGGAAAGAAACCTTCATCACCTAATTTTACAAAGAATTGCACATCCAGAGTAGTGATAAGCTCTACTAAGAAAGATTGCAGTGTACAGTAAAAGCCTACAACAGGATGACCTAACCTATTCTGGCAGGTCAGGGAATTGCTGCATCTCTCATCAACTCCATTGTATGGCTCAATACTTACTGTGTGGTTCACACATCACTTCTCTTCCAGGTTAAACTACAACAAAGTGTCTTCAGCAGAATTCTAGCTTTGAGTTGCACAGATCCTGGTATGCTTTGCAGCTCTCCCAATTCCCCGCAGCCTCTTCTTTACTAATAGAGGTTTTACTAAATATATTTATTAACATATTTCAAGCTACCATTACCTTATCAGACCTCTACTCTGCTGAAATACTGAGCAATATTGTTTTATTGATTGGGTACCTACTGATGGTAGCAATATGCAAGTGTGCATTATTCTCATATGACTACAGCTTTAATAGTCTGGAGGTAATATTGAAAGTAATTTACTGTCGTCTATAGATGGCAGTTCTAGTGCTGTGGTACTTAGGGCTGCCAATTTGGAAATTCCAGTATGCATACAAATGAGTTATTGGAAGTCTTTTTAGAACTAACTTGATAAAACAAAAGGGCAAGAAAGCCCACCACTGACCTGATAGCCATCCACAAATATAGTAATTGGGAACAATT
The DNA here is from genome assembly GCF_000001405.40 of Homo sapiens. Taxonomy (NCBI): domain Eukaryota; kingdom Metazoa; phylum Chordata; class Mammalia; order Primates; family Hominidae; genus Homo; species Homo sapiens. Next base: position 62,470,399 of record NC_000008.11, read on the forward strand.
TCTTTGGAATGAATGACAGATACCTTTTCCATTATCTTAAGTTTTCTAGTAGAATCAATGACAGGGGCTGAAAGAGTTTGTGGACATGTTGACTTAATTTAATGTCTAAATCCTGAATCTTTTTGCTAACTGCAGATGCAGGATTTAGACACTAAATTAAGTCAACATTTTCACAAACTCATGGATTGCAGAATTCTCCTGCATTGCAGTGTTCATCACATGAGCTGAAGGCAGAGCAGAGATTTAGACAATGAAAATACTGAAACATTGTTTTTCCCCCACCAGTGATAACGTTAAGATGTTTCGTATATCAAATTATTCAATATTTTATATTATCAAGGGAACAATATTAAATAGAAGCAAGCAGAAAGCCTACTCTCTCACATACAAAAAATATTATTTTATATTCTTTGCTTCCTTTGGCCTAAATGCAGTTAAAAAAAAAACAACTTAGGTTCTATAAATATGTGTAGATCTTATTGATCCATTTTAACTGCTAGATAGCATTGATAGCATCCCACTGAATGAATAAATCACATTTATGTAAACATTGTACAACAGAGGGACAATTAGGATGTTTTCCTTTTTTAAAAAAACTAAAACACACAGACATTCAGTGAAAAATTCTGTACATATTTCCTGTGCTTATCTAGTTTCTCTTGGATAGACACCCATAAAAAGTGGGGGAAAACCAACTTGTGAAAAAAATGTGCAGTAGGATTGCAATTATCTAAATCTTTAAAACTCACAAACATTGTTTATGGATGAATTTATTCATAGTGTAGAAGTTCATAAACATGCATGAAAATGATCCACACCATTTTCAAGAGAGTGGATAGTCCTGGGGAGGGCGGGTTAAAGGATGAGAGTAGCACTTTAGCAATATCTGTAACAATTTACTTCTCTAAAAAAAAAAAATGATCTGGAGCAAATTGCAATATGTTAACATCTGTTTGATCCTGGTGATGATAATTACATAGATGCTGTATTTTTCCTATACTCTTAAATATGCTTGAAATGTTTTGTAAGTTCTGTGAAAACGATGTTTTACGAAAAGTTGTCAATGTTATTTAAAAAAAGAAAAATCTTGTGTGTACCATAAGAACATTAGAATTACTGATACAATGCCTTATATGCAAACACTCAGCTGTCTCCTGTTGGAGGAAGTATATATGAGTTAGAAAACCAGCTGTGAAAAGATATCAAATTTCAGCTAGTAATAGGGTTCACATAACTATGAAACTAAATGGCACTTTCTACTTCAGCTCACTGGGGGCTGGGCGCGGTGACTCACGTCTATAATCCCAGAACTTGGGGAGGCCAAGGAGGGAGGATCAAAGTTTGAGATCAGCCTGGGCAACATAGGAAGACCTCACCTCCACAAAAATTAAAGAAAAAGATAGCTGGGTGTGCTGGAGCGTGCCTGTAGTCCCAGGTACTCAGAAGGCTGAGAGAACAATTGCTTGAGCCCAAGAGGTCAAGACTATGGTGAGCTATGATCGTGCCAGTTAGTGCACTCCAGCTTGCTCCAGCCTGGGTGTCAGAGCAAGGCAAGACCCTATCTCAAACCAACAAACAAACAAACAGCCTGCGCCCAGCCTGGGTGTCAGAGCAAGGCAAGACTCTGTTTAAAAAAAAAAAAAAAAGTCTTCAGCTCACTGAACTCACTGGGGTGAAAGGGAGCTGGAGAAAGTATCTAAAAATCTCAGGAGTTCAGGGAGCTGACCCAAGTGCAACCCAACAAGGACAAGCCAGCCTCAGTCCTGGGTGAGCTGAACTCGGTTACAGATTTGATTCAACCCTTGAGTGGGAAGGAAGGAATGGGGCCTTTAACTCCACATGAAATAAAAACTGAATCAGGAATAGGCTACAAGGAAAACCAGAGCAGAAGATCCTAGAAGCAAGGAAGGTGAAGCTGAGTGGGGAAGCTGTGCAGGCAGTCCATGCAGGGGGAGTCAGCAAGCCAGGGTTTGAGTGATGGGCAAGATACCAATCTTTCTGAGACTCAGTTTATTTATCTCAAAACAAGGGTAACACTATCTGGAGGATATTCTTATGAGAATTAAATGAAATAACATATGAAAGTACTTGGCACCTCAATAAAGGTTAGTATCACCTCAACTTAGTAGGGTACATGCTTTCAAGGGTAGGTCAGGGAGAGGAGACAGAGAAGCAGCCGGCAGGCTTTAGCTGAAGTTATCTCAAGCACTGTCTCAGAAGGGATCCAAGAAAAATGCCATTGATGCTGCCACTCCCCACATCTGTCAGTGGGATCCAGGGAAGAATAAGTCCATTCAGTGACTGAAAAGAGTTGCAAATGAATGAAGAAGGAACATATTAGATTATGCATGCATCTCTCAAATTGGTCAAGATGCGGCAGCCACTTAACTCAGTTACACATGCTTAGGAAAAGCTTAGCGGTCTGACCACAACACTAAGCACCAAGAATGCTCATTCATGTTCCAGACACTGATCCGCAGTGCAGGCAAGGTGCTCAAAGGGGAGACTTGAGTTTCTGCTGCATGAGCTGCACCAACACAAACTCTTCTGTCTCTGCTGTCTGCTCTGCAAGGCTGTCTTGTGCTTTAAAACATTCACTGCAATATACATTTCCAGTGGTCGATTTTGAAGGCAAGTAAGAGTCTTTAATATAGGCATTCTCTATCTACTGCTATGTTTGCACATTGCTGCTGTTTAATTCTCCTTTTATTCAAATTAAATACCTTGCAGTCATTCAGAAACTGTGCCTTCTGTTGCCACATCTTCCTGCTGTCAGAGCAGCTAATTAGCTCTTTGCAGGTCTTAGCTTCTGAAGAACTTGAAAGGATGATTTGTAATTGTGCACTGAAGTACAGCAAGTTGCTTCAAATAAACATGGTTAAAAGTCTATTGCTTGAGATTTGTCAATTTTTACACGATCATTTATCATTTTCATTTATTTGGCAGCAATAGAAAAATCTTATTCGTTTCACTTTCCTGAAGGTAGAGCCATCATCATTTCTTATACTTGAACAAAGGAAGACTGTAAAAACCTGAGGAAAAACATAAAAAGGAAAATGGGGCCTTATTGAAGCAAAAAGCCCTATAAAATCTGAAAAGGACTTCTCTATGGAAGACCTATACCATAAAATTGATTCTTATTGCTACTGTTACCTTTAAAGGGGTCAAAAATGGGAGCTTATAAAGAATCTTTCTTATTCATCTTTGCCAGCAGAATGAAATCCATTCTTCTTAGATTGGCATTCAGAACCCTTAGGGATTTTGAACTTGACACATTTCTCTGATCGTTTCTCCTGGTACTTGTCTGCATATACATTATGTGGCAATTTTTGAACATCTCAGTCTTTCCTTAATAGCCTACCTCAATTTTTACTTTCTTCCTGAGTCCTTTCCCTACACTACTAATGGTCACTCTTTCCCAGGGATACAGTTAGCAAATAAATATACAAAATGCTCAGTTTCAATTTGAATTTCAGAGAGGTAAGAAATAATTTTAATATGTCTATTTTGTGCAATATTTAGGATATACTTCTACTAAATATGGATTATTTTTATATCTGAAATTTTCCTACCTGTGTCACTGTTTTGTATCGAGCAACCTTACTTCCTTCTCTGAACTCTTGAGAGACTTGTTGTCCTCATGACTTACTTGTCACCTGGCATTTCCAACCTAATGTTGTTGTGGTCTTCAGTCAGATTTTAAGCTCCTTGGAAATGTAGTGGAATCCCACTTTCAATTAGGATACAGAAAGGTGTAAAAGATCTTCATTCATGTGATCAAACCCCAGAAATCACCAAGCAGACATAGAAACAAAAAATATATACTTTTCCTTAAAGATGTTGAAGCACAGTGGGCACAAAGAAATCTTATGTGAACTAAGCACCAGAGGGACAAACTCTTGGAGGTGAGACCAGTTCCTAAGACAGGGAGCACAGGGAAGCCAGCTGCTAGAGAAGGGCAGTCTTTGTTGTGTCCAAAAGAAACCTGCAAACGCTGGACAAATCTGTGTGCTGGCAGGTCACTTTTGAATCTGAAGGAGCCTACTAATTCCCTCTCATAGAATTTTACTGAATAAGCAGAGAATGGGAGCTGGATTGGCAAACGTACAAAGACCACATGGTCTTATAGCCAGAAAAAAAGACCAGTTCTTAGAGAGGAATAATAATAAATTTAAGAAACAATGACAGCATGAAGATAGAACAAAACCTTTTAAGTGCTAAAACACAAAAACTAAACAATATCATCAATCTAAAATGTTGTATACTCTAAAAATATGTTTCAAAAATTAAGGTTAAATAAAAACATTTTCAGATAAACAAAAGATGAGAGAAATTGTTGCCAACAGATCAAAATCATCAAAAATGCTAAAAAGAGTTTTGTAAGCTAAAGAGATGAAGTGCCAGATGGAAATCCAGATCTAATAAGGAATAAAGAACCCCAATAATGGCAAATGAAAGGGTAAATATAAAAGGTTATTTTTTCTTCTAAATTTTTAAAAAGTCAATTAAAATTTCTTACAGTATGTGAGAGATATATGAAATATTAATTTAAGGTAGATCATGATAAGTTAAGCATACATATTGTAATTCTCAGAGCAATGACTATAAAATAATTTTAAAAGTCATAGCTAAAAAGCCAGTAGAGAGATACTAAAGCCTACTCATTTATATCCCCTCCTCCCTCCCAAAACTACAAACTGGAAAGTAAAAACAAAGAAACAAAGAACAGAAGGGATAAAAAAAGAATAAAGACAATGTGTTCCACTCATAGAACCTCAGCTCTCCTCTGTGAAATAACACAGTTTTCATGATGTTCGTGATGAGAATAAAGTGAAACAAAATAAGAAAATTATTTGGAAACATACCTGACACATGTTAAGTCTTCATGATATTAATTATTACTATCTCTATCTTTGCTATAAATGACTTTAATATTATGAATGAATGAGAAAGCCACGACACTTCCATCCCAGCCCTGCTCTTCGTGGGCCCTTCTGTGAGACTTGGCTAGAAGGCTGTGCCTCCATGGTCATTTCTGTTCCAGACTTTTTTTCAACAGCTTCATTAAAATATAGTTTACATGCCATATAGTTCACCCAATTAAAGAGTATGATTCAGTGATTTTTAGTATATCTACGGAGTTTTACAGCCATCACATAAGCTAATTTTAGAATGTTTCATCATCCCTAAAGAAAGCTTGTACCAATTAGGATCCCAGAATCCACCCTCAACTGACTGAACCTCTGCTGGTAGACTACACATATCTGTACTGTAACAAGATCCTACAAGTGATTCTGGAGAATACTAAAGTTTAATAGCTCCAAAGGCACATGTTTATGATGGGCTCCCAGGTGTGATGCAGCCTAGGGGCCCTTGGAAACTCATGTTGATATAAAATAAAAATTCTTGCTAAGGAATATGAACAAACATGTTATCTAACTAATATGAAGCACAGTGGAGAGTAGTGGTTAAGAACAAGTACTGTGGCAGGATGGGGTCAGATTACAGCTCTCTTCTTGAACTTGGGCAAGTTACTCAAACTCATGCAGCCTCCACTTCTGTGAAATAACACAATTTTCATGAGATTCATAATAAGAATAAAGTGAAACAAAATAAGGAAATTTGAAAAAATACATGGCACATATCAAGTCCCCCAGATGTCAGTAATTACTATCATCATTCTAGTTAATATAGTTAATAGCTAGGGATTTCAGATGAGGGTTGTACTAGGATGAATTTGGAGCATTCTGCTGCTCAATTCTAAGACAAAGTAAGAAGGCTTAAGTTTTATGACCATGGCATATATTTCAAGGGAATGTAGTGACTAAAAAATAGATATATAAAAGCACAGAGGGAAGTGACAAGATAGCACATTGTTCATCTTATTCAGATAGAATTTAGAAGAGTTGAGCCCTCACATTTTTGAAACTGTTATTGTGGAAGCGTTGACTATTGCCATGTTTTGTTTGCTGTTAAAGAATTGTAGACCCGTGCACATGTTAGACAGTTAGTATCTTTTTGTTTCTATGGTGATTTTTTGTAGTTTTTTTTTTTCATTTGTTTGTTTTGTTGTTTTGAGAATGGAGTCTCGCTCTTTCACCAGGCTGGAGTGTGGTGGCACAATCTGGGCTCACTGTAACCTCCACCTCCTAGGTTCAAGCGATTCTCTTGCCTCAGCCTCCTGAGTAGCTGGGACTACAGGCACGTGCCACCATACCCACCTAATTTTTGTATTTTTAATAGAGACAGGGTTTCACCATGTTGGCCAGGGTGGTCTCGATGTCCTGACCTCGTGATCCTCCCGCCTCTGCCTCCCAAAGTGCTGGGATTACAGGCGTGAGCTACCATACCCGGCCTCTATAGTAATTTAAAAGTCATTGTGCCCTGCCTCATATACAGCTTTTTTGAGTAACTTACTATTATTTTTAACATCTGTTGGCTTGTCCCTGTCTCTTGCTTTAATGTAAAATTCCTGTGGCCCCTTTAAATTGTCAGCAGAAAGAAATAAAGTGGCTTGTGACACCAAGACAGGGGAAATGAAAGGCAAGGAAGAATGCTGTGACTTCAGGGTGGAAAGATATGCGGTTTGACTACAAATGTATAGTCAGCTTTGATTGAGGGAAACATAGGAAGATACAGGAGCAATCAGAGGAAACTCTTACAGATCTCCTGGGCAGAGGAAAAAGTCAGGGCAGGAAATGTTCCTGCAGAGAGATGGGGAGGAAACAGCTGGTGAAATGTTAGCGTATCAATCATGTGTGGAAACACACATGGAGCTGAGCCAGGTGGGAGTGCAGGCTCCTTGCAGGAATGAGGGCAAGGATGGGCTCAGATTTACATAATTCACACACCCGCAAATGTACGCATGCACACACACACAAACGCATGTTTTTTGGAGCCCTTTGCCAAAGACAGTGACAACAGTACATCTATTTTGCACTGGCAGTAAAAAAAAATGTGAAACTGGTGAATTGGATGAATGAGTACTGTAGGCTTTCCCTGTGTGAGCCAGGGCTCAGGCAATGAGGGAAAGAGCAATGCAGGCTTTATTTTCTTTGACTTCGTGGCTCTCCGAAGGCATGTTCTCTCCTCCCTGCCTCAGAGTCCGGGAAACTATTCCCTCACAGGATGGTTGCTTATGGCCATTCCTTTTATATGTGCATATATGGAGCTTCCTTGGGTGATAGAAATAGTATTGCTAGGAGATGAGGATGCTTGCTTCATTTTGTGGAGAAGGCTGCTGTGAGGTGTGTATTTCAGGACCCAAAAAGTACCACAGAGAAGGAAAATGGAATGGAGTAACTCAGCAGTAAAATAGAAGTTCTAGTCATGATTCCGTCAAGATGTAATCAACAAGGCAAGAACCCTGTGGGCACAGGCCAGAAGCTGGGGATAAGAGGATTGACATTCTGGGACCCAGAGAAGAAAAGCAGGACTGCCTAAAACAGTGAGGGGATTAGAACAATATTTAAAAAGCATGTAATTTCCAGAGCCAGCCTTGAACCTGGCAAACAAACTAATATCTGTGAGCTAAAATCAATACATATATAACATAATTATTTTTATGTGAATAGAGGTATTTATTCCCAGAAAAGGCAAGCTCACTTCCGTCTGTTCTTAAAAGGGCACTAATCCCATCAGAAGTTCTCCCCACTCATGACCTAATAACTTCCCAAATCCTCATCTCCAAAAACCATCACATTGGAGATTAGGGTTTCAACATATGCATTTTGGAGGGGCACAAACATGTAACTGATAGGAGTTATTATTATTATTATTATTACCATGTTACTGATGAGGAAACTGAGACATAGTTAATCAACTGGTAACTAGTAGAGCCGGGTATCCAGCTAGTTAGTAGTTGCTCCAGTATTTAAACCAAGGTGACACAGGTCCAGAATCTATGCATGCTTTTAACCATTAGACTATTATGCCACTATACAAAGCCAAGGTCACAGACTCCAATGGCCACTGCCAAAATGATTGTCTGTTACCTTGGAAGAAAGTAAAGTCATGCATTGTGCAGTAACTCTGTGGATGGCCCCATAAAATATATAATTCACAGAAGAACTGAAGGTATAAGTTTTGAAGTCCTTCACATCCAGCTTCCTGTCCTGACTCTACCAACACTAAGTCATGCAATCATGCACTTACCAGAGTCTGCAGCATGAAGATAAGTGTTACTGTTTGTGGTATCATCATTATCATTATTAATAATCTTTATTATCAATATAAATAAAGTAATACTTTTTCCTTTGTGCTTCTTAACCTGATAGTCCTTTAAAATCATCTGGAAAGGTTTTAAAAAATATTTATTTCCTGAGCCATACACTAAACCAAATAAACCAGATGATCAGGGATGGAGTCAGGGTTAGGGGGTTGCTGACCCGTATTTTTCTAAAACTTCCCACACAATTCTGAGTTACAGACAGTAATAAAAATTGCATTGGTCACCAAATACTCATAGAACTTTCAAGGTAGTGTGCTGGGTATGACATTTTGCTGGACACCAAGGAGGTTCTCGCAAGGAGGTTCTTGTAAGACACAGCACCCTGCCCTGTAGAGCTCTCAGCATAAAGCTTTATGGCATTCACCTGGGGAGTAGGCAGGGCCTCCACTCCTTTATCTTCCAATCCACTGTTTCTGCTTCTCACTGTGTGTCTAGTGTCGCCTGCAGGTGCTAGCCTCATGAGGCCATAAAATGCAGGGTTGCACTCGATATGTCACTCAGGCTCCTTGTTCACCAAACCTGAGGACTTTGAGGATTCATTCCTGGACATGAGTGTTTCAGTGGGAAATGCCTTAAATCTTTATAGATCAATTGTGTTATTATTATCACTATTATTAGAACTGTAGTTTATTAAGCACCTCTTATATCCTAGGTTCTCTGACAGGTACTCTACCTACATTATCTCATTTGGCCCCCTAAGCAACCCAGCAAGAATGGAGCTATTATCCAAATTCGGCAGGTGAAGGAACTGACGTGAGCAAATCAAGTTGCCCCAAATCACATGGCTTCTACATGGTGAAGCCTGAATTTGAACCCAGATCTGAGTTCCAAAGGCCCTGTTCCCTCCACTGGGTTTGTATTGTCATGGCTAAGACTGCCCAGCTCTTGCTAGAACTGTTAGCAGCTTCTTGCCAGATCTGGATTCATCCCAGGTTGTCCTCAGTCTTGAAAATAAAAGATCAGTTTTGGTTTCTGAGGGCAGAGGGGTGTCATATAGGGACTAAGAAGGTTCCAGAAACACTGGATGTGCCCAACAGGAACCTTTCAAAGGTCAGAGAGGAGAAAAAAGGTATCTATGGCCTCTGTGATCCTGAGGATCACGGCTGTTAGGAGAAGAGATGAGGAATGTCCCAGCCCTCAGGGTCCCAGAGTAAATGTCCAGAAGTAAATAAACCTTAGATATGTTATTTTACAAGCTCCAATAGTTGCAAGGTTGGTCAGGATATTTCTGCTCCCCGCCTTTCCCAGAGAAATTGTAGACAATAAGGAAACAAGTGAGAAAGGTAAAAGAATAGGAAAAAATGAGAAAAATCCCAGCGTTTCCCCAGAACATTTTGGAATTTAGCTTGATTTTATTTTGAATCAAAGATGTTTTTAAAGGAACACTTTGTTTTTATATAGCATCTCTTTTCTCAAAAATTTAAATTGGAATTCAGTCACTGCATAGCCACTATGCTTTACATTAGGAATTCAGTACTTCTTCATCTTATAACTGAAGGTTTGTATTCTTTGACCAATATTTCCCCCTTTCCCCATCTCCCAGACCCTAATAAGCATTGTGCTACTTTCCATTACTATGAATTTGACTTCTTTTAGCTGCCACATACACCTGAGATCATCTGAGTAGATCTCACATGTTCTCACCACACACAAAAAAATGATAGCTGTGTGAGGCTATGTTAATTAGTGCAATGTGGTAATCATTTAAGAATGCATACATATATCAGAACATCATATTTTATATCCTAAATATATACAATTTTTGTCTGTCAATCATACTTTAATAAAGCTGGGGGGAAAATCACTCCATAGCTTGCCATGTTACAGTATTTTCAGGATAAGGTCAGGGGGAAAGTAATGAAGTAACTAACTTGGCTAGTTAGGAAGGAAGCAATGTTTGGATTAAAAAAAAAAAAAAAAAGGAATAGAGAAGAAAAATGATTTCCAAGAGTCCTAACAGGAGAGAAAAAGCCCGACCAAGACATTTTCAAAATGGCCCTAGGAGACGGAAGCTTCAGGGCTAATTGAAAAAAAGGCCCTAGATTTCTATTTAAATGGCAGTCCTGAGTTGTACCCAGAAAATCATTTCCTGTATTACTTTCAGTCTTTCTTTAAAGCTAGAAACCAAATCCAAGGACTCATGAAGTCAATTGAATAATGATGAGCAGTAGGTCCCACGTGGGACCTGGGGATGGGGCATGCATTTTCTCAGTGTCTTAGGGAACAGAAAGTGGAGAGACAAAATTGAGAAGTGATCAGAATGGAGTCATTCTTCAGGGATCTGAAAAGAGGTAGGAGAGGGCACCCTGACCGGGAAGTAACTGGCATCCCAAAAAAGTATAAACAGCCTCACCTTCCTGAACTGCCAGTGACTATAAGATAAGATAGCCAAGTAGTTATTTAAAAACTCAACATCTCATGCTTCTCATATTTATAATCATCATTTCATTGTCATTTCATGTTTATTGATTGCCTTTGTCACATGTAATTCTAAATCCTCCCCGATCTAGATAGTCAGATTCTTGAGTTTTAATTTCCTCTAACCTGGAGGAGGTTAGTAAGTGTTCAAAGTATCCTTTGCATCATTCCTCATCTCATACTTAATGCTCCAGCAACAGTAATAACTTGTAATTCCTGGTGTATCCCTCACCACCTCTGACCTGCACACCCCACCCTCTTCATCCTCCATTTGTCTAGCCATCTTGCATTCATCCTGGAGGGCACTTCTCAGGTGGCACTTCCTCCGAGAAGCCTCGAGCTGGATTATGTATCCCTCTCATATGGACATAGATGTTCCTGTGCATAACTCTATCATTGGACTTACCATGTCATACATTAACTATCTATTTATTTGTGTTATCCTGACTAGACCTATGAGATGCTTGAGGGCTGGGCCTGGGTCTTGCTCATCTTTAAATCCCCACCAGCTAGCACAGAGGCAGGCCCATAGTACCATTTGGTAAAAGTCTGTTGATGTGATAACCAATTAAACTAAAAAAGGATGAAATTGATAGGAAACCTTTACAAAAGGTCATCTAGAAATCGATACCAATAACCAAGACTTAAAAATAATTTCCCCTTCTCTTTATGACTTGGCAGAACACAAGACAAGGGGTTCACTAATCAAAGAAATCATCGTATGCTTTGAGATACAATTAAATGTCAGGTGTGATAAAGTCCTATATTGGATAGAAAATTCCTAACTGTGAACAGGTTAGACTCCATTCAATTGAAAATCTAATTTATTTGAACCTCAGAGTGTGTTTACCGAATGAATCTATGCTGTGAATGGTGGTTAGGTGGCCACAGTAGCTCACCAGCCCACAAAACCCAATGCAGCCCATAATGCAGCTGAGCTTCTCTCCCCTGTGAATACCTCTCTGCTGTTTCTCTGCACTCAAACATATCATGGGCCCTGAGGCCTTGTCGAGATTCTCCCATCTCCCTATCGTCACTTCTAGGAAGATACTTTCCATTCCTACACATAGTCTGCCTTTCACTGTTGGTTATCGTTTTCTAGCCTCCTCTTTTATTCCCTCTCACACATGTCTTTGCTTTCTTTATTTTTTAATTCTAAGGTTAATTTTTATTTCACACAAAAAAGCAGGCAAAACAATATAAAACACGTTTAAAGGATAATACTGAGTAAGCTTTAAGTGGAGCTTGAGTCTGCAAAAGCGGTGAGTCCAAAGGGAGAGGGAAGGCCATCTTGCTCCTGGGCTGCATTGAAGGAAAGAATAAAGGGGACAGCAAGGGACTGGCAATCCCAGACTGGTGCCGGCTAATATCTTACTTCCACCAATTTCAATCATGCAAAAGGTCAAATTGTGCTCAGGGAGAGCTGTGGTGGGGTTGCCACCCTGAGGAGTTGAAGAGTGAGCTCAGTGGCACACTGGGATGGAGCCTGGTGACAGATGAGCTTGGAATTTCAAAGGGATAGTCTGGCTTAGCTTTGCCTGCAATGACCAGCAAGTCTTCCAAAATGGATTCAGGGAAGAGTGCCAGCCTTTGGCCTCAGGAGCCTTTCTGGTGAGAGATTCATCACACCCAGCATGCACAGTGGCCCTGGTTGGCAGGCCCTCCCTTCGGGGTCACCGCAGACCTACATTTGCAGGGGCCGGCCGTGCTAGAGTTCAATCATGCACTGACATCAGGGTTTGCCCATTTCATCGATATTACTGGGGTAATATTAGCAGGAATTTTACTCCAGAGCTAGGCCTTGCCTTTTCATGGCTTTTTGTTGTTGTTTTTGGAGAAGGGAGTCAGGATAGGAGGGCTGTTGTTGTTTGCTTGTTTTCAAATTTTTCAAAAGGATGTTATAATCTGGAGTCAGGAGAATTTGAATTAACTCCCACACTGAGCAGTGCAGTACGGGAGAAGAAAACCCACCAGAGACACCAGAGCCGTCTCTTCTCCTTTGCAGAGCCTTCTCGGCTAAACACAACTTGAAGATTTTGAATAAATTTGGGCAAGAAAAGAAGCACTGTTGTTTTGAAGCAGATTGCAGCAGTGATTTTTAAAACAAAGAAAGCAGAACTGGAGCATCTTTCATTTTTAATCCTTTAATTACAGTTTACTTGGACCACTGTTGATTGAGAAAACTGTAGAAAGTTAGTCACTACCACAAGCAAAAGGCAGGGGATGGATGTGTCCTTTCTCCACAGTCCTGCTTTGCAGAGTGTTGGAGCACACTGCGGAGGCTCTGCTCACACGTGGTGGAATGCACCCTGGCAGACTTTTGTCCACAGGTCGCTTTCCCCATGTTTCCTTGTAAACTCTTCAGCATTTCATAAAGTATTATTCGGCTAGGTGAGCCAGGAGTGTCAGGCTGAGCAGATGCTCAGGCTGGGTAACCAATGCTGGACTGGAGTGTGTGGTCATCCCTGGTTGCTGGCTTTCTCTTCTCAGTACTAATTTCCAAGCAGACGGACCTCCACTTCTAGTCGATGTTCGGGTGATAGATCTTTGTTTTAAATCTGGTCTTTTATGATTTGAATGGGTAATCTTCTCATAGGTTGATTTTGATTCTGAAGGCCGCCTTATCCTATGGAGGTTGTCAGGGACAATAAGCCCTTGCCGAGTCAATAAATTAGCTTCTTCAACCTGGATGTTGCGGGAGGCTTTCATTCCGCATTTGCAGCTTCTTCAAGCTCCTCTACCAGCCTCCTGTTGGCTGCCCCCTTTCCCTAGCTGGAACCTAGGATCCAGCTTCTTAATCCTTCTTAAAATGGTCCCCTCCTCTCCATCCCTGTAAGTCAAGCTCCTGCATTACAACAGTACTCTCTTAATTAGTCTCACTGCCTCAACACTGGCCCCCTGGATCTACCGTCTACCTTGCAGACACAATCAGCAAACAGACCTGTTAGTAGACACGCCAAGTGAAGGGCTGACAGAGAAACACATGTTGACATGTCTTCAGCAGATACACAAGTCGGTAGGTGCTGCCCTCCTGTTTCAAGCTCTGTACTGGCTTCCTGTGCACTCAGGGTAAAGCCAGCCCTTCCCACAGTGGCATTCATGGCCCTCTCTGATGGGTTCCTCCTGTTTTCCTCACTGGACTCATCTCTTGTCACCTCTCATCTCCCTCGGGATGCTCTTAGCAGACTCTAGGCTCTTTCTATGTCTGTTTCACCCCAGTATTTCCCTCTTTCCAGGATGTCTCGCCCCCAGGCATCTTCCTACCCCAACACCCACCATGCCACTCATCCACTAGGTAAGTATCTACTCATTTTTCACAATCATTCAGCTTGAAGGTCTGCATCCCATGAAGGCTTTCCTCATTCACCATTAGTTGAACTACTTCTGCTTTCTGCTCCGTGGGGTTTGGGGCCTGTGCAGATCTTGGTTATGAATAGCCCTTTTGTTGTGATTTTTAATAGAGAGGGAGCATTGCATCTTGGTTTTGAGCATCTGCTCAGAGCTGAATTTTCTGAGTTCATATCTCAAATCTTCGTTTACAAACTTTCCAATCCAGGACAGATTGCACTCATTATGGCACTAATATGGTGAATGGAATAAATGTACTCTAAGTTATCTTTCTGGATAAGCAGAAATCTATTCCTTTCCTTTTCATTCTGCATGGGATTTCTTCTCTGCTCAGATGTGAACAGAGATCCAAGGTGGGGAACCTGGGTCTTGGGCCATCACTTTCTGATGTAGCCTCTGCTGCAGCACAAAGGGTCACATAGTGGTGTCTTCCATCACAGCAAGCCAGGAACAGACCTTGTTTGGGCAGCAACAGCAATGGTCCAGGGAGGGGCTCAGTCCAGGTGTAGGCCAGCATTCACTAGGCTGTGGACTTAGTGGCAGCAGCACCTCCCATCCAGCCAACAAATGCATTCCTGTACATAACTCTGTCATTGAATTTACCACATTATACATTAATTACTATTTCTGTTGATTCAACAGGAACTGCATAGTCCCTGACTGTCAGGAACAACAGAGCCCTGCCCCTCTCAGGGGCCAGAGAGAGGCATGGTCATAACTGCCCCAGGGTTGAGTCCTTTTCATGATGTATGCTAAATTCTGGTGCCTCCTGCTTGCTTTCTGTCCTCACAGCATCACAATGAGGACAAAAGCCCAAGGGAGAAAGATTGGTGACTGTGGCAGTGAGAATCCATGGGTCAACTGTGAGGTAAATGTTCTTAAGATCCATTCTCGAGAGGCTTTAGAAAGCTACGTGGTCTCTGTATATGTAATTTCAAGATAGATGTGTTTGATTATTTTTATTTGTTTTCACCACAATGAGTGGAAAAGAACATTTTTATAGCACTAATATGCTAAATCCTGTTAAAAAAACACCCATTTATTTGTTCCTTCAGTAGATGTTATTGTGTGCCCGACATGTTTGTGTAATCCCCTGTACTTGAAGGTCAGTAATAGAGCTTAAATTATATGTATCTGGGGTCAGCTTTATGCGGCTTTTTATTTTATGCCAAGAAGTTTGGACTTTATTCTATAAGACTGTGGAGCAAAGAACACAACTGAATGCAACACAACTTTGTGTCATGTAGATGATTCTGGCAGCAGTGCTGAGGACGGGGTGAAGGGAGAAGTGTTGGGAGCCAAGATCAGGTAAGAGGCTGTAGTTTTCTTTCAGGGAGAAGAGACTAAAATCTAAACCGGACAATGATCCTGGGAAAAGAGAAGAGGGAATGGATTTGAGAGCTTTTCTGGAGGTCAACTTGAGAGGTTGAACAACAGATCAGATATGAACCCTGCAGGAAAGTGTTTTAGCTTGAGTGAGCAGAAGATTGACAGTGCATAAACTGATTTTTGAAACAGGAATGGGGCGGGGCTGAGTGATGACAACAAGTACATATTAATTAGAAAATAGTTGTAGGCTTCTTAGTTGAATACAGGCAGTATAAATGAGAGTGTCAGTTTAGGAATAAGATCAGGGTTAGAGATAAAAGAAAATGTGGGAAATTGCTGGTGTATAGTCAAAACTGTGAGAGAGAATTAAATCAATCAAGACCACCAAAACAAAAAGAGAGAACGCTGAGGACAGAGTCCTAGGGACACCAACATTTTAGAGGCAAAATAAAATGAGTCGGCAAAGGAGATTGAGAAAGTCTGATGAGTGGAGAATCGGTTGAGACAGATAGAGTGGACGTTCTAAGTGAAGAGAGTTCAATAAGGCAGGCCGGTATCAGAGTTGAGAAGGAAGGGACCCTTAGTATGTTGGTGTCTGTTTAGCTCAAAGAAGAACGATCTTATAAGTTAATTTATTTTAATTTATTGCATGCTTAGCTCAGACTCACAGGATTTCTTTCTTTTTCAAAAAAAAAATGTCTTTGTGTAACTTTTTTCATCAGAATGTTAGGTGGTCTAAAAGTTAATGTATTAGATATTTGAAATATTTTCCTTTGGTAATTCAAAATATTGCTTGGATGTAAGTTTTATGTCTGGTGTAGCTAACCACAAGCTGAGTGGGGCATCCCTTGCACTTGTATCTGACGTTTGACTTGGTATCCTTGACCTAAGGCAATGTGAAAAAGTAATACCCTTTATTACAGTTTTACTAACACACAGAGAAAACTTCCGACACACACCCTGGATTGGAAAAGTGAGGAAGACATTATTAATCATCGCTGGGCAGTTCTCCTGCCATTCTTACTACCATTTGCAATTGTCTTAAGGCTCAGTAAATGGCAACTGGCAACAACTTCATTCTGCATCCTTTTTCTGAGGAAAGACTGCAAAGTGGAAGAATGAAGGAAGTCTGAGGGGGTGGCATTTAAAATATGGTTGAAGCAGTTTGGGAAGTGTTCTTGCTGCTGTTTAGATATCTGATGGCCCAACGAAGTGGAAGCAAGCACGCCCACAAAAACACTCATCTCATGCAGACCCTCCCTGAATCTCATAAGGACTGACAGCTTTGACACCATTACCTTCTCTTTCTTTCAATGGGGCCATGCACTGAAATGCCAGATTCGTGGACCATGCTAGAGCAGAGAGTTCACTATAATCAAAATAAAGGCCTGAACATTTAAAATATCACAAAGGTGCTAATTTTTCTCAGGGCATTGAGGACTGCTGGCTCCCCGTTTACCCAGGCACTCACTGGCAATGGTCACTGATGAGCTTGAGATTGTAAAGCAGATTTTCTGACACACTAAATTCTGTTTCCAAAATGGCATGGGTTGTGCTAAGAAACTGAGAGGATTTTTGCTTTCTTTGTAATCAGCAGAAGCTCAGAATTATGAGGTTCACTCACTGGATAAAGGACTGCACTTTTCACGGATGGCAGTAGTTGGAACCTTAAATAAATATTACCCACGGAGAGAAAGAGATAAGGGCAATATGGACAATGTCATTCTTGGGCTGATTTCTAAAATGAAAATTCACTCTTCTTTTTATTTTTAAAAGTTAAGACAGCATTGCATGTTATAATTCCAGCAGTGATCTTATCATGAAGAGACATGGTTGAATTTCCACGTTGTCTCAATAGCTGGTTTACTGCCTTAATGTTACTTTCTTTTAAAATTGTATTTTTTTCAAGTTTTGAATATCTGCACTGTAAAATATAATCACAAAATTGTTGAAAATTCAACAATTTATGGCTAGGTAGAAGGGAATGAGTTGAAAGCTACTAATAGTAGTGTAATTCAATCCCATTATCACCACACATCTTGCAAACATATCACTTTATCCTAATATGTGTCCATTGTCATTCTTTCTAACAGCTGCATTTAGACTAGTTTCATTGCCAGCTACAAATTACAAGTGCAAGTAGAGTTTGGGGTAGTATACCAGGAAAATGACAAAGAGTAAATCTGCTGAGGAGTCTGGATGTTATCAATAAATGTGAGAACTTTGAGTGAGTTTTGTAGCTTATTAGATTTCTAGAAAGGTAACTGGGCCACCAGGCAGATTTACTGGTCCATTTCATTGTTGGTAGTGTTTTACCTTAAAATCTAATTTTTAATTTAATGAATTAGACATTGCATCTTTAAACTGAAGTTTTATAAAGTTGGAGATCACTCTTGCTGAACAGAATTCAGTGCTGCAATAAATTTGGCTATAACCCAATCAAGTCTTAACTCAACCTCTTCCTATTCCAAAGACACCACCTCCTTCCCTGATTTTGCTGGTTCACCCACAGAGAACATCTCAGTTTTCTGGAAACATCCCAGGCTCTGCTTTACCTCAGTGTCACCATACATAGTGTTCTATGTGTTTTGAAGGCATTCCTTCTTTCCTCTGCTAATTCTGGCCTATCCATCAAGGATCTCCATGACTTCTTAGCACCACTGTGCCTCTTTATTATTACACTTGCCTCATCATTTTATGTAACTGTTCATTGCCCCATCCCTAATAGGCAGCAAGCTCTTTGACAGCTAAAATCCTTTCTTTTTCATCTTCATATCCCTATTGCCTAGCTGAATGGGTAGCCCATCCTCTCAATAAATATTTATTGAGAATGAATGAATACATGAGGAAATGATGAAGGTATATTGTTAGTTAATGTGAGTCCTGTTGCCCTTTTCAGTCCATAAAAGACTTGTGGTAAAAGTTATCAGCGTATAGGTCTCTTACTAGCCTAGAATTAGTAGAATATTATCAGTAGGAGATAACGACATCTGAATAGGCTGCTACTAATAGAAAAATAAACCATATTTTATTGTGAGCAAAACAAAATTTTTGCAAAGCTTGAGATGCTGAGGAATAACTGTGTGTAGGGCTGTATTAATCAGAGGGGTAGTTAGCTTCCAGGACTACAAACTATTGGTTCAACTTTTGCTCTGCCACTTAGCACCTGTGTATCCTTAACCTCCCTGGTAATTATAGCTTCCACCTATTCATATTTTATATATTCTAGCAAAATGGCAGGCGTGCTAAGTGTTCAATGAATGCTAGCTATTATTATTCCATTTATCATAGGACAATCATCTATTTGTTTAATTTGAAATTTTAAAATTAATCACACATTAGTCTAAGTATATATAGATCTTGGCTCACTGCAAGCCCTGCCTCCTGGGTTCATGCCATTCTCCTGCCTCAGCCTCCCAAGTAGCTGGGACTACAGGTGCCCGCCACCACACCTGGCTAATTTTTTTTTTTTTTTGTATTTTTAGTAGAGATGGGGTTTCACCATGTTAGCCAGGATGGTCTCGATCTCCTGACCTCGTGATCTGCCCGCCTCGGCCTCCCAAAGTGCTGGGATTAGAGGCGTGAGCCACCACGCCCAGCTGTCTAAGTCTTAAAGTGCAATCATAGCCATTAAATGAAAATATATATTCTCAATTTTTAAAAATTGTCTATAGCCTTACATTATAGACATGTGCTAACCTCAGTTATCTGTTATATCTTATATAGGAACATGTCTCAGAATGAACGGAAACTCTAAGGGTCTCTGAAGGTCTTTGCAGTCTTAAACTTCTCTATGCCTTGTTTTTAATATCTGGGTAACCAAGATTTTTTAAAAATAAAATTCCACTATAGATAGGTTTTAAGGAGTAACATTTTTAAATGATGACAAAACAGCATATTTAAAAGAGTTGTGTTTGCATTTTATTTTAATTGTGTTCTTCATTCCTAACAAGTATCAATGAGGAAATCAATAACCAAGTACTTAATATACTGTGTTTAATATAACTCGTAAGAGTTGTCTGAAACTAAACTTTCTTGACATGCAAACTTAAGTTCTAATATCATCCCTTTATGAATATTATCCTGTGCATTTGGTGGATACGTGGAGCAGTGACCTTCACCAAGGTGTGCTGACAAGACTAGGTCACGACACCAAAGGTCTGGCTTCCAGTTCAACTTCACTGTTTTCTTATGTGTGATTCTAGATAAATTTAAGGTATCTGAGCTTCAGCTTTTTCTTTTATAAATAAGCCCTTATTCAATTTTCTTAGGGTTTTAACTATCAGATGCTAAATAAATTAAAATATGGAAAATACTACAGTAAAGGTAATTTATTTACATTAAAAGTAGTAATCATAACTATGATAGTCTTTCTGGTGTGTCAACTTGGCACTGTACATTTCATCCATATTCAAATACTAATCTAGCAGTTTCTGTAGAGGTTTTCTGTAGATGCGATTAAAGTTCATAACCAGTTGACTTTAATGTGGCCAAGCCTGATTCAATCAGTTGGAGGGCTGTACAGTTTGGCTGAGACTTCCCTGAAAGAAGAAATTCCATTTGTGCCCATGCCCATGGGTCCTAACCTGCCCTTCTTGATGGCCTGCCTTACGAAGTTCAGACGGTTTAGCTGGCCCTGCAATTGTATAAACAAATCACATGCAATAAATCTCTTAATATATATGTCCTGGTTCTGCTTTTTGGTTCATACAGTAGCAATTTACATGGCTACCTTCTTTGTGAAGAAGGAATGTTAGAAAATATAGACACTAATAAGAGATGAAGCAATCACATTATGGAACTCAAGGACTCTGGTTAATAGAAATCTTCCTCAGAAAGTCTGGTAGAGAGGAAAGCTATGGGAAATAGTAAGTCCTCATTCAGAAATGCAGGAATATATGTTTACTTACAAGAAAACAGAAATTCATGAATGTTTATGTGTGTCTCATAAAGTGTAAGATTGATTCATGGGTACCAAATGATGGCCCAGCCCATCACGATGCCATCCCAGTGCTGGCATCATGGAAAAGGCAGCATGTCCCTTCATACAGGAAAGAATAAGGGCTTTGAAATAAAACAGACGTAGAATCATTACTGGTTGCCTGAAGTTGGACAGGTTATTTAACCTTGCTGAAGCTCCATTACATTAACTTTAATGTAAATATGAAATAATAATAGTTCTCCAAATTCATGTATAGTGCCAGCACCAAACAAACACTCGATAAGTAGTACCTAATGTTCCCTTGAAACATGGATTCTCCACACCAGGCCCTTGCTCATTTTCTGATCATCTTAGTAAGAACCAATACTGATTGACAAGCATCTTCAGTAGTGGTAAATGTTTACTGTTTATGAGCATTCACATATTTCCTACCTATTGTGTCATATGGAAGGAGAAATAGTAAATACCCAGAAAAACTATCACATCAAACTTCCCAAGTTGTGTAGAAATATGTATTATAAATCTCAGTGTGCTTCTTCCTAAGAAGTGGACCTCTAATCACCTCCACTGACAATGTGTGGTTTTCTCTACATCATTATTAGACACATCAAATTACAGATACACTACAAATAGATCCTATAGGCCAGTGGTCAGATAGTGTTCTGGCCTTTATCTCCATGTTGTCTCCATTGTTATTTTGCCTAGATTACTTGTTGATTCCTACCTATTCATAAGTTAGATGTATTAGAAGTAACTGAGTGTCAGAGCTTCCCTTGCCCTCTCAAACTAGCCCCCACATGTGAATGGTCTTTTGAAAGACTTTGCTATCCTTTCCTTCTAGACTTTTCTCCTTTCATTATTTCTTAATAGAGGCAAACACAAATAGTGACCTCTGAGGGGTTAATGACAAAGCCAGAGATTAGCAATTCACTGTAGCCTGAATAAAATTTTAAAAGCGTTACAAATTATGTAAATAGATGCGGAAAAGAAGGTGTCCTGCTGTGGGAGGGTGAAGATGATGGAAATAATTCCAGCTTGGACATTAAGTCTTAATTAAGTAGCTGTAGGAAATAAAAGTCTAGGTTAAAGAGAATTACTCAGTATTGTCAGCCTATCTATCCTTCATGAGTAAGGGAGAGTATTGAGAATGGGGAAAGGAGGACTGAGAATGGAACCCCGGGGAATATCAAGCTGTGAGAAGAAAAAGAGAAGCCCATAAAGACACCAAAAGAAGAGATGAAAAAATGTGACTGTTTTAAAGAGGGTGTGGTCAGTAATGTCCGTTGTTCCTGAGAGGATAAGTCAAGAAAAATGGGAACTAAAATTATCCATCACATTTATCAATTGAGGAATCACCAATAACCTTACTGAGAACAGTTTCCTTAGAGTTGTGAGTATAGAAGCTGGAATGCAATCCCTTGAGACAAAAATGACAGGTGAAGTGGGGACATAGCAAATTGTAGAAAACGTTTTCAAGAAATTTAGTTAAGAAGGAAAGAATGAAGAAAGAGCCGGGTCAGGGATTTTAGTAGAGCTTAGTGATCCACGATTGTGTTCAATGGGAAATATGGCACAGTTTCTTTTCTCCACAAGTGTAGAGTGCAGTATTTATTTACTAGGTATAATGTTGGAATTTGGGAACACTTGGTCTTGGTAGTACACCTGAATTATCTGTGAAACTTTGTAAATATAGATGCCCAAGCCCCACCTCAATTCTACTGAACCAACATTTCTGGGGTGCAGTGAGTCTTCTTTGGTCCTAATTTTCTTCTTATCTTACTGGATACTATATCTGTTGCCTATGTCCTACCTTATTGAATTGTTTTCTTCTTTATGTCAGCACTGACATACTAAATGCGAGGTGGTACCCAACTCTGTCTGCAATTGCTAAAATAATGGTCTGAACACATATCTTTCAACTATTATTCTATTATAGTAGTTAATTCAAATGTTCTTACTTGTTACTTCGCAAATTGTGGAAATGTCAGCAATACAATTTTCTACCAATTTTGAAATTACGCTTTTTTTGCAGCTTCATGTGAATAACAGAAAAACACTATCAGCAGTTTAATTGATAGCAGTTTGTCTTTTTTAAACTTTCATTTTAAGTTCAGTAATGAGATTGCTCGGTCCAGTGGTAGTTCTGTTTTCAGCTCTTTGAAGAATTGTCACATTTCTTTCCACAATGGTTGAACCAATTTACACTCCCACCAACAGTATGTAAGTGTTCCCTTTTCTCTGCAATTTGTTTGAGTTCCTTATAGATGCTGAATCTTAGACCTTTGTCAGATGCGTAGTTTGTAAAAATCTTCTCCCATTCTGCAAGTTGTCTGTGATGGTTTCTTAAGTATTTTTAACTTAATTAAACTTAAACTCTTAAGTTGAATTAGATCCCATTTGTTAATGCTTGCTTTTGTTGGGATTGCTTCTAGTGTCTTTGTCATGAAGTCTTTGCTAGTTCCTATGTCAGAATGGTATTGCCTAGGTTATCTTCCAGGGTTTTTATAGTTTTTGGTTTTACATTTAAGTCTTTTATCTACCTTGAGGAAGGGGTTCAATTTCAATCTTCTGCACATGGCTAGCCAGTTATCCCAGAACCATTTATTGAATAGGGACTCCTTTCCTCATTGCTTGTTTTTGTCACCTTTGTCAAAAATCAGATGGTTCTAGGTGTTTGGCCTTATATTTGGGCTCTCTATTCTGCTCCACTTGTCTATGTGTCTGTTTTTATACCAGTACCATGTTGTTTTGGTTACTATAGCCCTGTAATATAATTTGAAGTCAATTAATGTGATGCCTCCAGCTTTGTTCTTTTTGGTTAGAATTGCCTTGGTTATTCAGACTTTCTTTTGGTTCCATATGAATTTTTAAAATTTTTTTCTAGTTCTGTGAAGAATGTCATCAGTAATTTGATAGAATAGCATTGAATCTGTAAATGGCTTTGAGCAGTATGGCCATTTTAGTGATATTGATTCTTCCTATCCATGAGCATGGAATGTTTTTTCATTTGTTTGTGTCATCTCCATCTCTGAGTTCTTTGATCAGTGTTTTGTAATTCTCAATGTTGAGATCTTTTGCCTCTGTTGTTAGCTGTACTCCTAGGTATTTTATTCTGTTTGTGGCAGTTGTGAATTGGATTGATTTCTGATTTGGCTCTTGGCTTGTCTGTTGGTGTATAGGAATGCTAGTGATTTTTGAACATTGATTTTGTATCCTGACACTTTGCTGAAGTTGTTTTTTAGATGAAGGAGCTTTTGGGTCGAGACTCTAGGGTTTTCTGAATAGAATCATATTGTCTGCCAACAGGATAATTTGACTTCCTCTTTTCCCATTTTCCTATGCCCTTTATTTCTTTCTCTTGCCTGATTGCTCTGGCCACGACTTCCAATACTATGTTGAATAGGAGTGATTAGAAAGGACATCTTTGTCTTGTGCTGGTTTTCAAGGGAAATGTTTCTAGCTTTTTCCAATTCATTATGATGCTTGCTGTGGGTTTGTCATAGATGGCTATTATTTTGTGGTATGTTCCTTCAATAACTCGTTTATTGAGAATTTTTAACATGAAATGATGTTGAATTTTATGGAAAGCCTTTTCTGTATCTATTGAGATAATCATGTGGTTTTTGTCTTTAGTTCTGTTTACGTGATGAATCACATTTACTGATTTGCATATGTTGAACCAACCTTGCATCCCAGGGACAAAGCCTACTTGATCATGGTGGATTATCTTTTTGATGTGCTGCTGGATTTGGTCTGCAAATATTTTGAGGATTTTTGCATCAATGTTCATCAAGAATATTGCCCTGAAGTTTTCTTTATTTGTTGTGTCTCTGCCAGGTTTTGGTTTCGGGATGATGCTGGCCTCACAGAATGAGTTGAGGAGGAGTCACTCTCCTCAATATTTTGGAATAGTTTCAGTAGGAATGCTACCAGCTTTTCCTTGTACATCTGGTAGAACTTGGCTGTGAGTTTCTCTGGGCCTGGGCTTTTTTTGATTGGTGTTTGTTACTGATTCAATTTTGGAGCTCATTCTTGGTTCAGGGAATCAATTTCGTTCTGGTTCAGTCTTAGGAGGGTGTTATGTGTCCAGGAATTTATCCACTTCTTCTTGGTTTTCTAGTTTGTAAGCCTAGAAGTGTTCATAGTAGTCTCTGATGGTTCTTTGTATTTTTATAGGGTCAGTGGTAATGTCCCCTTTGTGATTTCTAATTGTATTTATTTGGATCTTCTCTCTTTTCTTTTTATTAGTCTAGCTAGCACCCTATCAATCTTATTAGCTTTTTCAAAAAAATGACTCCTGGATTTGCTGATCTTTTGAATTTTTTTATGGTAGCAATTTGGGAGGGAAAGAACAATGTCTGTTTTAAAGGTTACTTGGAAATCACTCCCTCCATTATCAGAGGCCCTTTATTGCATGGTTATTTCCTGTCTCTTACTATCCATCTTCATATCTAGCTGCAGCAGCTGTAGTTCACACTCTTTGCTTGCCATACTGCAGTTTTGCTATAACTATGTCATGACCAATTTCATGTAGTTTATATGAATTCTGA
This sequence comes from Homo sapiens, assembly GCF_000001405.40. Classification (NCBI taxonomy): domain Eukaryota; kingdom Metazoa; phylum Chordata; class Mammalia; order Primates; family Hominidae; genus Homo; species Homo sapiens. The sequence continues at coordinate 62,495,216 of NC_000008.11, forward strand.
TAAAATAGTTTTTGAATTAAAAATTAAAAATAGATTTAAATGAGGAATTGAAAGTACTAGAATAAGAGTATTGATAAATAGTCAGAAAAAATGGTCAATATGCCAGTAAAAGGAAAGACAATCTATAGACAACAGCTAGAAATAAATTGATAAATGAGTGCAGAATATGAATAAAGTGTTTAAAATGCCATCATGTTTGAGAATTACACAATTTTGCACACATCTCTTCAGTGCCAAATTGGCTTTTTATCAAGAAATTTTTTTTGGTTAAAGTGTTATGAAGAATACAAAAGTAGACCTGCTGTCTGCTCTTGGGGAACAATGAGACAGAGAGTATATATATATATATTATATAAATATAATATAAAATTTATGTTCTTATGGGAACAGAGGATTCAAAAATAAAGATGTTTAATAAATAAAACAGAATAAACCTAGAGTATAGATAGTTGATTGAAAAGCATAGATTTTTAAACTATCATTTACTGACTTATCTCAGTCTGTGCTAAGCCATTTATCCACATTACCTAATTTAATATTTCAACAACTTTCTGAACTGAGTCCTAACTTTTGGATAGGAGAACTGATATTCACAGGGGTTAGGTAACTTTCCCAAAGTCAGATAGCTAACAAGTTAATTCATGAGTTGACCTCCAAGCTCTTTCTTTCCCACTGGAAAGCTCTTCAGTGATGGAGCCCCAGCTATGCTGACTCCAGGCCAGTGCTTATGCCACAGCACAGTCACACCACAATTTGTCCCCACTGAATTGGTCTAAGCAAGGAATTTTGACTACAGTAAATGTGCACTGAGTTTTGGGGCACATTTTGTGTGTAGTTGTAATTTGTGGTTAGATACTTTTATTAAGATCATCATGCCCTATTAATTTAACATCTTTTAATGATGTGCATCATGGCCTATTAATTTAACAGTCTTTAATAATGTGCTTACTGTTTATAATATCTAAGCATAAAAGGAAAGGCAGAAAATTGTAAATGCACACAAGAAGAAATAAGCTATCTTAAACTACATTATTAATGAGGTCCCTTTTATATTGCCTTCCAATCAGCATGAAAAACTGATGGAGCCAAGATTCTTACTGTGGCTTATGGGGAAAAGTTGCATGCTTTTATAACTCCCATGAGTTTCTAGTCTCCACCTTTAGTCTTATCTAAATGATGTTAAAAGTGCTGGGTATCCAGGCTCATCCAGTGTGTTCTTCCTGGATTATCAGAGACTGAGAGAGCACCTATGAAAGGAACAGTACCATAGGAAAAGCAATTCCATGGATCTCCATCTTCCTTATTGATTCTGGTTAACACATAAAACTGCTTCAAGAAGTTCAATATGAAGTCATCCTAGTGTCATTTGTTCAAAGCCTAGGCTTATCATCCATTTATTTATTTATTCATGCATGCATTTATTCAACAGAGTTCATGATTGAGATAATATAAAGAGTAGATTTCAATGGTGTCAGGGAATATGGGAAAGGTTCTGAAAGGCTATGAAGACCCGCTTTCAAAAAAATGGAGCTAAAACGTGTTGTATAACATGATTAGCGTAGATTAGACTAACTTTAGCTCCTCTTTCTGGTAGCAGAGGTTTCATTTCTTCTGTATTGTTTGTGTGATTAGTTTCTTAGCAGGAATTTTTAATTTCCGTACGTGGCCTCCAATTTTCCTGCCTCCTTACTGGTGCAGTGATTCCCTAGTGTCTTAATAACTACAGCGGCTATGCTTTGCTTAATGAGTGTGAGCTTTAGAGAATAATGTCATTTATGAACTCTTAATGAGTGTTCACAATTAAGAAGGCACTGAAGTTCAAGTTCTTTTTTTTTAAAAAAGACATTTTCCTAATGATACAGCTGCTATTGAAAGAGTTGATAATCTGGAAAAGACGTTGTTTCTTCTGTTTTACAGCTAAAGATTTTCTCTTAGCTTGACAAATTTAAAAAGTATTTGATATATATTTTAATTGCTATTAGAAAAAATCAAAATGCACAATTTAATGGTTTTTAGTTATAAAAATACAGAATTTAAGGGAAAGAGAATGGAAATTATAGAAAATGAAATAAACATAGGATGTCTGTCTCAGTTGTAGACTTGAAAATAGTAGTAGAAGATAGGATATATACTGTCTTATCAGTAGAAACAATGATACTTGAAGCAATGTCCTGTGGAACATGATGTATGTGGACGGTGATTTCTAAGTATAACCTATTTTTTTTTTTATCAAGCCCATAGCAGAAGTCTTAGAGGCGTTTATAGCATTGAAAACAGTTTAATTTAGAATAAACTGTTTCTAAGTAAGAGGACAATGGCCTGCTTATTCCCTTCCTACCTACAAGTTTTTACTTGGTTCCAGGTGTATTTTCAATGGAGACACACCAGAGAATTTTATTCTATGTCAGAGGAGGCCAATTACAGTTAAGAAAAGACCCTAAGTGTCTAGGAGTGATCCAAAACATCCCTGATCCAAAGTATGCTGAGTGCCAAATTTGAACCTGACACTGAAGCTCAGGAGTCCTGCACTGTGCAGTTGGTACCTTGACTCTGAGGCCCTTGAAGTCACTCTCTGGGTTCTAAGCCACAGGGAATTAAGTTTATAAATTTCTGCAGCCTGAGTTTCCAGCATTGCCAGGTTGGGTTTATAAGCTACAAAAATCTTAGGATTAACGTTAGTAAGCCTGATGGCACCTACCTCTGAAGTGATTGAGTGGTTAGGGGAAAGGTGGCTAACCTTCATGGATTCAAACCCTCTCTTGCTGCTTAGTTTCTTTCTTTCTTTTTTTACAAAGATGTCATATGTGCTCATGTGTTTACAAATGTACATTGATTATGTTTGTAGATCACCATCACATCACAGGTGAGGAAGACGGTAATCGTCAAACCTTTGGGTTGGATGAACTGAAAATAATATTTAGCCCAGATTGGTATATAATGTATCGTAAAATGAGATCCCTGGTTGTTTTGTCAAACAAAGTGGCATGAAGATAGTGGACTGTGACACTTGTTGAGCAGGGAAGAATTGGTCTGAAGAATGCTTTATTGTTTATAATACTTAGTTTCTGGTTTATTTTATTCAATGCAATTGCTCTTCTCCTCAGACCCCCTATTGAAATTTAAGGTTTTAAATTTGATTATTAAGACTACCTCTTAGCCACTTTCTCTTCATCTCATTCCCTACCTTTCAGCTCCACCCTCTCTGACACATTCAGCACCATATTGCTTCACCTTAGTTGTATTACCCTGTATAACTGCCTCCTCAGTTCTCACACTCTACCACCAAATGCACGCATGTTTTCGGCCTCTGCTTGGATGATAACTACTATAATCTCATTGGCTAAAGCAAATTGCTTTGCCAAGTTCAAAGTCAATGAATGGTAAGGAACATTCTGCCTTTTTAGGGAAGACCTGAAAAGTTGCATGGCAGAGGTACTGAATACATGCTGAATACAGATTTGGGACCAAGAATCCAATCAACCAAGTGAGGATGTATGTCTTTTTTTTTTTTTCCATTCAGCCTGTATTGCTATATAGTAGGACTTGGGAAGCAAGTCCATCAGATAAGCAAGACAGCAGCTCAGACCCCGTCAATCTCACAATGTAATGGGGAGGACTGACATGAAGCAACCAAATCACAAGCATGATAATTACTGTGATAAGATCTTTGCCATACAATATTCCTTTTTGTTCCGAGATATCCTTCCCCCTTAAAACCATTTATTTATATCTGATAAGAGTATCAAGACTGACTCAAAGGTCACCTTCTGTGTAAGTTGATTCCAGCTATAATCCTTTCTAGTCCATATTCTCTCATTTTTATCAATTCAGATTCTTTGATGCTGTGAGGAGTTTCCTTGTTGATACAGAGTTCGATAGTAGTTGTCAGATTGTGCCATGTGATTGGTCTACACATAACTCAGATGGAGGTAATAGCGGAAGAGGACTAGGCGTAAACTGCTGTGAATGTGAAAAGGTACTTCCTGCCCATGCTAAGGCCTTGGTAAAAGCTAGCTGCAAGTGTCACACTCTGGAGATAGTAACTGTACTTTCTGTTCTTTTTGCTGCCTTTCTAGGATGGAATGCCGTTGAATGATTCCCAAAACCAACTTCGCAGTACTCATGGTATCTGAAATGTATTAGAGAGGTCTTTCACTGAAGGTCTGGAGATAGTAACTGTATTTTCTGTTCTTTTTGATGCCTATCTAGGAGGGAATTCCACTGAATGATTCCCAAAACCAACTTTGCAATACTCATGGTATCTCAAATTTATTAGAGAAGTATTTCACCGAAGGTCTCCAAACAAAGTTAAATTTTATTTGTGTCAATTTAGAGGAAAATTATGTTTCATGTGGCACCATGGAAGGGAAATAAAGAGGCAAAGGAAACAGCATCATATCTCCTAAGGGTTGAAAGTCATTGTAAATAGGTGCTTTAATTAAGGTTAGTTAGTGACAAGATTAGGACTTATATATCCCCTTTTATTTATTAACAGTTTAGGCAGCATATATTTTAAGGATTTGGCCATCCCACTAATAAAACCTTGAAACCAGAGATTAAAAAAGTACTGCAAAAGAAAGCTGTGATCAGGTTTGTTTGTTTGTTTCTTTCTTTCTTTCTTTCCTTCTTTCCTTCTTCTCTCTTTCTTTTTTTTTCTTTTTGTGTCCTTGTCACAACAACAATTTTTTAGTTCACCAATTATGCTTTCTTTTTATTATGTCTGGTCATGGTTGAAGCAACTTATAATGAAATAACTGATTGTTTATTTTAAGAGGAAGATCAGACCTAGCATTTTAAGGTTGACATCAACTACAGTGAACCTCTTCACTGAAATGGGTCTGAGCATGAGTACCGCTTGTCACTGGGCAAGATTGCAGGGGGTCCTATTCGCAGAATGCCAGAGACTTCTATCATCCTCAACCCGTCTATTTTGCATTCCAGCAACCTGAGACCCAGAGAAGTTAAATATGCTGTTTCAGTGCCAGAATGAGCTAGTGGCAGAGCCTGGATTTATTTGAACCCAAATATTCTGTCTATAACCAGTGTTCCTTGAATCTTGTCAGCTTTCTTCAAGATTTCTTTTGGCAGTTGGAAGTTTTAGATAATGACACCATGTCTTCCATTACCAAGGAAAAACACTCAATGGGTTTAAGTACTAAGAAAAATATAGAACTTTATAATTTAAGGAAAGAAATAAGAAGGAAGAAAGGAAAGAAAGAAAGAAAGAAAGAAAGAAAGAAAGAAAGAAAGAAAGAAAGAAAGAAAGAAAGAAGAAAAGAAAGAAAGAAAGAAGGAAAGAAAGAAAGAGTGAGGGAGGGAGGGAGGGAGGACAATTAGATGTGACCTCTGTGGTAGTACATAATGTGTGGGCCGACTGAAAAGAGCCACTCAGCAATGGGGAAGAATTTCATCAAGGAGACAACACATTAATGGGACCTTGAAACATAGGCTGTATTTGACACCTTTGTGGAGGGCAATGGGTTTGGGCAGGAAGGGACAAGGATACTGCCGGGACCAAGAGGGAGGTTGTCATGGAGAACCAGAGAAGGCAGAAGCCTCAAAGGCACCAAGAGGGGAATGATTCCAAAGCTTTTGTTGCTCTTATTTTGTTCCTCCTATGGAGTCAAACTATATTCTCTTGCCACTCTCTATGTCTATGTGATGATCCTGGCCCAATGTTCACCTAGAGAGCTGCAGGGATGATGCACGCCATCATAACGGGGATTGCTAGGCCAAATGTTCTTGCCAACATTTCAGTTTCTCAAAAGAAAAAAATTGAGAAAATATCCATTATTCTTTGTTATGCTAATTATATTCACATAAACATATTCTTATACATGTTCCTTTTTTTCTAGTTATTCCATTTATGCTATTTATTTCCACTGGATAGAGCTGTGAATTTTGGAAAAGCAAAGATCATTTATAATGTAACCATATTATGTCTAAATCTCCTAATATTATTTGGTGAATACAATATGAAATTATATTGAATATATGAAAACATGGGAGATAAAGGAAGAAATCACACCCTCACTATCCATGAGTAGCTACTGGGGGCCCCATACTCACTGCCACCCTCATGACCTTATTAAATCCTCTAAGGTCTGTCTCCTCTCTTTTTTAAAATAATCACTTTTCTAGGAACAGAATAATCTAGGATGTAACATTGATTTCGTTCCTTTTGGGCTTTTTCTTCAGGGCTGGTATTCTTCTGCTATGTTTCATTTGCTTTCTCAATTCCTCCTGAGTTACAAGGCTTTCTATTTTCTCATGTCTTTCTGGTCATCTCATTTCTGTTTGCAGCTGATTCCAAAGCTGTTGTTGCTCTTGTTGTTCCTCCTATGGAGTCAAAGTATATTCTACTCTCTCCATCCTCTGTGTCTAGGCATTACGAGAAATGTGCATTACCACTGTTGTGTATTCTGTATGACATAGGCTTGACCAAACAGCCTGCAATCTTCACAATTATTCTTCCTATGGTACCCTAAATGTTTGCTTAGTGATTACTCAACTTAAAAGCTGAAATCCATTTTTGTAGCAAACATAAGCCACTGGGCTTACATTTCCTGTGTATAAGTATTCAAATCAGTGCTACTATATGCATGCAAAATAAAATCATAAGCTTCAGTGACCATCCTGGGTATTTACTAACAATATACCTATGCTAAGTGATGAGTCATGCCTGGGATACCACATTTTTCTCAGTGAATGCATTTTAAATACCAACAGAACCTAGATGGAGATTATGTTTAAGCAAAAAAAGATTTAAAGTGTTTCCAATTTTCTAGGTGTGCCAGAGAGCTGCCCACCATGTGGCAACTCATGCTGTCATAGCAGATGGTCATCAAAGGGGTAGCTTAGCACTTATGACTCATCCCTTGCACTGTTGCTATATAATTTGCCAAGACAATGAAGAAAAGTCTCTTTCTCATAAATTCATTCCTCCCTCTCTACTGCGTTCTTGTACTCAATCAAGCCCTCCTATTGACATATATATGTATATATTTTATTCTCCTTGCCCTTTCATCTTCTGTTCTATCTCTAGTCTTCCAGTCATTGCTAAATGTCATGAAGAATAGACTTCACATCTTCACTACTCCTTACCACTCAACTCCACTATCTTGTTTCTGCTTCTAACAGTACCTACTAATTGACATGATGCTGCTCTTTCAGAGTCCCTAGTGAATATCCTATTGCAAAATCTAGCGGCCCCTTTCCCAGCCCTCACACTCATGTAATTTTCCAGAGTTAACCATTCATTCCTTCCCCTACTTAATTTCTATGACACTTCTCTTTTTATCTCTTCTTCTTCTCCTTCCTCCTTTCCTTCTCCTTCTCCTTCTTCTTCTCAGTATCTACTTCCGACCTTCTTTTTCTTAACTTGCACTTTAAATGTAGAATTCTTGGTATTCTCTGTCCCTATGTGTTCTCCCTGTATGATCTCAGACACTTCTCCAGCCATTATCTACCCTCAGATGATTTGAAATTTGTATTGTATATACCAGTTATTTTCCTAGGCTCCACATTTACATATGTAGCAGCTTGATGGGCACAGATGTTCCTCTGGACTTCCAAATTCAATGTGTTCGAAGTGCAATTGGACTGTGAGGAAGTAACACAAGAGCATGGCCTTTGTCTTCAGATGGACCAGGGTTAGATCTCTGGCTCTTAGTTGCTACAGGACCTTGGAAAACATGCTTGAACTTCTTGTGCAGCTGTAAAATGAAAACTGCAAAACAGGTCCCCAACCCCTGGGCCACAGACTGGTACTGGTTTGGTCCATGACGTGTTGGGAACCTGGCTGCACAGCAGGAGGTGAGTGGTGGGCTAGCATTATCACCTGGAGCTCAGCCTCCTGTCACATCAGAAGTGGCACTGGATTCTTATCGGGGGAACCCACTCCCAATATTTCAACATAGGTTCTTTCTATTTTCCCTAAGTGTTGGTCAGTCTGAGAAATAAAGAGAAAGACCACAAAGAGAGGAATTTTATAATTGGGCCACCAGGGGTGACATCACATATCGGTAGGTCCGTGATGCCCACCTGAGCCGCAAAACCAGCAAGTTTTTATTAGGGATTTCAAAAGAGGAGGGGGTGTATGAACAGGGAGTAGGTCACATGCTTCAAGGGGCAAAAGGCAGAGCAAAGATCACATGCTTCTGAGGAAATAGGACCAAGGCAAAATCAGAAACTCCTGATAAGGGTCTATGTTCAGCGGTGCACATATTGTCTTGATAAACATCTTAACAGAAAACAGGGTTCGAGAGCAGAGAACTGGTCTGACCTCAGATTTACCAGGGCTGGGGTTTCCCAATCCTGGTAAGCCTGAGGGTACTGCAGGAGACCAGGGCGTATCTCAGTCCTTATCTCAACCGCATAGGACAGACACTCCCAGAGCAGCCGTCTATGGACCTTCCCCCAGGAATGCAATTCTTTTCCTAGGGTCTTAATATTATATTCCCTGGTAGGAAAAGAATTTAGTGATATCTCTTCTACTTGCATGTCCATTTATAGGCTCTCTGCAAGAAGAAAAATATGGCTTTTTTAGCCCAACCCCGCAGGCAGTCAGACCTTATGGTTGTCTTCCCTTGCTCCCTAAAATCGCTGTTATTCTGTTCATTTTCAAGGTGCACTGATTTCATACTGTTCAAACACACGTTTTACAATCAATTTGTACAGTTAACATAATCATCACAGGGTCCTGAGGTGATGTACCTCCTCAGTTTACGAAGATAACAGGATTGAGATTAAAGTAAGACAGATGCAAGAAATTATAAGAGTATTATTAGGGAAGTGATAAATATCTATGAAATCTTCACAATTTATATTCCTCTGCCACGGCGCCAGCCGGTCCCTCCATCCGGGGTCCCTGACTTCCCACAACAGATTCTCATAGGAGTGTGAACTGTATTGTGAACTGCACATGCAAGGGATCTGGGTTGCATGCTCCTTATGAGAATCTAATGCTTATTGAATCTGAGGTGGAACAGTTTCATCCTGAAACTGTCCCCCCACCACCAGTCTGTGGAAAAATTGTCTTCCACAAAACCAGTCCGTAGTGGTTGGGGACCACTGCTATAAAACCTACTTTGCAGAATAACTATGAATATAAAATATCTGAAACAAAACCTAGCAAATTGCTGTCCCTTAATGCATATGAGATATTCTCTATACTACATTCTCTCCAATGACTCTTCCACCTATTGCATTCCTATTCCTTTAATCATATCATCATCCCATAATCATTTCCTCTTCCTTCTATCCCAATCCTCACATCTAATCACTGGTCATGTCATGTAGATTCTGTTTCTCTAGATTCCATAGAGTCCACCCTTAGCTGTCTATATTTTGCTCCTTATTTGTTCCTGGATTGTTGCAATAACAATCAAATTGATTTCTCTGTTTTCCATAAATGGAAAATCAAACCATCCATTATTTCATTATCAGAGTTTTTCTGTTTTCATTTTCAGGAAACACAGCAATACTCAGGTTATTCTTCTTAAAACCCTTCAGTAGCTCTGTGTTGCCTATAGCACGATGCTATAATTCCTTTAGCTGTCAATCTCCCTTACAGTGTTATAATTACTGTCTTTCCAGAGTGTTCCCTCACTACTTCTCTTTCTGCTCTAGTAACACCAGAGTTCTCAATGTCCCTCAAACAAGCTATCCAGGTTAATGACTTTCTTTCAGTTTTGAATGCTCTTCTTCCCTGATAAAATGCCAGTTACTTTAGCCAGGTCTTCCTTTTTGTTCCTATAACACTTACTTGAATCTCTGTTTTCATTCTGCATTTATTGTAGTTAATAAGCATTTTCTCCCCACAAGCTAAGTCCTTTGAAATCAGACTAGATAAAGGCAATAAAGGTAGTAAGAAAGAAATTCAAATGCTAAAGGAAGAACCAAGAAATGTAATTATGCGAACAATAAGGTCAATACAGCAATAAGGGCAATTACTGTGGCTATGCACAAAACTTTGCTGTGAAACATTTATCAGTTAAGATTTGGTTATTAATTCATTCACTTCACAAATAATTTTGGGGTGAATTCCTTGTGTTTAGCCCTAGGTATTGAAAAGCAACTAACAAGACTGTTCTGGCTCCTACTCAGAAAAAAATTATGGGAAAATGTTATATACTTCAAACAACCTTAGAGGAATATATACAACAGTTCATTATGAAAAGCAAAATTTCTCCTGGTACTAAAGTTTGAGAAAACTTTCTCATTAGGAACATAATGTAGGGGATATTGAGTGAAATAATGTATAAGGTTCTCAATAATAGTCTTATAATAAATATAGAAGCATGGTTTTATATGACTGTTAAGGTATAACATTGAAAATCATTTCTATCCCCTGCTCTACAGAATGCCTTTACATACTGGGGACTTGCTAAATAGTTGTTGAAATCAAGCACTATGATCTGACTTTGTTGATCTTTTTTCAAATACTGATAGATCCATATCCAGTAGTATCATTGGTATCTTAATCAAAATGGCTTTGTGAATTTATTTATTTGGCACCAAAGAATCTTTGTCTGATGGCCTATATGTATTAGTTTCCCATTGCTGCTACAACAAATTACCACACAACAGGTGGCTTAAAATAACCAAAGTTATCTTATAATTCTGTAGTTTAGAAGTCCCATATAGTTCTCAGTGGGCTAAAATCAAGACTCTGGCAGGGCTGGATTCTTTTATGGTGACTCAAAGGCAGAATCTGTTTCCCTTCTTTTTTTAGCCTCAAGAGGCAACCCATATTCCTTGACATATGGCACTCTTCCTCCATCTTTTAAGCCAATAGTGTTGCATCACTCTGATCATTACTACATACTCACATTTTCCTCTAACTGCAGCTGAAAAAGATTCTCTGCTTTAAAGGACTCATGTGATTATATTGGACACTTCTGGATAAATCAGGATAACCTCCCCATAACAAGATCCTTAGCTTAATCACATCTGCAAAGTCTTTTGTCATATAATATATTTACAGGTTTCAGGGATCCATATGAGAATATTGGGGGGGGGGACATTATTTCACCTGCCATATATCTTACTGTCATGTTCTAATTTATAATAGAGACTACGAATTCCAAAGTGCCATTTCAAAGAAGCAAATTGCAGGATGTAATTCTACACCCCTCCCGTAAAACAACAGCAACAAAGATTACATTTCCTTAGAATGCATGGGTACTTGCTATTTGTGCATGTGCAACTTAGGACATGTGCATTTTTATTTTTTCTGCTTTTTCTTTTTTCTTTCTTTCTTTTTTTTTTTTTTTTGAGACAGAGTCTCATTCTGTCACCCAGGCTGGAGTGCAGTGGTGTGATCTCAGCTCTCTGCAACCTCTGCCTCTCGGGTTCAAGCTATTCTTTTGCCTCAGCCTCCCGAGTAGCTGGGACTACAGGCACATACCACTACGCCCTGCTGAGTTTTGTATTTTTAGTAGAGACAGGGTTTCACCATATTGGCCAGGCTGGTCTCGAACTCCTGACCTCATGATCTGCTCACCTCAGCCTCCCAGAGTGCTGGGATTACAGGCATGAGCCACCATACCCAGCCTTTTACTGCTTTTGTAAGGTTAGACTTTGGAATTAAAAGAGGGTGTCTGAGGTGACCATGTCAGAATTTGCTCCTTTACAGAGAACATTGGAGATCCCTCTTCCCCTCTCTCTTTCTAATGTTATGCATTTCTCGACACCTGATGTAGAATTGATAATGGGTTAAAAGCATCTTTTCCATTTCTTTGACTAGAGCAAAATGAAGCCATAAAAATATCTACCAACCCTGGGAAGCTCTTGCATAAATGACTGGTGTTTATTGCTAATGTAAAATGTTTTTGATTGTGAACATGCTGCTGTGTGATCTTCTGAATAAAGATAATTTTATACTGTATGAATAATTTCCCTTTGTTTTCCAAAGTGTTTGAGTGGTTAGAAAAAATATTTTTATTATATGTCTGTCAGTTTCACTATACAAAATTGAAACAATCTTGGAAGTTATGAGTACAACCAGATGGATGAAGATTTCCGATTCCAGTCTGGAATGTGAACAAAGCGTAAATGCTGTTTGTGGATTATGAGTTATTTACTAGGACTTATCTTAGAACAACGTAATCAGTACCTCAGCAACTATCTAGTTCTGCACACAGCAGGCACTCATTAAATGTTTATTATTTGAATAAGAGAATCATTTTATTTGTCTTCCCATCAATAGTTGTTCAATTCTATTCTTCCCAGTCAGTGCCTCATACTACAATTGTTCATCCTGTACCTAAAATTAATACACATTCCCAAATTTGTTACATTGTTTTGGAGAATGCATGACTCAGCCTTTTTGCCAAATGCTATACCTTTCCAGAAGCCTTATAATTATACTTTGTTAATTGCAAACCACAAAGCTGCCATCATTTCTTTCTCTCTCTCTTTGTAAAAAAAATGGTATCCCAGAATAGATAAAGAAGCCATGATTTATATGACTCTCTTTTCCTTTCTGTTACAAACTTGTTTCCCTCTCCCACAATAGGAAGAAATTATTAGGCAGATTAAAAGCTTTCCTTATGGAATCTGTAAAAGAAATGATGCTTGTACTCGGCTCCCGACTGCAAAGGCCACCAACAGAGTAAGGGATGGCAGAAAGGACACGGAAAAAGAGATGCAGGCTGAGATTGAATCCAGTGATCTTTGGAGAGATTCTGCTGGCTCATGCACCAGTGCTTGAAAGTTCTGTGTTTTAGTTTCACAGTATAAAAATGTGCTGAAAAACATCTTAGTATATTGTCTTTTAGGCTCATCTGGGACAGATATCCGTCAAAGGTAGTGATTGGGCTTTCTAAGGGAAGGTGATATGTTATTCCTTGCAGGAAATAATTCTTTATATGTCCCGTTCCCTAGATAGCTATTGAAATTTGTGTGCCGGGCTGTGGAGAAAGTAGTTCTGTGAAAACCTGGGAAGAATCTGATTAGAGAGTGGTGAACCCTCCCTGCAAATGCAGAGGAAGCACAAGGAAGAGGAAGGCAATCCCTTCACGTGATGACCCCGAATCATTCCAGTCCAACCCTTCACAACAGAGGGACATTTTTTTGCTTAGTTATGGCAGGTTCTCCATTTCAAACAATTTGCTTTAGACCCATTCTTGCCCCTCCCCCTCCACCTTGGACATCACTCTTTTAGACCTTCTTGTCACTTTACAGCTCACTCAAGCCAAGTCACAAACATTAGTTTTCCTTTGCTGCACATCACAAAAGTCCCATTCACCCTCAAGTTAGGATGTGGCTTCTGTGACAACCCTCGGAGCCACAAGCCAAGCCCCTCATTGTCCGGGGACCAGTTAGTCATGCCTACTTGGTTTACCTACCTGGTTTGTTGGGAGAGCTTGATAAAATAATATGTTTGACATGCATGGCCAGCTCCAAAGTGTTCTTCAAAGACGACAGAATCAATCTTCTGTAAAGATGATTAGTCCCTCACTGTCTTCACCTCTCAGCCAGGCTTCTGTGTTCATGTGAGTTTTATTATGGATTTTCTTTCAGAATGGTGATAATTTAGCATGACATTTTTAATACATATTTTTAAGTTACAATTTATTGAAGTGTAACATAAATACAGAAACATACACCAATTTCAAGTGTGTGGTGGAATGAATTTTCACGAAGTCAGGGTACCCATATAACAAACATCCAGATGCACAACTCATGCTCCTCGCAATTCAACAGGTTTCTAAAACAGTGTCTTTTGGGAATCCAGTGACTTCTCTACGTAGTCATCTATGGTTTCCCCAGTATGCATGGCTCTGTATATCTTTAGTGAGAAGGTCACTTTCTCTGCAAGGTGTAGCCTACAGCCTTTTTACGGAAGCAAAAATACCTACAACAAGTGAAGGACATTTAAAGGATTGAACTCCAATGTGTGCAAAATCAGCATGAACTCTACATGTGATGACTAAGGCATTGATCATAGAGAGTAGGAGATAATCATGTGGGGTGGGGAGGGGGTCCCAAGCAAAGCATTGTCAGAAGCTGGGAAAGGTATTATAGAGACATTTCTTCTTCTTATCCCTCACCTCACCCTATACTTTGCACCCCAGATCCTGTTTTGCTGTCTTATATTAACTTTGACCACCCGCCACACCCTTCTATCCAGGAAGAGTTCCATCCGGCAAGATATGCAGCCCTAGTTCTTTTCCTCCTTTATCCACTACCTTTGCTTATTGCTGAGCTTCCCCTGTCTGCTCCTTTCCTTTACTGTCAATGGTGCATGTCTCCGACTTAATAAAAACAGCCTTGGGTTTTGTATTTCTAATCTATGGGCTATTAATGAAATGCGGCAGTGGTTTCATTCTTATCTCTAACCACCATGAGCATCCAAGTGCCAAGTGTATATTGTGATCACTAAATTGCCATGAGACACGGGCCCACAATTCCAGGAATGTGCCATTTGCCATAAAGCTATATCTGAAATTGCTATTAACTCTTTCCTCTGACTTCGGTTCTTCTACTAGGAATTTTCTTTCTTATCGTAACTCTCCTAAATATTATATTATCCATAGTTCTCTATTACTAGCCTCATTTATATTGAGACTTTTTAGACATTTCATTAAGTCACTCACTCCATGAAGACCGTTTATGGCAAAGCACCTATTATAGGCAAAGCATTCTATTAGGTGCAGGGAAATAATAATAATTAGCATGTGGATCTTGCTTTTGAAAAAATTACCAAGGGACATAGGACATGTGCATAAATATGTATATTTTAAGTGACCAAAAGGATTGACAGATAATGGTATGGATGGCTGAGAGATGAGAAGTGAGGAGTAATTCCTTAGGACTGGGTGGATGAAAGAAAACCTCATGAAGGAAGTGACATTTTAAGAGGGCCTTAAAAGTTGGGTTGATTTTGGAATATATGATGATTTGGTAATCTTGGTGGTGGAATCAGGGTGAATAAGAGAAAAGTGAAGACCAAATTGAGTTTGTATAAAGAACAGTGAATAGTTAGGTATTGTATCTGTTAGAAATGCTTGCAGGTGAAAGGAATATCAACATCAAAAACAATAAACGCTACCAAACTAGCTCAAACTGAAAGGGCATTAAGGGTGTATTTTGAAAGAATCCTGGAGGTATTTTGTCCCAGACTGACCACCACCTTCATTCTTTGTTCAGGGCCAGCTTTGTCATCAAGGGCTAGCCTTCTCCTCTTCTTCCACTCCATCATTCTTAGCACATCGGCTCTTGATGTCAGCTTACCATGACAACTCACGGCAGTGCAGAAGCACATGTCCATCTCTAGGTCAATCGCTGGGAAGGTGATGGGTTTGTTACGATTTTCTGGGATTAACTGTATTCAGAGCCCTTATGAAAATAGGGTTTGTTAACAAAAGGAAAGATGAGAAAGAAGAGGAAGAGGAGGAAGAGGAAGGAGGAAGGAAGCAGAATGTGGAAGTGAATAAGAATACAAAGAAAAGATTGAGGAGGAGGTGGAAGAGGAGTAAGGAGAAAATGGCTTAAAACTTGAGTTTTAGGGGCACAGTGAGATCATTTTGGCTACAAAGTGGGATCATATTATGGGTAAACTGGTAAATCCCATGGTCAGCTTTTAGTCTTTTTCCTTGACCTCTTCTTTCACCTGTTGGACTCTGTTGACTCACCTTCCCCCTCTGTCCTGCTTTTTCCTGTGTTTACTTCCTAAGCTCTGGCTGCTCCTTTTCAAGGTCGTTTGCTGGTGTCTGCCCTCTGTTTCCCACATAAATGGCAGTGCTCCCAGGTTTCTGTCCAGGTCCTCTCTTCTCAGTCCTCCTAAGGAAACCCACATAAACTCAACAACTTGATACACATTGCTCTCAAACCTCCAGCACAAATCTTTAACTGCTCTTTCTGCCTTGGATCTGCCTCCCCACACCCTCCCCATGTAGCTCAGCCTCTGTGGCTTCCCTCAAGCTTTCCCCACACCCTGGAATTCCACACACTTTCTTTGGTGTTGTCCAACAAATCACTTCTCATTCAAGAGGAATTTATTTCAGGTTGCCTCTCTGCAGTCTAGTTCCTACCGCCTTCCGCGGGGTTCCCTGTGCCCTCCCTCACCTCTTCAGTGCCTCTCTTCATGCTCACTTCACTGTACCTAGTCACTGATTCAAGGACCAGCAACTCTCTAGGTCACTCCAAAACCATTGCAGCCTGCCCGCTGCAGGCCACTCTCAGATGCCACCCAGATCCCTGGAATAGTCTTCTTATCCACCTCCTTGTACCCCTCCGGCTGTTCTCCAAATTGTGCTTTATGTGGTAGCAAAATGATTTTTTCTAAACAATAGTGGTGTGATGACTATCCTCTGCCCAAAATCTTTCCAAGGGTTCCTGATATTCTCAGGAGAAAGACAAAGGCCCTGACATTTCATACAGAGCCGTACAAGGGGCCTCCCTCTTCCACCTTGATGTACATTTGTCTCCCTCTTGCTTTCTCTACCACAGTTCCACCAGCCTTCTTTCATTTACTCCAAAGTGGCATGCCATCTACCTTCCTCCACAGGATCTTTACAAATGCTTTTCTTTGCCTGGAATGTCTATCTTCTCCACCTTCATCACACTAGCTGCTACTCCTCTATCTGATTGCAGCTCAAGAGGTACTGCCTTGGGAAAGCCTTTCTTAACATTTGGATCCCTGACTTCATGGAGCCTTGTCTCACTCATTCATTGTGTTTGTCATTATTTATGACCGTGGAATTGTTTTTGTGATTGTTTGATTAATATCTGTTTCCCTCTCTAAATAGTCATCTCTGTAAGAGCAGCAGCTGGGGCTATTTTGCTGATGTTTTTATTCCCACTATCTTGTATGATACTTGGCATGTCATAGGCACTTAATAAATATAGTGCTTTTAGCAAAATGAACTTTCTCTTTTATACCATGAAATTCTGGGAAACTGAGACAAGCCTGGTTTAATGCTATATTCTGAGGACCTTGAAGAGTTTTTATCTATGAAGATTGCTAAAATTATTGATAAATGATTGATTTAAGAAGGCATTGTGGATATCAGGCTAATTAATTTGTGATTATTGATGGAAGACTGTGTGTTTGTAGGTGTTTATTGCCCTAACCAGCTAATCCCAGATACCCTCACCCAGTATTTCTCTATAATGTTCCTAATCCATTCTTTCTGCCCCAGTTTTCTCTTTTAAATGGTCAGTGAGGGCCTGGAAACATGTTCTCACCTCTGATCAGACCAAGGAAGCAGAACTTCTCTAATATGTGACCATGGTTTCCCTGGTTTTGAGGGATTTGATGTTCTAAGATGCCTCCGTCTTGCCAACTTTGTAGTCTGTTCTGTTTCAGTCTGTTATTTATTGTGTTTTTTCAATTCTCCCAGCTGCCTCTCTTAATCTCAAATTCCACTATTCTACTTGCTAAGTCCTTTCATCTAGAAGTGACATTGGGGAAGGAGGCACATTGAACACTTTCATGGACCCAGGTCCTAAATGGCAATGTGTACTTAGCAGTGAACAAACTGTGTTAGTACTGAAGCTGCTGCCACAAAGAAAACTGTGTCTTTCACCTGCAGGGTCTATTTATGTGACCACATGTTGAAGCTCAGGTAAATCTTCAGCATCCTCTCATCCTGCCTTTCCTTTCTGATTAGGAAATCTTTTATTTATCATGGTTTTCATTTTCTCTGAACAGATGGTGCATTACCAACAAGTGACAAATGACTGTCCTCCCAACAAGTATTTAGAAACAAATAAAATTAACCACAAGAAATATGGCAGCAGGGTGAGTAAGAAGCTCACAAAGTAAATGAGTTTATCACATTATTTGCTTCCCTACTGGCATCATGAGATCCACTTTTGAAAAATATATATAAAATAGTCAAAGAAACTGATTTAGACAGATCAGTTAACCTCATATATATTTCCTCCAAACACAATTATTGGGAAAAATAACTAATCTTTTCTTGTCAAAGCATTTGCTTTCCTAGAAGACAGCAGAGTTCTGTTTAGCCTCATGTAAGGAAATAGTGTAATGCATTGTGATAAATAGATGCCTCACACCTTTCTAGGAAAGAAAAATGTTGAGGCCTTTGACTGCAACTAGATGGACTGAAGCTAAATGCAACTATCTCCGTCAGCAAAATAGACCCAGTTGCTGCTCTCTCAGAGATTGCAGTTTAGAGGGGGAAATAGATATTAATCAAACAATCACAAAAACATGGTCATAAATATAAGCACAATGAATGAGTGAGAAAAGCTCCATGAAGTCATGAATTTGAATGATAAGAAAGGCCTCCTCCAGGAAGTGATTCTTAAGCTGCAATCAGATAGATGAGTAGGCGTTAGTGTGGTAAAGGTAGAGAAGATAGACAAACATTCCAGGCAAAGGAAAGAGGATTTGTGGCCAGGCACAGTTGCTCACACCTGTAATCTCAGCACTTTGGGAGGCTGAAGTGGACAGATACTTGAGCCAAGGAGTTTGAGATTAGCCTGGAGAAGATGGAGAAATCCCATCTCTACAAAAAAAGATACAAAAATTAGCTAGGTGTGGTGGCGCACACATGTAGTCCCAGCTATTAGGGAGGCTGAGGTGGGAGTATCGTTTGACCCCAAGAGGTCAAGGCTGCAGTTGCCACTGCACTCCAGCCTGGGCAACAGAGTGAAACCTGTCTCAAAAAAAAAAAAAAAAAAAAAAAAAAAAGCATAAAAGCATTTGTAAAGATCCGGTGGAGGAAGGAGATGACATGGAACTTAGGAGTAGATGAAAGAAGGCCAGTTGAGTTGTGGCACAGAAAGCAAGAAGGAGACAAATGTGCATCGGTGTGAAGAGAGAGGCCCCTTGTAGGGCTCAATGTGAAATGTTAGGGCCTTCCAAGAGTTCCTGTTATTCTTTCTCCTAAGACTAACAGGAATCCTTGGACAGGTGCTTTCAGCAGAGAATTCCCAGCTTACTCTCATTGTTTGAAAAAGCTCATTTTGCAACTAAAGGCATTATGTCTTCAAAGCTGCATTCTATGACATCCACTCATGCTCAGCATCAGAGTATGCACTCAGACATTCTAGATGTGAGCTATAGATACTCGTTTTTTTTAATGTTTTTAGATAATGCCACTAATTCTGATTCTCTGAAATATTTCAACCTATGAGATGTGCTTTAAAACATACATGCTTTGGATGAAAATGCCATAAAATGGAAATGTGATATACCCTATAAATAGATGAAATTATATATAAGAACATCTTAGGAAGAGGGTAAAATTAAATCAGTAACTGAAACAGTAATTGTAAAATATTGTTATATTTCCTCACTTTTCACAGATACTTCACTGATAAAAAGGGGAACAAAATATGAGATTGTTAGTCACATGATTTCCTTACCGTGAACAACAGTTACACACTTAAATGTAGGCTGATAGTAGTTCAATCAGAGTCCACACTTCTTTGAGAAGTTCATGTTCTGCATGAGTTAGTCATGGCAAAGTGAATAAATAATTCATGTGTTACTACTCCCCACCCTTCCTAGATGGATGTAGTGTAAGGGATGTTAATACACCTAAAAGCAAAAGATGGATATTCTAACTTCAGGGATGAGTGTGGAGCTAGGCGGCCTGTTCCACCGATCTCTCTTTCCTTCTCTCCTGAATCGTCAACATTCAAAGTTGCAGTGGCATCTCACATCTTTGAAAACAATTCCACCTTGATCTCACTTTCCCTTCAGCTTTCAGGTCCTTCCACCCCAAAAGTATCTATAATGATATATGAGTGATATGTGATTAAGTATTGATATAATCATAATCCTTAGTTTGGGAATTAATTTTCATTTTCTCCCCCAGTCCTCCCTGACCACCACTCCCTTGTCCCTGTCCTCTTCCAAAGGCTCTACCATCATAATCAAGAATATCTCCTTGACTGTAATACATCATGACAATATTGTTTTGTCTGGGTATGTTTTCACAAAAACAAAATTATGCTACATTTTAAGAAAAGAAAATTGTGCTAAAGAGTCATTCTGACTTAATTTTTTTCTATTCAACACTTTTAAAACTATTCAAGTTTCTACATGTATTGTTTTAAAATTTATTTTTTAGTTAGCAAATAAAAAGTATATATATTTATTGTGTGCAACATGATGTGATATATATGTGTATATTTTAATGTATTTGTGATGCCTACTTGCAGTTCCATAGCATAAACCTTTCACATTTTCTCCTCCTTTCCTAAATTGCCTCTATCTCTCCCATGCCACAAACAACACTGTGGTGAGTATCATTATGCACACCCTCTATCTTCTTTTCTTAACTTTTATTTTAGGTTCAGGGGATACATGTGCAGTCTACATGGGTAAACTGTGTGTCACTGGAGTTTGTTATACAACTTCCCTTACTCAAAAGAGAGAAATGTGTTTAGTATATACATCCAGGAGTGGAGCTGTTATATCCTAGGTGTGTGATTAATCAATTGCACCACGGATTGCTTTCCAGAAACGCTACATTAATTTACACTCTCAACAAGAATCCACTAGGGTTTCTGTTTCCCAACATCTTTCTGACACTTGGTATTATTTGGGCTCTCTAATTTTTGCCAGTCTGATGGAAGAAAACCCTTGTTTTAACTTGCATTTATTTGATTGCTAGTGAGGCTGAATATTTGTTCATATACTTGTTAATCATTTGGATTTCACTATAAATTATATATTTAAATTACTTGCTTATTTTTCTATTGTGTTTCCTGTCTTCTTGATTTGGGGGTATTTCCTTAGATTTTTAAGATATTACTCCTTGTTGATTGTAAATCTTTCCCAGTCTGTGATCTGTCTGTCAACTTTGTCTAAGGTATTCTCTGTTGAACAAAAAGCCCCATTTTTTTTTAAGAAAGGAAGTAAAGTACACTTGGAAGAGAGCCAAGCTGGCAACTTAGGAGATTCAAGTGCTAAAGATCCCACATTTAGATGTATGGTTTGTGTATTTAGCAGTCTCAATGTTTTCTATATATTCTTCTATTAACCTTGTAGTTCCACCCTTCACATTTAAGTTTCCCCTCTGTATGGTATGAGGTAAGGATTCAAGGTTGTTGATTTTTCTTTAATTGGTAGTTTTCTCCCAATACCTTCTGCTAAACAGTCTACCATTTCACCATTGATTAATGGTGCCAGCACTATCATATATTAAGTTAACCCTGTCATGTAGTATTTTCTGAGTTCTCTGTGTTACACCAGCAGCATGCATCTATTTATTAGCAGGACCTTAATATGTGTGTTCATATATGGTAAAGCAAAATCCTTGCTTTTGTTCTTTGTCAAAATAACCTTAGTTTGTTTTACTTGTGTCACTTTCAAGTAAGTTTTCCAAAGTTCTCAAAATTGTTGTTTGGTATTGTATCAAATTTATATGTAAACTTGAGGAAAATTAAGATCTTTAAAGTGTGAAATAATCCCACCCATGAACAAAACTTATCTCTCATTTTACTTAAATATCTTTTAAGACCTTTAACAGAGTTTTTAAAATGTGCTCTGTACAAATTTTATGGATTCTTGGCTAAGTTATTCCCTAGAAATTTACTAATTTTGTTGCTGTTGTAAATCTACATCAGTAGTCTGTAGCTTTCTTTCTGAGATTCTCCCTGTAGATACACCAAACTGTCAATTTGATATTTTCATTTTGAACATCTCTCATTACCTAAAACTTCACATGTACCCAAATGTGCATTTGATCTCCACCCCGCTTCCAGAATGTTCCCCCTTCAGTCTTCTACAATTTTAATAATAGCTACCACTTTCAGCTCCTTCCAGACATCCGATTATAAATCTTTTACTGATTTCCTACCTAAACTATTCTCTTTTTCACCATTTCATTTGACGCCTCATTAAGTTTTACTTTAAAGCTAAAGTTCTTTATAAAAGCAGTCTTTTCAAAATTAGCACATAAATATTTATTGAATAAATTATAATTTTTTTTCTCTGATTGCAGAGGTTGGTGGTGACTTTTAGGTCATGGCAGCAATATTTTTCTTGCATAATCATAAAATATAATGCTGTTGACGCAAGTACTGTTTTTAAAATAAACTTGCCCTTAAAATGCAGTGGGTATTAATAAGAATAGTATAAAATATGCTGTTATAACAAATATCACCAAACTCTGAAAGTTTATTTCTTACTAAGCAAAGTCTGCTGTGGGTATAGGTAACTCTCTAGGGCAATTGTTCTTCATCCCAGTTTTGGTAGTGATACAAGTGCATGGAATCTTCACCATCCTGTAAAAACATTATCTGGAACTCAGTCTTGTTCATTGACTTTGAAGGCAAAGAGAATACCGTATGATTTTTCATTGGCAATGAGAAGCTTTAGATCGAAGTGACACATTTCACTTCCACTCATAGACCATTATCTGGAACTGCACCTAACTACAAAGAGGCAGGGAAGTTTAATCCCCCCAAGAAGAATGGGATGTGGGAGGGCACCAGTAGTTTCCACCCCACAATGTGTATGATCAAGAAAGGAAAAGCAAATCTGCTCACCCATAACACAAAATCCTTCACGTTTCCTTCCAGCATTAGCATATTGTGTTGTGGACATTTTGTTCTGTCAGGACCATCGATTTTAAGTTCTTCTGAGATAATATGGTCTACAGTTTGTTCAGAATGGTTCTAGTTCTCAATGTTTGCTTTTTAGAATTTTACTAGAAAGGAGAATGATCCTGGAGAAACTATATCTATATCTAACTAGAGCTATACCTGTATCTGTATCTATATATATATATCTATATCTTCCATTTCAAATGGCCTGGGAATCATATAGAATGAGCTGCCATGACTATAGTCATATTCAGCCAAGGAAGTTAATTGTGAGGGAAATATTGGAGACTCATATGTAACTCAGCACCTTAAGATGCTCATTTGGGCCAGGCACAGTGGCTCACATCTGTAATCCCAGTGCTTTGGAAGGCCAAGGTGGGAGGATCACTTGAGGTCAGGAGTTTGAACCAGCCTGGCCAACATTGTGAAACTTCATCTCTACTAAAAATACAAAAATTAGCCAGGCATGGTGGTTTGCACCTGGAATCCCAGCTACTTGGGAGGCTGAGGCACGAGAATTGCTTGAACCCAAGAGGCAGAGGTTGCAGTGAGCTAAGATTGCGCCACTGCACTCCAGGCTGAGCAAAATTCCATCTCAAAAAACAAACAAACAAAAAAAGATATCCAGTTGATTCCATCAATCATTGAATTTATGTCTGATTTTGGGCTATTTAGTTAATCTCTCTGTGTATCCATTTTCACACTGCCAAGTATTAATAGTAATAGTGCCTCCTCCTTGGGGTGTTGGAATATCAAATAGGATAATGCATGTGAACCGTTTCCGTGGTCCCCATCACTTAGTAAATGCTAAATAATCAGGAGTATTGAGAATATATGATTTCATCATGATTTAAACATTTGGTCCTAACTTTTGGCATCAAGTACATTAGGGATCAAAAGATTTTAAAAATTGTTTTTTCCTAAAAACACATAAAATTGCTTTTTAAAACTATGATTTTTCAAAGTTAAAAGGTGAGACAAAAAAACGAACCTTGAAATAGTTTGTCTGTGTATTTGAGGTGTTCACAAATAATCTCAGCTGTTGCTAAGACAGCATAAGGAAACAAATTTTTTAGTGACCTGGATTCTAGCTCAGATTTCTGCTAACTAGCTTCAGGATTTAGAAGTGGCGTTAATGCCTGGGTCCCAGTTTTGTTGGTTCTACTATGAAGGGATTTACTAGGCAATCTCTCAGAGTCATTTTAGCACTCGAATTCTAATACTGAATAGCTTTCACAATGTGTGAAGTGGATATATTTTCCCTAAGGGTAAAATAAATGCTCCAAAATATTTCATGTAGATCTTTGTACCAAATTTATACATAGTAAAAAATAGGACACAAAAAAGAAGTTGGAGACACAGTTCCTGCCTTCAGTGAGCTTCTAATACCAGTGATTAAATTCCTGACAGTGTTAGCATATTACCAACAGATGAAGTAACCAGAGACTTGTATTTCAAAAGGTCAAGGAAAAGATGGAAGGAGGGTTGACTTGATAAAATTCTCATGATGATTCATTAGAATCTCTGAAAGCAGAAATCTCATGTCTTCTGTTTTCATCCTTCTGGGTGCTACCCTGTTTATACAGGCCAAATTCACTTTCCATGACTCTTAAAATGGTGCTGTCATTAGTAAATGTCACATCAGAGAAAACTTCTGGTTTAGTGCATATTTTACTTTCTTAGAAGCTCAGAATCTATGATCATATACTCAATATGAATGCCTACAATCACAGGGATTACACGTATAGCATCTTCTTTTGGTATCATTAAAAGACACCTGAAGGAGATTCAAAGAAGAAATAAAAAATGGCTTTTAACTTAAAGTGATAGAATTGAATGCTGATCCCAAGAAATTCAGCCTTCTGTGGGCATCTGCATGATCATTCTGCATGATTGCTTCTCCTGGACAAAGTTGGTTCTGACAAGAGGCCTTTTCTCAATACTAATCCATGAGTTAACATATAAAAACATCATTTTCAAGGTATAACACTGCTCTTATATTCACAGCCAGTTGCATTCAAAATAGCTTTCTAAGTTTTCAGATTGCCGGGGCATCTTAGCTCTCTGAATGTAGCCTTAGAGTACAAGACTCAAGCCATATCTCACACATAGTTCAGCACAGCCCTGTGCAGACTGGCCAGATCAGAGGCCTTCCTGGACCAGCCAGGCCTCCTGAGGACTAGGAATGTGTCCTGATGGACTCGCAAAATTCCTTTTTCAGTATTTTCCTTTTTTTTGCAGACTTTGCTTCGTATCTCTCATACACAAAATCTGAAACAAACAAGACAATCCAACAAACAAACAAACAAAAACCTTAAAATTAACTTTTTTTGTATACATTAGATGTATGTCACCCACCTTAGATTTGTAGCAAGCTGGAGTTCTGGGACTATGTAGATATCCTTAAAATCCTCTTCCTTGGGCTGCTTCTCAGCATGACCCTGTGGTGCACTATTTAAAATCCCACAGTTCTGACTTCGTTCTTTTCCTCTTTCAACCTTTTAATACTGTGTCAGATTTATGATACTTAGGGAAGTATAATAAAAGATTTTCCACCGATTAAAGGATTCTTTTCAGGATTTTGATTTAGTTACATAACAAATAGTAAAAACATAAAGTAAAATTAATTTTTATAATATATTTTATCTAACCCAAGGTATTCCAAATATTATCACTTCCATAGGTAATCAATAAAAAAAGATTAATAACATAAATTCTTCTTGTCATGTTAAGTGTTTGAAATCCTCTGTATTTTAACCTGAAACACATCTTAAACTGGGTGCTAAATTTTTATCGGCAGTACTTGAACACTACTTATATGTCATAAGATTTAATTTGAAAAAGCAGATTCACAAGCTCAAGTTGTTTCAAACATAATTAAAGTATTTGAAACACTGAAATAACTACAGGTTTAATATCTAAATTAAATAAAATTTGAAGTTTGGTTTCTCAGTCACACTGGCCTCATTTCGAGTATACAGGTGGCTAGTGGCTCCCATCTTAGACAGCCAAAGGCCTTTTATTTTACTCAGATTTAGTGAGACTGTACTGGAAAACAATATATAGGTCTGGACTTAAAAGCTAAGAAGAAATAGAAGTAACTTTGAGAGACAAGCGAAATGTCACAAAAATTATTTTAAATACTTCTAAATTTTGGGAAAATATGATTCACCAGGAAGTAGCCGACTTCTGCTTGTATGGAAAGAGTGCATGGCATAAGAATCGTTAGAGGGGCCCTTCTCCATCTCAGATGACAGCTAGACACAGATAAATGGATTTCAGCTCTAATGGGAGAGATTGTTTAGCCGTAAGAAAAAATTTCTCTCTATTCAGAATAGAAAGTCATGAGAACTGTGTCCCTGGAGCACATTGAAATTAGGGCAAATGTGCCTCTGTCTGGGATGATTTAGTTGCAGGCCTTCCTGAAGGATAGCGGATCGCACCAATCGTCTCTCAAGGTCTCTTCCTGCTGTGACGCTCTGATTCTAGGAAAACCCATGGGTAGAAAGGCCACACTGCCAGCTGTTTCCAAATGTCGTTTTTGCAAGGACAATTAATCTTTCTGATTACATGACTAGTGCTATAGAGTTTTCAAACTTTTTTTCTTTTCCCTTGTCTGGGAATGTGTTGAAAACTGAGCAAGCACTTAGCTATGAATGCTGGGAAGCTGTGAATTGGTGGAAGAGTCCTTTCTATGGCTGTGTTTTCAATGGGCAGTAAATCCCATGTGTATTTCAGAGGGGCAGACACATGTTCCTCCTATTTAAATGGTTTTCAGAAAAATGCTGAGATCAAGGACACATTCACATTCAGGTAAATGTAGAGGGTGGGCCCATGGCTCCCACTGGCAAATAATCTTGAATTGCTTTAGTTGCTGGTAATGTAGCTGAATCATGGACAAAAAGAGCATCTTGGATCTGGACCTGGATTGCAGCATCTGGCTCTCTACAATATTGTTTCCCATTTACTTCTGAAGATTCATTAATGCAGAGAACTGAGGGGCTGTCAATTCAAGAAAGAATGATTCTAGAAACTGGCAAACATCTCTGGCTAATGTCATCAAATATCTTTTTTCCTGGATAAGATTTAGTTAAGTTTCCCCCTAAATTGTTTTATTTCTTAGTCAAGGGAAGTCTGAATTCTTAAACGCTATAATTGCTTTTAAAACGTTAGGAATGAGGGACTAGAAGCTATCATTGTGTTAGTTGAGATTTGCCATGAATTTTCTGGACCAGACAGTGGTGGCAATGTCAGCTAAATTGCCTGGCTACCCCAGTCCTCTCACAAAGGTGAGAGTGAACAGTCTGCAAAGAGCCTAAAAAGGCGGCAGTCTAGGATTTTCTCTGAGGTTAGATCTCATCATATTCACATATAAAACATGTATTAAATATAGTCATATACTGCATAATGACATTTTGGTCAACGGCAGGCCACATATACAAATGATGGTCCTATAAGATTATAATGGAGCTGAAAAATTCCTATCGCCTAATGATACTGTAGCCATCATGACATCATGGCACAACGCATTACTCATGTGTTTGTGGTGATGCTGGCATAAACAAACCTATGTACAGCCAGTTATATGAAAGTATAGCTATACAATTATGTACAGCAAAAATACTTGATAATGATAGTACATGACTATGTTGCTAGTTTATTTACTATACTATACTTTTTATCCCTATTTTAGAGTGTACTTCTCTAATTATTAAAAAAAAAGTAAGTGTAAAACAGCCTCAGGCAGGTCCTTCAGGAGGTACCCAGAACAAGGCCTTGTTTTCATAGGAGATGACAGCTCCATGCGTGTCATTGACCCTGAAGACCTTCCAGTGGGACAGGATGTGGAGATGGAAGACAGTGACACTGATGATCCTGACCCTGTGTAGGCCTAGGCTAATGGGTGTGTTCTTGTCTTAATTTTTAATAAAAAAGTTTAAAAAGTTAAAAAGAGTTAAAATAGAAAAAGCTTATAAAATAAATATAGGAAATATAATATTTCATATTAATAATTATAAAATAAGAGAAGATATTCTTTTACAGCTGTAAAGTGCATTTGTGTTTTAAGCTAAGTGTTATTGCAAGAGTCAAAAAGTTTTTAAAATTAAAAAGTTTATAAAGTGAAAACATTACAGTAAGCTAAGGTTAACTTATTACTGAAGAAAGAAAAGTATTGTTTAAAATAAATTTAGTGTACCCTAAGTGTACAGCATTTATAGTCTACAGTAGTGTGCAGTAATGTACTAGGCCTTCACATTCACTCACCACTCACTCACTGACTCACCCAGAGCAACGTCTAGTCCTGCAAGCTCCACTCATGATAAATGTCCTATACAGGTGTGCCATTTTTTCTTTTATACTGTATTTTTACTGTTCCTTTTCTGTTTATATACACAAATACTCATAATTTAATTACAATTTCCTAGAGTATTCAGTAAAATAACATGCCGTACAGATTTGTATCCTAGGAGCAGCGGACTATACTGTATACTCTAGATGTGCAGCAGGCTATACCATCTAGGTTTGTGTAAGTACACTCTGTGATGTCCTTACAGCGAAACTGTCTAATAACACATTTCTCAGAACATATCTCATTGTTAAACAAAGCATGATTTTATTGTGCTTGAGAGAGCTGAGGAATGCTTGACCTTGGGCCATAATAACACAGTGAGCAAGTTTCTCAATATTGACCATGTTTCTCAATATTCTTTAATGACTTACCTAAATAAATACAAAACTTTAAAGCAGTTCAGTCAAAAGTGAATGACTAGGCAAACTTGTAAAAGTGAGTAATTAAATAACCCACTGGGTTTCACTGTTGTATACCAGAAATCAACATGTTTAGGACTGGAATATGTTTTTAGGAGCAGGAGAAGGAAAATGGTTAGGTCTACACTATAGGGCGCACAGCATGGGACACTGTGGGGCCCTCCAAGGTACCTCAGTGGGGCATCTCTGGATTTCTTATGACCATGAAGACACCAGGGCTCTGAATATTGAAAGAGGACAAGGGAGTAATGAACCCATAGCAAGTGTGTATCGCGGGTACAGGTACGTCAGCTCTCCTTTGGCGTGTACAGTGGAGCAAGGGTAAGAAGCACTGAGTTCTGACTGTGATGCCAGTAGCACTACCTGCAGCCAGGTTCTTCCAAGCCTCAGGAAGAGGAGGATGAATTAGAAATACAGCTGTCTTATCCAGCCTTATTATTTTACAGATATTTAGCATAGCCAAAAGGAATTCTTACTGTGTTGCTTTGGTCCTCAAGGATGATGATGATCTAGTCTTATATTAACAATAATTACTTTTATATAATATTTTCTATAATGTAGAGCTGAAGACAAGACTGTTTATGTTAATGGCATTGATAAAACCACTACTCTAGAATCCTGGTCATGCATGTGTATGAAAAACAAGGAAAGATGGAAAAAAGAAGTAAAAAGTTCACCAGGCTAAGTCCACCCCCCACCAAAATATATATATATATATATTAGCAAATATACCTTGGCCAAGAAAGATTTTAAGGCAAGTAATTGTTTTTAAGAATAACAAACAGGCTATATCTCTGATTTGTCTAAAGATTCATGTTGTCATCTCCAAAGTTTTCCACTACAGAGATTTATGCTGTCATTGGATCTAATTATGAATTAATGATTGATTCATTTAGGGAGTAACTCGACCAAATGGCAGTGAATTGAAAAATGAGCAGACCCTGAAGGAACACATTGGCAGTAATAACTAATTCTGTCTGCTGATGGCAATCAGCATAGGTCACTTAGAAAATAGCCCTGGATGGAACCAATTACTCACTTTCAATCCACAGTGAGTGGTTTCCTCAGCCTTGCACTACTGACATCAATTAACCCTCATGGCATTCTTCAATTATTTGAAATCTCTAGGCACACCCATCCTTCTGAGGTAGCTACTTACAACATTTCAAGTTTGTTTTGCTTTCTTTGCAAAGGTTTTAAGCGGAAGAGCTGTGATATTTTCCCTCTTTATTCTTAAAAGCACTCCGCTCATCCACGTTGGTTACTTGTTTACTTTGTACTCACTACCGAGTACATCTTGACATTTTGTAAATGAATACAGGTCTACACAGAATTCTTGAGGTACTCCGGTTTAATAGCTACACTAGTTTGATGCTCTATATGGTCATATTAAAGATGTATTAATTGCACATCAAGATTGATTTTGCTGCAGGGTCCATGAGAAAAATCCCACACAAAACCATCTATTGTTCTGTCAACTCTCTTTGAAGAGGCTACTGTGGTAGGGGTTGGTATGGAGAGACCCTTGAAGGGTAAATGATTTCATATAAATTTCTTCAATTAGCAACAGCTTTATAATTCCTGCTGCGAGCCATCAACTACACTCAGATTAGTTTTAATGGGGAAACTGTGTACCAAGAATCCTGCCACAGAACCCCCTAAGGAGAGCTGATTACATTTTTTTCAAATGCTTACACAAGGATGCATACTTAAAAGTGAATTGTAACCTTTTCAAAACTGACATTTCAAAAGAAACAAATATTGAGTAGTGGGAGGAGGAGGAGGCAGTAGAAGAGGCAATTTCATAAGTGAAGGAAAGGATATCAGAAGGAGTTCTTGCTTTTGGTAAATATACAAAGGCATTGCATGCAGCAACCACCTCTTTCTCTTCTGTTTTGTACACCAGCTTCTTGCTTTTCTTGTCCATGTGTTCTCATTATTTAGCTCCCACTTATCAGTGAAAACATGCGGTATTTGGTTTTTTGTTCCTGTGTTAGTTTGCTAAGGATAATGGCCTCCAGCTCAATCCATGTCCCTGCAAAAGAATATAAATCATTCTATCATAAAGGCACATGCAGGTGTCTACTTCTTAATTCAGTCCCTGCCCCTCGGTCGAGCACTGAGGTTCCACCCATGGTTGCACCCTTGGTTAATCTGGGCATACTCAGCTTATAAGACCTTCACACTGGGAGTCAATGGTAACTGAAAAACAACCCCCAACTTCGTTACATGAAAGCTGAGGCAAGTTGGTCTGGTGTGGCTACAAAATCTATGGTAAAACTTTTATAGGTGTTTGTAAGATTGTTGTTAGTGGTTTTCCTATCTAAAGTTTCAAAAATTGGAGTTAAGTATTCAAGGGCTATTTTATAGAACCATGATTACATGGTCTTTTCTGTGATTCAGAGAATTACAGAATACAAGTTACAACACGGTTTTTTAGAAAACATCACATTCCCCAGTTTAGTGCTCGTATTTTTGGGTCATACCCAGGTTTATGGGAGCGGATCCCATCTGGAAGATTGTATCTGGTACATTTATGAGAAGCATTGATAATTTACAGTGGAGCAGAGGAGACAACCTGCACAATCAAGGGCCTGGAAACTATGGAATGAGAGAAGGGCTGAAGGAACAAGAATTAGAATAAGAAAGGGAAGAGCTGGGAGGAACATTAATAACAATGACATAACACAGTACACAGTAGAAATGTAAATATTTCAAGGGTTATTACAAAGAACAACAACAACAACTAAAAAAAACCTTTGGATTTGACAGAAAACCAGTTCAGCTGAAAGACATTAATCAGTACCTTCTAACTTAGAAATCTCCCAAAATGGAGTCCCCTATAGCAAAATTTCCATTATAGCAAGAAATTGACTACTGCCTAGTCAAGGATATTTTGGACTCGATTTCTGCCTCAGAGTAGAGGTTGAACTAGATTGCCTATGGATATTATACATCTATTTACTTAAAGGACAACATTTTAAATAGTAGATTACTAGTTTGATTTATTTGTTATATTTGACACATGCCTCTCAGAAACCACATCAGTTTCCAATATTATCATCTAGGAGTGTTTATTTAGCATCAGAAGAAAGCTGAAAATCTTACTAGATGGAGAAAAATAATGCCATGGTTCTGTGTAAATACAGAATTACAGAACATTAGATCTAAAATGGACTTCATTGCAGAAGTGACAGATAACTACCCAGAGAGTTTTCAGCCCTTCCTACGGATACTTGGTTAGTAATGGGTGGAGCACTGTCCCCTGATCATCTCTCCACTTCACAGTTCTTTCCACCCATTTGGTTAAGGCTTAGCCCGCAGCGATCAGCTCAGCAGTAACAACAAAGGTCTCTGACACCACCTTCCTACATCTACCCACTACTCACCTTATCCCTGACTTGCACCCGCTAAATAAGCAGCCTCAGGAATCCAGCCTGAGGCTCAGCACTAATCCCCAGTTTTTGCTCCATCCCACCATAGCTTCTGTCTTTTCCGCATATTCTCACATCAGCATCTATAAGAGGAAAACCTCAGTCTTTATGGTCTCTAGACTGGAATCCCATCATAGTCCCCAAACCAGAGAGAGAGGAGCTCATGACAGACTGCGTGTCAATCCCATCCAACCAGCCTCCCATCCTCAGCTGAGATGTACACCAGAATTTCCCAACTCAGTCTCAGCCAAACGACTCAACATTTCAGTCAAATAACTGGCCCCTCTATTGAAGCTTTCTAAATGGAGCAGACAAATCAGATTGACCATTGCTGTGAGGTTTACTGTTTCTTCTATTGTTGAAAATAAAAAATAAGTTATGTGACTCCAGAGGCTACCAGATATTTATTTAACATTAAATGGAATTTGAGGCTAACCAAACCTTCTTCCTTAGTCAGGACAACAGACCAGATAACCTCATAAACCATATCTTTATAAAATAATAATGGATATAGGGCATGCATTTGAAACAGCAAGGTAACTTTTTTAAATTTGTGACTGTTTCAAAAGTTTAAGGGCACACATTCCGATATAATTAGCAGAGAATTTACTACCATTATGAGTTAATTCACTGACCCTCAGTTTACGTTCCTATATTTGAAATATAAAGAATGTTTGCCCTTTAATAACACTATGGACTAGTTAAGAAGCAATGTTTTAGAAAATGTATTATTATATTTATCTCTCCAATCCAATCAGGACCCAGTAATCAACATTAATCAGAAGTGTTCATGCTTTATGTACAAAACTGTTTCAGAAATGTCAAGAGTGAAATAAATCCTAAAGATTCTTCCTAGGTCTGACTTGTGACTTAATAATATCAATATGAAATTTGTTGCTTATGAAGGAATTAGTACTTTTTTTTGGTGTGTGTGTGTGTGTGTGTGTGTGTGTGTGTGTGACAGAGAGACAGAGAGACAGAAAGAGAGAGACAAAGAGAGAAAGAGAGATAGAGATTTTGTGAGGAAAATTATTTAGTTCTTTCTTGTCCATTAAATCTATTTGTGTGATTTTATAAAAATAAGAAACAAGTTGAAGAATGCTAAAGAGAAGATAAACACTATCCCTGATTCCCACACTTCCAGTCCAGTTCAGGCGGTGATGAGGCTGTGTCAGCATGGGTGGCCCCCAATTCATGGTTTCTCTCTACTCTCCTGATATATATATATATACTTGGACGTAAAGATAGGAACAATAGGCACTGGGGAGTACAAGAAGAGGGAGGGACAAAGTGGGGCAAGAGTTGAAAGCCTACCTATTTGGTATTGTGATATATATATATATTATATTATATATATATATTATATAATATATATATTATATAATATATATATATATGACTTTTGTTGTAGAATAAATGTAACACAAAATGTTTCTATAAGGACTTAAAAATGCCAGTTTGTCACTGTGGTGGGCTTTGTGGTTCCTTCTGACAAGCATCGAATCTATTCCACTACTTTCTCCCTCTGTGTAGAATTCATGTTATTTGCCCAGCATTGGCATTTGTCATTGTCCCTAGTAATCTTCTCTCCACCTTCTTCTCTCTCTAAGAAGCTCATAGCTCTTAGAGCTATAGGTAGACATCTTGTAACCAGGAGGGCAGTTAGCCTCTGTTAAAAGCAGTGTTCAGAGGTGAAAAGAAGCATATCCATGGTGACCCATCTTAGACAGCAGACACTATATTCCCTGAAACCTGACCTTTATAACTTTTTACTTATTGGGCCAATATATTCCATGTTGTGTATGCCGGTATGACGTGGTTTTCTGTTATTTGCAACCACAAGCTTGCTCCCTGGCACAGTAATTATTCAGAATACCTGGGAAAGGGCGAGGAACTGAGTAATATATTGAGTGCCTACACTTTATATCATTTTATCCCACTAAGTGATAGATACCATTTTCCTAATTTTATACATAAGAAAAATGAGGTATATAGAAGCTATGTAACT
Source organism: Homo sapiens (assembly GCF_000001405.40). Lineage (NCBI taxonomy): Eukaryota > Metazoa > Chordata > Mammalia > Primates > Hominidae > Homo > Homo sapiens. The sequence goes on from NC_000008.11 coordinate 62,528,966, forward strand.
TGAATGAAGCCATAGGGGTAGAAGCAGAATTATAATCAGGACTCTCTGAAACCAAGGCCCCTTTTCATTCTGCTAGACAAGCAGCTCTCAATCTTTTTCTTCTTTATCATCCATAGCAGATGAGGTATAGGTACAGAACACACTCGCATGGGCATATCTAGAGCTGAATGTAATCCTGTCCTCTTCCCATAATTCAACCTGTTTATCTGCTACTCAAGAAAGCAAATCAGGATGCAAGGCGTAGTGGCATTTCTTGCAGGATAACTTGACATTTCTTTAATTTAAAAGGCAAAAAGTTACTCTAACCCCACTGAGGCTGTCTGTAGTTTTACTTCAAATTATTTTTGACAAATCTCACTGACACATTGCTCCCTTCTGCTTTTCATTATGCTTGTTATTGAATGAATCTTTTTTTCCTCCTCTGCTCCACTCAACAACAACAAAAAATTCAGACATTGAAATCCTAACAACGAACGTGATAGTGCTAAGGGAGCAGGCCTTTGGAAGGTGATTGGGACATGAGGGTGGAGCCCTCCTGAATGGGATTAGTGCCTTGTAAAAGATATCCAGAGAGCTAGGGTGCCCCTTCCCCCTTCCACCATATGAGCTTACAGTGAGAAGGTGGGAGGACAACCATCTGAGAGGCAAGCAGCAGGCCCTCACCAGACACTGAATCTGTCAGTGCCATGATCTTGGACAGCTCAGCCTCCAGAACATGAGAAATAAATATTTGTTGTTTATAAGCCACCCAGTACATGGTATTCTGTTATAGAAGCCAAACAGACTAAGGCAATACTAAGTGGATGTGCTTTCTGGTACTTTCAGAGCATTCTGGAGAGCCAAGAAGTTTTTACCCATGAAGAAAATGAGCACTCGAGGTCAGAGGTGTCAAGCTGAGCTCTTGTTATCTTTGTATAAAAAGGAAAATCTCCACAATATATTTGGTAGCAGTACTAGAGGCTTCCCCTACCAGTTCTGGCACCATCCAGTTGAGATTTCTCCTGGCTCGGCTATCTGCCCAGCTCTGTTGACTTTGCACTGACTCAGTTTGGTTACTCTAAATGTACACACCCAATTCAAAAAAGTTTGAGACACCTTACAATAAGGTCATAGAACTTGTAATTATAATAGAAACAAAGGGGACAACAGTATAAAGTTAGGAGCCAAGCAGTCAACTAAGGAGGGGGATGATTAGATTCCTGGAAGAGAGTCCAGGACACAGGTTGACTTTGAAATGTGACTCAAACACCAGATTCATTTTTTTTTTCTGCCTCATAGTTTCAAAATCTTTAGCAAGATGATGTAATAAATATATTTCCTACACGACTTCAATTACCTGGGTTGGCAAACCAGAACTTAATCACAACTCATAGTCAAGTAACTTTTAAAAGTTAGGTCTTTATCCTGTGACCCTGAGAACTGATATCTTGGCAGTTGCCTGGGGAATCATGTGAAATCACACCCAGACACAGTGATACTCACTGGCTCTGCTGCTGTTGGTTCTTGGATATGTGGGATTACTTTTGAAAGCAACACAGAAAACTCCTTGTTTTCCTCTGCAAATAAATTCCCCTAAGAGGTAAGAACAGGTTGACAATATTGCATTGAGTCATTTTTCTCTACTCTGCATTTCCTGGTACATACGTATGTATGTATTTATTTATTATTTATTTATTTATTTATTTATTTTGAGACGGAGTTTTGATCTTGTTGCCCAAGCCAGAGTGCAATGGCATGATCTCAGCTCACTGCAACCTCCGCCTCCCAGATTCAAGAGACTCTCCTGCCTCAGCCTCCCAAGTAGCTGGGATTACATGTGTGTGCCACCACACCTGGCTAATTTTTTGTATTTTTAGTAGAAACGGGATTTCACCATGTTAGCCTAGCCAGTCTGGTCTTGAACTCCCGACCTCAGGTCATCTGCCCACCTCGGCCTCCCAACGTGCTGGAATTATGGGCGTGAACCACCGTGCCTGGCCCACTTCCTGGTTTTCAGATTTTGCTTCAACTCACTCCCTATGAGTAGTCTGTTCACATTAAAAAGCAACCACACTCCAGGAATCCTGGTTTGCATAATGTTCATATGTTTTCTCTCTCTCTGCCCACATCGACCTTTCCACAGATGGTGTAGTTCAGAGAGCCACAGTCGGGGGCCTGAGAGAAAAAAATGCTTAAGCTTAAAAACCATGTGTGCTGTCTCTGTGGGACACATCAGCAAATACTCCTGGCCACATCTACAGCTCACCAAAGACCCAATGGTACCTCTCATGTCGTTTTAGTACATCATGGATATTTGGTGATTATGAACATTAAGAGTCTCATGTTCTTTCCTTTCCTTTCTATCTGTTGTGAAAACCCCACACTCTACTAAATCTTTACCTAACATGTCTCATAGGTTGAAACTAACTTACTTATCCCTAAAACATCACATAAATTCTGCCTATATTTCCTTAGCCATTCCCTTTATTCTTAGCTTAAAACTTCAATAATAGTGGTTTCTCCGTGCCTGTATTCTCAGTAGAAAGCCACACTGGGTGTCACTTTTCCTTTTTTAAAAACTCACAATTGCAGCACTCTCATCTTTCATTTTAAGGAGCTAATCACATGTCAGTTTTCCCAACCAGACTGAGCTCTTCAAGGGCAGGGACATGCTTTCTTTTGCATCCCCAGCCGACTGTCTGGTGCAGAGTAGATGGTGCATACATTTTTTCTGACTAAAACCATGAAGAAATGAATCAACCCATAGTGTCATTTAAGATGAATGACCCAGAGATGGTCTGAAGTAACTAACTGGGCACTCACTCAGGGAAAGGGAAATCACTGGATTATCTGTACTGTTTAGCAGCCACACCACCACCTACTCCCCAGGCATGAATGCCAGCTTTCAGCTGTGCAAAATCATGCTCTCTCCTAGGGAGTAGGAAATCTAGATCATGCCCATGTGCCCAGCTTCCTGCCAAGTGTCATCGTGACTGCCCAGCTCCCTCAGATGACAGTAATAAAGAAAGGACTTAATACACCTTACTCCAGCATGTCTGGGAAATCATGCTGTCATTTATAATCTCTTTGGAAGCACCCAACAGATGCATTCTTTTGACTAACTTTGATGTCTGTTCTTGGGTTAAGGCTCCTAGTCTGATGCTTTCTTTCTTGAACATGCTCATTTTAGTCAGGGGCTCTATTAAACTATTGTTTGTCGGTGTTGTCCATGAGAAATGAGATGACCGTTGAAAGTGTACCATGCCATCACACTGATAAGGACTGTTATCTGAAGGTCAAGGACAGCCTCATGGTACCAGGGTAGTGGACATCAAAACCTGGCAGAGAAAAGCCACTCATCTATGCCAGGGCTATAATCTGCTTTCACTGCCTATCCCCTGCCCAGTCCCCTAAAGCTTCGCACCTTCATGATCCAATACTACATATAACGTCTATACTTGTCCTGAAGCCCTGGCTGCATTCTAATGAATGTGTGCTTTGTTAACTACAGCATAATAAACATGATGCTATAATTATCCATGTTTTCATAGAGCTGGGAAGCTAATCTCTTTAAGAATTGATGTCCCTGGCAGACAGGCTCAGCATTTTGCAATTGTTTTGTGATAATGCATGGCTTCATAGTGGGTTTGTTGGTCTCAGCATTTTAGCAATATCTGGATGAACACCGTATTGAGCACATTTTTATATGTGAGTCTGATTAGCAGTGAGTGTTGTTAAAATCTCATTGTTATCCCGCTCTGCTTCCAATTCCATTCTATGAAAAGGCTTATTACTGGAACCTGAGACTGAAGCTTTCCCCAGCAGCTTCTGGATTCTCCCCCTCACTCTAGGTTAAGTTTACGCATGGATCGAGTAGTGAGATTTGAGTGACTAGGAATGAAAACGTCCACTCCACATCCCATGTTGTTGCTGGGCTTGGCACTGTACATTCCAGGACTAATGAGTCAATATTTTGGACCTAGTACATATTTTCTTCTAGAATATTCTTTATTCATTCATTCAACAAGTCTTGGAATGTCTGTTCTGTGTCACTCTTTAGACACTTAGATACTATTTTCAGACAAACAAAATGCTCTGACATTCTAGTGGTGTGGGGGAGACAACAGAAATAAATCAGATACATACATAAAATATACAATAGTGGAATAATGATATATGCTTATGTGATAAGGAAAAGAAAACAGGAAATGAAGGAGTTTGGGGAGGAAACTGTAAGTTACAGTTTGATTAGGAAAGGCCTCATTGAAAATGTGCCTTTGAGTAAGCACCCTGTTAAAGAATGAGTATCTCGAGGGGACACATGTAAAAAGATGGAATTTTAACCAGTAATAACTAGAGCTATTAACAGTCGATACCTTCTGGGGGGATAATCTTATAGAATGGCCCAGCTGCAGTGGAACAAACTGTAGAACATAGATTGAGGCTCTGTGTGGTGACACCAAAAAGGAAGTCTCCTAAATGTATAGTTTCGCCTGAAGCGGGCTTAGCCCCATGGCTGGGCAGGGCCTTATGTGCTCATCTTCTCACCCCACCTCCTAACAGGGCTTCAGGATGCTTGGACCAGGAGAATCATCCTCTAAAGAACATGAATTACATTTGGGAGACTGAGTTCTCTCTACTTGGAAGGCCCAGGAAAGATTTCCCCTTTTTTCTGCTGCTTTCTTCCTTAGTAGATCTTTTGAAAGTTTCTTAAATTTGTAAAATTGCTCTCCCCTTTCCTTGAATCTTTAGTCGTTAGCTGTATACAGAGAAAAAGTCCCATGTATAAATTGGTCGTTTGTGTTATATTCACAGGAATGGGAATTAAGCCTGAATTTTTAAAATGTTTTTTCAGACCCTGAGTAAATATTAGTAGAACTCATCTACCATGAAATTATGGAAAACAAAATTGTGATAATACTTATTCTGCAATATCATCCAGACTTGCAAGTTGCTAGACATGAAAGAAATACCACAAACTGGAACTGGAATATGAGGGAGAATGTGGGGTCCATGGAGGACACTGCAAGTCCCTTTCTGTGATTGTCTCCGGCTGACTTCAGACGCAACATTACCATGGCAACTTCGTGAAAACAAGGAGGGTAGGCTGAGCTCTTCCCAGCTACTGAATTTTCTGAGTCTCTCTCTATTGTCTGATGATCTTCCTGCCTGAGATCTCCCACTTTTTATTAAGCACCACGGGCATGAGATGAGAGCTCTGCCCCCGGCTAGGCTTGTTCCCATACGTATGTTCCAGTGAGCGTGCACAGGAAGCCCGGGTCTGAGTTAAACAGCGACCACACGTGGGAAAAGTTGAGTTTCTTCCTTTGAAGGTTAATGACAACCAAGCTAGGTTAAATGAAACACCTGTCTGGAAGAAACACTGACAACAGGCATGCTCATAAATAGTACAGGTCACCCGCTGAGCTGACTCTAGTGCAACCTTCTCTCGCAGTGCTGATATTGCCGAACCACGAAATCATACCCACCAGCACGTCATTTGTTAGTTAGAAAGGATGTCATTTTGAACATCATTAAATGTATTTTTTTCACACCCCCAAAACCAACATAAGATGAATGTCACCTGTGAACTGTAAAACGCATCAGCTGTTTCTTATTGAAAACATAACACAGCGGTTTTCATACTTCAGCATGCAGCCAAAGGGCCTCAATGGCTCGCTAAATCAGAGTACTGGGCCCCACCCCCAGACTTTCCTTCTGTAAATCTGGAGTAAAGCCTGGGTATCTGTACTAACAGAATTAGAAGAATTTGAATTTGTTGATGCTGCTGCTTCTGGGCTAAATTCTAGAACCACTGGTCTAGCAGAGACCTCTACTTCTCCATATGGCTGCCCCTGCCTGCCAGGGAAGTGCTTCTTTCTTCATGGTAAAAATGTAAAAACATTGCATTTATTGGTTTTTTTTTTTTTCGTATAGTTTCTGATTTTCTGAAAGCTCCACAGAATGGTCCCAAAGAAAGTGTTCATGAGCAGCTTCCTGTGAAACACAACTAGACAAATAACTCTATCCATTGCAGATGTATAATTGGAATTCAAATTGATTTGTGTGCATGCTTTTTTATGAGCATTATTTATAAACTTGGAATTGGAGTGTCTTTATGGAGTCATTACTACCATTCAGTTCAACACTAAGTGATTCTTCTTTGCATCCAAAATTGGTAGAGCTAGCAGATGAGCACTGAGTTGAATTCGTACACTATTTGTCTCATTGAAGTACTGACAGCACATGCCACAGTCCACGTGCTGTTTCAGTTATGCTCATATTCATGTTATGTTCGGAAAACTCTCTCTGTGTTTTCTATTCTCACACTAAAGCAATCATCAATACAGAAGAAGACTTCTGTGACCATATGTGTGGGGTGTTTTTCCCCACACACCAAGCAGTGAACACCAGCTGGGTGTCCTCTAATTCAATTCTGACTTTATCTACCTGGAGACAGTGTCAGATCTCACAGGTTGAGGGCTCAGTCCCTAAGACTGCCCTGCCTTCCACTCACCCCGCTACCAGTCCCAAGTTTGAGCCTCCAGAACTTCTGACCACCGGGCTTCAAGTTGGGATTCCCATGATCCTTTCTTTAGGCTCATCAATTTTCTGGAGTGGCTCACAGAACTCAGGGAAACATTTACTTACATTTGCTGATTTATTATAAAATATATTGCAAAGGATCAAGATGAGGAGATGTATAGGGTGAGGTATGGGGGAAAGGACATGGAGCTTCCATACCCTCCCTGGGTGCCCTACCCTCCAGCAGCCTCCAGGTATTCAGCTCCCTGGAAGCTCTTGGAACTCTGTCCTCTTGGGTTTTTATGGAAGCCTCATGACTTCAGCATTCCTACTTCCAGAGAATAGGGTGGGATCCTCTAATGAGAGAGTCTTAAGACCCACAATCAGAAAGTCCAGGGAAGATTAGAGTCCTACTTTGGGCAGGTAAAAGGAGGGCCAGACATCAATGGCCTGCCTCTGAGTCCTAATACACCCAACATTGTAACAAAAGACTGTAACAAGGGCTATGGGAGTTATGAGCCAGGAACCATGGATGAACACCAATATATATCCTAACACCACATATGTCATATATGTATATACATAAGTACAGAAACACACATATATATGTGACTATATATGTGAATCTTAGGACATGTATAGACATGCATGAAAAATTTCAAAGAAATGACTCTATTTTTGGAGCATTAATTATAAGTGAAGCCATTTGGAACATGAATAAAGAATGCTTATAGCATTTTTAAGATTAAAATTCATTTTAAAATAAATTTATTATAATAATTACTTCAAAAAGCAATGCGGGCAAGCTCCAAGATGACAGATCTCTAGCTGAAGATGGATGACAAGCTGCTTTCTCTATTAGGCCTGCAAAACAAATATTTTTAAGTCCTAAACATATAGAACAGTTATGGAATACCTATGGTGTGCATGTTAGCCATTAGTTTAACAATAATGTTAACATATGTCCTTTCAAGAGGAGATAGGACCTTATCAAGTGGATTTATTGAATTACATTTGCTCTAAGATATTGTCTGTAGAAACTGAATAAGGAAGGAGTTCAGTAGAACAGCAGCAAGCATTTCCTGAATGTTCCAAGTGGTGGCTGTGGGGACACATCTAGTAAGGCCTGAGGAAAACATGACAAACAGGGACAGGTTTTGAGACCATGAGGCTGTCTCTGGAAGAACCTATAAAATCCTTTTGAAATATTTGCTATTTTTTCTTGTTACCTGAATTAAATTTTCTTTGACAAGTGAAGCAGTTAGAGTTCAGATGGGTTACTTGCCCATATTCTCTTAAATTATATTGGAATACTGGCAATAAACTTTAGTTCACTTTTCCCAAACTGAAATACATTTTTATATACAATCTAAACAGTTCTTAGCCTGTATTCCAGCAATCTACGAGGCCCTCATGGGGAGAGAATAATGATCTGTGGACTTGGCTCCATATCACTGAGAACCTCTGCTCTCCCATCAGGAGAGAAAAGACAGCCACAGTTGTTGAAACTCAGGGAGCAGGGACAGGCAGACATGGCAACACACACTGAAATGTTGGATTTTTGCATCAAGCCCTATAGCACTTCAGGAAAAAGAAAGAAAAGACAACCAGTTACCTTATGTCTTTACTTTGGGATACATTCTGGGTAGAGGCATATTTTGAATAAGGACAAAGTACTAACAATATCTTGGCAATTAAACTTAGGAAGAATTCGCTATGTAATTGGTTGTTGTTTCATCAAGCAGGGCCTACTCTAGAATTTCTGTATTGGTGTGGCTCAGGAACAACAGTGTAGTTAGAAGGAAGAGGTTAAGGACTCTTTGAAGCTCATTTGCTAAATAAAGGAACTGATTTTACTTAGGGAATACCAATAAGGTTTAAAATATGCCTTTATTTAAATTTCACATAATATTCTTTCTACTTAAGCAGTTCTTTCTTCATGGGGGCTGGAAGAGGAAGCCAATATAAGTTATTGGGGATCTAAAGCATTTTACACTGCTGCAAGGTGCCCAGAAAGTTTTAAAGGTTTCGTAAGTGATGTTGGTTTCTGTTAGGAGAAAATTCTTCCCCAGTCTTACTTCTGAAGAATCAGGAAGAGTCTCCTTTTTTTATTTTGACTATATTACTCCAAGCCACTTCTCCCTAACTGCATTTTGTTATATCTAGTAATGCTTTAATGCCCCCTTTTGTTTATTCAACAACTCTCAATTAGCAATTTTTGAGCACTAATGTGTAGTTGCAGAAATATCAGTTATGAATTCTTTAAGAATCTCAGAAAATAAATCCTATTTGACAACATGCAAGAACCTCATCACATGTAAAATGGAGCTGGTGACTCAAAGTTGGCATACTTTCTGAGCCACTTTGGTCAGGTTGCTTTTGGAAGATACTGCTGCTCAACACTGGATTTGCAGAATCTGGTGCAGGAGAATATTTACTTTCTTCCACAACCTCAGATAAACCAAGTTCAATGACAGTGCTGCATCATTTGTGTGCCTGGCCTCACAGTGGATGGCAACTGTGATTATCCCCAGAGTCTGGGGTCCATGCCAGGAGCTGCTTCCCCTGACAGAAAGCAGGTGTCTGAACACAGGGAAAGGGAAAGGAAAACAGAGCCCTGAGGAGCTTTGAAAAATTCTAGATCTGGCTTGATCTCTATACAAGTACTTTGGAAAGGTAGTTCTTATGATGAGGTAGCTTGTTTGTTGTTGTTTTTGTTGTTGTTGAGACAGGGCCTCACTGTTGCCCAGGCTGGAGTGCAGTGGTGCAATCTTGGCTCACTGCAGCATCGACCTCTCAGGCTCAAGCAATCCTCCCACCTCACACTCCTGAGTAGCAAGGACCATAGGCACCCACCACTACACACGGCTAATTTGTTGTATTTTTGGCAGAAATGGGTTTCACCAAGTTGCCTAGGCTGTTCTCGAGCTCCTGAGCTCAAGCAATTCCCCCACCTCGGCCTCCCAAAGTGCTGGGATTACAGGCATGAGCCACCACTCGCAGCCATAAAGTAGCTTTATAGTTTTCCTTAACTTTTCCCCCCTCCAAAGTAAACCTTAAACAGACTTCCAAAAGAAAGTGGTTTTAAAGTGTCTATTGCCATAAATTTCACATGGAATAATTTCAGCCACATAATCAATTCTTGTGGGATTTCATGTTATCAGAGGATTTTCTACTAGTAACAAATTTCAGATATTCCATATCACTAAATATGATTTCAGCCTCTGTGGTCTCAGGCGAATTTGCTGTTGGTCTCCGTGTTCTTGTTTTGTCAGTATGTTCCTATACATTACATAGCACTTTTTCCACAACGAGTTTTTCCTACTACCTTGAATCCTAGTAGATGACTACTTTTTCTAATTTTGAGAAATTGAACATATGCAAGTTCATTTAAGCAGGTAATGAAATATATAATGCCATTGCTTACCACTTTATCCCCTTACCTTATTTCATTTTACTTTGTATCATTTTACATATTAAATAATTGCCTGTTTGTTTATCTGCTCCCACTATCCTTTAAGCACCTAGAAAAATGCCCAACTCAGGAGGGTCATTCAGTGTATGTTTGGCAAATGAATACTTGATATTGGAAGGGCATCCAGTTCTCTGAACTTTGAATCCTGATACACTATCTACCAACTCCTGTGTCTGTGTCCTGAAACGTGTTTATCATTCTCACATTGGTGCTGGAACTATCTGAAATGATATCCATTCCTTTTGAGCTTGAATGCAAAATTAGCAACATCATTTTACAAATGTGACACCAGGAAGAATTAATTTCTTGAAAGATAACTCAGTAGAAATGATTTCATCATTAAGGGGAAAGTTATCAGAATTGCAAAATGCAAACATCCAAAACAATGAAGGGAAACTAAAGGCTTTACCTGAAACATCCAAAAAGTCCATTGTAAAACTGACAGAAAACAAGTGTAGGGATTTATTTCAGCTTTACTGCAGTGTGAAATTGGCCATTTGTTATAGACTCTTCCTATAAATCACCAAAATTAGAGGTATATGGTGTGCAGATCTTTAAAAAGATTCAGAGTTTCTTCTGATCAATCACACAAAGACATCAAATAACACCTACACTGCACCTGGGTGGTGTTTTTGTTTGTTTGTTTGTTTGTTTGTTTTGTTTTTGAGACGGTCTTGCTCTGTCATCCAGGCTGGAGTGCAGTGGTGCAATCATGGCTCACCACATCCTCGATCGCGTGAGCTCAAGCAATCCTCCCACCTCAGCCACCCAGGTGGCTGGGACTACAGGTGTGCACAACCACACCTGGCTAATTTTAGTAGAGACAAGGTATCACTGTGTTGCCCAGGCTGGTCTCTATCTCTGGGCTCAAGTGATCTTCCCACCTCAGCATCTGAAAGTGTTGGGATTCAGGCATGAGCCACTTTACCTAGCCAGGTGCTTTTTTTAAGTAAGCATTCTAAAGTGTGTCAGTCAATCACTTTCAAACAAAAGGCAATAAATGATCTATGCATTGCTTCACCTTGTGTTAATAAATATTTTGTCAGCCTTACCTCATGGAGAACTGTAACACTCTTGGTGACTATTATGGTATTTTATTGCTTTTATTTTTATCAAAGTTAGATACATCAACATAATTTAACAATCATTTAGTTCAACAATCATATAAAAAACATCATTTTCTTCTCTGTCTCCCATTCCTAATTTCTGCTCTCAAAAGGAAACAATTTACAACTCTTCTTATTGTTTATTTTGTCATTTACCTCCAAATCACTCAAAAATGTGCTTTAGCTGCTTTCTCTTTTTTAGCTTTATACAATTCACTAGTAAATTTTCACCTTGAAAGAGATTTAACATTTTTCGCTATCCCCTACCAGTTTCAAACCCTCCCACTCATAATTAACCTCCTACTACCTACCCAGTATAAGTAAATCATAATTTTTGATGGATCAGTTTTCAGTGTTTACATAACTATGTAAGAACTATTCATAAGTGAGCCATGTAGTGTACTACATTTCCATTCTTATAGTCATATCTTTTCATTTATTTGTTTTCTACCTTTTTGTCTCCAATTAACCTCCAACTCTACTCCATAGTATAAATTGGTCAATATGTTCAAACACATTGGCTCTTCTATAAATTTTATCTTCTTGGAGACATGTTTCTCAGAACCCTCTGGCTTAAAATAGAGAGTTTAGAGTAGCCTCTCTAGACCTATTCTTCAGCTGTCATCCGAAGAGCTCCCTCAATCATCATTTTGAGGGTGTGTGATGTTCATGTGTGTGTGTGTGTTGTCTTTTTTTAATAAATAATCTCCTATTGTCTAGATCCCATGTCTTTTGCATTTTTGGTTCACTCTTTATTATGATAAAGTGTTTCCTTCAGTCTTGAAAAAAAAGGGTGAAAGAAGATGTTTTGTTTTTTCTTAGAATCTATGTGTCCAAAATTGTTTTATTCCATCCTATCATTCAAATGGGAGTTTGGCTATAAACAAAACTGTAATTTCAAAATTGTTTTCCCCTCAAATTTTTAAGACACTAGTTTGTTCATGAGCTTCCAGTGTTGGATTAAAAAGTCCAGAGCCAACCAGGCTCAGTGGCTAATGCTTTTAATCCCAGAACTTTGGGAGGCTGAGGTGGGGGGATCACTTGAGGTCAGGAGTTCAAGACCAGCCTGGCCAACATGGTGAAACCCGGTCTCAACTAAAAATACAAGAAAAAAAAAATAGCCAGGTGTGGTGGCACATGCCTGTAGTCTCAGCTACTCAGTAGGCTGAGGCAGGAGAACTGCTAGAACCTGGGAGGGGGGAGGATGCAGTAAGTCAAGATCTCACCACTGCACTCCAGCCTGGGTTACAGAGCAAAACTCTGTCTCAGAAAACAAACAAATAAAAAATAAATAAATAATGCAATTTAAAAAAGAAGTCCAATGCTATTCTGATTTCAAACTACCTGTAGAACATCTCCTTCCTGGCCCAAGTTAATAGAATCCTCTTTTTGTATCCACTGTTCTGAAATGTCCTAACAATGTAGCTTTTTGGAGTAATTTTCATTCATTTTTCTGGATGCTTGTTTGTGAGGAGAAGGGTCTTTTATCTGAAAACTTTTTCTTGTGCTCTGAGAAGGTCTATTAAATTATTGTGTTTTCTGTTCTTTCCTTAAAAACTTCCATGATTTTGATATTGCACCACTCATCTTTTTTCTATTATCCATTTTTTTGCTTTTAATTCTATTTTCTCAAATTTATCTTATTTTTTTCATCTATTATCTTTTAAATTTCAAGCTCTTTTTATGCATTTCTGATGTTTCTCATAGCATTATATCTTTGCTTTATAAAGGTAATCTCTTATTTTTCTGAAAATATAAATGACACATTTGAAGTTGTTCTTAATTATTGTTGAACTTTTTTCTCCCTGCAAATCTTTCTTCTTTGTTGCTTTTTAAACTTTTAAAATGTCTTTTATGTTAAAGTTGTGTTTTGATCCCTAACTGCTGACATTTAAGAGTGAGTTAATAAAAAACTCCATTCATGTGAGTGGGGCTTGCTGCCTGTGGACCTCACTGTAAATCTGGCTAGATTGCTTCACTGAGAAGACTCAAATGACAGTACTCATAGGTCTTTTCTCCTGGTCTGGTCAAATCCCTCAGAGAGGCTCTTTCCCCTGAGAGTAAAAACACAAATCCCAGTGTTCTGGAACCACATCTGGGAAGAGAGCTGAGAAGTGGCAGTTTTTAATACTAAATTCATAGATTTTTGTGTAACCCTCTAGCTTTCATTATGGAAGCTTTACTCCCAATTAGCTTTGGTTGCCTACTCTAAATTCTTTCTGGATCACCATATCTAGAGGGTAAGTGTTCCATCTTCTGCCAGAATTAAGAAGGGACAGTCATTCTGCTGCATGGAGTGAAAAGGGGTTTCTCAGGTCTAACTGTTCTTTGTTTTTTTTGGATAAAACAACATGATATATGTGAACTTTATTTGCGTAACTATGAAATATTAAACAAATGCCAGATTAATCAACATATAAGAACAAAGTATACTCAGAATTTAGAAGACAAAACTAAACATGAATCTAGAAAGGGTAAGCATATAATGGATGACATCTCTATCTATAACAGTCATCCACCATAAAAAGACCATTTGAGTTCCTCTATCCCAAGTCCAACAAGGTAATTAGGTATTTCAGAAAAAAAAAGTGACTAATTTGTAATTACTCACGCAATATTTAAACCACATGTTAAAAACGGGATACATGTTAAAACATGTTAAACATGTTAAAAATGGGATAGTGTCTACCCATGTACCTACAATCAAACATAAGAAAGAGTCCTCCATGCAGTTAAATGTTCCTTATATGTCATTGCATGATTGCCCTTGTTCTGGCTTTGCTATTTGTTTTTCCCACATGCATATATATCTAAGCAATGTGTAGTAATTTCCATGTTGTTAAGCAGGCAAGTATTAATGCAGTACACTGGCTACCTAAAAAGGCAGAAGCTAGTTTCAGAGTTGCCATGGCTCTTGTATTTCTGATCTCAGGAGCACATAATGAGACACTGAAGTGGTGGAAAGAGGTGCCATGTAAGTATCTATACTCATAATTGCAAGCTTGCTTGGTTGCTAAATAACATTTAGAATGAATGTTTCTCTCAACATTCAGTCTCTTTGCGACATAACCCATACTTGAAGGGGTGATCTCTTCAACAAAAGGTATATATTAAAGGATTCAGGCAAATCATCTGGTTGTCTGAGACTGATGGTGTTGCTGCCTCAGAGTTCCACACTCATATTATTTTTTGGATCAGTTTTTCACCTGCTGGTTTCTTCTAGCATTTCAGGCTACTAGCCTTCCTTTGGTCCATCTAGCTCATAGATGCCCTATAGAGAATTTAGAAATCATTCATTTCCCTTCCATGCCCACTTCAGAAGTAACATGCAAAGGAATCATATAAACTTCATTCTAGTAAATTATGTATTCAGTGTCTATATAAATAGTGGGTCAGAGGCAGAACAGATGATGTTGCTCAATAGCTTCAATGTGACACCTTTGAGGGTCCCATAGAAGACGCTATAAATCACTTTGCAGAACACCTTTGGAATTAGTGGAAACATAGATGCCAACACATCCTCTGAATTGTCTGTCACATTGGCCTAGAGTGTAATAGTTCATGGGTACCGTACTCTTAGCACCCAGAGCCAATGCTAACCTTTTATCTGCTTTATATGAGTTCATTAATTATTGGGTACTTTGGCAAAATCTTTGCCAATGTGTAACATTTGTAATACATAAGAAACTGAAAATCTCAGATTGATTTTCTGAATGTAATTCTCTTCCACTGTTGGCATACCATTTTAGATGTTTGGTAAAATATAACTGTTATGCTTCTTCTCCCAAGGGTTTGTAAGGTTGTTATATTATGTCTTATTTTTATTTTTTTATCAGTGCAAAAAGTAAAACTTACAGAAAATTTTTAACTGGAGTAAAATAAGAGAAATGTCAAAGACATTATCTAGAGTCCCATTAATCAAAGGGAATTGCTGCTAATTTTGTGTAACTGTATTTATTTATTTATTTTGAGACAAGTTCTCACTCTATTACCCAGGCTGGAGTACAGTGGTGCAATTATAGCTCACTGCGACCTCTGCCTCCGGGGCTCAAGAGATCCTCCCACCTCAGCCTCCCAAGTAGCCAGAACTACAGGTGCACACTGCCACATCTGGCTAATTTTTAGTATTTTTTGTACAGACATAGTCTCACCATGTTGCCCAGGCTGGTCTGAAACCCCTGGGCTCAAGCAATCCTCCTGCCTCAGACTCCCAAAGTGCTGGGATTACAGCTGTGAGCCACTGAATCCAGACTTGTGTATTTTTTTCAACTTATTTTATCTTCTTTCTATGAGAATAGAAACAAAATTAAACATGCTATTTTTAAAAGATAATTTTTGTGATTGCAATAATACATGTTTACTATAGAAAATTTGAAAAATACACAACTATATAAGACATTTAAACCCAGAATTTTACTACTCAGATACAAACACTTTAAAACTTTATATTTACATATTTCTTTAAGGCCTCATTTTTCATTTTTAATCAAAAAAGTAGTAAATGCTTATTTTAAAAACTATAGATAACACAGATTTATATAGCATAAATAATTTAGATTCCCCTTTCAGCCCTATTATCCCCTAAAGTTCTTCAAAGTATAGCCTCTTTAAAGTTTGTTTTATATTTTCCCAGACATCCTTCTAAGTGTTTACAATATTTGTATAAAGTACAAACAATCCTTGAACAACATGGGGCACTGATTCCCCTTGCAGCTAAAAATTTGCATATAACTTTTGACTCTCCTAAAACATATTAAGTAATTACTAATAGCCTATTGTTGATGGAAGGCTTAACAATGAAATAGTCATTTAACACATATTTTGTACGTTATATGTATTATATATTGTATTCTTACAATAAAATAAACTGGAGAAAAGAGAATATTATTAAGAAAATCATAAGGAAGATAAAATATAATTGCTGTTTACTAAGTGGAAGTGAATCATCATAAAGTTCTTCAGCCTCATAGGCTGAGGAGGAGGAAGAAGAGGAGGAGTTGGTCTGGCTGTCTTGGGAACTGAGTTGAAAGGAAATTCACATAAAATTGAACCCATGCAGCTCAAACCCATGTTGTTTAAGGGTCAGCTATACATATTTCCTAAGATCCAAAAATACAATGCCTATTATACACACTAACCTAAATGTATGTATGCACCAAACTTTAAATTTACTGACATAAATACAATTATAGCATACATCCTATTCCACAACTTGCCTTTTAAATTTGGTCATTTTAAATGAGCACCTCTTCCACTGGGCATGGTGGCTCATGCCTGTAATCCCAACACTTTGGGAGGCTTGAAGTTGGTGGATCATTTGAGGCCAGGAGTTCAAGACCAGCCCAGTCAGCATGGCAAAACCTCATCTCTACTAAAAATACAAAAATTAGCAGGGTGTGTCCCAGCTACTCAGGAGGCTGAGGTAGGAGAATTACTTGAACCTGGGAGGTGGAGGTTGCAGTGAGCTGAGATCATACCATTGCACTCTAGCCTGAGCAACAGAGCAAGACTGTCTAAATAAATAAATAATGAAATAAATAAATAAATCAGCACACCTTCTATCTCACTGCATATAAATTGATCTCATTCTTTCTAAAGACTGCATGGAATTGATGTGCAATAATTTATGTAAAAACTCTCCAATTGACAGACACTTGTCAGTTGTTTCCAGAATTATTTTCCATTGTTTACTGTTACACAAAACACTGCTGTGTGTATCTGTGTACATAAACCATTTTGCATAGGTATGTAAAAATTTTTCAATCAAATAGATTCCTAGAAATAGAATTATTCAATCAAAAAATATACAAATGTTAATGGAAGGTCCAATTGCTTTCCAAAAAGGCAGTGTAAGTCACAAAAATATATAAACATGCCCGTTTCTTCAAACTCTTACTAATACTGAATATTGTTAATCTTTAAACATTTACCAATCTGAGAAGTACAAAAATACTGGTTTTTATTTTAATATACATTTCTGTGAGTTTGAGCATTTATCCAAACACGATCTTTTGCAAGTAGACTGACTGCTTGCTGCTGGTTGTCTGACATTCTGGATAGCAGATGAAAAGCTACATTCCCCAGCATGCATTGCTTCCAGGGCTTGTCTTATTCTTACCTTTGTCTACAATAGGTTAATGCGTTCCTTGTGTGCTCGTATCAGAATCTGAGGAAAAGAGTCAAGAGACTTTCACTACACCATCCATACTACAATCTCATTCATTTCCTAGGCATGATATTAGAGTAGATATAAGAAAAATCACCTATGGGGACAAAGCTAATGCAGTACACTGGCTACCAAAAAAAAGCAGAAGCCAGTTTCAGAGTTGCTATGGCTGTTGCATTTCTGATCTCAGGAGCACATAATGAGATGCTGAAGTGGTAGGAAGAGGTGGCATGTAAGTAGCTACACTCATAATTGCAAGCTTGCTTGTTTCTAAATAACAAAGCACAAGTAGGCACCCATTGTGCTTTTTGGTCCAGTTATAGCAGTAATTACTTCTCCCAGGTTCTTCAAATGGCCTATTGCTTGTGTATTACTTTGGTGAATTTTCACTGTTTTGGTGTCTTCATCATTATCACTGTTTGGATTTGGAAAGGCCATGTCATGAGTATAAACCAGACACTATTTCAAACCAGAAGTTTCTGGAATGCCTCTGGATAAATTATTCTCTATGATTTCACTTCTATTTAAACATAACCTTTAAAAATATTGGAAAGTGTAAGAAAAGGAAATAAAATTGTAGATGTTTAGGGCTTGCCTTACACTTAGAATGCTGTCCCTGGGATTCTGACAGAGGGTGCCAAGAAAGCAGCACAGCTTTAAATATTGAATGATGGGATTTGTGCCAAGGTAGCATATGGTTTTATGTGAACAATGAATATTCTATTATCTCATGTGTGATGCCAGGGAGGAAAGTGGATTTGTGGAGACCTGGTGCAGCTGAGCCTACACAGGAGACAATCCTTTTCATTACTGTTGTCTATCTGTGGTCTAAAGATGGATTGAAAGACTCACTTGAGGAGGGCAGACAAGGGTGAAGTTGTTAATGAGTTACAACTGTGCCCAAAAAAGACATCAGCAATTGCTATGATCAAATAAATTTTAATGACTTGAGAGTGTCTCTAGTGATCTGTATTTTATGTGAGCTGCCTGGATTTTCTTACATTAGCATCATGGTGATTTCAACCCTGTCCTTAGAGAGATCTCCACTGGTACATGTCTCTCTTAACTCCTTCTCAGTTACTAACATAGGACCACATCTGCTCTGCAAATCTCAGACATTCAATTTTCTTCTATATGAGTTTGCCGAAAGCAAAGATAACTAGATGAAGCCTTGTGTAAAAAGGACTATCATTAATAATAGTAAAAATAAGGTTCTTGCTTATGGTGTTTTAAGTTGACTGTCAGGGGCTACATCTTGTTTATTTATTTCTGATCAAACTGAAAAACTCAAAGGCCAGTAATCTGATGGTGAGTGAGGAGGTTAGAAATCTATATTACAGGGCTTCAGTGATTTCAAAAAGTGCCATTGTTTGAGTCTGCTTTAAAATACTTGTAGAATTTCAAGGCCACTATTTAAAATGGCTTCTGCCCACCAGCTCAGTGATGGTCTTAACATGATAGATTTGCTCCTCCAACTTCCAGCAGCATTTAGATATCAAGTGTTGGGGTCAGCTGTTACTGGGCTTCAAGCTGTGAGGAGAGCCTGGGTTGACTATTCCCCATTGCCATATTGATTGGCACACAATGTGGCATGCTATGGAGATGAAGGCATCCTCTAAGACAGTGCTGCTCAAATTTGAATGCACGTAACATCACCTGGGGACCACATTAAAAAGCAGAGTCAGATGTTGTACTTCTTGATGAGACACAGGATTCTGCATTTCTCTCAAGCTCCCAGGTGATACTGATGTGGATGCTGCTGGTTCACAGCCCGTACTTTGAGTACACATGGCCTTATGTTTTAAATCTTGTAATTCTAGCTGAAGGTACAAACGCAACCTCTGTTGGCTCCTAATCTCTTGCCTTGTTCATCTCATAGAACCTGTCCACTCTTATGCCCTCCTGGACTCCTACCTGCACACAAGTGAACAGAAATTCAATTTCTACTGTGACAAAAAGGTGATCTATATTTCTTCTGAAAATACCTTCATTCCTCACAACTTCAACTAGCTAGAGTTGAACTTTAATAAATGAACTGAAAATATATTCAGTATTTTAATGTTTGAAACATACTTAACATTTTACTGAACAAGAGATATAATACTTGGAGCATGTGTTAAGAATGGTAGTGTTGATGAAATGGTGATCAAATATATTTTAGATTCCAAGCTATTACTTCTCTGTCAGGACTCAGTCTGCCCCTGTCCAGGGGCCTGGGGCTATAGCCCTTACAGAGCCACGGCTCCCCCTGTGTCGGGGGTCATTACGCTGCACTGACAGCCAGCTCTGATGCTTTCCATTCTGTCCAGGCACCACAGAGTCCTGGGCACCTTTAAGTGCTCAATGAATGTTAGTGGAAAAAAAATCCTTATTGGAACAAATAAAGCAAATTATGGCACGTCAAACCAGTGGAGTAAAATGTCAGAAAATAAAAATTGTGAAAATTCTAACATGGAAATTTTATATTTTGTTAAGTAAAAAAGAGCTGGATATAATAGTGTACTTTTTATGTTTACAATTATATGTATGTATGTACATAGTTTATAAAAATATATATAATAGTATATATATACAATTGTAAACATGGAAAATATATATATGATGAACAAATAAAATGAAACATTGAAAAATGAAAACATAGGCTAGTCATGGAACTGATTATTATTTAACTTCTTTATAAAATTATTCCTTTTTCATATTACAGTTTTCAGTAAGTTACAGGTAAAGAAGAAGCTATGATAAGTAATATTTTAGCATCATTAGGTATCATTCTTGCTTCCCTCCACATGCTTAATCTTTCAAAAGCCTGCTCTAAGACTCTCTAGAGAAATTGAAGCAAATTTTGAAAACATTTAATTAACTTTAAGAGTGAATAAATTTTTTCTAGATTATGTTCATGCTCTCCTTTTACTGTGAACGCTATAGTATTTCCTAAAATTTGCTGAAACTCACAGGGTCCTTAAGAAAGAGCTTTTGCCTATACATTTTAATATTTTCTCACCCAGGCACTCAGTAAAATGAGTAATAGTCTGTCAGTAATTCACCTTATTAAACGAAGTATAGCAAAACGCTCACATCTTTAAATCCAATTGTTTTCTCTGCTGCACTTCTTTTTTTGGGGGATCGGAGGGGGGCCTGTTCCACATAGTTAGGTTATTTTTGTTTAATTTAAAATTTTTTTTTCCTTGTCATACTGTGTAAAATTTAGCCTCAATAAGAAGTATGGCCTTTCATCTTTCTGCTTAAAACTGAAAAATTTAAAAAGGTTTTCCCATAAAACCAGCTAGTGGCTGATAGGATCACTTTAAATTTTGCATTTTTACCTGAGAAGTAAAGAAATAGTCTGCCTAGAAATTTGACAACAGGAGTCCTTGTAGGAATAGTTTGGCTAATGGCAGTAGATAAATCTCTTTTTCTTACACTAGCCTATTGATCCTTCTCTTATCCAAGTGGACATTCTTTCTCCCATTCTTTTCCCTGCCAGTTTTTCTCTCTTCTCTATCTCCTACTCTTTTTCTCTCTTAAATAATCTGCCTTGCTAGATAAAAGTTTTAGAATTGATTTTTATTCCAAACTTACTAAGGTGATATTTACATATTCAAATACATGCACGTGCATACCTGAACGTGTATACTGTGCCATTATTCTACACTTTGAGAAGCCCAATACTCATGAAAAGAAAAACTGAGTCTCCCTTTGCTCACCTTGTACCTCTAGGGCCTACTAGATCACTGGACATGGGTAGCTATTTGTATGTTTATTCAAAAAATGGCTATGTGGATTAAAGTATGAATGGATCCTATTAGTGAGATAAAAACTAGTTATGGAGACCAAGTTATTAGAAACTCTTACAATTATAATACATGGGTCCACATTTGACTGCTCTTTTGCTAGCACTGTCAATCATGTAGCTATGTTAAGAAACATTTCTCTTTCTCTTTTGCTTTGCTATTTGCCATCAAACTATGGCCTTTAAAAGGTGTTTACCTTTTTATTTTCATGCCTGCTCCCCTTTTTTCCTTTGATAAATATGACAACACTTAGAAGCTTTAATTCCATCTTCTTTGAACTAGGACAGCACTTGGTGTATGATTCTCATATGTCATTCTGCTTTATCATTTGGAGACTTATCACCCTTACTAGATTTTAAGTTCTTTTAGGAACGTAATGATTTCTATGGGATTGTGCGCGTGTGCGCGTGTGTGTGGTGGGGGAGGGAGTTGTTGTTTTCAGTTGTTGTTTCTCTAAATCTTTAACAGAGACCTATAGGTTCCTAGAAAATCACTGGCATTGGCTGAATTGAACTTGGAATTTGAGACATTCTCTATGAACAATGAGACGCAGTTACATTAAACAGTGTTTATCCAAAAATGGAGAGTAGAAATGAGTTTAAAAGAGTAAAGTTCTCAAGGAAAACTCTCTAAAGCAAAAATGCAGATTGGATTTGCATGCAAATAAAAAGCCTTGAGTGTATTTAATGTGACCCAATAAAATTAGAGGTGCTACAAATTTTAAGGAATTTTATAGATTCTTGAAACAGAATCTCCTTTGTTATAGGAAATGGGAAGAAGAGTGAGTATGTACAAGAAGAAGAGTTCAGATATGTTTTTGTCTGGCACAAGGAGAATAATACAAATTCCTAGTATATTTCTAAATCCCAACTCTGGTGTCCTAGGAGCACTTTGTAACTATTGATATCTGCCAAGAGGTCCTGAGATCACCTCTGCCACTCTCTTCCTCCTCTCTGCCACTGCACTGCAGTTTTTGTATGGCTGAATTCTTTGCCTGTCTCCTTAACATGACGGCTTTGCATGGGTCCTGGCATCACACTTAGGCCTTGAAGCAGAGTAGAGAGCTAAACACATAAAGTATTGCTTATACAAGTCACAGAGTGAATAATAATACGAAGAGAGAAAACTTCCATCAGGTGGTTATTCTGGAATTCAAGAATACAATTTCTATAGCTACATTAATTTTTTTTAATGGTGCTTCTCCTAAGTAGATAAGAGGGAATGAAGAGGAACAGCGGGAAGGAAAGAGTAAAAGTGGAGTCTCTAGTCTCCTGTACTTCATTCTTAGGATCTACTTCTGTAATCTGAACAGTCATACGGCAGTAGAGTTTTTGTTTTGTTTTTGGTCTTGATTTTTAGAACTAGCTGGTTTAGTTTGAAACATCAGTGCAATTGAACATGATGAGGAGGGAAATTCAAGGAGTTGTAGGAATTATGCCTACCAGTGCCTTAGTAATTATTTTAATAGAGAAACCTAAGAAAGAATCTTTAAAATGGAGAGAAATTGATATTGTATTGTTTGTATGTTTGGTGCTGGAATAGGGCTCGCCCCTGACTTACAAACTTTTGACTTAGCCCACAGAGGTCAGAGAGGACAAAACACTATGTTGTTTGAACAGTTGTTTTGAGACCGTTGGAAAATGAGTTTGTAATGGGTCCCATGCACAGAAAGCAGAGGTATATCATTATAAAAACCAACCAGTCACTTTGTTGGTAGTTTTAGCAAAAGAATTTTAGATGCAGGACTCAGGTGGGAAATATGCAAAACATCTTATTCTTGGAATATTGGTAGACAAACCTTCATATCAGAGATATTTCTGGCCATCTACATTTTACTTATCCTGCTTCTTTGGCTTGATTAATTGCTCTTGAAAACACTTGCTATACTTTTACTCAGGTAGAAAACTTTTCTCTTTGATCACATTTCTTGGCAAATGTTTTTGATCAAATTTCATGGAAAATATTAAAGTCATTAAAAATGTGGGCCTTTCCATTATGTTCTTTATGCCTTGATCCAGGACATAATTCATTTACTAGACACATAACTATTGAATTTCACATCTTCTGTATATTGCGGTGCAACACATATAATTGTTGTGAAAGTTGACAGTGAAGACCTCACTGATTATTGTTTGAGCTACATTTACATATCATGATCAGTTGTAATGTTTCTTGTTTTATTTCCAAGTATGGTTCTCATTTCTCATTTATTTTAAGAAAATTTATTCTAGTTAACTTGGTTAAAAGAAAAATAGTACTCTGCTTCCAGATCGTCACTGAAAAAATACTAGTTCATAATTTTGCCAAGCTATTCACAGCATGAGTCTGATAATCCCTCGATGGAGAGTTTGATGATTTCTTTGCACTGTTGATCTGTCATAATGCAAAACTTCCAAATTCTTCTTAGTTAAACCATAAAGAGAAAGAAAGTCCAATCTCAATGAACAATCTATTCACATCTCCTGTTGTTATGGATGTCACTATTTAATGAGTGAAGGAGCATCCAA
Organism: Homo sapiens; assembly: GCF_000001405.40. Taxonomy (NCBI): domain Eukaryota; kingdom Metazoa; phylum Chordata; class Mammalia; order Primates; family Hominidae; genus Homo; species Homo sapiens. The sequence continues at coordinate 62,552,515 of NC_000008.11, forward strand.
TTCTTATTAAACTGTATCCTGAATGGTACTGCATGGAACAAATGAAAAATGAAACATGCCATTTCTGAGATTGATGCCAGTTTTCCTGCTTCTCTTTTGTCTGGTTTGATATGTTGAAATCTCAGTTAATGCTCTTGACAAGTATGTACACTTTCAGTTGCCAGCCAGGTCTTAACTTTCACAAAAGAACTGCTGGAGAAGTTCTGGCCCTGAGAAAGCTGCTGAGATAAAAGCCACCTTTCATTAAAAACGCCACTTCTCCCCTGTGTGTGGTGTGCCCTAATGTGCAACAACACAATCACTAGAAGGTGATTCTGAAAGCAGAGGTAGAAAGAAAATTGCTGGATCCATGGTTGGCAGCACAGGGTTACATGAAGTTGGCCATACAATTGCAATCATGCTGGTAAGTCAATATGGGTTGCCATGGAGAGATGGCTATAAGAAGAAAAACAGATGGTGGTAGTTGTGGTGGAGACAAAGAAATAAAAGCCCCAAATCTCCTTCCAAGTAAAAGTTACATAGAATTCAGCAATTTGGGGAAGAATGACATTGTGTATGCTTGGAAAGTTTATATTGCTATTTTTATCACTCTAGTGCAGAAATGTATCATTAAAATCATCACATTATTCACCTACTTAATTCCCAGCTCTGGACTCACCCCTTCCACTTGGCTTGCCAAACCATTCTCCTTATTTCATTCAACTCGTGTCAATACCCACTTTATTTATTACTAAATCTATTATGATTTAAAGCAAGATTGCCCACTAAATATTTGCATTACAAATTCTCTCAAAAAGTTTGTCTTTTCTTTCTCTGAAGAAAAATGAATGTCATTTAATACAGATTTATTGTGCAGCCACAATATGCAAACCATTGTTACATTCCTTATTTATATGCTATGCTATAAAAATAGAAGCTGATCTAGGCCTTGGATTATTAAAACCTTGCATCTTACAGTACAAATAGTTTTTCCCTCTAATGTTTACACGATGAAAATGAGCATGTTGTATTTTTATACTGAACACTTTTTTTTTTTTTTTGAGACAGAATCTCGCTCTGTCACTCAGGCTGGAGTACAGTGGCGCGATCTCGGCTCACTGCCACCTCTGCCTCCTGGGTTCAAGCGATTCTCTTGCCTCAGCCTCCCGAACAGCTGGGATTACAGGCACCCACCAACACACCCGGCTAATTTTTGTATTTTCTACTGGAGACAGGGTTTCACTATGTTGGCCAGGCTGGTCTTGAACACCCGACCTCAAGTGATCTGCTCGCCTCAGCCTCCCAAAGTGCTGGGATTACAGGTGTGAGCCACCACACCTGGCCCTGAACACATTCTTATCCATAAGTTTCTAAAAATGTACAATTTAATGATGGAAACTCAGACTTTAATCACTATTATAGGAGAGGATTTCTACTTTTACTTGTTCCAATATTTAGCATTAGGAAACAATATCTCTTGATGGAAAACTAGATGCATGCCATTTCCTACTTCACCTCAACATACAGCGATGACTTGTGTTAGTAGTTTCCTAATAAAGCACATCAGTGAAATTTTGCTACCTTGAAAAAATAGATACTTTTCTTTGTAATTCCATAGAGGGACATGTAATAGAGGCAATCTCTTACTTGAGATTAGAAACATCTTTGGAACACTTATGGCCTCATGATAGAATAATTTTTCTGTACATCACTACTGTTAAAAACAACTGTAAACATCAGATTTTTATTTTTAGAAAGTTTTACTTACATCAGTGAGCTAACAAGAAACTAACTAGTTCTGAACTTGAGCTTCAGTTTCCAAGATTCAAAGAATGAGAAAGAAGAGACAAATCCTAAAGGAATACTCAAGCTAGGAGTCTAATAGAAGAATCTTTTAATGAAGCAGGAACCCCAAACAACTACAACTTCAAAATAAATTTGAACTAGACCTAACCCATCCCCAGAAAATAAATCAAATTGTCTGCCTCCAGTCTTGGTTTTAAGTGGAGAAACAGAAAAATTTCTCCTGAATATTCACGAAAATAAGTTATTCTTTACATGGATTTGTAAACTAAATTCACATCACTTGAATAATTAATAAAACATATAAGCAATAATTTATTTTAAATGGTACTAGGCTATTGGTACCTCAAGGCATCAGGCAAACAGAGATGAAAATCCAAAAACAAATAAAATTCCTACCTGAAATTATTTAAATTCAAAATAAATCACAAAATTTTCCAAAGATATGCTTAACAATAATCCTGGTGTTGCACATTAGATTTCCAGACTTACTCATCCTACATAACTGCCACTTTGAACCCTTTGACTTATATCTCCCCACACCCCACTTCCACCCCTGATAACCATCACTCACTCTCTGTTTGTATGTATGTGGCTTTTATTAATTCTAAATATAAGTGAGATTATGCAGTATTTTTCTTTTCCTGTTTGGCTCTTTTCACTTGGCATAATGCCCTCCAGGTTCATCTATGCTGTCACAAATGGCAGAATCTATACACACACACACACACACACACACACACACACACACACACACACATGCCTAGCTATGTGAGAAGATGGATATGTCATTTTGCTTGACTGTAGTAATTATTTCACTGTGAATATGTATGCCACAATGTCATGTTGTATACCTTAAATATATGCAATATAAAAACTCCCAAAGATAAAATTTCAAAGAACTAAATTCACAATAAAAAATTCAGAATACATAAAGAACCAAGGTATCATACTTGTGAGGTGATAGAAAAAACAAATAGCTGAATTAAATCCACAAATATATTTGACATAGAATATTAAATAAGTATAAGGTAATATGCTTAAAAAATGAAAGAGTTTTGAAATGAAGAAGGAGTAAAATGACTAAGCATATTTGAATAAGAAACAAAACAGAATTAACAGAACTAAGATATAGTATTTTTTAAAGAAAACTAAGTGGATAGGGTTAGCAGATTCAAAAGAATGGAAGAAAAAAGAGTGTGAAAATATTTCTAAGGATATTATACAGAAAGTAGTACAGAAAAATAAGATTTAGAAAGTATAGGCAATTAAGAGACATGGGAATAGAATGAGAAGTTCTCTGTTACTTACTGGAGGTTTAGTAGGAAAAAAAGACAGAGATATACTAGGATAAGTGTAAATGTTTAAAGAGGAAATGGCTGTGAATTTTTCAAAACAAATGAAAAGCAACAATCATCAAATTCCAGGAAGACTGCAAATTACCAAGAAAGATACATTTTTTAAAATTCCACACAAAGAGATATTGTAGTCAATCTTCAAAACTTCAAGAACATAGAAATATTTTAAGACCTGATAGAGTAAAAGAAAACGGACAAATTTTCTCCAGAAGAAAATAGTCACTTCCTGCTAGCATCATGAGAATCAAGCACATTTTTAATATACAGAAATTAAAATGTGCCTAATGGAAAATGTCTAAAAGTATTTCAGTGAAATAAACATACCTTCAAGTGAAAAAAAATGGAAATATTTTCCATCAAGAGACTCTCATTTAACAAATTGGAAAGTATATTCTTTAGGAGGAAAAATATTTTTCAGAAAGAAAGTCTGAGAGACAAGAAGAAATGATGAACAAGGAAGTGGTGTATATATATTGGTAAACCAGACACTAACATTGACTGAATAAAATAATATTAATAATGTCAATAGAACAGTATACATTAGAAAATACCTATTTGGGGAATTATGGTGTTCTAAGGTGATTATATTGTCTTTGGAAGAAGTAAAAGATAATGATTAACTTCAAACATTGATAACATATATGTATGCTACCTTTTGTAGGGTAACTAAAAACAGTAAATAACTCATATATATTTGAAACAAAGGAAAAAATGAAAATGGAAAAAACTGATCAACTCAAAAGAAGGACATAAAGTAGAAAAAAGGAGCCTAGAAATTATTAATAAAATTGAAACTAGGATAATAGAAACACAACTAAATATATCACAACTCAATAAATGTAATTATACAAAAGAGTTGACTTAAAAGACAAAGATTCTCAGGTGAGACTGAAAAATAAGTCCAGCTATATAATATATAGGAATATAGAAAGTATGCAATTGAAAGTATGAAAAAGTGGTATTAATCAAATACTAAAGCAAAGCAAGGTGATATAGCTATGCCAGATATAATAGAATTTAAGGCAAAAAAACATTATAATGGATAAATATTATAATAAAATATTAAATTTGTCAAAAAGTATAGCCATTTTGAACTTATATTAATCTAAAAAGTGGCATCAAATATATAAAGCAAAAATCTTAAGAGCTAAAAGATAACGTAAAAACCCACCATCCTATTGGACTATTTTAACACACATGGTTTAGTGCTTGAGAGATCAACTAAAGTGAAAGTATGTAAAAGATATATTTATATTTAACTTAAAAGTTGCAAAATATACTTTTAAATTTTTTTTTATTTCGGTAGGTTATTGAGGAACAGTTCGTGTTTGGTTACATGAGTAAGTTCTTAGTGGCGATTTGTGAGATTTTGGTGCACCCATCACCTGAGCAGTATACACTGTACCTCATTCCCTTCCCATCCTTTCCCTAAAGTCCACTGTGTCATTGTTATGCCTCTACATACTCATAGCTTAGCTCCCACTTATGAGTGAGAACATATGATGTTTGGTTTTCCATTCCTGAGTTACTTCACTTAGAGCAATAGTCTCCAGTCTCATCCAGGTTGCTGTGAATGCCATTAATTCATTTTTATGGCTGAGTAGTATTGCATCATGTATATATACCACAGTTTCTTTATTCACTTGTTGGTTGATGGGCATTTGGGTTGGTTCTACATTGTTGCAGTTGTGAATTGTGCTGCTATAAACATGCATGTACAAGTATCTTTTTCATATGATGAATTATTTTCCTTTAGGTAGATACCCTGTAATGGGATTGCTGGATCAAATAGCAGTTCTACTTTTAGCTCTTAAAAAAAAATGTTCACACTGTTTTCTAAAGTGGTTGTACTAGTTTACATTCCCACCAGCAGTGTAGAAGTGTTCCCTGTTTACCACATCCACGCCAGCATCTACTGGTTTTTGATTTTTTGATTATGGCCATTCTAGCAGGAGTAAGGTGGTATTGCATTGTGGTTTTGTTTTGCATTTCCCTGATCATTAGTGATGTTGAGCAGTTTTCATATGTTTGTTGACCATTTGTATATCTTCTTTTGTGGGTTGTCTATTCATGTTCTTAGCCTGCTTTTTGATGGAATTGTTTGTTTATGTCTTGCTATTTTGTTTGAGTTCGTTGTACATTCTGGATATTAGTCCTTTGTTGGATGTATAGATTGTGAATATTTTCTCCCACACTGTGGGTTGTCTGTTTGCTCTGCTGACTGTTCCTTTTGCTGTGCAAAAGCTCTTTAGTTTAATTAAGTCCCAGCTATTTTTCTTTGTTTTTATTGCATTTGCTTTTGAGTTCTTGGTCGTGAAATCCTTGCCTAAGTCAATGTCTAGAAGTGTTTTTCCAATGCTATCTTCCAGAATTTTTATAGTTTCAGGTCTTAGATTTAAGTCCTTGACCCATCTTGAGTTGATTTTTGTGTAAGGTGAGAGAGGAGGATCCAGTTTCATTCTCTTCCATGTGGCTTGCCATTCATCCCAGCACAACTTGTTGAATAGGGTGTCCTTTCCCCACTTTATGCTGTTGTTTGCTTTGTCAAAGGTCATTTGGCTTTAAGTATTTGGGTTTGTTTCTGGGTTCTCTATTCTGTTTCATTGGTCTATGTGCCTGTTTTTATACCACTACCATGCTGTTTCAGTGACTATGGCCTTATAGTATAGCTTGAAATCAGGTAATGTGATGCCTCCAGATTTGTTCTTTTTGGTTAGTCTTGCTTTGTCTGTGAGGGCTCTTTTTTGGTTCCATATGAATTTTAGGATTTCTTTTTCTAGTTATGTGAAGAATGATGGTAGTATTTTGATGGGAATTGCATTGAATTTGTAGATTTCTTTTGGCAGTACGGCCATTTTCACAATATTGAGTCTACCCATCCATGGGCAAAAATGCACATTTTAAAAGTCAGTTATAGAACAATTATGAAAATTGCTAACATTATGATTCATAAGACAAGTCTCAACAAACATATTACTGGTGGTATCCTTTTGATTAATTTTCTCTATTGTTTTTTTGTTTTCAAATTCATTGATTTCTCCTTATCTCTACCATTTCCTTTCTCCTGCACACTTGGGTTTATTTTGTTCTTTTTCTAGGTTTTTCAGGTGGGAGCCCAGATTACTGATTTGAACTTTTTCTTTTTCTAATATATGCATTAATTTTATCCTTTAAATTTCCCTCTCAACATGTTTAAGCTGTGTCCCACAAACATTGGCATGTTGTTTTTGCTTTCATACAGTTCCAGGTGTTTTTCTTCCTATAGAGACTTTTTATTTGAAGATAGCTTAATTAGAAGTGTGTTGTTTAGTTTCAAAGTTTGAGAGAGTTTCTTGTGTTTCTGCTATTAATTTCCAGTTTGAGTCCATTTTGGTCAAAGAACAAACTGCCAGTTTCAATTCTTTTTAATTTGTTGAAATTTGATTATGCCTCCAAATATGGTCTATCTGATATATTTTATAGAAATTGAAAAGAATATGTTTTCTACTGCTTCTGGGTAGCAGAAGCAATGGGATCTAGTTGTTTGATTATATTGGTAATTTTCTTTGTGCTGTAGTATACTTTTTTTTATATTAATATAGCCACTTTGGCTGTCCTTTGATTGAGGTTTCCATAATACACTCATTTTTAGCCTTTGAATTTTAACCTGCCTATATAATTTATTTGAAGTGAGTTTTTTGTAGATAACATACAGATGTGTTTTTTAATCTACTCTGACAATTGTTTTATTGATTTATTTAGGCCATTTATATTTCATGTGATTCTCAACATATTAAGACAAAAGCCTAACATTTTAGTTTTCACTTTCTGTTTTTTCTCATTTGTAAAATTTCTCTCCTTTCTTTCCCTGCCTTCCTTTAGGTTACTTGGACATTTTTTAGATTGCCATTTTAATATATCTATAGTGATTTTGAGTGTATCTCCATGCATAGCTTTTTTAGTGGTTTCTCTCAGGGTGGCATACATATAAGAGTCTTTCAGTGTTATTGTTTTACCATTTCAGGGATAGTATAAATACCTTATGTTTCTTTACATCTCTTTGCTTCCTCATTTTTATAATATAATTGTTTTAAATATTTTCTTCACATATATTTGGTACCACAACAGATGGCATTATCAATTTTGCTTCCACCATAACATATAATTTAGAAAGCTCAAGAGGAGAAAGAAAACCTACTGTATTTACCCATATCTGTAATTCTTTCTGGTGTCCTGTTGCTTCAAAATTTCTTATTTGATCATTTTATTTCTATTTTGAGAACTCTCTTTAGCCTTTTCTTCAGGGTAAGTCTGCTGGCAACAAATTTTGTCAAGAACAAGTTTTTCTTTATCTGAGACTGTCCTGATTTCTACTCATTCCTAAAGGTTATTTTTGCAGAATATAGGATACTTGGTAAACAGTTTTATGTTTTTAGCAAGGATTTGAGAAATATTTTGCTTTTCATTCTGGCTTTTGTAATTTCTACAATAAATATTTTGTCATTCATATTGTTTCTTCTGCAAGTAAGCTATTGTCTTTGGCTGCTATCAATATAAATTTATCTGTGTTTAAATTTCTGAAGTTTAATTACGATATAGCTTGCCATGAATTTATTTGGGTTTATTCTTGTCAAGATTTACTCATCTTCTTGCATCTGTAGGTTTATTTCTCTTGCTAAATTTGGGGAGTTTTCAGCCATTATTTCCTCAGGTATTTTTTAGCCTTACCCTGTCTCCTCTCTTTCCAGTATTCTAGTGACTTAAATGTCAGATATTTTGTTATAATACCACAGGACTTTCAGTCTTTGTTCATTTTTTTCAGCCTATTTTCTGTATATTATTCATATGCATAATTTTTATTATTTCATTTTCCAGTTCACTGAATCTTTTTTCTTTTCTTTTTTTTTTTTTTTTTTTTTTTTTGAGACGAAGTTTCTCTCTTGTCACCCAGGCTGTAGTGCAATGGCATCATCTCAGCTCACTACAACCTCCGCCTCCTGGGTTCAAGCAATTCTCCTGCCTCAGCCTCCCAAGTAGCTGAGATTACAGGCACCCACCACCACGCCTGGCTAATTTTTATATTTTTTAGTAGAGATGGGGTTTCACCATGGTGGCCAGGCTGACCCTGAACTCCTGACCTCAGGTAATACACCCGTCTCGGCCTCCCAAAATGCTGGGATTACAGGGGTGAGCCATCACGGAATCTTTTCTCTCTCCTCTCCTTTCTGTTGTAGATCCTATCTACTGAGCTTTTAATTTCATTTATCATATTTTCAAGTTCTACAATTTTTTATTCTTCTTTATATCTCCCATTTCTTAGCTGAGACTTTTTATTTTTTGTTGAAGATCTTTAATCTCCCATTTGTTTCAAGCCAGTTTGTATGTGGTGTTTGACTAGAGTATAATGGTTATTGTCTAAAAGTTTTCTCTCTTGCTAGGCTGCCCTTTTCCTGCTCCTTTGGCTAAAGAGAGAAGGATATGGAGGTGAGGGGCTTTTTTGTTTGCACTCATTGACATTTCTGAGTTACCAATTTTACCTCTTCCAAATGTGAGTTATATGCAGCAAAAAGAAAACCCAGGGAAATCATCACCTCATGATTCCTCAGGTAGCTGGATGTTTTGCCATCTTCTCTCCACTTTTTAGAGTTATTTTGTGTTTATTGTATACATGATGGTTAAAGTTTTTGGATGTACTTAGCAAGAGGACTATAGAAAAGCATGTCTACTACATCTTCCTGCAGGTGGAAGTCTTCTCTGTATTTTGTTGAGTTTATTCCTATAAACTTGCTACTGCAGATTTAAAAATCCATGAATGAGGCACAAATAAAAAGTTGTCTGTATACCACTTTATAAACTCCACATGTGTTTAATAAAATATTTAAGCAATGTAGGAATTACTCTAAAGCTTCGGGGAGAGGCCATACTGTGGTGTAAAAATCTGAAGGAGGTCCTCACGTTCGTTCCAATAATCACTAGTTGTGTTTCTTCATTGTGGTAGGTGTTTCTTCAAATCTCTGTAAAATTAGGGCAAAAATACTCACTTCATAGAGTTTCTAAATTAGGATTAATGAGATACTGTACATAATGCCAACCACAAAATAATGATGGGCAAATACTAACACTTCCCCTAGCTTTATCAGAAATGGAAATAGATTTGTAAAAACATGAGTCTTTATTTTACTTTAAAATATGGGGCTTGTTGAAACATAGGTCATAGCATTGTAAATATGTGTTTTTGTAATGTTAACACTTTCAGCTAAAGTGTGGAATAGTGATTAATTACATTTATTGCCTATAAAATCATCAGAAAAGTCATTATTCCTATAAAGAAACTTACAAATATGGATTCTTCCTGGAAGCAAGAATGAGGGTGTGGCTGAGATGAAAGCTCAGGGTGTTGACAGTGTATCTCCATATGACCACCTGCATCAGAGGTCAAGGACTTAACACTTAGATCCCTGTCACTAGCAGAGAAGCCAGGAGACAGAGCATTTGATAGCTTCTGTTTTATTTAGCCTCTTTATACACATATATTCTTTAAAAACCTTGAAAATTAAGAGGCTAATCAAACTTTCAAACTTTCCTGGTCCTTCAAGAAACATTCCAATGTCCACAGAGTATGAGAGCATGATGAAAAGAAATGAGTGTCCCTTGAGAGTTGTTTAAAAGTGTTTGTCCCTTGAGATGTTGAAGAGTAAAAACACCCACATAAAGTTGACGAAGACCGTTTCACCAGGTTAGGTCACAGCTTTTCATTAATGATAAATGTGAAGAAGAAAAAAATAAAATGCAAGGTTACAGCAGAAATACTTCTATCTTTTTCTAACGTTTTCATTAGTTCTACAACCAAGGACACATTCTACTGTCAGTGGTTTACTGCAACTGTCAATGGTTTACCTTTCCCAGGATATGAACAGAAATAGAGTACTCAAGAAGCTGCTACGTATTTAATTTAGGGTAGCAGAAAAAAGGCAAAAAGAAAGATAAGTAGTTGATGGTGTTAACCTACTTTAACACCATCAACTGTGTGTTACTTAAGCGTTTCTTGTACATGTTGATTTTCAAATGAGAGTCACTTATCTATAGCATAAGTACTTTCACACGTACAAGGGGTTTTTTTCTATATATTATTTTCTAAAGAGGAAACATTTAATTTCGTTTCCAAATGAAATATCTAGTTCTTGCTGAAAATGTGTACTTTAAAGAGACTTTTTAAAAGAAGAACTCCTTGCAGGTGGTCTCTATCACAAATAAACATGAGAAAAGGTTCTTAGAGAAACTTTTGGCCCGTAACCCTGTCTCCTGTCGTCTCATGCTGGGTTGCCATTTACGTAAAACCACTGTGGGAGTCTTAAATGTCATGGTAGCTGTGTTCCTGCCAGCTTGTTTGTGGGATTGTGTGGGTCACCTATCCTAGGGGCTCAACTTTAGTGCTCTCAGGTTCATTATGGCTCCACTGGAGAGTTGAAATTCAATCTCCAATCACTGTTCTGTAACAAATTGGCAAGTTGGGCTTTTGCTAAAATGGCTGCCTTATTCCTGGCTTAAGCTATTTGTGGACTATAACTGCATTTTTTAAGGGTGCCTTTTGCATGGGAGTTAGAAGGAAGAGGAGTTAGGTTTTGGGACAATTTTTGGCAGAGGAAGGATACTTAGAAGCTGAATCAAATGATGAAGTCGCACTCTTTGAGATCAAGCAATATCCTTGAGCAATATTGACAGATTGTTTCCTTTTGCCTATTTTTTGTGACATTCTTACCTAAAGCATTATTGTGTTAGTATAAGAGAAGGAATGAGAGTATTCACTCCCTAAATTTTTATGGCATGATTTATTTTATATCTATATCAGTGTCTTTAGTGCTGCTTGAAAACAAGTATAAAAACCCTTCCCTTGGCAAGAACCTGTTAGTAAAATGTAAGATTATTTTTTAAATATGTACCACCAAAGGAAATATTTCAAATACTTAGTTATGAGAACCTCATTTCCCAGAGTTAAGCACCATAGCTTGAAACTCTTTATATTTAGTTAAGCTAACTGGGTTGATATAAGAGAAGCAGTGATTAAAATAATCTCTCACAGTGAATAACCCAAAAGTTATTTTTAGCAGGCTTTAGGTTTCTCTACAGGATGTTATGTACCCAATCTGCAGCTATTGTTTGAGTTATTCTAATTATATTTAGTTTAATGTACATTAAGAAAACACTTGACTTCTCCATGCACACACTGACAGACGGGGAGGAGAGAGCTTCCAAACCTAGTATTGAGCTCTGCAGGGAATTTCAAAACTCCTTGCTTTGAGTCACTTAAGTGCACAACCGTCAGGCAAACCATACACACTAGATTTTAATTTGCCTTAAATCAAAGGACAGAGAAAGCCCACAATTGGACTCTGTAACCTGATGCTGTGTAAGACCTTCCATAGGGATTCAAACACATTAGCTTCAAAACGGTGATTTTCTTCCCTGCTTTCAATGATTGTAACATATCCATCCAACAAGTTCTCTTGGTCAGTGTGAAGACTTAAGCAGAATTGACCTACTTTGTTCTTCACTTCACACAAATGATTGTCCTTTAGATACTAATTTTAAAAATATTAACACAAGGTCCCTCCTCTAAATCCCTTTGGCCACAGTTTGAGTTCACATCCATGCCATCTCCACCTGCTCACTGCAATACCTTCTGTCTTGCTCCCTACCCTCAGCCAGAGTCCCACCCTCACCCCCACTACCTCCCCACTCTCATTACAGAGCAAGATCAAAACAGCTCCAAACCCGACCAGGCATTTTTAAAGAATAATGCTGTTTATGAAACTTCTTTAAGCAAGAAATAAATCCTTTAATGGTTTCCCAGTACCTGCAAGGTAAATTCCGAAGTCTTTAACCACGTGCATCTTGCTTTTCTTTTCTCCTTGTGAGGCACATTCCACCATATGTGTTCTACACTGGAGTTATACAAACTCCAATTCTTGGCCTGCCCATTTTTAGGTTGGAAAATCAATTCAGTAGGTCTAGGCCAGCATTATATAATCAAATATAATAAAATAGAACAGAACAGAGCAGGTTATGGCACACATAATAAAGTTAACCATTGCTTCTTGATGTTTTGTTTCAGTATGTATGTGGTAGAAGATGTAAAATGTATTACCTATTGTGGGTGGACACACAAACCCACACACACACGGAGAAAATCTGTTTTTAACACAGATAATTTGAGTTTGTTGGCTAAAATATTTAGAAAATTTAGAATAGCAATAATGTTTAAATAACCAATATTTCACCATTCAGAGGTAACTTAGATATATGGATTTAATATTGTATGTTTCCATACACACAGCTGTACACATACATGATTTATATGCATAGCTACACAAGCATTTCATACACTTGGAAAATCTCAAAATATTTGTTGATTCAATGAATAAATATAAATTTCATGTTATTAACTAAAATCCCATTATACATACACATGATTTTTTCCTACATAAAGTATTGTGATCAGATTTTTATATCAATACATCTTGGATATACACTATTTTATGGGCATGTAGTATTTTATTTTTTTGATATATCAACATGTACTTTTATTATCCTATAATATCGGACACTTCATTTCCAAGCTCTCCCTTTATAAACATCATTTTCATATCATTATATAAGACCAAACATGTCCATATGTATGTATGTACCAATATATATGTATGTGCATATGTATACATGGGCATACGTGTGTGCGTGTGTGTGTGTGTGTGTGACAGAGAGCACCAGGCATGGATTTAAATGCCTTATACATATTAACTCATTTCATTACCAAAACAACAACTAAAGTTTCTATTATTTTCCTGATTTTACAGAGGGGAAACCGAGGCACAGAGTTTAAGGATGTTGCTCAGGGTCACATTTCAGTATAAATGGCAGAGCCAGGATTTGAAACAAAATGGTCTGGCCCAACAGTCTGAATATCTCCTACTACATAATGTTGCTTCTACAACTTGTGCAATTAAGAAAAAGACTTGAAAGTGGATTTAAATTTGGTGAAACTAAAATTGAATATAGATGCTACTTCACTTGTGTTGGGGTTATGTCCTGATAAACCCATTGTAAATTGAATATATTGAAAGTCAAAAATGCATTTAATACACTGAACCGAACCTACTGAGTGGTATAACTTATCCTAGCCTCCCTTAAATGTGCTCACATTAGACACTTAAATTACCCTACAATTAGGCAAAATAACCTAAGACAAAGTTTATTTTATAATAAAGTATTGAATATCTTGTAATTTATTGAGTGTCTATACTATAAATGAAAAACATAATGGTTGTATAGGTACTCAAAGTACACTTTCTATGAATGCTTGTTGCTTTTGCCCACTGTAAAGTCAAAAAATCCCAAGTCAATCCATCATCCTTGTAAGGCAGAGGCTATCTCCATTTTTAAGGCATTTATTTCAGAGGCACATCAGATACTGCATGGCTTATGGAAATGCTTTGTTCTACCTTTAGCTTTCATTGTTCTGCCCCCACCTTTTTCTTCTGGAATACCTTTGACCATGGCTTGAGAATAGTGTTCAACAGCAGCCTCTTTGTAAAGGTGCCTTGAATATGCTTGTCTTCTCAGGCAGAGGTTAAACACCTTTATTCTGTGTTCCTTTGGCTCTTTGGACACCCATTTACTATAGCATATATAATATTTTATTATAATTATTTGCTTTATGCCTGTCTTCTCCACCAGAGTAAGAACTAACTCCTCCAACCAAGAATTCTGCCATTCACCTTTGTACTCCTAGTGCTTACCTCATAATTAATAAATGAATGAGTGAACTAAAGAAAGAAAAAAATTAATTAATGGCTTTATATTTATAAAACCGAATCTAAAAGGAAATAGTGAATTATATTCTAATGGTTGGAGCAGAAGTATTTTTAAAAATGTTTTATGTTTGCATCACAATCTTTCCACATTACTTTAATCATATATGTAAAATCTTTCTCTCCATCTAGTCATCTGTTATCATTTGGTTTTCATAATCCCTGCCACCACAAAACATACCATACTCTGGACTCCAGAGACACCAGCTCCAACTTTTTTTTCAGTTGATTCATCTTTAAAGAGTCAGAGTATCTTGAATTTGATGAATGTCAGTAGAGCAGCTTGAAAATAAAAATCACTGCATAAGTGCTGAATGTTACTATTGATCATTAAGTATCACTAGACATAACTCAAATGATTTTCCTTATTATAGACATGAAAGTTATTTTTCTAGGCAAAGAAAAGGAACTTATTCATAATATTTTAATCTCAAATGGGGCATTAGTAGTATATAGGATATATATACTCTAGGATATATACTGGAAATCTTTGTCTTTTCCTTTCTGTTACGCTTTGTGGATATAGCTTTATAAGTACTTCTGTAGAGTTAAGGCTATGTTTCTTTATATCAAAATTCTTATACCTATATTACAAATTTTGAATTATAATGCTACTTCAATGAATTTTTCTGGAATGAAAACTTCCAGTGGATTCAGGATGGTGTGGGAGAAGTCCTGGTCACCTAAGTAATAGGGTTGGTCCTAGAAGGAGTGGAACAGACAGTAACATTAGCTCAGATGTGGTTTTCTGGGGTTGGAAGAAGAAAAAGAGAGACTCAAGATTCTTCTTAGACTGGTCAGGGCCGGGCTGAGATGTGCATACATGCCCACTAGCAGGCAGGGTACCATTAACAAGGGAACTCCGAATTGACAGAGCAAGAAGAAATGGTGTGGTAGGCAGAATATTGGTCCCAAAGATGTCCATGTCCGAATCACTGGAATGTGTTGAAATTTTACTTTACATGGCAAAGGAGAATGCATGTCACAGATGAAATTAAGTATTTAGCTGTTCTGGAAATTGAAAGTTTTCCTAAATTATCCAAAAGGGCTCAATGTAATTATAAAGGTCTTTATAAGTGAAAGAAGGAGACAGGTGAGAAGGAACAGAATGATGGTAGCATGAGGACTCAGCCCACTGTGGCTGGCTTTGAAGATAGTGGAAGAGGGCCACCCATCAAGAGATGTGGGGAACTTCTAGAAGCTGGAAAAGTTAAAAAAAAGGAAGTCTCCCCTATGGCCTCCAGAAGGAATGCAGCCCTTCTGATTCCTTGATTTTAGCCCATTGAGACCTGTTTCAGATTCTGGACTACAAAAGATAATAAAGTAATATAATATTATAAAGTAAAAAGATTATAAAGTAATAAAGTAATATAAGTTTTGGTAATTTGCTAGAACACTGAAATAGCAACAGGAAATAAATACACTACTTTTTCTACTTATTGAATGCCATCTATGTTTTTCACATGTGTATCAAATTAAAGATTACTGTTACCTGCTTTTGATAAATTGAAGGTTGACTAAGATAGCACAGCTAATAAGTTTCTGAAAAGTGCAACTTTCCTTTTGTAAACACTTGAGGAAGAA
The DNA here is from genome assembly GCF_000001405.40 of Homo sapiens. Taxonomy (NCBI): domain Eukaryota; kingdom Metazoa; phylum Chordata; class Mammalia; order Primates; family Hominidae; genus Homo; species Homo sapiens. Next base: position 62,568,083 of record NC_000008.11, read on the forward strand.
ATTGCCACACCTAGATATGGGTGGGGTGGAGAAGAAAGAGGACTAAATCATGAAACACAGCATCATGCATCCTATATTTCTTCCTACATTTTATGATAAAGCTTATTTCTGAATTTAAACTCATTAAACAGTATGCATTTTGACTGCATGATTTCAGAGTGGTATGGTCAGAGCATAAATACACTAAGTCCCAGCTCTGAGTTTAATTAGTTGATCATTCTGAGTATCTTCCTATATCTAATAGGGATAGCATCAGATTAGATTAATAAATATAAAAAATTGAAGTGACAAATATTGTCATATACATAGTATTACTGTTTTGTAGGCTTTAGAATATTTCTTTAATATATTTGCCTTTTTCGACACATTGAAAATTTTGCGAAATCGTTTTCACTCTGCCAGTTGATATTCTGAGTCAGTGCACAAGAAAAACAAAAGACTTTCCTGAGTGAATTTGTGATACATAGATGTCCTTCACATGCACTTTTTCAGTTCATCAACTTCCATAAATCTGTCTATTTGCAATGTAATATTCATTCCTCTTTTAACAGAAAACTTTCCTTAAGATGTGATCCACAGTTCCTTATCTCTTAAAATAAAATAGACTTGCCGCACAACATGTAGCTGTTTTCTGAGATCCCATATTGTTTGCCTGGCAAAGTAGTTTACATCTTTATTATTGAATTTTAAGGATAGGAAATCCCCATTTCACTTCTTGAGATATAGGGACTAAAACACATATAAACAGAATTCAAGTAGCCTTTTCAAATATTCTGGAGACAATTTTTTCACCTAGAAGAGCTAGTTCAAGGAACAACCTAGACAATCACACTTGACATTAAGGAAAGTACTCTTCCACTGAGCATGTGCAATTCCACCTCACCTAGCTACATAAGCACTAATGATCATTCAGGCCACCAGGGATGGTACTAAAAACCAAGTAACAGGAAAAGGAGGTGATATATCAGACTACAACTGTCTGTTGGTCGAACTGCATCACAAGCATTACAAATATAGAATTCCTGGATCCATCTCAAAGTCTATGTTCATCCTAAGGCTTATTCACCTGCCTGTAGACACATGGAAACTTCTCCAGAGTAGCTCTGTCTAGCATAGTGGCAAGTCTCCAGGTTATTAGGACTCTGTGGTATTACATGATGAAGTAGGATCATGATACAAATGCTATTGAGCTTTTTTTCAGAGCTCTGAAAATAATACTCTGAAATTACAGTTTAAAATATAAAACTGTACTTGGCCTAACGCATGCTGATGTACATAGAAGTTGGGCTTCATCAACCTCAAGCATGAAAAGTCCCTTGGGAGTTGAATAGATAGGAGAGTTTAGAGCTAAGAATGTGTTAGTGGAGTTGAGGCATATGTGAACTTTCCAGACATAAAAAAGACTACTTCAGGCTGGGCACAGTGGCTCATGCCTGTAATCCCAGCACTTTGGGAGGCTGAGTTGGGCAGATTATTTGAGGCCAGGACTTTGAGAACAGACTGGCCATCATGGTGAAACCCCTGGTCTACTAAAAATACAAAAATTAGCCAGGCATGGTGACTCATACCTGTATTCCCAGCTGCTTTGGAGGCTGAGGCAGGAGAATCACTTAAACCTGGGAGGCAGAGGTTGCAGTGAGTCAAGATTGCAACACTGTACTCCAGTCTGGGCAGTAGAGTGAGACTGTCTGAAAAAAAAAAAAAGCCTACTTCAGTAACCCAAGACTTATTTGAAATGGCCTAGGAAATACCAATTTAGCTAATATGAATGATATTTAGAGCTTTTAAATCACACTTTAAGGAAAGAGTTGATTCTTCATGATTATGAAATATTTATCACATGAATTCCTAGGCTAGAGACTACACACAAGAGAGTAGCAGTCATACAATACACTTTAATTTATTTTGTGAAAGTATCGTTTGATCAAATGCTTTCTTAGGATTCTGCCAATATGTGTGACCCTGTTTTAATCTTTTTCATTGTGTCTACCTGTAGTGAACAGTGGAAAAATCCAAGTGGAATGAGAGTAAAAGGCAGCTCACTTTCCTTATTGTGAAGTTGAATCTCCAGGGGTACTCACTCCACAAGAATGAGCCTTCTTTCTTAGCTCTTCTTTGGGCAGATGCTTATCCTATAGACCAGTTTGGTCAGATACCAAGGAATATATTTAGTCACCTGAAGTTTTCATAGCTCTTTAGTTTTATGTGTAAATTAATGTTTACAATTAAGAATAAGTGTTATGAACAATTATGAAGAATGCCACATGAAGCATTATTCATCATATATGGGTGTATTAATCCGTTTTCACACTGCTGACAAAGACATACTCGAGACAGGGCAATTTACAAAGGAAAGAGGTTTATTGGACTTACAGTTCCACGTGGTTGGGAGGCCTCACAATCATGGCTGAAGGTGAAAGGCACATCTCGCATGGCAGCAGACAAGAGAAGAGAGCTTGGGGAGGGAAACTCCCATTTTTAAAACTATCAGATATCGTGAGGCTTATTCACTATTACGAGAACAGCACAAGAAAGACTCGCCCCCGTGATTCAATCATCTCCCACCAGGTCCCTCCCATAATATATGGGAATTATGGGAGCTGCAAGATGAGATTTGGGTGGGGACACAGAGCCAAACCATATCATTTCACCTCTGGTCCCTCCAAATCTCATCACATCTTAAAACCAATCATGCCTTTCCAACAGGCAGCTCAAAGTGAGCTGCCTTTTACTCTCATTCCACTTGGATTTTTCCACTGTTCACTACAGGTAGACACAATGAAAAAGATTAAAACAGGGTCACACATATTGGCAGAATCCTAAGAAAGCATTTGATCAAACGATAGTTTCACAAAACAAATTAAAGTGTATTGTATGACTGCTACTCTCTTGTGTGTAGTCTCTAGCCTACGAATTCATGTGATAAATATTTCATAAACATGAAGAATCAATTCTTTCCTTAAAGTGTGATGTAAAAGCTCTAAATATATTCTTATTAGCTAAGTTGGTATTTCCTAGGCCATTTCAAATAAGTCTTGGGTTATTGAAATAGGCTTATTTTTTTTTTTTTTTTCAGACAGTCTCACTCTACTGCCCAGACTGGAGTAAAGTGTTGCAATCTTGACTCACTGCAACCTCTGCCTCCCAGGTTTAAGTGATTCTCCTGCCTCAGCCTCCCAAGCAGCTGGGACTACAGGCAAGAGCCACCATGCCTGGCTAATTTTTGTATTTTTAGTAGACCAGGGGTTTCACCATGATGGCCAGTCATGAGGTTGGTTGCCGTGGTCTTGGACAGCTCCACCTCTGTGGCTTTGCAGGGTACAGCCTCCCTCCCAGCTGCTTTCGTGGGCTAATGTTGAGTGTCTGCAGCTTTTCCAGGCACACAGTGCAAGCTGTCGGTGGATCTACCATTCTGGGGTCTGGAGGATGGTGACCCTCTTCTCACAACTCCACTAGGCAGTACCCCAGTGCAGACTCTGCATGGGAGCGCCAACCCCACATTTCCCTTCCACACTGCCCTAGCAGAGGATCTCCATGAGGGCCCCGCCACTGCAGCAATCTTCTGCTGGGCATCCAGGCATTTCCATAAATCTGAAATCCAGACAGAGGTTCCCAAAGCCCATTTCTTAGACTTCTGTGCACCCACAGGCTCAACCCCACATGGAAGCTGTCAAGGCTTGGGGCTTGCACCCTCTAAAGCCTTGTCCTGAGCTCTATGTTGGCTCCTTACACCATAGCTGAAACATCTGGGACATAGGGCACCAAATCCCTAGGCTGCACACAGCATAGGAACCCTGGGCCGGCCCACGAAACCACTTTTTCTTCTTAGGCCTCCAGGCCTGTGATTGGAGGGACTGCCATGAAGACCTCTGACATGCCCTGGAGACATTTTCCCCATTGTCTTGGGGATTAACATTGGGCTTCTCTTTACTTAGGCAAATTTCTGTAGCTGGCTTGAATTTCACCTCAGAAAATGGGATTTTCTTTTCTATTGCCTCGTCAGGCTGCAAATTTTCCAAACTTCTATGCTCTGTTTCCCTTTCAAAACTGAATGCCTTTAACAGCACCCAAGTCACCTCTTGAATGCTTTGCTGCTTAGAAATTTCTTCCATCAGATACCCTAAATCATCTCTCTGAAGTTCAAGGGGACAAAATGCTGCCAGTCTCTTTGCTTAAACATAACAAGAGTCACCTTTGCTCCAGTTCCCAACAAGTTCCACATCTCCTTCTGAGACCACCTTAGCCTGGACCTTGTTGTTCAAATCACTATCAGTATTTTTGTCAAAGACATTCAACAAGTCTCTAGGAAATTCCAAACTTTCCTACATCTTTCTGTGTTCTTTTGAGCCCTCCAAACTGTTCCAACCTCTGCCTGTTACCTAGTTTCAAAGTCGCTTCCACATGTTCGGGTATATTTTCAGCAACACCTCACTCTACTGGTACTAATTTACTATATTAGTCTGTTTCCACACTGCTGATAAAGACATATGTGAGACTGGGCAATTTAAAAAGGAAAGAGGTTTATTGGATTTATAGTTCCACATGGCTGGGGAGGCCTCACAATCATGGCAGGAGGTGAATGACACATTTCATTTAGTGGGAGACAAGGGAAGAGAGCTTGTGTAGGGAACCTCCCCTTTTTAAAACCATTAGATCTCATGAGACTTATTCACTATCATGAGAAAAGCACAGGAAAGACCTGTCCCCATGATTCAATCATCTCCCACTAGGTTCCTCCAACAACGTGGGAATTATGGGAGCTACAAGATGAGATTTGGGTATGGACACAAAGTCAAACCACATCAATGTGTCAATAAGAAACATTGTATTTTAAAGGCACTCCCATTTGTCTCTATATACATTGCTTGAGGATGAAATAAGCAAGCAGGGACATTTCTTGCGTTACTGGGAGTATAGGTAGTTAATGCGGGGCATGGCTAATGATTCATAGACTTGCAGGAAATGTTATTTTCACCTTGGAGCCTCATAAGAAAACACCTGACTCTGCAGGAAGAATTTTAAAACATGCCCCTTCCTCCTTGCCATGACATACAAAATATAGACACATAACATTCAGCCCATTCCAACCTCTCTTAGATATACTTCATATGGTCAAATAACACTAATATTTTATTCAATAACCATACTGAAGACTTTGAAGTTTTTTACAATTTGATTCTTAAAGGTGTAATCTAATAAAACAGTTATAATGACTGTGAAATATTTTTCATGCAGCACCTAGCATGAGCTAGGGTTTCATTCCTCAATTGCAACTACAATGTTTCCTGTGCTGTGCCACTCAGCAAGGCTATTTCAATGGTTTCTTCAATATACATGAAAATCATGCCTCATTTTAATTTTTTGGTATTTTTGAACCATGCTTTCGTTATGTATATGATTTGGTTTCTTTTCCTTCTTACTTCCCTCCTCTCCTCCTTCTTTCTTTCCTGCCTTCTTTTCTTCCTTTTTATTAAGATCCTGATTGCCTTTACTTTGTAACTTTTTAATACAAGATATTTATTTTCATCCTATTCTTTATAGTGTACAGATTCTTACCTACTTTAGCTTTCTTTTAGAAATAATTCCACTGTTCTTTTTTTAAGTGTCTAAGATTTTCAAGTTTTATTTTATTTTGTTCATTCTTTTTAAGCTTTTAATTTTTAATTTTGTGGGTACATAGTAGGTGTATAGACTTATGGGGTACATGTGATTTTATGATAAAGGCTTGCAATGTGTGATAATCACATCAAGATAAATGGGGTATCCATCATCTCAAGCATTCATTCTTGTTGTTACAAACAATCTAATTATACTTTTGTAGCTATTTTAAAATGTACAATTAAATTATTACTTACAGTCACCCTGTTGTATTATCAAATACTAGACCTTGTTCATACTTTCTATTTTTGTTGTACTCATTAACCTCTCCACTTCCTCCAACCCCTACTACCCTTCTCAGCCTCCGGAAGCTATCATTCTGCTCTCTGTCTCCATGAGTTCAATTGTTTTTATGTTTAGCTCCACAAGTAAGTGAGAACATGTGAAGTTTGTCTTTCTGTGCCTGGCTTATTTCACTTAACATAATGACCTCTAGTTCTGTCCATGCTCTGGCAAATGACAGGATACAAATGACAGGATCTTATTCTTTTTATGGTTAAATAGTACTCCATTGTGTATATGTGCCACATTTTCTTTATCCTTTCATCTGTTAATGGACAGAGGTTGCTTCCAAATCTTGGCTATTGTGAATAGTGCTGCAATAAACGTGGGAGTACAGATATCACTTTGATATACTGATTTCCTTTCTTTTGGGTATAAACCTATAAGTGAGATTGCTGGATCATATGGTAGCTCTATTTTTAGTTTTTTGAATTTATTTTATTTAGTTTATTTTAACAAAAATAACAAAATTGGAGGAATCACATTACCTGACTTCAAATTATACTACAGAGCTATAGTAACTGAAACAGCGTGGCACTGGCATAAAAACAGACACATAGATTAATGGAACAGCATAAAGAACCCAGAAATAAATTCAAACCGTTCTCCATAGTGGTTGTAATGATTTACGTTTCCACCAACAGTGTACAGGGTTTCCCTTTTCTCTACACCCTTGCCAGCATTTGCTATTGCCTGTTTTTTGGATATAAGCCATTTTAACTGAGGTGAGATCATATCTTATTGTAGTTTTGGTTTGCATTTCTCTGATGATCAGTAATGTTGACCACCTTTTTATATACCCGTTGGCCATTTATATGTCTTCTTTCAAGAAGTAACTCAAAAACCATATGATCATTTCAATTAATGCTGAAAAGGCATTTGATAAAATTCAACATCCCTTCAGGATAAAAACCTTTAAAAAAAAAACTGGGTGTAGAAGGAATTACCTCAACAAATAAAAGCCATATACAATGGACCAACAGCTAGTATCATACTGAATAGGGAGAAACTGAAAGTGTTTCCTCTAAAACCTGGAACTCAACAAGCATGCCCACTTTCATTACTGTTATTCAGCATAGTACCAGAAGTACTAACTAGAGCAATCAGATAAGAGAAGGAAATAAAAGGCATCAAATTGGGAAGGAAGAAGTCAAATTAGCCTTGTTTGCAGATGATATGATTTTATATTTGGGAAAACCTAAAGACTCCACCAAAAATATAAGAACTGACAAACAAATTTAGTAAAGTTGCAGGATACAAAATCAACATACAAAAATCAGTAGCATTTCTGTATGCCAACAGCAAACAATCTAAAAAAGAAACCCAGAAAGTAATCCCATTTATAATAGCTACAAATAAAATTAAATGCCTAGGAATTAACCAAAAATGTGAAAGATCTCAGCAATAAAAACTATAAAACATTGATGAAAGAAATTTTAAGAGGACACCAAAAAATGGAAAGATATTCCATGTTTATGGATTGAAAGAATCAATATTGTTAAAATGTCTACACTACCCAAGGCAATCCACAGATCTGAGGTGCTCTCTACCAAAATACCAATGACATGCTTCACAGAAATAGAAAAAACAATCTTAAAATTTATATGTAGTCACAAAACACCCAGAATATCCAAAGCTATCCTTAACAAAAATAACAAAATTGGAGGAATCACATTACCTGACTTCAAATTGTACTACAGAGCTATAGTAACTGAAACAGCATGGCACTGGCATAAAAACAGACACATAGATTAATGGAACAGCATAGAGAATCCAGAAATAAACTTATATATCTAAAGTGAACGAATTTTTTGACAAAGATGCTAAAACCATAAATTGGGGAAAGGACAATCTTTTCAATAAATGGGTCAGGGAAAACTGAGTATCCATATGCAGAAGAATGAAACTGGACTCATATCTCTTGCCATATACAAACATTAAATCAAAATAGATTTAAGGCCTAAATCTAAGACCTCAAACTATAAAACTACTAGAAGACAACACTAGGGAAACTCTCCAGGTCATTGGACTGGGCGGATTTCTTTAGGAATATCCCACAAGCACAGGCAACCAAACCAAAAATTGACAAATGGGATCACATCGAGTTAAAAAGCTTCTGCACAGCATAGGGAACAATCAACAAAGTGGAGGGACAACTCTCAGAATGGGAGAAAAAAATTGCAAACTACCCATCTGACAAAGGGTTAATAAATCAGAATATATAAGGAACTCAAACATCTCTATTAAAAAATCTAATAATCTGATCAGAAAATGAGCAAAAGATGCATTTTTCTTTAGGTCTGCTGATTTCACCTTCTCTGGAGCATCTTACTGCCTTTAGATTTTCTTTATTTCTCTACTTTTTTTAAAACTCAAGTTCTGTAAAGGTCTCATTCATTCTCTTCGCTTGGGCATCTCTGCAGAGATCCTCTTTCAGTCCTCTACGCTTCTGCCCTCATCTGGACCGAATGCTTTCTATTTATGCTACATTACAATTTAGTGACTTCCTTCCACTGCTTTTCTGAATCACAACCACTGTTTTCTAGGTGCCATATTCAGTGGTGTGCAGGTAAAAATTTAACATAGGTTCTCGAAACATGCATATAAACAAATTCTAATTTTCAGCATTTTCTGATTTCCATTTTGCAAATATTCCCATCATGGCAGACATCAAGTTCCCAACTTAAGTTCACTGACCATAGAATGGGGAAGGGATGCCTCCTGCCCCCTCAACCAAGGCTAGCATCTCCCCAACACCACAGATTAGAGCCATTTTAACAGAGATATTTCTAAAGAACATTCATCCATTTTCTGACTTAACAAAGCAACTTGGATATAATTTCATCTTATTTGGGGTCTCTGGGTCATTATTATAAATATTACAGTCAAGGGCAAAAAGTGGTGTCTCTAGAGATTATGACATTTAGAGAGAAAATATTAGCCAGTAAACAAAATGGCTAAATAACTAAAATGGAAGTTAGATAGAATAATTAGGTAAAAAATACAATGGTGCTTTGTTTATTTTTGAAGGCTTGTTGTTTTTAGTTACCTTTTCAAATTTATAATACTCAAATCTAGTTTTCACAGTTTGTTTAGTTGTTACAGCTGCCCTTCTCTGTATTCTCGATATGCTCCCTTCTCTGTTTTTCATGACTTTTTATTTGTGCTCTTATTTCTTCCCACCTCAATTCATTTTTTTAAGTTCTCAGGGAATAAATATTAATAAATAGAGAGAGTGCCTTGAATATAAAATGCATATTTTCTCATAAGTGGCATTAATTTGGCTTCCCTTTCATTACCTGTGTTTTCTTTAATATCATAAAAGAGAATGTTATCCATGCATCTACTGACAGAAAAGAAAATGAGTTTTTCTCTTTGAAAGTTCACCTTAAAGCTTTTTGTCATGCACAACTGCTTTAAAATAGCGTGGGTGTTTTTTTGTTGTTTTTTTTTTGGTTTTTTTTTTTGTTTGTTTTTCTGAATGAATGGCCTGCAGCTGCTCTTCAGGGTTTCCTTTTTTTTTTTTTTTTTAGTATTTTAGTTATGTTTGGACATTTAAAAAATACATATTTGTATCACTGATGGCCCTATAAATAAAATGCTGCATAGAAAAGTTCCCAGGAACTAATTTTTAGAGAAAGGTTCCTGGGGACTAATTAGAGTCACAAGCAGAGACAAGCAGGAGGTTGAAAACACTGTGTTGCTTCTTATCTTGCTCTGATATTTTGCGTTTTAGCCATGTCTGAACATTTATGGATTCAAGAGATGAATCCTGAATGTATCCTGAATCATATCACTCCATGATCAGGAAATACCCGTGAAATGAATGTGGGTCTGTTGTGGTTTTCTTTAGGCTTCGCTCTCTTCTCTTTTCCGCCACCGCTTGCTGAAGGCAAATCTTAACCAAGGTAAATTCAGCTTACTGGATAGAGGACATTTCTTTATGTCCAAGGAAATTAAAGCTATTCAAGCATACACCTGCCACATAACTAGAAAAATACCCAGGGAGCCATTTTCATTTCAAAGCTGCAGTTTCCAGTGCCATCAGTATGGCTAATCACTGGATCATTTTATTAGAATTACTATTTTATCAATACAAAACTAGAAAAATGCCTGAAAAGTATAATGATTTGTGTCCAAATACAGCAGGTGATATTGTAAAATTTTTCAATGTAGAATACAAGAAATACTGTTAGAACATAATAATGGCATTTTTGGTATTCACTGGACCATATGAAATGCATCTGTTTCATCATAAATTGTTGTGTATATATTGACACACTTTATAATTGTTTTAAAATGTAGATGTATGTAATACAAATATAATAAACTCTGGCATGTCTAAAATTGTAATGACCTCATAATTTCTGTCTGGTATTCTAAAAGGATGCTATCTAATCCAAGATAAATTTTCTTGTAGGTATATGATCTCAATAAAATGTGATTCAAGGGGGTTAACTCTAGTTTTAGATCAGAGTCTTGAGCCCAGAGTAAGTAAATGAGTAAGCTTCGTTTTGAACAGGTGGTTAGTCATTATCACCACTGGCAATCTTAGGAAAGGAAAAGAAAGAGACAAGATTTGGCTAACGTATATTTCACACAAGAAAGCAGGGATAGGTAGAAGGTTTTTTTTGTTTTTTGTTTTTTTTCCAAAATGGTACTAGTTCTAGTGTCACAAGCCTGGAGTTCTTTGTTTTTGATCCAATTATGTTATACTAAGCCAATCGTTTTATTAAAAATAATGATATGAAATAAGCCAATCACAGAAAGACAAAGTTCACATGTTCTCCCACTTATTTGTGGGAGCAAAAATTTAAAACAATTGAACTCATGGAGATAGAGAGTAGAATGATGGTTACCAGAGGCTGGGAAGGGGAGCGAGGAAAAGATAAAATGAGGATGGTTAATAAATGCAAAAATAGAGGTAGATAGAATGAATAAGATCTGGTATTTGATAGCACAATGGGGTGACTATAGTCAACAATAATTTATCACATATTTTAAAACAATTAAAATAGTGGAATTGGAATGTTCCTAACAAAAAGAAAAGAGGAATGTTTAAGGTGATGGATACTCTACTTACCCTGCTGTGATTATTACATATGTATGCCTATATTAAGACATCACATGTACCCCATAAATATATATACCTATGATGTACCCCTCATAATTAAACATAATTTTTAATATAAAAATAACAATGATAAACTTAAAACATAAAAAATCTGTCTGGATTTTCTACTGTAGAAAATGATTTAAGAGGTGTACCTCTCACTCTCCAGATAGATTTAAAATCTAATTATACTTGAAGTTATAATGCTTAAAACTATCTTAGTATATTTTGAGAGAAGGTGCATAAAACAGCACATGAAATAAGAATGAAAATTCTAATAATAACGGTGACAAAAAGTGTGATTGAAGTTGAATATGCAGACTCCTCCAGCCATGAGATAAAGATTAAAATAGTATGATGATGCTTGGATTCAATGCTAATGAACTTTCTTTTTTTGTTGTAGGTCTCAGCATTAGAGAGGCAGATCTTTGACTTCCTTGGTTTCCAGTGGGCGCCTATTCTTGGAAATTTTCTACACATAATAGTTGTCATATTGGGTTTGTTTGGGACCATTCAGTACAGACCTCGATACATAATGGTGGTAAGTCTTATTTTTATCATTTTGCTTCATATAAACAATTCAAAATTTCTATAAGAATATAAATAAAATATTTCTAAGTGGCCCCTTCTGATATAATGTGGCATTGCTTTTCTAGCCCTCAAATGTTAAATTTTGTTAAGAAGTGATTATCTGTGGAAAATACAAAATAATGAATGTTGTACAGTCAGATCAAAACAACATGCTCAAAAGTGTATGATGACATGGTGTCACTCACAACGTAACTGAATTCAAGTTTTACAAGGAAATTCAAAATAGTGGTTGGATAGAGTAGGAGGTCTGCTTGTAGTCTTGGTAATAGGATAGTTAGATGCAATGTACATTAACCATTAATTTATCATAACTTTCAGTGACATTTGTCACTAACTCCAAAAAACAAATCTTTCTAGCATAATTGTTTAGTCACTGAAAACAATAATGTATTTTAATTTTAATTGATTTAGGACATTACAAGTGCATGTATGGATGGATATTTGGTACACATCCCTAACATTTCATACTGATTGATATTGAATATTTCTCTGTTTGTCAAGATGAATTTGAAACATATATCCAAAACTTGGTCAGCACACACTCCATTATAGGACAGTTTAATGAGGTGTATGCTGTGACCCACAATCTAATGGAAGTTATTCACAGTAATTAGTTGTCTTTTCTATAACATAAAAGAGTTCATTACTATAGGCTACCATGTGAGAAGGTTGTGAGAAATAATAAGCATATATACGTATTGTAAGTTGGAGTAACATACTTTAAAATGTTCATTAAGCCTGAATAAATATACAGTGTTCAGTAGAATTACTAGATATTTTCTTGGGATACACTGATATTGCCTCACTAGAAGAAAATCATAGACTTAAAAACATGCCATCTTTCCATTTTGACATAATCTAATTCCACCTGTGGAAAATAATAAAGTTATAATTTTTCTCTGTTAATCCATTCTCTATTTTGATTTTTAAACTTGGCTTTTTTATTTCTTTCACCATTTCACAGAGATATAGATAACTGAATAGACTGCATTCCAATGGCCTTGGGAGCATTTGATAGCTCTCAATTTGCTGCCAGGGTTAAACAATTTCTGCTTTACTTTCCTTCTCTTAGAAATAGCCTCAACCAGGTACGGTGGCTCACATCTGTAGTCCCAGCACTTTGGGAGGCTGAGGCAGGAGGATTGCTTGAGCTCAGGAGTTCAAGAGCAGCTAGGGTTTTTATATATATATATATATATAGAAATCCAGTGTCTACAAAAAAATACAAAAAGTAGCCAGACATTGGGGGGCCTGTGGTCCCAGCTACTTGGGGGGCCAAGGCAGGAGGATCGCTTGAACCCAGGAGATCAAAGCTGCAGTAAGCCATGATCATGCCACTCCACTCCAGCCTAGGCAACAGAGAGAAACCTTGTCTCAAAAAAATATAAAATAAAATAAAATAAAATAAAATAAAATAAAATAAAATAAAATAAAATAAAATAAAAATACAGTAGCCTCTGCTAAGTAACTACACAATCTCCTAGAAGGGGGTTTCATGGAGTTGGACTTGAGGCCTAAGATGCTTTCATAACATGCATAATCAAGCTATTATCAAATTCTAAATGTGTTCTAGTTTGTTACTATGAATATAGAGCAGTTTTACTCATTACAGACTTTTTGTTTTATGATATTGGTATTCTGCTGCGAAACAAAATACCTGGTGGCTTTGAAACCATAGATGGCTTCCAGAGAATGAAGCTATAGGTAAACACCAGTGACATTTAGTCCTGGTGATTTTACCCTCTAAATGTTAACCGTATGCACTATTCACATAACTGCTGCCTTTGTTGAGGCTTATGCCTTCTCTCTTCTATAGATAGACTTTGCCTCTTATTTTCTACCTTTCTCCCTTCCAATTTGCTCTTTGTACTTTTCTTAAATTACTGGCTTAAAACCACCACTGGGTCCTTAGCTGGATAAGATCTAAGAATATTCTTGCCTGATGTACTTGACCAAACTCATATCTAACCATTCTTCCTTTTTTCCTTCCTTTGTCCCCCACCTTCCTCCCTCCCTCCATCCATCCCTTCTTTCCTTCCTTCCTCCCTCCCTCCCTCCCTTTCTCCCACCTATCCTCCCTCCCTTCCTTCTTTACTTCCTTCCCTCTTTCCTTTTTTCCTTCCTCCCTCCCACCCATCCTCACTCCCTTCCTTCTACCCTTCCTCCCTCCCTTCCTTCTTTCCTTCCTTCCCTCTTTCCTTTTTTCCTTCCTCCCTCCCACCTATCCTCCCTCCCTTCCTTCTATCCTTCCTCCCTCCCTTCCTTCTTTCCTTCCTTCCCTCTTTCCTTTTTTCCTTCCTCCCTCCCACCCATCCTCACTCCCTTCTTTCCTCCCTCCTTTCCTCCCTCCCTCTCTCCCTCCCTCCTTCTGTCTTTCCTTCCTTCTTTCCTTTTTCCTTCCTTCCTTTCTTCCTTCCTTCCTTCTTCTTTCCCTTCCTCTCCCCATCCTCTTTCCTTTACTCACTTCTTTCTTTTCTAACTTTCCTTCTCCCTTTTTTCTTCTACTTATTAATTCAAGAGATATTTATTGAGCTTCTACCCTGTGTTTGGCCTTGTGTTAGGTGTGGACTATACTGGTGAGCAAAAACAGACAGACACATTCTCTGTCTTCCTGGGTGCTTACCTTACAGTGCAATGAAGAGAGGTGTGCCTTTATCAAACAATTGTCCACATAAATGTTAAATTGCAACTGCGATAAGTGATACGAAGGAGCACACTAGCCATGAGATGTCTAATGGGGTATCTGCCTGTAGCCGGGCAATGGGGTTAGGCACCCTGCAGGGAGCTGAGAGCTGAGGTCTGCTCTCAGTATGAGAGTGAGTCACGAGTATGAGACAAGTGTGAGAGTGAGTCCACAAGGGAACAAGGGAGTGAAGGGGGGTCTGGGCCGGAGGCACCACAAGGTCCATAGAAGGGGGACTATCAGAGCAGTTCTGATTTACTCATTAAGCATCTATTGAGGACCTGTACTGTGCTAAGTTTGGAAAAATAGGAAAGAATTCAAATGTCAGAGGCCCTGCTCTGCAGGCACTAACCATGTAAGGAGTGAGGAGGCGCAGGTTCTGGGGCTCTCTAGAGGTGAGTAAATGGCAGTGAAGAGGAATGAGATCATCAGTGGGGCAAGGCCTAGGGGAAGGCCTGAGCCAGGTGTGGAGACCCAGGAGGGCTGAGAGTCTGCACACCTCAGTGTCATGGGCCTCCTGCTGCACCTGCCTCACCAGCCTCATGCTCTGGTAGCCTTGCCTGGTGTTTGTGTCCCGGTCTAGCAATATTTCCTCAGTCTCTCATGGATACCTTCTTCCATACACGTTAATGGTGAATCACTCTCTGCTCCTTCACCTCTAGAGTGTCTTGAGTATGTTTTATAATTTGTTCATGTTTATGTCTTCTAGGCAAAGTGTTCTTTGAGAGCATAGAATGTAATTAGCGCTCAGTACATACTTATTGATTATTTTTCCTATCTAGTGTCCTACTAGTTCACAGAGTCCACCCATGATGAAACTGCTGTCACTTCTCTGCTGGTACTTTTTCCTTTGCTTCCCTCTCTCCCTCCTCCCTCCTATGCGTAGAGGAAGGCAGTTTTAGGTCTTTCAGAATCTTCAAAGAAAAGCATCAACAAGACCAACAATCCATGTTTTTGCTCATCTTGATGGTCTCTTTTTATGGATTATGCCAACCAAGTCTCTCTCATTTTATTTGCTATCTTATTCAGGATCCTCTCTCAGGAAGGGGAGAGAAAGAAAGCAACAAATTTGTGTGAAAGCTGTCCATGCATGTCATTAGGTTTCATTCTCATAAATATCCTACAGGGCATGTATTAGCTTCTCTGATTTCCCAGATGAGAAAAGAGGTCAGAAAGATTGAGCGACTAGCCCAAGGAACACAGGTGGTAGTGGGCAGCAGAACTGGGTGTGTACTGGCCTGTGATTGTTAGGTTCAAGGAGCTGCTAGAGCATGATCTGTGCTTTGCTTTCACTGGCAGATTCCAGATGATAATGTTACCATTGTCAGTATAAGTTGTGATATAGGAAACAGTCTTGGCCTACCTCCCAGTCAGATATTGTTACCTTTATGAAGCTCCAGATTACGTCTTATTCTAATATGGGTATAAATTATCTATTTGATAAAAGTACCTAAAGAATCATTAATCTATGAGTATGAGAAATCTGTTCACAAAAATTGCCTTTTAAAAAAGAGCATGTTGTTATTTGGGAAGGTTTTTTTTAATTCATTCTTGAGTTGTTGTCACAAATGCTTTGGTTTGAAGCTACAACTGGTGGCCTAGAATTAATTCTGATATTTAAAAAAACTGAAAATGAATGTGGCATATGTCCCATTAGAGGCAGCAGCTTTTCAATGGCAGTGAGAAGAGTTCTGGAGCAGAAATCCATACTGACTTTTCACTGTGAGGGGAAAGAGCTTTTTCATTGCAAGAGATTTTCTCTCAAAATTGCTTCTTCTATTTTTAGTATTGTCTTCCTTTATTGGCCAAACCACCACACAGATAGGTCAATTAAATTTAATCCATTTCAAAATAACAAACACTTTGGAGCACCAGGTATGTGCTAAGTGCTCACGCAGAGATTAATAAAATATGTATGTTCACTGAGACAATTTAATAGACCTCTAGTTTTACAAAAACACAGATAATTTACTGCCATTTTGGACAAGAGACAGGGTTCATCACAGCTGAGTTTAAGTAATTGATCACCTTTATGAAAATGTTTTGGGTAAAGGACCATGAGACTCAAGCTCACCAGTGACTAGCTTTTCCAAACTCTTAGAGTCTAAATCAAAGCTTATGAAAATTGTTTCTTTATCTACTTCTCCAGCACCTCCTGCATTCCCCATTTGCCTACCTTGTGCCAGCCACACTGAATGATTTGTGTTTTCGAAAGACCACATGCTGCTTTTGCCTCTTCAGTTTGCACATACTGCTCCTTCTGCCTGGAATGCCTTAATCTCTCTATCCTCTTGGAAAACCTTTAATAATCCTCAATTAAATAGTCACCTTTTACAGGCCTTGCCTGACCACTGAATGCAAGGGAAAGTATCTCTTCCCTTCTGCTACTGTAAATCCTGGTAACTTTCTACCCCAGCACCCTACCCGGCTGTCATCATTGCTTCGCTACCTGTCTTGCCCCATTCAACAATGTGTACTTCTGGAAGGCAGAACTGTGCCCATCTATTGCTGTATTCTAAGCCTATTCCTGTGTTCTAGGCCAATTCCTGTATGTACAGACCATTAGATATGCTTAATACTTGATTGGGCAAACAATAAATAAATCAAAGTTTATTGGATGAAAGGATTTTACAAGATGGAATGGACAGGGACTTTTTTAAAATCTCAGAACATGACAGCAATGTACTGCCTTGCTTATCTCAGCCTGAACTTGGTTGAGGGAATTAATTATATGATAAAATAGTATGTGCTGTGCTGCCTGCACCTACCATTAGCTGACTTACTCCTCAAGACTTATTTTTTTCTAAGATGTAGTGTTGCGAGCTCCTGCCACTATAATTGAGGAGGCCTCTCGGCAAAGACTATTAGAAAAACCACCCCAAATCACAGAATCAAAGATCAATAATTCCCTTCCAGGTACCATCACACTATTAAGGTACAATTTACTATTTCTGTATTTATTTTTAGAATATGAAAACAACTTTGCCACATAGTACTCCTTTACTCATGAAAGTATTTTGGCTAAGGTGCAAGGTGGAATGTGTACCTTAGGGCAGCCATTCCCAAACTTTTTGACACCAGGAACTCATTTCATGGAAGACAATTTTTCCAGAGGTTGGGCGAGTTGGTTTTGGGATGAAAATGTTCCACCTCAGATCATCAGGCATTAGTTAGATTGTCATAAGTAGCCGCAGCCTAGATCCCTCGCATGGGTAGTTCACAATAGGGCTTGTGTTCCTATGAGAATCTAATGCCACGCTGATCTGACAGGAGGCAGAGCTTAGGCAGTACTGGTCTGTGGCCTGGAGATTGGGAACCCCTGCTTTAGGGGAATACTGTGTTCTGTCTTGCGTTTTGAATGGGCCTTATGTGCTTCTTTGGCTATAGACAGTATGAAGCAGTGAAATCATATTTACCCTTCACAAAGCATTGTTGTAGAATCAGTTATTTCCTATCTGTTTACTCCTCGGTCAAATATGTTTTATTCTACTTCTAAATTTAAAAATAAGATTTTTGTCCTATAATTACTTAAATCTTCATTATTTCATGGGTGATAATTTAATCAAGCAGGTTTTAACTCACATGCAGATGAATTAGCAAATTTGTTTAACATTTTTTGAAATAAGATTAACCTTGAAATTAAAATTAGCTCAAAACTGCCTTTAAAAATTTGTAAAGGGTCAAGTGAATTTGAAAAGTCCGCAATTTAGTTATCTGGACTTTTATGCAAATGCTCATGTGCAAAGGACAATTCATTTTAATCTGAATTGTTATATAGCAAAATTTTTCTGCTATGTCAGCATAAATCCCATTCTTGAGTCACTGCTCAACATGAAATTGAGTGTTAGGTTTTGATTCAATTGGTAAATGTCAAACCTAAATTCCTCTTCACCAGTTATTGGCTGTGAAGCCTTGGGATGTTTGTTTGCTTTCCTTTTGCCATAGTTACCTCATTTGAAAAACTTGACCCATGTATCATTTTAAATAATTATATAACGTATATGACTTGCTTACTATAGCCTAACACAGAGTAAATGTTTGACAAATGTTTGAGATGTTCATATGTCTTTTTTTCCCCTTTACTCTACTAAAAAATGTTACAACAATGACTGAGCAAGAAACTTACTCTACATTTTTATTATAAGTCTAGCATATTGTATATGATATTATAGCAAATTGATGTGTATATGAAAGAATGAATGAATGGTCTTTCTCGTAATTAGAAAATAAGCAAGCTCAGAAAGTAAAAATAATTCATATTATAAACTAATTGCTTGATGGGGAAGAAATAGACTGGAAGATGTCCAAAGTTTATTTCCATTAAAAAATGCTGAAATATCCTTGTAAAACTAGGATATATTTAGGAAGCCACATAGAATGCATAAACATTCTTTTTTCATTATTATAGGTCTTGTCTATGTGGATCTGGATTTAAAATATATATACTAAACATAAGCAAAGTAGAAGAGAGATGGAGAGATTATGCAGAGTGATTTTTTTCTTATATTGAAAAGCTTTCTTTACTACAAGTATATTTAATATACCTAAATACATGATGTAAGCCTGCTTTATAATAACCAAAGGGTATTTGTTTAAAAATGGAGAGTCTTATTTTTTAAATTATTGCTTCAGTTGAATTATAAATGAAATAACCCACTTCAAAAAGAAGATAGGGAAGGTAGGCAGTCTCTTTGGCCATTGGTTATCCCAATGCTTCCTGCCTAGCTAAATTTCTATGGCCATATTTGTATCTCTAGCTATCTCTTTTCTTTTATACTCATGATCAGATTTGTGTCTCAAGTGCACATTAAGGTATACTTCATACCTTATAACAATTCAAAAATCAAAAATATATATTTTCTTTGTTCTCAGCAAAGAAACACAAATTTATTAGAAGAAACTTGTAATGTAAATGTACTAGAAGATATTACACAATATTGCTAAAACAAACAACACAAGAATTCCATATTATACATGTCACACTAATTGTAAAATACTAAAGATACTGTCATTCTAAAATAAATTGCCAATTATAGAACATATATGAATAAAAATTTGAGGTAAACTGGTAATTTGGGGAATTGGTCATTTGACAAATTGCTTAATTTGGTGACTGGTTATCTTGCCATGAATCTATAATCCTTTTACTAAAATCTTTTAAAACAAAGCCTACCCTGTATGTTTAAGCATCCCAGCTCTGAAATCAAACTATCAGGTGTCAAATCCTAACTCTGACACTAAATAGGTGATTAAATGATTATCCCTCTACCTCGGTTTCAGTGTGATGATTGAATGACATGATATATGTAAAGCACTTACCACAATACCAGGAACACAGAAAGCACCAGGATAATAACCCTTTTATTGTCAAAAACGTAGGAACTGACAGTTGAGGTTTACATAGCCTGGTAATTTTGCCTTTGCAAGTTCAGAAGTAGCATCAAGATTACAACTTGTGAGAGATCCTGAATATACTTCAATCACCAAGTTTGTGCTATGATCTTTAAATAGATGTGTTTTATTATGCATTTGTTATAACTATGAATTGATTCACTAAAAAATACCTGTGCATTTAGGAATTAGTCCCAATAATTAAGTCCTATCATATGGTTTTGTAATTAATTTAGTTTATTGCCTTACTTTAATATTGCTTTATTTTATGTTCTTTTCCTAATCTTTTTCAATGGCTTTTTTCTCTTGACTTAGAGGTTAGCATTGCTCTCTCATTTCAATATACTTATAATTAGATTTATTTAGAATGGAAGATATCAAACACTAGATGCCATCTTGCTAGCAAGAGCTTCAAAACTTATTGAAAGTTTAAAATTTACTAAGTCCACTCTTACTAGAAGACTTTATGAACAGAATATATTACAGCATCAGCAATACCTGCATATACCAAAAATCTCACTATATATTTTTACTTATCTTAACTTTTTAACATGTTTTCCAACTAAATTTCCAGTGATTTTTGAGCTTTTACTCATTATTATAATTGTATTATCTTAAAAATGAAAGCAAACCTCCTTTCAGAAAAACAAATATATGATGGAACATTAAATGTAACCAGTTATAGGACTATACTACTATATGAGATTATTTTAAAAATTCATAAATGACAGAATACAAAATATAAATTGAATTTCATAAATAGTTAAAAGCTTCTGATAAAGTTTCTATTAGTAACATACCTATATTACACAGAGTCTAAATTTTATAATTCTATTGTTTGGCACAGCATAGAATAAGCTAAATAAATGATTTCAGTATTTATTTTAATTTAAAAACAGTATGCAATGATTGTAATCACTGATAGAAAACAATAATTAAATTAATAAGTCTACTTAAGACATTAAGAATTCATTCATTTTTGTGATAAAATAAAACGAATAGGCAAACTGTTGTATTTGATATGTTATTTGTGTTCTACAGTAAGTACTATCCTCAGTCATCCTAGCTGGTCTGTATGTCACTTTTCTGGGCCTCCATTAGTTTGTCTGCATAAAAAAGTGACTGGATGAGAGGAGCCATAGTCCAATCATTGATTCTCCATTGATGAGTCTCTCGATCTAGGGCTACCTTAATTAAGACCGACTAATACTCTGGGAGAAGGTATTTCCTAATACATAATATCTTAATAAAATCAATTAATCAGTAAGACCAGTAGGTTTAAAATTTGTTGGCTGGATATGATTGGAAGATATGAAAATCTGTTATTCATTTCCTCATTCTTAATCCTATTTATTAATTTCTCTGCTTTAAAATATTTTATATGGTTATATTTTTATTATATGATCATATTAGAGGCACACATTCTACTAATAAAATAGTCCAACAAACGAAAGTTTGTTAATTTTGTACTCCACGCATGTTTTCTTCAAACATGGTCTTCTTTCAGTCCTAGGTTTCCATAAATATTCCTTAAAATGTGACAGTTTTATACTGTAACTTAAAGATGATAGAGAGCTCACAGAAGATTTGCATAGTTGTGTTCCCTAGAAAAGATAATACTCAGAAAACAGAAATCAAATCAACACTTTGGTTTAACTTGTACCTGGAAGCCAGCAAAGCACTTTAAAAGTAAATCTAACTTTGTTGGTGTCTACTGAAAGCAGTAGAAATTATTGAATTTTTAATTTCTGGAAAGCTTAGGGGACCACATAGAGAGCACTCTTTTCTGAGCGCTCCGTCAGTTTCTTCCCAGAAGACAGACTTATTGACATTTTTATTATTGATTTATTTGATATACATGCCTTTCATCTCCATATTTTTCTTCTCTTTCTCCCTCCCCCATTTCTATCTAGTATACAGTGTGGACTGCCCTCTGGGTCACCTGGAATGTGTTCATTATCTGCTTTTATTTGGAAGTAGGTGGACTCTCAAAGGTGAGTTTATCATGCTTTTAAAGTACACTTTAAAATGAGTACACTTCTAAGTATTGTGACTACATACATATATAGGTATATTGTGTGTGTGTGTGTGTGTGTGTGTGTGTGTGTGTGTGTGTATAGAATGATAAAATACTATTCAAAGAAGACTTTAGGTACCACTTAGGAAAGAATGATCTTAGGAGTGTGTTAATATCATGGAACTTCAAAACAACTGCCTTCTGGTTTAGTTTGTTATACTGAAGTGGGACTGAACTTACAGTGTATCCTCATGTCCATTTTAAAAAGACATAATACCATAGTGACTGCAGGCCTAAATATTAAGTAGAAAATGGTTTTGAACATGCTTGTGTTTAAAGTAGGAAAAGGGATTGATGAAGATGTTAACGTAACAGACATGAATGGCAAGTTTCTATCTTTGCTGGAATATTAATTCTGGAAAAAATTGACCAAGAACAAAACTCTTATATTAAATGTTTACTAAGAAGTAAATGCATCAGCGTGGTGATTCCTATTTTGAAATTTTAATCACACAGAAGACAGTTGTCTTAATGCAGCAATGATACACACGTTATTTCTGCCTGTCTAGAACTGTCAGCAAAGCACATGATTTTATTATGCCTCCTGCAAAAATGTCTCACCACCCAAATGTAAGAACAACTTAAGTTTCTAGTTGTGTTTCTTAAACAGTTTTTGTGTGAACCAGCACAATTTTCACTATAGAGAAGAAACTTAACAGTATTACAAAAAGTATAAGAAAGCTGTCATATTTTAAAACTTCTCATTATCAAATATATTTATACTAACTTATTCTACTGCTTTATAACAGTCTCAGATTTTCTAAGTAATGCACCTGTGGCTTAGATTTTAGAAAATGTGTCTTGAGCAGCAAGGATACTTTAAGAATTCTTAGGTTCCATTGAAGTCCTTGTGGTAACAAAACATGTTTGATTCAGCCAAGCAGCAAAAATCCCTGAAGGATTTTTCCAGAGCCTCCAGAGGTGGTTACTCTTTTTTCTCCACTATAATAACTGTAATTAGAACTTGTCACCATTTGCTCACATTGGCAACTGTATTCAGGAACCAGAAGCAACGTTTCCAATATTGAGTTCAGTATATTTGGACTAACATCTCACTTAAATAATTGTGCTAGCGATTGTAGTTCACCACTAATTTCTAAGATATAAAAAAGTAATTAAATTAATGTCTAGTTATATTCTATAAATTCAGATTATGAAGTAATTTTCAAATGCAAATCTTATGAATAAAATAATTGCAAATAATATATTAAGCACAACATTTTCAACTCACTGCATTTTGTATCTTGCGATTTGGATGGTCATTTTAATCATATTTTTTATTTCACTGGGTAGAAATTATTTTTTCTTCTATATACACTAATTTGGGATAAATTAGACCAGAGAAATTTGTCCTATGGAATTGGCTTCATAGTATTTTGAAAGAAGGCTGAATTTTGAATCATAAGTCTTGAGTCCAAATCTGGTCTTCAGCACTTATTAACTGTGAACTCTGAGGCAAATCCTTTGGCTCCATGGAGTCTCTATGAAAAATAATAAGACCAGATTTTCCAATAATAATAGTAGTCAGTGTTTATTATACACATGATATGTGGTAACTCAGGTAAGCTTTGAAACAAATCTATGAAGTAATAAAACAAATAAATAAGTATCAGCAGTCATTTTTTTCATATAACTCTGATTTCCCACTGCTATTCAAGGTTATTTTTGTGAATTTTTGTAACTGCTTTTCTAATATCCATGTGCATGTCTAAAAGTTTTTATCTCATTTCTTTGGGGACAAGGTTGAAAACATGGACATAGTAGTCCTGGTTACTCATTTTATTACCTATTTAAATGCCATTAAGCAGTCAACCAAGTATTCTAGGTCATTAAAAAGATAGATGACTCCAAAAGGAGCATCCTAAAGATTTTCTGTTGGTCTCCTATTTACTGCCTCAAAGACTGGTAACATCTCCCTTGTTAGTCACAGTTTAGCCTCAATTCCAGTCTATGGGAAATCTATTTTGGAAAATAAAGCAAAGTTAAGGACCCTTGACAAACACAAATACCAGCCACTTTTCCAGGTTCGTTCCATTGTGTAGGAAACTCCTCGTCCATATGAGTTGGTTTATATACTAACTTTCTAGATTCTCCATCTCCTGCTAGTTCATGAAGATACTTCTTGGAATTATCCATTTGGATAGATTAATAGAAACCTCCCTATGCTGTCAATTTGGTCCAAAATATACATTCTGGGATAGTGAATCTTTCTTTAAAAATGGGGTCCAGAGTGATTTCCACAACCTCTCTGTGGATTGGGGTGTTATTCCAATGACAGACATGGCCTATGAATAGCACATTTGTACGCTAAGGTGTTCTTTTGCTGACAATTTGCATTCATGGAGTGACAGCAATCCTGTCTTACCTGAAAGATAGTGAGCTGTCTCATGGGCAGGAAAGCCTGGAAACTGAGATTCTTACAATGCTGGGCAGGCTGACAGTGCTGCATACTCTTGTGTTTTAAAAAGATCATTTTAATTTCTAGTAAGGTAAATACTGATAGATGTAATCCACATAAGCAAAAGCTGTTTAGGATCCTCATTAACATTTAAGACTATAGAAAGAAACTGAGGACAAAAAGCTTGAGAACCACTCCCATAGAGTAACCAATATAACTAAATAACTAATTAACTAACTAAATAAAAATAATGCAAACAGTAAGAAACCAAAGCAGATGTTACAAATAAAAAACAAATAACGATATGGTAGATTAAAACACAACCATGTCAATGACTATATGAAATGTAAATAGACCAAGCACTCCAGTTAAAGACAGAGATTAGAACAATGGATTTTTAAAATGACAATAGTTAATGTTATTTATATGAAATACACATTAAACATAAATACATACATATATTTAAATTAAAAAGATGGAAAATATATGCTATGTAAACGATAATCAGAAGAAAACCTCTGTGGTCATATTAATGTCAGAAAAAAAGTAGACTTCAAATAAAGAGTATGAATAGAGATAAACAGATGTTTTACAATGATAACAGGATCAATGTATTAAATAGACAAAATAATTCAAAACTACACCAAATAACTGAATTTTAGAATACATGAGGTAAAAACTGGCAATATTAAAGGGGGAAATTGACAAATCCATTAACATAGGGGGAGAGTTTAATACTCCTTTCTTGCTTATTTAGAGAAAAAGTAGACACAATTCAGTACAAAATAAAATATTTGAACAACACAAAGTCAAACAATGTGTCTGTCATATAGAGGATATTACCTTAAAATTACAATTTATATTTTCTATTCATGTGCATATGAACAATGACCAAGATGGCATTCTGGGCCATAAGCAAGTCTCAGTAAATGTTGAATGACTGAAATAATACAGATAATATTCTCCCACCACAAATACAAGAGTAATTTATAATTGTTAATAATTCACAAATCAAAGAAGAAATTTAGAGGAAAATTGAAAAATAAAAGTACAAAATTAAAGTACATAATTAAAAAAAAATCTTCTTTGTGGATGAATTCCTATCAGTGTTTAGAGGAAGAAATGTAGATTTAAGTTGCTTATTAGAAAAAAAGAAAAGTTAAAAATCAGTGATATACACTTCCATCTTAAGAAGAGCAATTTGACTAATATCTCATAGTTGGTTCTTTGAAAAGATTAATAAACTAACAAGCATGTAGTAAGGTTGATCCAAAAAAAGAAGAAACAATACAAATTATCAATTCATTAAAGAAAGAAGTGACATAACTACAGATTCAACAGAAATTAAAAGATTAATAGAAAAAAATTAAACAATCAAAAATATTGATAGCCATGAATTTATAATTAAAAATCTTTCTACAAAAAAATCAAAACAGAAACAACCGGTATGCAATTGGTTAAGGAAACAGAATTTTCTGTTTAAAAATTTTGGGGTTAGTAGAAAAATGTCACCTTGCTAGAGGGAGTAACTTTCTGCAAGCCTCTCAGGTAAAAACTTAGAACAAAAGGCAATAGTTAAAGTTTAGTCTTCACTTCCCCCAAATCTGGGCTCTGTGTACTAGCAGATCTGTTAGGTGGGGATCCTCAGTGGGGGTCTGTTCAGATGTTGTCTTTAATTTCTATAGGGAAAGCAAACATCCCTGGAGCTTTAACTCCCTTGGCTATTGTTAAGACTACTATTACCTTCTTGTTTAGCAAGTTACTTAATTACCTCTGGGGCTAGCCAGATGCCTGGAATTTCTCTTTAAAAAAACTTTGGGGTTTTTCTTTATTTCCCTGCTTGGAGTTTTGCAGGACTTCAAAAAAAAGGTCAGGGTGGAGGTCCTTGCTCAGGATCAATCTATCAAACATAAGAAATACATAATGCTAATCTTACTCAAACTCCTACAGAAAATAGAGGAGGAGGGACCATTTCACAAATAATTTGGTGAGCTAACATAATCCTGATACCACCTTATAGACAAGAATTAAATTGACATCTATGTTTTAGCAGTCCTTGGCCATCTCTCCAGGAAATTCCTCATTAGCCATTCTGCCAAGAGGGACTCCACACGGTGAATTGTTTGTCACCACCTGATCTTCCCTTCTCTTCACTCCCAGGCTCTTTGCTAAGATCAAAATTCTTGCTCCTTTATAGATCAAATCAAATCAGCTCTACCTTTTTGTTTCCCTCACTAATCCAAGCTATTTCCAGACATCCTCACTTTCCTTATCTACAAAGGCCCAACCAAATGTTTTCCTTAAAAATGAGCTCTCTGTCCTGCAGATGAGAAATGTCACTCTGTCACATGGCAGAAGCATCTATAGTCAGATTGTATTTAAAGACTTTTTTAATTCCCCATTACATTTCACTACATTTTGAAGTGGTAGTTGTTATCAATCTTAATAGTTTGTTCTACTGGAAATAGACAATGACTTTAGATTTTGTTTTCTTTCTTTCTTTTCCTTCCTTCCTTCCTTCCTCCCTTCCTTTCTTCCCTCCCTTCCTTCCTTCATTCCTTTCCTTTCCTTTCCTTTCCCTTCTTCTTTTTTGTCAACAGGGTAAGGGTTCTTTTTGGTTAGAGTTCTTTTCTCATAATAAAAAATATATATTACATATATAAGTTGCAGAAACTAGAAAGACAAGAAGAAACACCATTTTTGCTTCAAACATTTGAAGACCACTGCCGTGAATATTTTGATTCCAGTTTATTCTCATTCTGCTGTGTTTCCATGGTTTTTCTCTCCTGTTTTTCTTATTATTGTTGAGATAATACTATAGAGAAAATTGACATACTGACTTTTTAAAAATTGGACTTAATGAAAAACATTTTTATGTTGTTACTAAAGTCATGGTTAATATTTTTAAATTTTGTGTAATATTACATCAATCATGAATAGTTATTTTTTCTGCTCTTTCTTTAACAGGAGATGTTAAACGCTTCTGATACATTTTGCTGAATTTCTTCTCCAAAAAGCATACCATTAGCTGTAAAATATGAGTATCTAGAGTGTCATTAGCACAAGTTAATCTGTTTCACCATTTGGGGTTTTTTGGGGCTATTTTCTTTTTTTTTTTTTTTTTTTGCAGTTGCAAGATTTAATAGAGTGAAATAGAGTGAAAACAGAGCTCCCATACAAAGGGAGGGGACCCAAAGGGGGTTGCCATTGCCAGCTCCAATACCTGGGTTTATATCCCGATCCTTGTCCCTCCCACTGTGCTCTCAGGCAATAGATGATTGGCTATTTCTTTACCTCCTGTTTTTGCCTAATTAGCATTTTAGTGAGCTCTCTGATTGGTCGGGTGTGAGCTAAGTTGCAAGCCCCGTTTTTAAAGGTGGATGTGGTCACCTTCCCAGCTAGGCTTAGGGATTCTTAGTTGGCCTAGGAAATTGTTGGGGACGTTGGCCGACAACAACTCTAACTGCTTCCTGTTGAATTGGGGTGTAGTAGGGGTTGTGCAGTTGAGATTTCCTCGGGAGGGGTGCCTTCGATGTCATTAACATCGGAGCATGGGCTAGCAGGCCTGTCCAGGGGTCTATGGTAGCTCTTAGTCATGGACTGCATCTGGAGCTCCATTTGAAGAACGATTTGTAGTTTTACAGCTTTGACTCTGAAAGAGACAAACTTAACAAGGAGGTTAAAGATACAAGGATTGAAATGTATGGCCTGCAGTGCAGGGGATTACTTGTTTGGCACACTTTACAGGCCCTGACTATATGCTTGATAGTTTTGAAAAGGCCTGATCCAGTAAATAATAATTTGGCCATCTGATGGGTACTATCAATGCCTAAGTGAAAGGTTTGGTGAAGGGTTTTAAGTAATTTCCATTGGTTAGCTGCAGGCAAAAGTATTTTTTCTTCTTCGGTGGCTAGCCATCCTGAGGGGAGGAAACTATGTCTTCGTGAGTTTCCTCATTCTATTTCTTCTTCTGAGTACTGGGGCTTTGTTTCCTGGAGGTGATTACTCCATACTAGGGGTCCTTCTATAAGCATTTCTAATGGAGGGTCCTGCCTTGCAGCTCTTTTGGCTTCAATATCCACTGGGCAGTTCCTTTCTATTTCCCTTTCCTTTCCTTTCTGGTGACCCTGGCAGTGTAAGACTGCCACCTTTTTAGGTTTCTGTACAGCCAATAGTAATCTCCTAATGGCTTCCTGATGTTTGACAGGTGTTCCCTCGGAAGTTAGGAATTCCCTTTCTCTCCATATTGCTGCATGGGCATGGAGGACGATGTAAGCATACTTAGAGTCTGTATATATATTTACCCTTTTCTCTACCCCTAATTCTAGTGCCCAAGTGAGGGCTATTAGTTCTGCCAGCTGAGCACTAGTTCCTAGAGTGAGGGGATTACTTTCAAGTATTCCGTTATCACCGACCACTGCATACCCCACTTTTCAAAGTCCTTTTTCTACAAAGGAACTTCCATCAGTATACAAGTTGAGGTCTGGATCAGTCAAGGGAACCTCTAAAAGGTCCCCTCGAACAGCATAGGTTTGAGCAATTACTTGTTGACAGTTATGTTCTATCTTTTCTTCATTGTCTGCAAGAAATGTGACTGGGTTAAGAGTTGCACAAGTGCACAGTTACAGCACTGGCCCTTCAAGTAATGGAGCCTGATATTTAAGTAAATGGTTGTCTGACAGCCACAAGTCTTCTTTAGCAGTGAGTATGCCGTTCACATCATGAGATGTCCACACAGTAAGATCTCTTCCCTGTATTATTTTAACTGCTTCTGATACTAAGACTGCTACTGCTGCCACTACCCATAAACAATGAGAACAACCCTTTGCCACTACATCAGTTTCCTTACTCAGGTATGCCACGGGTTGCAAGCTGGTCCCTCGGACCTGTGAAAGGACTCCTAGAGCTATTCCTGTTTCTTCTGTGACATATAAAGAAAAGTCTTGCCCCGTTGGCAAGCTTACCACTGGGGCTTGGGTTAGGGCCTTCTTTAGGGCCTGGAAAGCCGCTTCTGCTTCATGTGTCCATCTTACTAAATGGGTATCGGCTTTCTGAGTTTCCTTAATTAGTGTGTATAATAGCCTGGCTATTTCGCTTTTCATGGTGAAAAGAAAATTCTTATTTCTTTGTTTAAAGAATAATTTTTTTATTTCTTCAAAGTTGAATATCTCCTAATGTGTTTGATAGTCGGCTTTTATTTTCACTTTTTGTTAATAGGGTTTGTCTTTTTGTGTTTTAGTGATGATGTTTTTAGGCTTTAGTCTCTATGGAACATAATTTTGTTCTATTTTTCAAGGTGAAAATCTGAATAGGTATTTTTTACCAATAACTGACCAATGGCAAAAACAAAATTTACTTAGTAGGCTTTTCACTGGTTTTGCTTTTTTATGATATAATACATTTCTATAAGATCTATTTCTAGAATATCATCATTTTCGGCACATACTACTTTATATTAGTTTGTATATACTTTATAATAGGAATTATCTCTCTGCAATCCAGTCTTCCCAAGTCTATGACTTAACCTCATACATTTGGTTTACAGATGATTTTAGAATAAATCTGTTCAAATATATATAATGTATATTATATATCTCATTTTAGTTTTGTTTTTGTTCATTATGTTTAACTTTTAATTTAGGAAAGATTGAGAAAAATTTATGTTAGAGAATTCAGGAGGAAAGTTTTGAGTAACAGAATCAATCACAGAGGATGTGAACTAAAAGTTCCAACGTCAAACTCCTTATGAACTAGTCATCACGGATTGTGTTAATATTCTTGGGTATCACTTGACAAAAATTATTTTTTCAGTTTCCTTACTCCTTAGTTTAGCAAGGTACAAGTTCTTGATCCATGACCAAGAAGTATAAGGCATGCAGACACCGGAGAGTGAGTAAGGCAGAGTAGGATTCATTAAGCAACAGAAAAGCTCTCAACAGCAAGAGGGGAACCGAAAGTGGATTGCCAGAAATGGGGCTGAGTTTGGGTCTTTTATGTGGCAGAAACAAGGTAGTCTTCTGTGTGTTCTGCCTTAATGAGAGAAGTAAAGCTGCCCCCTGTGGGTGTTGCATCTGTGTATGCCTAAGGTTGGCCAGAGTGACTCCATGTTGATTATTACTCATGAGTGCCTAAGCGAAACCCATAGAGGGAGGGTGGGGACATAACTCCAATGTTAATGATATTACAATTGGCTCTGGGTCAAGTTAAGGACATTTAGTGGATTTATTTTGCCTTCACCTAAGTTGGGACAGTCCCTTCTGAGCAGACATCCTGGTATAAGAGGAAGTTCTTAACCACGTTTCCACCCTGCTACATAGGGGCAGTGCAGATGCATTCCCGCGGGTTCTGTCTCTCTCCTTAGACCCTCCCTCTGTGTCTGCCTAGCCAGCCTCTAACTGTCTCCTCTCTCTAATTCATGTCCCTTC
This sequence comes from Homo sapiens, assembly GCF_000001405.40. Classification (NCBI taxonomy): domain Eukaryota; kingdom Metazoa; phylum Chordata; class Mammalia; order Primates; family Hominidae; genus Homo; species Homo sapiens. The sequence goes on from NC_000008.11 coordinate 62,598,701, forward strand.
TAATTCACGTAGAAGGGACACTGTGTTGGAGGGACAACAGAGGTCAGAGAAGTAGGAGGCAGGAGGACTGGGTTTGGAACAGCTAGGAGCTTAGGTAGACACTGGAGGCTCAGAGGAATGACTGTCTTGTCAGAAAGGCACAGCTGAGATGCAAACAGGATCCAGCTGTTGTCCACCTGCTCACTATTTAAATTACTAGGGTGTGATGGAGGGTGTAATGATCCCAGCTGGATCAACATCTGCCTCTTTGCCACAGGAAGACAGGGTTCAAGATTAGAGGTCTCACTGATTCCATAAGCTGGGAAAAAACTAATTTCAATACAAAACAAAATGGGGTAGTCTCAAGAAAAGAGAGACAACCATGGCCACCACAGAGCATGTCTTAATCATTCTTATCAACTAGTAATGTATATTCTCATGGGCATAAACAATTATGCCTCTTGCATATTATGGGAGTCTTGATCACAGCCTCCAGATATTCCCTTTCCTTTTGTCTCATCTGCCAGCCTGCCCTGCAGCAGGCATTTGTTACCGCAGGCTTGAGTGTTTTAGTTCTCCCCATGCCTTTCAGCACTTGAAGGTAATGGATGCCTTGTTTTAAGGAATGTGTATATGTATGGTGGGGTGGGGAATGACTGTGGGTAGGTAACTAAAAGTGTCTGTCTATACTTGGGTAATCTCCTGAAGCCTCAATTTCCTGTTCTGCAAAATGAAGAAAGCCACAACAATAATCGCACTGGGTTGTGGAAAGAATTAAATAATACCTATGCAGGGCTTAGAAATGATCTTGGCATATTGTGAGGTTTCAGTAAATGGTGGTTCTCATTATTACCTTCAACATCATCATCTTTATTATTATTGGAGAAATTAACAGACATCACAATCCTCATCCTGAAAACCTTTGGGATGTATTTATTACTATGCAAGAGCTGTAAAAGGGAAGAATTGTAGGACTGAGTGACTCGTTTAAAAATATGAAAGAGTCCCTTGTGATAGGACCTCAGATCTGCATTTTAACTTCACAGCTGTAACAGTATTAATTAAATCATTTCCTTCAACATGTAAATAGCTTTTTGACATACATCTGCAGCCAGATTCTCCTGGTGTCCCTACCACTTCCCCTAGGAGTACTTTAAGCATCTTTGGAAGTCTCCAAGGCTGTTTTTCTTGCCACACTTTAAGATCATCAAGGGCACAATTAATAAGTTATTGCTGCTTGTTTGGAAGTTACAAGACTTGAAATAATTTTTTCCTCCTGAGGAATACATTTGGAATTAAATATGAAAACCCATCTTATTTGCTACACTTAAAGATAAAGAACCCAAGTTTTAATACTTTTATTCCAAAGAAATTAGTCCAATCTGTCTTAATGGCATCTTTTAATTATTTTACATTTAAAATAATTTAAAAATTTCTAGGTACATTTTACCTAGAAAATTTAGGTTAATATTTCTCCTAATTGACTTATCTTGAAAGGTTTGGTACTTACATATTAGTAGTCTTAGAGAATTTTCAATGTGTCACATTTTCATAGAATTCTGAACCTGTACAACTGTGCATAAGCATAACTTTGACATAAAAATGAATGAAAGACATTCTACAAGGACTTATTTTATATTAATCATGAGCTTTGATCAGGGGCCTTCTAAAATCTTATAGGCAGGGGACAGGGGAGGAAAATGGACTAACTCTTACTGGTTTCCTACACAGCACAGGGGCTTCCCATCAGTTTTTTTCCATTTTAACCCTACCTCAGAGGTAGACATTAGTATCTTTATTTTATAAATGAGGAACCTCATCCAGGAGAGGCTAACTTGCTCAAGGCACATAGCAGTAAACTGAGATGTCAGGTCTTAATGCTTCCTTCCGAAGGTCACTTCATTTCCCATTATAGCAAGTTGCTTCCTACACAGAAGGAAAACCCACCTGCATTTGTTTCTCTATGACATGTTTTAACAGCTATGCTTTTTCTAACTTGTGGGCATTTTGATTCTTGGAGAAATTTAAGCCATTTCCTCAGAAGGCAATAATAGCACCTTATTGTCCTCTTTTGACTTAAATTTTTTGACTTAAATTGACACCATCATTCATGAGGGTCCTCTTTTTAAATCTTTAGTTGAATAGTTCACCTGAGCAGCCAGGCAGCATCAGTGAAATAGTTCTTCCTCTTCAAGGCTCATTCTTATTACTTACCTTGAATTGTTCCTTTGCACTTACTGGGAAAATTTTTTGTCTTGATCAAGATTCATTTTCCTTCAAGGTTGGATTCTTCTATCAACTTTAGCTTTTGGGCAGGCAATTTCCAGTAAAATATTTTAGACCGTCAATTCAGAGTTCAGTACATGAACAATTGCAGAGGAAACAGAACTCTCAGTTTCCCTCAGCTGCTTACAATCTATCCATTGTCTTTTATAAACATTCAAATATTTTTGCATCTCATAGAGTTCTTTTTCTGATGGTAGTTTGAAATTAAATCAAGGATATATAGCATCTTTCCTTTTTTATTTAAACAAATACAACCTACTGAATCTAGTAAAGTTTTTAAGTCATATTTATATTTTCTTTTTGATATCTTCCTACCTGGACATTTTTCAAAATGAATCCTAAAATGTGATGTTTAAAGAGGAATGGAGGTAGGGTACAGAATATCTATATTCAGAAATAGTATATCTGGCAAATTGTACAGAAATAGCATCCTAGAATCACAGCCAAACTATGCCCACTTCTGGAACTACAAGAATAATATCCTATGCACTATTCTGTATCCTGAAGTAAATGGATCTATCTATATCAATGGACACTTTGGGAAAGATACATATTCATTTCACTAGAATAACAAAATATTTCAGGTTCTGAACTAACATATTAGTAGGTATGTATCCTGCTGAGCTAAAGGAATATTTTTGTCTATAATATTGACTGATGGTGGTGGTAGTGGCTGTGAGTATCTGCCCACTTATTAAGGATCTGTAAAGGGAGAATCATCACAATCTGCTTCCAGGTACTAAATCTAAATGAGAACAAAAGCCTGAAAATGTTTATTGTTATGTTTGGTTCCTGCACAATCTTTATCCAAAGAGACGCAATTATATTCTTTTAAAAAATAGCAAGGAAATGTAAATATAGGTGTGAGTTTCCTATTCCAAAAATTTAAGCTACGTCTTTTCCTTTGGCATGAGTCTAAGTGAACATAACTTCTAAAAATACAGTCCTCAGTTTCTTTTTTATAGTGAGATAATTTGATTCCTCCTGTAGCTTTTCTACAATAAAGAAAATCACAAGCAAGGTTAAGCTCAGTCTTATATTTTTCATAAATTTCATCAAATACAAATACCTCAAAAATCTTTATCCTAAAAAGCCAATTTGAAGCTACATTATAAGCCAACGACATATATAAAACACAATCTAAACTACCAAGTAATTGCCACAACCTGGGTAGTATTAAGAGTTTTTAATCAGAAATTTGTATTGTAATCTTATGCCTTTCCATAAGGGTTCAAATCGTTTTTACCAAGGAGTAGATGAATATATTATTCTATCAACAGTAGCTGTATTTCTTATTATATGATTAGAATCACTTATTGAACAAAGCCTATGCAAATATAATTGAAACACTATCCAGAAATATGTTGTCTTTGCTCTTTGTATTTTATCTTTTCTTCTTCTAATGAAAACACACCTGAGATCAATATTTAAAGATAAACATTTTACCTTTGTATCTAGTTTATTGACTCAACTCATGGGATAATAATCATGAAATGGTTTTATTTCTTTGAATAAACTGCTTCCCCAATCTTCTGCCCCAAACCCTCTTTCTGTTTCATAAAACATTGTATACAGAGTCTATGACAACATTGGTCATAAAAAGCTTGTTTCATGTCTGATTCACATCTATTCTTTCCCCTTACCAAAGCTGACCTTGTTTTAGGCCTTGACCTCTCCCTGATCCCAACTCTACTCTGGGACAAGAAACAGGAGGTAGTGGGTCTTCTTACATAACCAGTCTTAAGATTATGCTGGAGGGTTTGAAGGATCCTGATCTCATAATGATGTTGGTCTGTTCCAGCTACTGCTAGTGGCCTCTGCTGATGAATCTCCAAACATGGCAAATTCTTCCACTAACTTCAATAAGTCAATATTTATTTTTAATGAGTCTATAATTATTCTAATACATGAAAATTTGTTAACATTTCAGAACATTACATAGCATTAAGCCATTCTGAGTAGACTCCAACTGCTGAGCTGAATTTTCACGTAAGCATCATTATCAAGAGAATTTTGGTGCTGTGAAGAAACCACACTTTTATAGCTTATATTCAAATGCTTTTCTGTGTTTTTGAAGACAATTTAAAACTACTGCTGCAGAATTTTTCATGCAGTCGATTGAAGATAAGATCATTGTAGAAGAACAATACGTAGAACCATTATTCTTATAAGTGACATTAAGATTTGGATTTTCTTGTGATGTTGATTTGCTTCGAATGCAAAATCTTAGTGTTGTGACATGTCAATTAAGAGTACAGTCTTGATGATGAAGAATTTCTGGTGACATTTGCAACAATTAACAAATTATAAAAGAGACCCTGATAAACACGTTTTGTGACATTTATTTAGTTTTTAAAACCAGAATAGCAGTGTGTACTACTGGATAGCCTTATAAAATAAAACTGCACCACATGGTGAGATTATGATTGATGAGTATTAAGCTGAAGTGCCCTGCAGGAGCAGAGGAGCCTCAGATAACAATTACTCAATGCTACTCCCACGTATGTTACAGAGGCAAAACTTAAGTCATTTAAATTCTTCGGATAAAATTTTTCCATGTAGACAGTTGAAGGAAAAAAAACACAGATAATATTAATCATTTCTAAACAGTTATTTTTGCACAGAGAAAGTTTGTCTCTGAGCCCCATGCTATAATGGCATGAGGAATTATAGGCTGAGGCTTCAGATTGAACTTAATTAGTGTCTTGCACACATATGGCCCTGGAAGCATCTGTGCATCTGATTTGTGCTTCCTCTGGTTGTGGTTGTCACTGCAACTTTGATATTGTACCAGCTACCTTAGCATAGGAGTCAGGATCCCTGACTCAGGAAGGATAAGTTTGAGAATGCAAGGTAGAGAGAATTCTGAGAAGATTAAATCAAATATATGAAGAAATATGTGAAAAATGATTGGTCAGATTAGTGTCAAAGCTGAGAGAGGTGGAAAGAGAGAAAGGTTTTGTTTTATCTGCAGGAAGCCACTAACAGAATGACAGTTTCTGCAGAAACCCTTGTAACAAGATACCCTTTGGTATGAAGTTCCTAACAAGCCAGTGTCTGCCGCACAGCAGGGCTGCCTGGAATGTCTGCTGCGGCACAGAACTGCCCAAGGAAGAGAGTCAGGAAACAGGAGAGATTCCATCCTTCCATGTCCCATCTGAGGACTAATAGAAAATAGTGAGAAAGTTACTAGAGTGAAGATTGTCCAGAAGATGAGGCAGAACTGGCTGGTCCCAGTAGAGGCCACTGAATGGAGGCAACAAGGTGACAGAATTAAAAAAGAGGAAGAATCCGAGTGTCTGATAACAAGAATGAGCTAGAATCGCCTTTGCCCTTTGGAAGCCCTCAGCATTGATTCACTTTTGCCTGCTTTCTGATTCAGGAATAACAGTAGGACAGGAAAAATACAGTACACAGCTGTGTGTGTAGTAATTGTCGGTGTGCTTGCATGTTAAAATCAGTATATTGAAACATCCAGCTGTCTATGCTCACTTAAAGGCTAGTTTTTGTCTGAAACTTTCATCCCACTACAGAAACCAGATGGAATATCTCACAATCAAATAACAGATGAAGCTGAAAAACAATAAAAGCATGTAACACATAATTCTACTTTATTCTTGTAGGAGCCACTTTAACTCAAGGCTCTGAGAACTTATTTATGGAACCCAAATATTAGTAACTCGTAATTTTCTAAAAGAATAGAAATTTAAAAGCATACATTTCTAGGATTAGAATTGGATGGGGAAGGACAAAAGTTAATTGAAATTTAGCAAACTTCAAAGAAAAAGAAAGAATATCCATTTGTTAAATTAATTTACAAATGGGAAGTATAGCTTTCTGTAAAAATCATATCATTTTCCAAATTTTCTAAGTGTTCAACTATATTCATCAAATCATTCTTTCATTAAACAAATGATGGCAGAAGTTTCTGGTTATCGTCCATAATCTATTCCCGCTTCTTCTGGTCAAGAGTCTAGGAAAATCCTGCTCTCGTCACAGGTGGCAGGGCTAAAAAGCTCTATTTCTTTGTCTCTGTAGGTGTAGGTATGGTCATCTAAGTAAGTTCTGGCCATTGTGATACATGCAGAAGGATTGTGAGGAACTTCTGGAAGGGCTGCTGTAGAGCTAATGAATTAGAAGCTGACCCAAACTTAGTGACTTAAAGAATACAAATATGTTCTTGCATTTCTTCTGTGGGTCAGAAGTCTCATGTAGGTCTTAATGACACCTCAAAATCGAGGTGTAAGAAGGGGCTGTATTCCTTTTTGGAGGTTCTAATGTGACCTTGAGGATGTCAACCATGCATTAGAATGGTAGAGCTGAAAACAAAATGAGCCTAATAACTCAACGGAGCTTTCAGACCAGCCCTGAGCTGCCCATGACCGGATTTGTTTTACATTAGAAAATGTGTTCAAGCCATTGTCTGAGGGTCTGAAATATGCAACTGAAAACCGTGCCTATATCATTCTATAGTCTATTTTATCTAGTATTTACTCGGTTCAAAGCACTATACCAGGAACTAGGGCTACATTCAGTTGTTGCCCCCATAAAGTATTTAGTATACAGTCTGCCCTCTGAATCTACAGGTTCCACATCCATGCATTCAACCAACTGCAGATCAAAACTATTTGGAAGAAAGCAATAAAAAGTAACAATACAGAAATAAAAAATAATACCAAATTTAAAATGTAGCGTATCTATTTACATAGTATTTACACTATATTAAGTATTACAAGTATTCTAGAGATTACAAAGTATATGGAGGGTGTGCACAGGTCATGTGCAAATACTATATTATTTTATTTCAGGGATTTGAGCACCCTCAGATTTTGGTGTCTGCAGGGGGCCTGGAATCAATGCCCCGTGGATACTGAGGAACAATTGTAATAGAAACAAATTTTCTATTAAATGAGTATTCACAATAAAATGTAGTGAGAATTATGATAATGGAAGGAAAACAAACTTTGGTATTTTAAAGCAGGGAACACAGTTTTCCTAAGGAAGAGGGAATTAAGAGCAAAGAACATTATAGCAAATAACATGCTGATCTTCACAGATATGCTGTAATTGACCTACCTTCAGTGAGAAAAGTGCTTTTCGTTGCCACTCTTAAAAATTCCTTATAATAAATGTGCGTCGATCCACCATCTCCATCTTACCCTCTTTTCTCAGATTGTCCTTTGGCAAGCACATATTAAAGAGAGAACCTCCAAGGATTACATGGATCAGGACTAAGGTCACTACCCTTGAGAGGTGATCCTGTAGGGTCATGCTCTAAACAAGGGAGGTATCGAGTTACAGATTGTAACAATCAGTGGCCTGAAAATATCTGTTCAGGCACAGTTCGGGAAAAAATGCTAGTCTACTAGTGTTCCTTTTGAGGTTATCTGTAATTTTCCTAAGCATAAATAGACAAATGTGCTCCTCAACTCTAAGACCATTTCAGTGCACAACTGCACTATTTAGCTTAGAGTCAATACTGATTCAAAAAGTATTTCAAGGAAGGGTAAATACACTTCCTGCAAAATCCCCTTAAGAAAGTATGCTGCTGGAAAAAAAATGGCATAAAGAAGTCCTTTCAGAACAAGCACTATATCCCCACACTTATTTTAGCCACAGAAATTCAATTTGGTTGAGTTGTCTGGGGACTTGATTTGACCCTGTTTCCAGAACAATGTGCAATGGCTTGACAGAATCATTTTTAAATGGGCCATCTGATGTTTCAGTTTGTAGATATAATTCATCATTTATTTTTGTCCTGTAATTATAGAATTAATGAAGAAAACACTTCCTCTGTGTATTTGAAATATTAAGGGCATCAAGTCATTTTAAGTATTAGTTTGAGAAGATACTCTGTCCTGCTTCAAGGCAGCATAGGACATCAGAAGCAGTGATTGTGTAGTGAGCTGTGCTCATCATTAGCTGAGATACTGAGACAGTGGGTGTAGTTATTTCCTACATACAATTAATGCTGCATGCCAAGAGCATTATATTAATTTTGGTTCAGTATAAAATGCAGGCAGGCTACTGATCCCTGAAATCAATGACTGTCAGAAGAGCCTAGACATTGGGCATTGGGTGATCACATGAATAATTGAAGACTGATTTGTTAACCATGTAGAAATGAAGTTAGCCATACAGGGAGACACCTTATCAATTGCCAGCAATTTGCTGTCTTTTTTGAAAACCACAGGCAACAATTTACAGAAAAGATTAGGCCAGTTATTGTACACATGTGACATATTCTTGATTTAAAATGTCAATCTGGAAAGCTGTAAACTGACACCTGGATTTTGGAATGAGGTTATAAAGTTTATGAAGAACTGATTTTCCCAGAGACCGTCTATATTTCTGCTGTGGAAGATCCCTGAATGCACACCCCCTGCTGGGGCCAACTATGTGTGTACAAATGGGCACTGTCATGGAAGGCTGATGCACCTTCTCTTGGGACCATTCAGCACCTTTGCATCACTCAGTGCTTGAATGCACTTGGTGTTCATGACAGTATGGTGATGAGCTTTTATTTCTTGGAGAAAAAAATGTTGTCTATATATTTCTTCTTCCTGTGCAATCCTGAGGGTTATAATCACTTTCATCCTGCACCAGGAATTTACATTTCAGTACTTCATAAGAAAATGATTAAAGGGAAATCCACTTTTTATTAGTGTAATTTCTTTCCACTTCTTTTTCCTATTGGTATTAAGTCAGTAACAATCATTTTTTTTCACATTTGAATTTGTGAAAAGGTGAAATGAAGGTAGCCTTGGCCCCCAGAGAAATTTGAAACCAATATAGTATCCTGAAGGATGACTGCTATTGAAAGAATATTTATAAAATACTGTGTCTCATATTTAAACACCATGAAGTATAACCTATGAGTGATCATTTTCTGAATGTTACCAAAAATAGGCTTTTTGTATACGTTGAAATGTATTCTCAATATTTACATTAATTTATTAACTTTTCCAAGGATTCCTAGCAAGCATAATCTTGCAAATCTAATTTTGTTATTCCTAATCTGAAATCACATATGCCAATGTAACTATTTAAAAAAATTGTGTTAAACTTTTAATATGAGAAACAAATCAAGACTCCTTATGTGTGTCATTGTTAGCAATAAAATAAATCTAAAAACTAAGACATATACTTTCTTTCTTCTTCTTTTCACCCTTTCTATATTTGCCCACCTGGCTGAGTCTATAAGCTCCTTTATAAAGTGATGGCAATTCTTGTATTTTGCTTTAATCATTCTTTCCCACACTTTTCTTTTTCCTAAAAGGAGAAAAACATTGATAAATTGGTTTTGGTTTCCTGTGTCACGTATTAAAGGTGAAACCTGAAGATGCTAAAAATTGATCATAAAAGCCAAAATTTGAACTGTTTAATAATAGAGATTAGTATTAGACCATAGCTCTGGTTTTGCCCAAATGTTTGTGGGGCTTTCTCAATTAAAGAAATCAATAAAATAAAAATGTACATGAATGGACTAATTTTAAAACTTTATGTTGAAAACTGGCACAGCTCTGAAGTGGCTCAGCAGGCTTCCCTCGCTTGGCCGTCTATGGCAAACGATACTCTTGCCACTCTTGGCAAACATGCATTATTTTACATGAGAGTTTGGGAAGCATAGATTTGGAATGGAAATGGAAATCACATTCAACTTTTCCAAGATACTCTCTTTTATGCAACAAGCAAGCATCTGCAATTATAGCATGTAAACTTTAACTTCCTTAAACTTTCTTATAGAAGTCACAAATATTTTTATAATTATTACAGAAAGAAAGTTTTAAATTATTTATACAGTCTTGGCTTTGGGGGGATCTAATCAATGAAATCATATAGTTTTATTGTCCATTCATTGTCTATAGCATTTTTAATATAAATTAAGATACACTTTCATAGGGGGAAAAATGTCCAATGATTTAGAAATAGCTATGCTATGGACAATAAAATCATGGTTTTCTGTGTTTGAGTGTTTGACTAAATGTTAGACTAGAATATAATAATTGTGGCAGCATAACAGAATGTTTTCAACTTAGTAAGCTTTGACTTTTGTTGCAAACATCAGGAAATTAATCTCTAAGTCTAAACTGTGATAGGTTTACACCTGAGCAGCCTCTTGCTGCTCAGGTCAGGCTATAATGATTTCGACTTGATCTATTTCTTTACCTTTAGAAACTCCCTACTTTATTTTTCACTAAATCATCAAAAACCTTGTGCCCTTTGTTACACCAAACATAGAGTTGTTTTATTATTAGTTTGCATTTATATTGTATTTTCCCTCAAGTAGCTTGAGGTGCTTTACAGAACATGACAGCAGTCATCAAAACACTTTGTCAGGTAAGTAAAGTGAGAAATAATGCTGTTATAAATGTGCTGAAGGCATTGTACTTGCTGGAAAATGTTTATTTTCTACATATTTTGTTAGATACAATCTTTTCAGTGATTTTGTTTAAAATGAGTTCCAACTCATTAACATTTTCTTTTCTTGGCTTTAGAATCAGACACATTTGTTCAACAAGTTTATTGGGCATCTGCTCTTTGCCAAGTATTCTTGTAGGGACTGAGAATATAACTGGGGGATAAAAAGAATTTGCTCTCAAAGAGCTTTTATTCTGGGGAAAGAGACATAATATATAAATAAATAAATATACACTATAATTGCTTGTTGTATTAAGTGCTATCAAGAGAAAAAAACAACAAAATAAAAGGAAATAAAAGGATAGAGAGTAACTTCATGAGAATGGAAGGAGTTGAGAGGCCTTGGTGGCAGAAGAGAGCACAAATATGGGGGAATGCCAAGTCTCCCAGATAGGAACATGTTTGGCATGCACAAAGAACTGAAAGGATGCCGAGTCATGTTGCTAGCACGCCATGAGCCAGTAGAGGAGAGCCGAAGAAAGAGCAATGGCAAGATCCTACAGGAACGTCGTGTAGGTCATAACATGATTTGGATTTGGTCTCAGTATAATGGAAACCCATTGGATGCGACTGAGCATAGGGGACTGACGGGATCAGAAATTACTGTGTAGGGGACAAGAGTGAAAGTAAGATGACCCACAGAGATCATGGTGGTCCAGGTAAGAAACAAAGGTGGTGGCCAGGTGCAGTGGCTCATGCCTATAATCCCAGCACTTTGGGAGGCCGAGGCAGGTGGATCACCTGAGGTCAGGAGTTCGAGACCAGCCTGACCAACACAGCAAAACCCCATCTCTACTAAAAATATAAGATTATCCGGGCATGGTGGCACATGCCTGTAATCCCAGCTACTTGGGAGGCTGAGGCAGGAGAATCATTTAAACCTGGGAGGCAGAAGTTGCAGTGAGCCAAGATCATACCATTGCACCCCAGCCTGGGCAATAAGAGCAAAACTCCGTCTCAGAAAAAAAAAAAAAAAGTGCTTGGATGAGGGGGTGACAGTGGCTGAAGTGAGAATAATGAGTTTGAATAATCAGTTCAAATATCCAATTTCAAAGCAGAGTAGATAGTAGATAGTAGTAGAGGTGGTGCATGAGACAGAGGTGTGTCACAGACAGAATCTTTAATTCTGTCTCTGACACATGTGCTATTGTCTCAGAAACTCAAAGTTTTCTTACCAGTAAAAATGCAAAAATAATTACATCAGAGAAAACTGATGAACAGCTGAGAAAACTGAGACCTTGTGCAGAGTATACTTTTGATGCTTTAAAAATGCATCCTGTCTCCCACTTCTCAACTAGCCTTTTTCTTTCTTACTTTCTATTCCCTATAACGTCACACTGCTTATTTCTCTTTTCCTTGTGTTTCCTACTTTGTTGCATCATATATTGTCCTTGCCCTCCAAATGTCTTATTTCCAGATGCCAAGATTCTGTTCATTGTTCTCTTTGAATACAGAAGGGGTTGGTTGAAATGAGCCCTACTACGTTTTTTACTATGTTCTTATGTACATATAGTTTCATAGTAGAATCTTAGTTTCATAGTAGAATAGTGATTCTACTGTGCTCTTTTTTGGTTTCCATAAAACTCTTGGCATAATAGTTGATGTACTTCTAATAGATACATCTGAAATTTCAGTGGGGGAAAAAAGCTAAATATGAAATACTTGCTTCCACTATCAGCCAGACAGTCTTTAGCACTGAGAATTAAAAAGAAAATATTTTTGAAATTTAGAGTCAATTCTACCCAGTTATATATGTTCACCTTGAAATTCTTCTAATTTCTTTTTTAAAAAAATGTTATGGGTATATAGTAGCTGTATATATTTATGGGGCACATTAGATTATTTGATACAGGCATGAAATATGAAATAAGCACAACATGGAAAATGAGGTATCTATCTCCTTAAGCATTTATGCTTTGAGTTAAAAAAATCCAATTACATTCTTTATTTAACAGTTAAATTATTGACTAGAGTCACCCTATTGTGCTATCAAGTACTAAGGTCTTAGTCATTCTTTTAAACTATTGTTTGTACTCATTAACCATCCCCACTTCCCCCCATCAGACTCCCGCTCTGGAAATCATCCTTCTACTTTCTATGTCCATATATTCAATTGTTTTGATTTTTAGATTCCATACAGTGATAACATGCAATGTTTGTCTTTCTGTGCCTGGCTTATTTCCCTTAACATGATGACCTCCAGTTCTACCCATGTTGTTGCAAATAACTGGATCTCATTCTTTTTTATGGCTGAATAGTACTCCATTGTGTATACGTACCACGTTTTAAAATCTGTTCATCTGTTGATGGACACTTAGGTTGCTTCAAATCTTCCCACTTTTAAACAGTGGGGCAACAAACATAGGAGTGCAGATATCTCTTTGATATACTCATTTTCTTTCTTTTGGGTAAATACCTAAAAGTGAGACTGCTGGATCATATGGTAGCTCAATTTTTAGTTTTTTGAGGAACCTTTAAATTGTTCTCCATAATGGTTGTACTAATTTACATTCCCACCAACAGCATATGAGGTTTCCCTTTTCTTCACATCCTTGCCAGCATTTGTTATTGCGTGTCTTTTGGAAATAAGACATTTTACCTGTGGTGAGATGATATCTCATTTTAGTTTTGATTTTCATTTCTCTGATGATCAATGATGCTAAACACCTTTTTCATAAGCCTGTTTGCCATTTGTATGTCTTATTTGAGTAATGTCTATTCAAATATTTTGCCTATTTTTTGATCAGATTATTAGATTATTATTATAAATCTGTTTGAATTCCTTATATATTCTGGTGATTAATCCCATCAGATGGATAGTTTGCAAATGTTTTCTCCAGCTTTTTATACTGGGACCTATCTCTCTCTTTAGCTCTAATAATATTTCCTTTCTATATCTGGGTGCTCTCACATTGGGTGCGTATATATTTAAAATTGTTATATCCTCTTACTGAAATGATCCCTTTGTCGTTACATAGATACCCTCTTTGTCACTCCCTATAGTTTTTGTCTTGAAATATATTTTGTCTGATATAAGTATAATGACTCCTGTTCTTTTTTGGTTTCCATTGGCATGGAATATCTATTTTCAGTCTTTGTGTGTCTTTATAGGTGATGTGTGTTTCTTGTAGGCAACAGATCAATGGGTCTTGTTTTTTTTTTTAATCCAGTAAGTCAGTCCATGTCTTTTGATTAAAGAGTTTAGCCCATTTACATTCAATGTTATTATTGATAAGTAAGGACTTACTCTTGCCAATTTGTTATTTGCTTTTTGGTTGTTTTGCGGTCTCTTCTTCCTTCTTTCTTTTCTTCTTGTCTTCCTCTAGTGAAGGTAATTTTCTCTGGTGACATGATTTAATTATTTTCGTTTTAGTTTTTGTGTATCCATTGTATGTTTTTTGGTTTGAGGTTGCCATGAGGCTTGCAAATATTGTCTTATAATCCATTATTTTCACGTGATAACAACTTAATACTATTTGCATAAACAAGCAAGCAAAAAGAAAGCTAATAAAAGTTCTATACCTTACCTTCCTATCCTTGCTTTTTAACTTTTTATTATTTCTATTTATATTTTATTGTAATTGCTATGTCTTGAAAAGTTGTTGTGGTTATTATTTTTGATTGGTTCACTATTTTGTCTTTCTACTTAGAATAAGAGTAGTTTACACACCACAGTTACAGTGTTATAGTATTCTGTGTTTTTCTGTGTACTTATTATTACCAGTGAGTTTTGTTCCTTCAGGTGATTATTTATTGCTCATTAATGTTCTTTTCTTTCTGATTGAAGTACTTTCTTTAGCCTTTCTTGTAGGACAGGCCTGGTATTTATGAAATCACTCAGTTTTTGTTTGTCTGAGAAAATATTTATTTTTCCTTCATGTTTGAAGGATGTTTGCACTGGATATACTATTCTAGGACAAAAGTTATTTTCCTTCAGGGCTTTAAATATGTCCTGCCACTCTCTACTAGCCTGTAAGGTTTTCACTGAAAAGTCTGCTGCCAGACGTATTGGAGCTCCTTTGTATGTTATTCTTTTCTTTTCTCTTGCTGCTTTTATAATCCTTTCTTTATCCTTGATCTTTGGGAGTTTGATTATTAATTGCCTTAAAGTAGTCTTCTCTGGATAAATCTGCTTGGTATTCTGTAACCTTGTACTTGGATATTGGTATCTTTCTCTATGTTTGGGACTTTCTCTGTTATTATCCTTTTGAGTAAACTTTCTACTCATGTCTCTTTCTCTACTTGCTCTTTAAGGCCAGTGACTTAGATTTTCCCTTTTGAGGCCATTTTCTAGATTGTTTAGGCATGTTTTATTGTTTTTTATTCCTTTTTCTCTTCTGATTGTATATGTTCAATTAGGCTGTCTTCAAGCTCACTAATTATTACTTCTGCTTGATCAATTCTAATATTAAAGGAATCTGATGCATTCTTTGATATACCAATTGCATTTTTCATCTCCAGAATTTCTGCTTTATTCTTTTTAATTATTTCAATCACTTTGTTAAATTTATTGATAGAATTCTGAATTCTTTTTATGCATTATCTTGAATTTCTTTGAGTTTCCTCAACACAGATATTTTAAATTCTCTGTCTGAAAGGTCATACATCTCTATTTCTTCAGGATTGGTCCCTGGTGCATTATTTAGTTCATTTGGTGAGGTTATATTTTTCTGGATGGTGTTGATGCTAGTAGATGTTCTTCAGTATCTGGCCATTGAGGAGTTAGGTATTTATCATAGTCTTCATTGTCTGGGCTTATTTGTAGCCATTCTTCTTGGGGAGGCTTTCTAGATATTTGAAAGGACTTGGGTATTGTGATCTGAGCTGATGGCATCACAAGCCCAGTAACTCTGTGTTTCTTGCAGACTCATAGGAATACTGCCTTGATTATCCTGAATCAAATCTGGGAGAATTCTCAGGATTTTCAGATACTCTTGTTCTCATCCCTTACTTTCTCCAAAACATACAGAGTCTCTCTCTCTGCCCTGAGCCACCTAAATTTGGGAGTGGAGTGGCACAAGCACCCCTGTGGCCATCACTACTATGACTTTGCTGGGTCAGACCTGAAGCCAACACAGCACTGGGTCTCACTCAGGGCTTGCTGTAACCACTCCCTGGCTACTGCCTATGTTTACTTAAGGCCCTGAGGATCTACAATCAGCAGGTGGCAAAACCAACTAGGCCTGTGAGCTTCCCTTCAAGGTAACAAGCTCCCCCAGGCCCTGGATGAGTCCAGAAGTCCCATCTGAGAGTCAGGAACTAGAGTCAGAAAACTTACAAATCTACCTTGTGTTCTATTGTATTGTGGCTGAGCTGGCACTCAAACCACAAGATATAGTTCTTCCCACTCTTCTCTCCCCTTTCCAAAGGCAGAGGGGCTTCATGTCGTAGCCACTGCTACCACAGACCCATGGGGAGTACTGCCAGACTACCTCTAATGTTCCCTTAAAACCCAAGGTCTCTTAAATCAGCTTGTCATGAATGCTTCCTGGACTCACCCTTCAAGACGGTGAACTCCCCTCTGGCCCAGGGCAGGTCCAGAAATGCTATTTAGGAGTCAATTCCTGGAATCAGGGACACCAAGAGCCTGCTTGGTGCTCTGCACCCCTGAGGCTCTGCTGGTACCTAAGGTGCAAGACAAAGTCCCCTTTACTTTTCCCTCTGCTTTTCTCAAGCAGAAGGAGTTTCGCCCCATAGCCACCACAGCTGGTAGTGTGCTGAGTCTCATCTAAAGCCAGCAAGCCTCAGAGGCTCACCTGAGGCACTCAAGGTAGTACCTGGTATTGCTGCTTGTTATTCAGAGCCCAACAGCTCTTCAGTTAGCAGGTGGTGAATGCTGCCAGGACTGGGTCCTTTCCTTCAAGGCAACAGGGTGTGCCTAGGAATGTTGTCTGGGAGGTAGGACCTCATGACTCTGCCCAGTGCCCTATCCTGACGTGGCTGAGCTGGTTTCCTAGAAGCAAGACAAAGTCCTCCTGAATCTTGCCCCTCCTCTCCTCAAACAAAAGGAAGGGATCTCTTTTGGAGTGGCGAGCTGTGAAGTGTGGAGTTAGGGGAGGGGAGGTGCCAGCACTCCTTTTGCTGCCCTAGCTGGTGTCTCAGTATGTCACATGACCCCTCGGTCCACTGTCTCTGGGCCTAGTTCAGCACTAGAACTCACCTAAGAGTTGCAGTCCTTGTGGCCTAGACTGCATTTCAAGTTTACTTGTAGACACAGAGTGTAGTAGCCCTTAGCAGGGAGGTTTGCAGGCACTCAAATTCTGACCTGTGGCATCTGCAATTCCTCTCTGGCTAGGGCTGATTTAGATACCTTCATGGGCAGGCATCAGCTGGGTTTGGTCTGGTTTTCTTTTCTGCTCTAACAAGACAGCACTGAGTTCAGTGACACAATTGCTGTGTTGTCACTCCCCCAGTGCCCAGAGCTGCTCTTAGCACCACACTGCTGCTGCTGCCAGGGATAGGGAAAGGGTGGCATCTGTGATTCTAGACTTTTTTTTAATCTCTTCAGTGCCTCTTTCAGCAATATTAAGTTGAAGCCAGGTGCTATGATTGCTCGCCTGATTTTTGATTCTTATGAAGGTGTTTTCTCTGTGTAGATAGTTGTTAACTTGGTGTTCTTGCTGAAGGGATGATCGGTGGCGTTTTCTATTCCACCATCTTACCCCAACTCTCCTGAAATTCTTCTAATTTAAATGAGAATAGGTTATGTGAAAATTCACATTTTTATTGTTGGGAAAATTCTAATTTTGTGGGTTTTTGCTTTTTTTTCTGACTCTAACCCATTCTCCAATACCAAATGGAGGTCCAACAACTCCCTTTAATTCTGACACTACCTAGAGCTAGCATAGACCCCACAGGTTAAGGGCTCAGTTCCACAAGACTACGCCTACATCTCATTCCAGCTACAAATGGGGTCTCCAGACTACTCACACTTCTGTCCAGCCAACTAAAAATTCAGGGGTTCTCTCGACCACTCCTCAGGTTTGATAACTCCCTAGGATGACTCACAGAGTCCTGGAAAGCACTTTGCTAAAGATTACTGGTTTATTACAAAGGATACAACTCAGGAGCAGCCAAACGGAAGAAAGCCCAGGACAAGATATGAGGGCGAGGTTTCCATGCCCTCTTGCCAGTGTACCACGGGCAGCACTTTGATGTGTTGATGTGTTGATTTGTTCCAACCCAGAAGCTTCCCAAACCTCATAGTTCAAGAGGGGTTTTTGTTTGTTTGTTTTTTGTTTTTTAAGCTTTATTACGTAGGCATGCTTGATTAAATCATCGTCCACTGGTGATTCATTCGGTCTCCAGTCCCCTTTCCCCTCCCACTTCAGGAGTGAGGCTGAAAGTTCCAACCCTCTAATCATGTGGTTTCTTCCTTTAGCAACCAGCTCCCATCTTGAAAAGATCCAACCTCACGGTCCTCAAAGGTCACCTCATTAAAATAAACTCGGCAATATAGTTTGGATGTCCTCTCCAAATCTCATGGTGAAATGTAATCCCCAATGTTGTAGTTGGGGCCTACTGGGAGGTGTTTGGGTCATGAGGGATTTCTCATAAATGGTTTAGCACCATCACATTGGTGATGTCCTGATGATAGTGAATGATTTATTGGGAGATCTGGTTGTTTAAAAGTGTGTGGCACCTTCTCCCTCTCTCTCCCTTGTTCTTGCTCCTGGCATGTGATGCACCTGCTCCACTTTTCTTTCTGTCATGAGTAAAAGCTCCCTGAGGCATCCTCAGAAGCTGAGTAAATGCAAGTGCCATGCTTCTACAGCCTGCAGAACTGTGAGCCAATTAAACCTATTATCTTTGTAAATTACCCAGTCTCAGATATTTCTTTATAGCAATGCAAGAATGGCCTAACACACTCAGATAAGGTCAAAAGGAGCTCCTTATTAATGATAAAAGACACTCCCATTACCCAGGAAATCCCAAGGCTTAGAAGCTCTGCCAAGAATGGGCACAGATATGTACGTTTTTATTAGACCACACTAATCATGCAATCTTTAATTACTAACCCATTGAGAAAAGAGCTCTTGGAAGGACTCTGACACTAGGTCATAAAGTTAAACCAGAATGAGAAAGATACTGAATATAAGTGCAAAGAACTTGAAGCCAAGTAAAAAGAAACAAAGGCAACAGCTTGAAGGACTGCTGGGTACCAGGCAAATTTACTCAGGGAGCTTGTTTCCTCCTAACATCAGTCTCCCAAAGAGTGCCCTTTCTCCTGTTGCATAGAAAGATGAAAGCCTATAGAAAGTAAATAATTTAATCCTGGTCAGCCAAATGATATCTGGAAAATGTTGTGCTTAATCCTGAGCTGCTCACTCCAAGATTAAGATTATAGTCATTATTGACAGCTTCCTCTGGTATGTAAGAGAAACACCAAATGGAAAAAAAGAAAATGGGAAAACATATTACTGTGTTCATACCTTCTTGTCCTCCCCCAGGAGAAGTGTTCTGTCTTATCTAGGCAGAGGGAAGGCTAAGACATGAGAGATTTATGACTAAACAATACTCTCTTTGAGTAGTTGACACCAGAACTACATAATACAAAGTGATAGGAAGACTTAGCATAGTAATTCTGTGAATTCAAGCATCAAAGACTGTAAACCAACATTCATATGGCTTTCGTCTGGAATTATTCGAAAGATTATATTCTCACGGTTCTGTCATTAGGATCTAAAATGTTGGCCATTCCACGTGCTGCATTCCTTGGTGATCTTTATCATGACATCTGCCAAGGGACCTTGCAGATCGTCATAGCTCAACTCACATTCCCCATTTAGTCCTTCATGGCACCATTCATCTCGTCTGCAGTTGAGGAAATCCTATTTCTGAGAAATTAAAATCTCTAGTGAAGACACACAAAATGAGTGGCTAAAGTGAGAGTCAAATTTGGAACACCAGAACCCACATCCATGGATGTTTTCCGGGATGTGATTCAGGTTTGGGGTTGGAAGCATTTAATTGACTTATCAGGATCCAAAACTTCATGAGTCGATCCAGCAGGGAGTGAAGGGAGGAAGTGGAATCACAAAGTCAAGCCAGTTCAAAGCAGCTGTCTCATCCTGCTGTGTCTCAAAACTGCTGTAGTCCCTCATGATTGCTTCGCTCGCTCGTGGTGGACAATTAGTTGTGGTGGCTTTTTTTTTTCTTTTCCCATGTGTTTATTTGTTTTGCATTGCTTTCCCCTCCACTAAAAGAAACAAGAAGAAAGAAGAAAGAAAGAAAGAAGGCCAGGGGCTGTGGCTAACGCCTGTAATCCTAGCACTTTGGGAGGCCGAAGCAGGCAGATCACCTGAGGTCAGGAGTTCAAGCCAAGCCTGGCCAACTTGGTGAAAACCTGTCTCTCCTAAAAATGCAAAAATTAGCCGGGCATGGTGGTGGGCATCTATAATCCCAGCTACTCCAGAAGCTGAGGCAGGAGGATTGCTTGAACCCAGGAGGCAGAGGTTGCAGTGAGCTGAGATCGCGCCACGGCACCCCAGCCTGGGCGACAGAGTGAGACTCCATCTCAAAAAAAACAAAAGAAAAGAAAAGAAAAGAAAAGGGGAAATGGAAGGGGAAAGTGAAGAGAAAGAGAAGAGATACCTACAATTGTTTCCACCATGGTGCTGTTGGGTTAAGCATTCTAATTTGGTGGTAATGGTGTTCAGAGGCCTCAGATTCCAACTTGGAGAAATCGGATCCTAATGTAACCAGTGCAGTGTAACAGGTGATTTCGTGTAAAGATGCAATCACCTGCTTTCATCTGTGAAAACACTGTGGTGGCTAGGACTACAAGCTCATTGGTACCTACCTTAGCTAAGTTGAACTTGACAATCCCATACTGGGTCACTTACCTTAAGAAGGGGCTGGCCTCTTCTGTTTTGAAATTCAGGAAAATGTGACCAGCATTTAATATCAACACAGACCTTAAGTCTGATAAGAAATATTTACAGTCTATTCTCTCTGAAGCCTGTTACCTGGAAGCTTCATCTGCATGATAAAACTTTTGTCTCCACAACCTCTAATCATAACCCAGACATTCCTTTCTATTGATAATAACTCTTTCAACCAATTGCCAATCAGAAAATTGTTAAATCTACCTACAACCTGGAAGCCCCCGCTTTAATTTGTCCCACCTTTCTGGACCCAACCAATGTATATCTTAAATGTATTTGATTGATGTCTCATGTCTCCCTAAAATGTATAAAACCAAGCTGTGCCCCTGACGACTTCAGGCATATGTTCTCAGTGTCTCCTGAGGCCTGTGTCACAGGCCATGGTCACTGATATTTAACTCAGAATAAATTTCTTCAAATATTGTAAAAAAAAAAAAAAGGCTGGAAATATTCAAGCCTGAAACCACTAATGCGTGTTGGTAAAACCACTGAACGAACATGCCTTTGGCTTTTAGGGTCTTCCTAACTGTTGACAAATCATTGAATTGCTAGTTAAGATGTCCAAAACAACAATCAACACCCTTGTAAAATAAATTGAATTAATCGAGCACTATCCTTGAACAGAAAGAATATGCTATATACTGTAAGGGAGGAAAAATATCTTTTCCTTCTACTCATCTTAGGTGCATTGGCTGGGTCCCTGTAATGAAACACAGATTAACGAGAGGAAACCACATAAATTTATCTCAAAAGAGTTTTACCTGACACAGAAGCCTTATAAGAAAATGAAGACCCAAAGAAACAGTTAAACCTGAGTGTTTTTATGATACGTTTGTTGAAGAGTGAAAAGTCATAAAAGAATATGATAGGACACAGGGGTATGCTCTCGTGGTAATAAACTGGGGAGACTTAGCAAGGCCAGTTCCTTTCAGTCGTCTCTGTGTCCCTGTGTCTTCAGATGTAAGGATGCTTCTTTCCTCCAGGTATAGGGTGGGCACCTCTCAAATGAGGGTCTTATGATCTTCACAGGAGGGTCAGAAAGCCCTTCCTAGGTTTTATGACCTACTTAAAGTGATGGTCAGAAAGTTCTCCATGCACATTCTGTTTCTCAAATTCCCTCAGCTTAACAGATCCAATATGCCATATGCCATATGCCATATGCCATATTTGGGGGTAGTGTGTCCTGAACCTCATCAGTACAGAAGTATATTAGCAATTTCCTCAACCAACAATTTAAGAGATGCAGGGGTAATTTCAAATATATGCTAATTTAGACCCAGACCTCCCCAAAAGAGGCAAGTGCATTTGTCTTTAAGTATCAATTCTTTGAAACCTATTAGCCACTGTTTATGCTACATCTAACACAAAAAGAAAGGTAGTTTGGAAAGAACTCTACTTTTTTCCTAGAAATAAAAATACAGTTTTTTATTCATCCCTCTCCAGCCTCCTACAACTTTCTTTATGTATCAGGTCTTTTTCTCAGCTAAGAAACATGTTAATGATCTTATTAACATATTGAACAATAACCCAGGAAAGGCTGACATTTCCCAAAGCTTTTGGTCAATTTTCAAAGTAATGAAAGTTGCCAGTTATTCAGGCCAAGCCTATAAACGCCTGAAATTCACTTACTGTCTGAAAGGTCAGGTAAATTAGAGGAAAATATAGGGCTGGCCTTGAAGAGTATGAATGTGGTGATCCTGAGTGCTCTTAAAAGTGGCTGAAACTAAGAGGCCTGGTATTAATTCTAGCTGACTTCCTGGTATTGATTAAGAAGTAATCGCAAGTGCTCATTTGTGGGTAAATTAAGAGACAAGTCCTTTACAGAAGGTCATTTACATGTCTTCTTTTTAATTAATATTACTGACTGGAAGATTTGCAGTTAAATTAGTCCATTAATTATAAAAGTTATCATTCTGGAGAGTAGGAAAGGATCATTTATTTAATATCAAATCCAGGTTTTCAATAAATTGCCATTTCTTCTGACACTCTACTAGGAAAAGTGTGAAGTTTTGATTTGTGAGTTGAATGGATGATCATGACCTCTGCAGTTCTGTTTTGTTGTTACTGATTTTATTAATAAATGTAATATAAAAATGTAATATTAAAAACTGAAAAATACATTTAATTGTTAAGAAGAAAGAAAAATCTATCTTTCTTTATTTTATTGCTCAAAGGTAAACCTAACATTTTAGTACTCCCATTTCTTAAGCTCAGCATAAATATAAATATATGCTTTCTTTAAATGTTTCATTACTTAAAATATAGTTGCATTTTTCACTTTTTCATATAATAAAAGCATTTTCCTATGTCATAAATGTTATTTGAAAACCATGTCTTAATTAAACTTCACTTTGAGATTATTGTAAATTCACATGCAGTTGCATGAAATAATACAGAAGATCTTGTGTACCCTTTTTAATTTTACTGTTTTTAATTTTGGTAAGATCCAATTTATTTTCTTTTTACTGGTAGTACTTTTGATGTCAAGTCTCAGAACTCCTTGCTAGCTCCAAATCCTGAAGATTTTCTCCTACTTTTTTCTGAAAGTTTTACAGATTTATGTTTTATATTTAAGTTTCTCCCAATGGTAACATCTTTCAAAGCATTGAACAGTCAAGATACAAAATATTGCCCTCCTGCAAGATCCTTCAACTTACCCTTTTATAACCACACATAATTTCTTGCCATTCCATTCTTAACCCCTGGAAACCAAAAATGTATCCTACATGTCTATAATTGTGGCATTTCAAGAATGTTATAGAAATGCAATTTTATAGCATATAGCCTTTAGGGATGAGCTCTTCTCATTCAGGATAACTCTCCATAATTCTTCTTACATGTATCAGTAGATCACTCCTTTTTATTACTGAGTAGTATTCCATGGTAGATGTGCCATGGTTTGTTTAACCATTTACCAAAGGATATCTTGGTTCTTTCAAACTTTTGGCCATTGTGAATGAAACTGCTATGAACATTTATGTACAGGTTTTGTGTGAACCTAAGTTTTTATTTCTCTGTGATAAATGCCCGAGTGTGTAATTGTTAGGTCATTTGGTAGTTGTGTGTTTAGTTCTATATAAAACTGCTAAACTATTTTCTAGAATGACTGTACCATTTTACATACCCACTATCAATGTATGAGTGATCTAGTTTCTCTACATTCTTCCCAGCATTGGTGTTATCACTATTATTATTTTAGCTGTTCTAATAGGTGTGTAGTGATATTTCATTGTGGCTTTAATTCGCATTTCCTTAATGGCTAATGATGTTGAATATCTTTTCATGTGCTTATTTGCTGTTGATAAAATGCTTCTTCTTGTCTTTTGCGCATTTTCTAATTGGATTATTTGGTTCTTTTACTGTGAAATTTTGAGATTTCATTAAATAATTTAAATACTAGTCTTTTGTCAGAGATATGTTTTGCAACTATTTTCTCCCAGTGTGTAGCTTGTTTTTTCATCCTCTTAACAGGGCCTGTCACAGAGAAAATCTTTTTAATTTTTATAAGATCCAATTTATTTTCTTTTTACTGGTAGTACTTTTGATGTCAAGTCTAAGAACTCTTTGCTAGCTCTAAATCCTGAAGATTTTCTCCTACTTTTTTCTAAAAGTTTTACAGATTTATGTTTTATATTTAAGTCCATGATCCATTTTGAGTTAATTAATTAAATTGTATTTTTATTTCTCATATAAGATAAAATTAATATGTTCACAAGGGAAGAACGTTATGTGTGTGGTGTGTGTGTGAGTCTGTGTGTGTGTCAAATAAAAAATGTACTGATGAAATGACGCCAGGAGAAAAGAGGCATGATTGAATATATTGAGTGAAAATAAACTACAGTCCATTTGAATCAGTTTCAAAGGAATCACAAACTCTCCTGGCTGCCTATATTTCTTTGGTGAGTTCTCCAAAGGTCTAGCTTAGTATGTACATTAATCACTTCACTACTTTCCCTTTATTCGTTTAAGCTGGAGAGGTCTTTGACCAACCAAGGAAAGATACTATAAACAACCTAAGATCAGGAAACCCTTCACTAGAAATAAAATTTATGTATATAACCACCATAGCATTTTCTTCCTAGGAAAATGTAAAATGATCTTAAATAAAACAGTATATGTGTATTTGTTTACAAGAATAATTCCTCTATCCCATCCTTATACCATTGCTGTCATTTCTTTCACTTATACATAAGTATATGCTTGTGTGTATGTATATGTTTGAATCTATTATTCTGAACACACTGTTATCTATTAGATCAATTAAGAATAATAAAAATAAAAGTTTTGTTTTACTCACTTATCCTCTGATGCTCTTCTTTTCTTACGTAGGTACAAATTTCTGGCTTAAATGATTTTCCTTCTTTCTAAAGAACTACTTGAAAGGCAGGTCTGCTGGCCACAACTTCTCTGAATTTTTGTTTGTATAAGAAACGTTTTATTTCTCCTCCACTTTTGAAGGATAATTTTGTTACCAGGAGGAGGTCCCAGTCTAGACCCCGAGAGAGGGATCTTTGGAGCTCACACAAAAAGAATTCTGGGTGAGTCCATAAAGTAAAGTGAAAGCAAGTTTATTAAGAAAATGAAGGAATAAAAGAATGGCCACAGCAGCAGTGTGAGTTACTCAACTGATTATACTTATACTTATTTCTTGAGTATATTCTAAACGAAGGGTGGATTATTCATGAGTTTTCCAGGAAAGGGGTGGACAATTCCCAGAACTGAAGGTTCCTCCCCTTTTAGACCATATACAGTAACTTACTGATGTTGCCATGGCATTTGTAAACTGTCATGGTGCTGGTAGGAGTATCCTTTAGCATGAAAATACATTGTAATTATTGTGTAATGACCAGTGAGGATGAACAGAGGTTACTTTCATCATCAACTTGGTTTTGATGAGTTTGGGCCAACTCCTTTACCACATGCTTTATTATCAGCAAGGTCTTTGTGACCTGTGTCTTGTGCCAACCTCCTATCTCATCTGTGAGTAAGAATGCCTAACCTCCTGCCAATGCAGCCCAGTAGGTCTCAGTCTTGTTTTGTCCAACCCCTATTCAAGATGGAGTTGCTGTGGTTCAAACACTTCTGAAAATTTCAGAGTTCTAGGTTGGTATTTTTTTTTTCTCTCTCAACACTTTAAATATCTAACTCTACTCTCTCTTTTTTACTTTCATGTTTTCTGAGAAGTCAGATGTAATTCTTTGCTCCTCTGCAGAGGAGCTTTCATTTCCTCTGGCTTTATTTAGGTTTTTTTTTTTAATCTTTGATTTTCTGTAGTTTGAATATGATATAACCAGTTGTAGGTTTTGTTTGTTTGTTTGACGTTTATCTGTTGAAGTTTTATGAGCTTCCTGTATCTGTGGTTTAGTGTCTTACATTAGTTTTGGGGAAATTCACAGTCATTGTTGCTTCAAATATTGCTTCTGCTCCTTTCTCTTTTTCTGCTCCTCTGGTGTGCTCGTTATGCAAATGTTATGGCATTCTTAGTTGTCCCATGGTTCTTGAACATTCTGCTTTTTTTTTTTTTTCCATCTTTTCTCTCTTGCTTCTCAGTTTTGGAAGTTTCTATTGTCATATTCTCAAACTCAGAGATTATTTTCTCATCAGTATCCAGTCTACCAGTGAGTCCATAAAAACATTTGTCATTTCTGTTAGTCTTTCTTATCACTAGAAATTTTTTAAAACCTAGAATTTCCATTGCTCTTTTTACATCGTCTATCTTTTCTTGCATGTTTTCTACTTCTTCCATTAAGCCCTTAGCATATTCATCATTTAAAAAAATTCCTGGTCTGATAATTTCAACATTCCTGCCATATCTGACTCTGGCTATGATGCTTATTCAACCTCTTCAAACTGTATTTCTTGCCTTCTAGCATTTGTTATAACTTTTGGTTAAAAGATAGACATTATATACTGGGTAAAAGGAACAGTGGCCTTTAGTAATGTAGTGGTAAGGTGTAGGAGCAGGGAAAGATAATCATAGCTTCTTTTCATAGCTGACTTTAAGTGTTATCATAAGTGCTGTCTCATTTAATTGTTAGAACAGTCCAAAAGATAGGCACCATTATCTACATGTAACAGATAAGGAAGCTAGAGTTTGCCTGAAGTCATATGGCTAATTAATGGAGAAACCTAGACTCCTCCCACTCAGGTTTTTTTGACTCAAAATCTACTTAAGCACTGTGCTACACTGAGTTATGTAAAACCAGAAACTACATTTCTGATCCATTTAAGTTTTGTCTCCACTACTTACCAAGTTTGTGACCCAGGTAGGTTGCTTAACATAAAATTCCAGGTTTCTCATCTGCTAATGGGGACAATAATAGTCCCTGCCTCATCAGGTTGTGATAAATGTGACAATAATTCTGACAGAGAAATTAACTGTATGAATTACACTACAGGTAATACTTCAATTTGCATAAGGATTGAGAAGGGTACCTAATAGAAGGAGACAGGTGGCAAAGGAGTGAAAGAGTGAGAAGGAATTGGAAATTGCCATTTTCTCTTCCTTTTTCCTTTGTTGGGATTCTTTTTGAGCCATGACCACTGTTTTCCCACCATTCTTACTATCCACAGAGGAGACTTGGAGCAGGAAAGACAAATAATTATTGAACACTTACTACAGTGATGTCAAAAATTGTTGTAAGCACTTTTCATGTGTTAACATGACATAATTGACAAAAAAAATCATATAAGTAAGAAAACTGAGGCGTCGAGGAAACTGAGACTTGAATAAAGACCATAGCTTATGAGTGCTATACTTCATGTGTGCTTTATTTTTGAAGAGGCTAGTGTTTGAGTTCTCTTGCCTCTGAGACATTTCTTGTTCATTAATTTCTAAGCACTCTCTCCTCACTGGGGTGAAGAGACCACCTGGAGATTCTTCTCATCACCAAAATAGGTAGGAAGGGTATCCACTGATTCTGCCATTAACATATCTCAGACAGGCCCTTCAGAACGATTCAACTCCCATTGATTTTCACAGAGAAAAGCCCCATTCAGATGGAAAGCAAAGGACTTATTTGTTCCTGACATAAACTGGTGTTTCATGCTGGACTCAGTAAGTGCTGTGAGTGGGGAGGCTGAATTCAGATCAGTGAAGAATCCAGAGATCATTCTTACCAAGCAAACACATTGTGTGGCCCGCTGGGCACAGATACTAAAAAAGCATCAGAGGCATGAGGTCATGGTTGTTTTCAGACTATCCAGAAATTTATTCCAGAAGTCCTATTCAGCACTAAACTGCAGTATTTCCCAGGGTGGAGGAAGGAGACAACAGTGCATTATGACACATGTCTAAAGGCGGGGGCTTTGGGGACAGACTCCTGGGCTTTGCATCCCAGCTTCACCTGCTAACTCTCAGGCAAGTTACTTAGCTGTGCCTCAGTGTTTTCATCTATGAAAAGAACACATTAATAGCACTTTCTATCTTAGGGTGGTCATAAGTATTAAATGAGACAGCATATGTAAAGTGTGGAAAATAGTACCCAGCACACCTTAAACGAAACAGCAAAATAATAATTCACTTTTGCTGAATGCACCTTCCCATAGGGTCTCAGTGCTAATTTCAGACAGTAAGTCAACCACTGTTGCCTCTATGTTGCCAAATTTAACAATTAAATCTGTTCAACATGTCAGTGAAATACAGGGGAATTTAGCAAGTTTTTAAAGGCATTTTCCAAATTGCTAATTGTATGATTTGCACATGCTACAGCTCAAAGGAATGGTGCACTGGTAGCCAGAGCTAGGAAAGAACTAAGGAAGAAAGTTATCTTCCTCAAGAAAAGCCTCCTGCTTCTTTCCCCCAACGCCTCGGGGCAACTGGGAGATATAATGGACAGAATACACAATCGTGAATGAGAAGTTCGGTGTTCAAGTTGTGGCTCTAGCACTTAATTGTGCCAGTTACTCTGTCTAAAATTTAATTTTTCTATTTGAGAAATACAGGTAACAGCACCCACACAAGTAAATGTATTTAAATGTCTTTAAATGTCTTTTTAACAAATAGTGCCCTGTGCAAATGCTACCTATTATTTACTACACTGATGCAATCATTCAAATGCTTATGTCCTGGGAGGGTCTAAGTGCTTATTTACAGCCTGTTATAAATTACCCCAGAATCAGGCTGCTTTCCTCATAGACCTGGCTGGGACCAGGGATGGTGGGTGATGGGAGAGCTTTCCCTCTGCTGTGGTAAGGGTAAAGAATAAGACTTCTTGGAACATGAGGTACTCTGGAGCTGGGATGGGAAAGGGTCCAGAGAGAAAGATTGTAGGATTCTGTGAGTTTCACATACTTTGAAATGTGGCTGATGCAAGACCTGATAAAACTGTTCATCAAGATGACTGAGAGGATGATGGTGATTTCAGTAATTACAACTTACCTTTCACAACCGTTTTCAAGCTTAAAAATCTCCTTTTCTCTTGAAAAACTCATCATTTCCTGGTAAAATAGAGGACAAGAAATACACTTTTTGTCATCCTTAGATTGCTAGTTTCATGGTGGTTTGAAGGAAAGACCAATGTGGTAGGAGGCAGCAGGGTACTGGAGACAGAAGTAGACTGCTTCTACCCCTTACTGGCCATGTGCCCTTAAACAAGTTCCCGAATCCAACTGGGACGTGGTTTCCTTATCCTTAAGAACAGCAGCACCCACTGCAAAGGCTGTGATCAAGATTAAATAAGATCCTTCATCCAACAGGCCTTCTTCCTGGCACTCAGTAAATGGAGTCCATTATCATCACAGCCACCCAGATCTGTCAAGGTATCTTGCCATCGGAAGCACTATGGGAGATCTATAAATGCTGGTTACGTTCCATTCATGGTGACTTGGATTATTACACTGCTTCACAGAGTGGGAAGCTGAAGCCCACAAAGATCAAAGGGCTTGATGAAGCCTATAAAGCCATCTTGCACATCAGCTTTGGGAAACATCACGTAAGGCATGGGCCTGGAGAGGAAAGCGGGCCCACATCCAAGCTTATGTCAGTCAGATGCTAAAATGTCATTATCTCTACACTGAATTAAGTGCTTGTATATGTTGCTGCACAACAAAATGCATTATTGATGTACTAAAGTTTTCCCGCTGGGTTTATCTGTGGTTTGCATAGCGAATTTTGCACAGCGAATTTTGCACATTTTGTCATCACCTGTATTTGAAAATAGGATGTTTCTTGACGAATGATCCCATTATCTAATGAGTTTCATCATTAAGTTTTTTCATTTCCAATCTAAATGTTTCATTTCTTGACTGTATAATGTTACTTCTTATTATACAATGCTAAATCATTGTTAAGTAATTCTTCTAGCCTGTTTTGTTACTGTCTTCCAAATATTAATAAGCAGTTATCCTTTTTTCTCAGTATTATTTATCTGTAATCTATACATGTGCAATGTTCTTAATGTCTTTGCATAGCTCATGCTTTTAATCACTGTTATCAGTTTCATTTGTGTTCCAGTTTATCAAGAAGTTCTTATAGATTTCTCATGCATAAGTAATGGTTTTAGACAACATCCTATTCAAGATGATATTTTTTTACACCCATATATTGGTGTCTATGTCTCTCCCAGGATAGCAACCTCTATGAGGGCAAAGACTGTCTTTTTTAAAATTTCTTCAATATTTTATTCTGAACACCTAGCATAGTGGCTGCAATGTAGTCATCCTTGATACATATTTGTTGAATGAATATTGAATATGTAGCTGAAATTCATTTTCCTTTTATTAAAGCAAATAATTCACTAAGCTCTCAAATATCTATTTGTAAACATTTTCTCCCTCCTAACATTTTTGTGTGCTACCTAATTAATGTAAGACATAGCCCCAGGGGTTGGCAGTAGAGAAATGAATCAGGTCTTGCCTGTCCCTGATGGGAAGTAATCAGATAATTCTAGTAATGCTGGCAAATCACCTGGATAGGGTGACTCTGTGCCAGGCTTTGTTTAACACCTCACTTGTATGGATGTATTTCATCCTCACCTCTACCCTTTTTTGCATGATTTTTTTATATTTCCTTATCTAATATACACCATAACCCTAGTGAGTAAGGTAAGTTAATTAGCCGCTCTATGGCTCAGTTTCTTCATCTGTCAAATGGAGTTTTATTTATTGAATACTTATATTTTGCATGCCTACTATGCCAGGCACTGTTGTAGGCAATAGTGATACAGCAGTGAACACAATGAACAATGCTCTTGCCTTCATGAAGTTATAATACATCCATAGCAGCACATACTTCATAAGATTTTGGGGAAGATTAAATGAGATGATGCTAGTAAAATCACCAAGAACAATATTGGCACATAGTAGGCACTCCATAAATGCTAGGCATTATTTTCATGCAAAGACATGCATAGAATAAGTAGGCAAATACATGCTTTCTGTTGATTCTGAGGGAATTTAAGGAAAGCAAATAGTTAATGTAAAATCATCACTCTAAAAAATTAAAATTGTTGAACTATGATGAACCCAGGAATTTTGGGGTAACATATGCTTTTTTAGACTGGTAAATACTAATCACAGTATTTTCAATTTGTTTCTTTTCATTAAGCATATGAATTTATAAACCTTATATATGGATCTGTATTCAAAGGTTTGATTCATTATGGATTTTTTAAAAGGTGCATACTAATCTTTCTAATGCAATTACTGTAGTCTCCACTTATCTGTGGTTTTACTTTCCATGGTTCCAGTTACCTGTGGTCAAATGTTGTCTGAAAACAGCTGAGTACAATAAGTATAATAAAATATGGAGAGAAAAAGAGAGAACCACATTCACATGACTTTTATTATAATATATTATAGTCATTCTATTTTATTAGTAATATATTGTTAATCTCTTACTGTACCTAATTTATAAATTAAAATTTATCATAGGTATGTGTGTGTAGGAAAAACAGAGTACATATAGAGTTCAGTACTATTCTCTTTTTCTGGCATCCACTGCAGGTCGTGGAATGCATCCCCTGCAGATAAAGGGGGAGTACTGTACATTAGAAAATTGTTTGAGCAAGAAGTAGAGCCTGAACTATAAAAACATATGTAGGATGGAGCCCTTTCTTCCAACTGAACACAAATAATGCTCTGCAATAAAATGAGGTATAAGCCATACAGCAGACAATTATAATGGGATTTAACCTAATTAGTATTGGAGAACTGAGAGTCTTCATTAAAAGTAGCACTTCATAATCATGTAATCAGGAAGCTTTGGTTCTTAAAGGCTGACAGGAGATCTGATCCTTAAAAAAAGTGTTTCTAAATTTTCCAAGTGTATTCAGCAAATCGCCAAAACGTGCTTGATTAAAACTGTGATGGGGTGTGTATCCAGAACACCATGCATCCTCTACTCCAGTTCTTCCATCTTGATTGCTTTCCCCAAGTCACTCACTGAACTCTCATCACCCCCAAGTTCTGCAAACATTGCTTGTTATTTCAAAAGCTGAATTAAATGCTATCAGTTGTGAACTTCCTCAGCTTACCTTCTCTTTCTGAAAGCACTCCCTCTGTCTGACTCAGAGAAATCTGCCTCCACCCAAAACCTTCAACTCCTTCTAGAAATCACATATTTCTTCATCTGTTTTTCTCCCCCAACTGCTAGATCTTTCTTTTCATCATATAAACAAGCCTCAAGCTTCTTTTTTAATATTAAGAGAAAAGCAACTTTCCTCCAGCTCTTATCCTGTATCTCTCTTCTATCAGCCAAGTTTCTGGAAAGAGAAATACGTTTTTACTGTTTCCATTTCCAAGTCTTCCATTTACTACCCAAAGAAAGGGACCCTTGCCATTCCAATGGAGCTGCTCTCTCAGTGGCCACTAATAACCACTTCATGTAAATTCAAGCCAACACCTCTCCGCTGTCAGGTTCCTTCTTACTAGAACTTTCTGTAGGATTAGAAACTTTTGACCATACTACCATCAACTCTTTCGAAAACCCACATCTCCAGAGAGACATTGTTCCTGACTTCCACACCAGTGTTTCAAGCTATGCCTACTCTTCCTCGATGTCGCCTCTGTAATGTCTTAACATGTCAGAGATTAACCTTGCAATCCCCTCTCCACCCTGCCCCATCTCTGATATTTCTCACCTTGGTGAGGGATGCTGTCCTTCACCCATCGCCTAATCCAGAAACATGAAAAATCTTTCCATACCCTCCCTACTGTCTATATCCACAATGTCCTGATGTCAGAATAATTTTCCTGAGATGAAAATATGGTCATGCCATTTCTGTATTTGTCACTCTTCAGTGGCTTCTCACAGCTTTTGAAAGAAAAGCCAAAATATTTAGCAAGATACTCAGAGTCCCTCGTGAATTTGCCCTTGCTAAATTTTCACTTCTCATGTTAACCTTCTCCCACATGTATTTGTCACTCCATCTGTTCCAAACTTATGTTAGCTTCCAGAGACTTCTGTTCTTTCACATCTCCAGAACAATCCTGCTCCCCCTAATACCTAATGAAATTCTTGTCTTCAAAACTCAATTTGAGTGCCACCTCTTCTGAAAATGTTTCTGCTAAAAATTTCTCTTCTCTTCAGAGCTCTCAGCCACCCTACTGCCATCTTAATATCTGTGCATTAGCTCATGCCTCGTTTGAAAGTCTCTTTGACTAGGTTTTAAGTCACTTAAGGGTGAGTACAGTGTCTTATCGATGCTTTAATCATCAAGTCTATCACAATGTCTGATTCAAGTTAGGCACTGGATAATACATATATTAAAATTATAACACTATGTGCATAGCCCAGTGAACACTGAAATGACATGCACCAGTGCCCCTTGTGGTACATTCAGAAACACTGCAAGTGGGTCACACCCAAGTGAACCCTGATGCTTCCCTTCATGTGGTGGCCTCTCAGTGGCTATCTCCATTTCTCAGATATGACCCTCTTTCTTACAGGAAGGTGATCCCATAAATAAGAGCAACCACTTATATTGATTTAGTAGATTCCCACATCTATCTCCATATTTCTAACATAACATTTATATATTTTTAATATAATCTGCTAATATGAAATTTTTGTGTCTTCAAAAATTGAAGTGCTTATTAACCCTTTAGAGAACACAACTGAGAAATGCTGGACTAGAGTATAAAATGAAAATATCAAGATACCTTTTACATATATTATTATAAACCTTGTATAATTTTCTTCCTTCAAATCTGAGCAGAAAACAAAGTTTCTCTGGGTTTGAAGTAGAAAAGTTATTTGAATAGTAATCTTTTAAGATAGTTGATTTACAAATGTCTTTTTTTTCTTTGAGATAGAATCTTGCTCTGTCACTCAGGCTGGAGTGCAATGGCATGATCTCGGCTCACTGAAACCTCCACCTTCCAGGTTCAAGCGATTCTCCTTCCTCAGCCTCCCGAGTAGCTGGGATTACAGCCGTGTGCCACCATGCCTGGCTAATTTTTGTATTTTTAGTAGAGACGGGGTTTCACCATGTTGGCCAGGCTGGTCTCAAACTCCTGACCTCAGGTGATCCACCCCCCTCGGCCTCCCAAAGTGCTAGGATGACAGGTGTGTAAAAATGTCTTTAATTAAGAATTAAGTTTAAGTGTTCCTGAAGGATCATGCTTCTCACAGAGAGAGTACATTCACATGCTGATTTTTAGTAAATTTAATAAAAATATGCCCCTAAAATATTGTTTTCTGCCTAGGGGAAATGCCCCATCTCTATTTTATGCTGCAATGCTTGCCCTGGGAATGGAGGCAGAGTGGCACTTGGCTGCAGAGGCACAGCAGGGTGGATCAATGGTTCCTTGTTTTGGGTGTGTAGAGGCCGTGAAGTATGGGATTAGAGCAGGGCCTTGGGAGCCTAATACTCCTAACTACAAATCCTTATGCTGCCACCTACTAGCTACGTGATTGAGAGTTACTGAATCTCTTTTAAGCCTCAGTTTCTACATCTGTAAAATGAGGAAAAATTAATTCGCACCTCGCAGGACTGTTATGAACATTATCATTTTAGAATATTTTGAAAATGGGAAAATAAAACTAGTTTTGAAGATTCACCCTCACCTTATTTTCCATATGACTATGTCTTTTGCGTTGTTATTGATAACCCTGTCTGTCACTAACATAGGGTCCTGAATGCTTACTATCTCAGTAATCTGTTCTTGGACGGGGGATTTGTATATACATTTATGGTTCTGACTTACTTGTCAAGTCACATGTTTCTGCATTGGGCAGTAAAATACAATAGTAACAATAATAGTATTCACCATGCCAGGCCCCTGCATATGTTATTTCTCATCTGCATGACAGCCCCCACAGGGCAGGCATCAGTGGCTGCAGGAGAGAGGGGCACCACAGATAACAGAGAGAAATAGTGAGCTGGAGGGCAGTCTATGAAATGCCTGGTGAAGTCGTGCCCACAACCTTTTGGGAACAAAGCTGCCAAAAGTCCAGCTCATCTTTGAGCACAGATGCCACGCTGTCTGTCATGGACCCCTCCAACTTCAGCCACCTTATTGAAGGCCAACGTGTCTCACACTGGCAGAACCCCACCTGTTAGAAACCCCTGAGGCCTTTGCTTAGCTTTTGGAGGGGGAAAGAATATGAAGAAGGCAGCCATTCCTACAAGAGGTGCCTGTCATTTCTGGTAACCTCCCCACTTCTCTGTCCCTTCGCATCTAAGAGAGTACAGCTGATGCGGGCAATAAGGGTAGGAGGGTTCAGTATTAACTTGTAGATTTTGGACTATCCTTCCTCTCTCTAAAACACAAACAAAAAATAGGGTGAATGTAGGCATGTATGCTCAATTTAACTGAAACCAAGGAATAAGAAATGCAATTGAAACCAGCCCAATTGTCTCATAGAACATATATTTATGGTTTCTGTTGAATAAACATAGAAATTGACCCTCCCCATCTTAAAACTTGAGAAACTTACAAATGTCTTATCTGAGGTTTTTTTTTTCCTCAGGAAACCAACAATCAGGCCTCCCACATAGATCAAGGAATTGAAACTTACCAGATCACTTCATCTGGACAATGAGATACTAGACACCTTACCCATCATGAGTGCCTAAGCGACCACCTGCTATTGGGTTACCAGCTCCTCTTCCATATCCCTCCCTAATTCCTGTTTTCCCACACATGATTACATTTCTTTCCAGCTATACAAACTCTTAATTTTAGTACATTAGGGAGATGGATTTGAGACTGACCTCCCTTCTCCACAGCTGCAACAACCAATTAAAGGCTTCTTCCCTGGCAATACTTGTTCGTCTCAGTGATTGGCTTTCTGTGCAGCAAGCAACAGGACCTAGACCAAACCCCTGGCATTGTGATAACATAATTACATAGACAACTGTTATTCTCAGAAAGTTTTGTCCACAAAGAGTAGTAGCTGCACTTCTCAGAGATGGGAAGAGGTGGGCCCTGGTGGGGCTCTGCAGGGACAGCTAGGAGAGGAGAGACAGAGATGGAAAGGAGCAAAGTCATGCTTGCATGGACTTGTGGTGAAAATTCTCCAAAATTGCCTTTAAACAAAGAAGAGAAAGAGGAGGGTGAGTGAATGGAGTTACTTGTATGGGATAAACCAAACAAGAATGGACTTTATAACTGGCCTTGGAACAGCATGGTGAACATGGAGAGAGAAGAGAAAAGAGGAAGAGAAGCAGGGAAAGTAGAAAGAAGGAGGAGAAAAAAGACAGAAAGAAAACTTAGGATGCTGTTTTACATAGGAGGCTAAGCTCAGAGAAGGAAAAGATAAAAGCTCAACATTCATAACAAGACAAGAGAGAACCTGGGGATTCTAATTTACCTGGGGGGTCGGGGGCATGGGTCAACCATGAGAAAGTGGGCATGAGGGAGGAAACAAACATCACCTCTGCAGAGACCTTAGGCACTGGAGGGACTGTGACAGGGTATGGACTGCATCCGAAGAATAAAAAATAAATCAAAGATCAAATAAACCAGGCAAACACAGGAAACACCTGAAAAATATTTTAAATGCTCTAAATACATGCCTTGCTACATGAGATAGTGTCTAGTTGTGAGCTCTCTCAATCATTATTTTACTCTGAGCTTTCCATAAATTGTAGTATGAAACATATATACATATGAAGAGATTCTGATGATAAAAGGCCTGATTTGTGAAAGTTTGAGGTAACAATTGCAAAGTCAAATCCTGTGCTTCTTAAAGGAGGGTCCTCCCTTCCACCAGCTGGTGACCTCGGGAACTTCCTTCTGCACAGCATGCCTGAATGGATTTATTGTTGGGAACTGCTTAGGAAAGTGCTATGGTCAGGAGATTTTTTTCCACCCCAAAATTAGTATGTTGACAGCCTAACCCCAAGGTGATGGTATTAAGAGGTGGGACCTTTGGAAGGTGATCAGGATTAGTGTCCTTATAAAAGAGACTGTGAGAGGGCTCCCTTGCCCCTCCTGTCATGTGAAGATAGAGTGAGAAGGTGCTGTCTATGAACCAGGGAGCAGCCCTCACAAGACACCAAATCTGCATGAACCTTCATCTTGGACTTTCCAACCTCCAGATATGTGAGAAATAAATTTTGTTGTTTATAAGCCACCAGACCATGGTATTTTGTTATAGCAGCCTAAATGGACTACGACAGAAAGTTTTATCATATTCCCATATTGTTGTCTCTTAATGATACTAATCAGTGACAGAATTTTAGCAGAAGCCTTACTATAATTTGGAAAAATCCAAGACAAAATATCTGAGTGGTGACTTTGCCCTGTCTACACAGAATAGACCACTGCCCAAGCAGTCTGCATATACAAGTTCAGTCTGCACCAAGTTCAGAATGGAGCCGTGTGATAAGAAACTCAAATCAAAGTGATGGTAGCTGAAGATGATTCCAGCTGGCAATGAGAAAATATACAACTGATTTTATTCCTTCTTACAGTTTCAAAAATAGATTGAAGTTGAGAATTGTACTTTGAGAAGGCCAAGTTTCCAGCTCTTAATAACTAACTTATTTACTGTACTCATTTCACAGTCTGTGATGCAGCAATCCACAAAATATTCTATATCAGTCTCATGATGAACTATTAAATGAAGGGACATACTCATTTTTTGAGTTTCCAAAAATTATAGAAATAAGGTAGCCTGTGAAGACTTACATACACACATGCACACACATACACACATATATATACCCTTAAGCACACATGCTATCAATAGCTCTCATCAGAATTTTCCTAGTATAAGTTATTAACAATGGTGTAAAATGGACAATAATGTTTCTCCTTGTACTTTCAAAAGATGAAATTTACAGTAGTAAAGAGCATATTTTAAAATACAAATCTCTGAACAATGTTGAGGTTGAAAATTCATGCCCATGGCAATGCCAAGGCAAAATAAAAGGTCTCGTAGAGAATAATCTTGTGTTTGTGTATTGTAAGTACCTCTAGGGGAGCATTTTAGTGGGCATACTTTCATTGATGAAACTTCTTTTTCTAGTCAGGAATTTCCTCACACATAGAGAACTGAATTAATTTTATACTGATATTGTAAACAACAAAAAATCATGTCACTGGTATACAGTTTGCTACAAAACTTAGAAATCCCAATTAATCTTATGTTCATACTGTATAATAATAGTAATTAGTGATGTTAAATTGATATTTGAAAATGCCTAATAGTTACCTAAACTCATTTTATTGTGATTAACTCTATACTCTCTCACTTATAATTGCTTGAAAGTTGAATTTTTGCTTCCTTGTAGTAAATGAGCTTTCTTATTTTACGTGAAAATTTTTTTTCCATTTCACATGTATAACTACAGCTATCAGTTTTTTCTGAAAAGTGGGAATCCATTATTTTTTTGGAAAGGTATGGTTTCAAGTTTATGACTCTGTTGACAAAACAATTTTTAAATAACAAAATCTAACAGCAGACATAACTAGGTATGAAACAAACATTTGCCTCTAATGGATAAAGTTCAGTGTCTCTCCCAAAGACTTTTCATCCTTTCCATTTCCTGGCATCTTTGAAGAACATCCCTGAGGCTGCTCTGAGTTCCTAGTGACACCCCTTAATGCATGGATCAAGCAAGCCGTGGAGGAAACACAGCACCTGGGCAGTAGGATGCCCATGCAAATAAATGAGCTTCCTATCTCTGCAAACCTTGCTGGACCAGGTGGTTTTGCTCTTTTCTGGCCCCGCAAGTAAACTGCAGTAAGGAGACACTAATCAGTTTACTGCTGAGAAATTGGAAGCTCTTTCAGCCTGAAGTGTCTTACACAGAAAAAAATAATAAAGCCAAGCAATAATGCTCCCAGGGAATGTTCTCTTTATCTGTATTTAGTGTTCCATCACTAGGAATCCTTAGTCCTTTGTTGCTACTATTAGACGAGCCTAAATGGACTTCCAGGCTTACTTCATTTGACTCAAGGGGGTACTAGAATTCCTGGGCATTTGTCATTAATTCATTTGGGAGATTCAAATTGCACAGCGATGGTTCAAATAGTACAGCAGAAAGAAGCCTCCCAGGGCTTGGCTGGATGCCTCCGGTGTCTGGGGCCTGGGAGTGGGGTCCTTCTGTCCCACACATGAGAGTGAGGCCAACGAGGGGAGATGAGGAATAAGAACACACAGGAACATGTAAGGTCAGGTTCCACAAGGTGAGATATGCAACCTATTTTATGTTGACCCCTCTGCCTATAACACATTATAAACACCATTCTGGGAAGGCAGAGAAATGTACTTATGGCAGTTCTTCATTCATTCCTAAAGGACTCGCCAGTTGATTCACTATCTCTGGGGGCTTTAATATTCTAAAGCTGTGGAACAGCTCACAGTGTATGAATAACATTTTCTGCCTTGTGGAAATATGTAAAATCTTGGAAATGTGACTTCCTCCAACTATGAGTGTTCCTAGTATGTTTGACTCCTGTTTAAAGACCTTGCAAAGAAAGTGAATGATTGGCTCATGCTAATAAGGTTTGCAAGCTCCTCAGGGAAACAAAAAATTAAGCAGTGATGGTAGGAGGAGGACTGATTTTGGATAAAAACCCATCTCCACTGTTTTTCTCACACTTGTCATTTTGAAAAAAACACTTTCTCCATTTTTCTTATTAATCCTCAACCTCATGGCAGGGTTTCCTAATCTGAGAAGTACATTCTACATATGTAGAACATACAGGGACTAGTGTTGCAGAGCAGTACTTTCAAATGAGAGTCACAGAGAGGCAAACAAAGCTAGAGACAGGATATGGTATGTATCATCAACACTTGACTTACACCCACCATTCAAAATCTTCTGTATTATCTTGGCAACTTGTGATTGAAACGTCTACATGCCCTTGGAGGAGTAGATTTAATGAGAAGAATAACTATTGTGTGGGTGCAGAACTAGAGTGTATCTTCGTCTCCTTTACCCCAAATGCCAAAAATGGCATCACTTATTAGTATTGCTGATGCTGTTTCTTTTTTTCAACACTACCCCAATTTAATACTTACAAAAAAAGCCAGCCCATTCCTACTGCTATTGATTTAACCCTGACCCCACAACCATATATATTCCTTCCCTAAACCCCAGTATAGCTTTTGTGTACCTCAGTCACCAGTATTCTGTAAGTGCAGCGGTAGATAGGTCTTGTAATCCCAAATGTTCACAAAAGAGACTAGGGGCTTGACAATCTCTGTGCTCCTCCCAAAGGCAATTCTGGCCTCATTGTTTGTTTTCTTAATGTAGTGTTCTAAACTAATTCAGACTCTTTTACACCTAGGCTTTTCTAGAAAATTGCCCTGAAGAAATTTGTAACTTTCTCTGCAAGTGTACTATCTCATCACTCTTCTTACATCTCAAAATTAGAAAAAAAGAACTCAAAACCTCACACTATGCCCTTTGATTTAAAGTCAGGGAACTGAGTGAGATCACTGTAGGCTGAGGCAGACAGACACAGGAAAGCAGACAGAGAATAGAAGGGGACCAATGTTTGAGCCCTGGGAACTCCAAAATATGGAAATTGCTTTGGGAAGAAGCTTCCAGTGAGATATAAGGAAAACCAAGAGAGTGTTGATGTGGAGGCCAAGAGAAGAAAGTAATTCCAGAAGAGAGGTGGCCAACCATGTCAAATGCTACTAGAAGTTCCAATGAGATAAGGTTAGAAAATAGACCACCAGATTTGACAAAATGAAACCCATGTGGCTAGAGAGACAGAAAAGGAATGAAACTCACAGGGTTTGGAAGGAATCCCTCTCAACAAAGAGAGATGAGGACAAAATGAAAAAGGAGTAACTTGCTTGGAAGAGTTGTACAGAAAAGAGCTGAAAAGTGAGGCAGTGCCCAGAAGACATAGTTTACACGGAGTTTTTGGTTTCTTATTTGTATTATGTACAGACAATATTAAAGCATAATTGCAAGTCGAGGTTGTTGTTGAGAAAAAGAAATTGACCTTGCAAAAGAGAGGGGAAATCATAAAATCAAGATTTTTGAGTGGATTAGAAGTGATAAAAATAGACAAGTTGGTCATCAGCAGGAACAAGCAAAAAGAGAAAAGGGGGAGGATGTGGGTGCAGAGAGTATAAATTTGAGTTAGTTTAGTGATGAGAAGTGAAGTGGTTTTTTTCTGATTACTTCCCTTTTTATTAATAAGGAATGAGGGGGGCCATAACTGATGAGGAAAAGAGCTTTTGGACACTGAGGAGAGAAATATAAGTCAATAATCATCTTGGAGAATGGGAACACAAATGTACCAGGAAATTATAGTAGGACTTCTAAGCTTTACCAAATGTCCATTCAAACTTTGTAGTCATAAATTTAGCCCTTATCTCTAATTTGACGTTTAGCACTGCATCACATTATTACTAACCATTTTGTATGTGAAAATCATATTTTTCCCAATCATTTACAAGTTTCTCAAAGGTGGAATCCCAAGGTTGTACTAATTGGTATCTTCTCCAGGGCATACTTCCGTGACCTGGCAAGTAGGTGCCTGATATGGTTTGGCTTTGTATCCCCACCCAAATCTCATCTTGAATTGTAATCCCCACATGTCAAGGAAGAGACCTAGTGGGAGGTGATAGGATCACGGGGGCGGTTTCCCCCATGCTCTTCTCATGATAGTGAGTTCTCATGAGATCTGATGGTTTTATAAGGGGCTCTTCCCCCTTTGCTTTGCCCTCTCTCTCACCTGCCGCCATGTAAGACGTGTGTCTTCCCCTTCTGCCATGATTGTAAGTTTCCTGAGGCCTCCCCAGGCATGAGGAACTCTGAGTCAATTAAACCTCTTTTCTTATAAATTGCCTAGTTTTGGGTAGTATCTCTATAACAGTGTGAGAATGAACTAATACAGTATCTCATAAAGATTTGTGAACTTTCAGATTGAAGACTGAATTTACCATTGTGAATTAAATGCCTGAGGAGATGTTTCTAGCCCTTCTTTCCTCTGCCCTGACCCATATTAAAAGAGGTATTCATAGAAATCATTGCTCTTTTTCCTCTGCGCGCACCCAGCCTGGCAAACACGTCTGGCTTAGCCCTCATATCACTAAAGGTATCCGTGGGATTCCTCTGAGCACCCCAGAGGTGGGTCTAAATTCTCCATCTACTCAAATATGTCCTCTACTCATCGAATCTGGTCTAGGACCTGAAGAAGCACTGGTGTGAGGTGGCTGTTTCTAGTTTCTTAAATCGAAGCTGAAAACTAGGGCCAGTTCTATTCAGTCATGTTTTTGTGTCCACATTCTTTAACCCCAGTAATGTCTAACCCTCAGCATTATGGTAGTAAAAGTCAGACACTGTGCCTGAGAAATAGAAAAGCCTCATTTATTTATTTTTTTTTTTTAGTCCCTTGCTTCTCAAAGTTGGTCCTAACACCAGCAGCACAAGTACTATCTTAGAGCTTATTAGAAATGCATCTTGGTTCTTGGGTTCATGGATTCACTCCAGACCCACTGAATCAGAATCTACACTTTAACAAGATGCTCAGATGATCCTTACACCACCAAAATTTGATAAGCACTCTTCTAGATGATAAAAGAAGCTCCCAAATACAGTTATGTAATTGTGCTAACAGAAAGCTTTGAAAAATAAATGAAAATTT
The DNA here is from genome assembly GCF_000001405.40 of Homo sapiens. Lineage (NCBI taxonomy): Eukaryota > Metazoa > Chordata > Mammalia > Primates > Hominidae > Homo > Homo sapiens. The sequence continues at coordinate 62,641,282 of NC_000008.11, forward strand.
TAATAATTGCTTTGATTTTTGTTCATAAATAAAGACACACTCTATTGCTGTGTGTCTTGCTGGACCTAAGGAACAGAAGGATTTTTTGATAGCTGTCAGGAAAGCTGAACTCTGTTTAATGTAGGCTGACTCTTCCATGTAATTGCAGCTAAAAAGTTAGCTATGAAATACCTTATCACAATAACAGAAATGCTCTCAGTAATCCATAAATTCTTTGTAGCACATTTGCTTTTTGTAGGTTTTTGATAAGTGGTTGGGAGGACAACCAGCAGTCAGAAAAACATCTGTATTCTTTAAGAGCCTGACTCTAGACAGACTCAAAATTCCTGGACACAGAGAAATGTTTCCTGGGCATTCAGATGCTACTTAGCAAGTTAAATAGCTCATTGATTGATAAAGTGAGAGGCAAGATTAGGAAGGGGTTAGTTATCTGAGTAACCTATTCTTGAATATGGAAATCACATAATTATTTTCAAGAGAATGTGTGTGAGAACGAATAAATGAAAAAGTTAGATATAGCTTTTTTTCTGTGCTACAAATCTTATATGTTTATTGAAAGTCTTTTCTCTAAGACTATGATGCATTTGGCTAAGATTAATTTCAGAAATTTTACCTGTATTTTTAATCTCATTTAGAAATGAATAGTAGCCATAAAAGAGGCCCTTATTGACTGCCCAGAGTGGTGGGTCACAAGGTAACATGTTCTGAGAATGCTGGGATGCAACCTGCCAAGAGATATATGGATGAAACAAATCAGACCATGCAACCGCACTGCACTCCTGGGAAAAATGCTTTTTAAAAAAATAAAGATAATACATGTTTTTTATTTAAAGTTTAGAAGTTGAGAAAATAACGATGACAAAAACAATGCTCCTACACCCATCTGTTCTGAGCTTACCACTTGAAACCCATTATTGAAATAGAAACCAGTTTGTCACTGGTAAGCTTGAGGTTCCTACATGTCACCATGTAGCATGACATAGCAGAACTGTCATCGAAACCTCAGTCAGAATTTTGTATTTCTCAACAAAACGTATACCCATAGGATACTAATGGGCACAGTCCATTACAAAGACATAATATCATTTTCTATATTTATTATCATAACACATTCTCACACCTATAGAGTAGTTTGTATTTAATATTGTCTTTTAGGCTTCTGATTTTGACATTGGATAATGTTGGTGCTGACCTCTGACTGCCAGGTTCTCAAAGGACAGCCTCATTTTTATAATTTATTCCCCCTTTCTTGGTCTCTTGGTACAATGCTAAACAATATAATGCACAAAGCAAACAAAGCAAATAACTGAATATACACCTTTTTGCTCTATCTGGTAAGGCAAATATACCCACTTAATTCACACCTTAATAATTTATTTTAAAAAATGTTAATCTCTTTTCTTTAGGAGCTTTTCCCTTGGCTCCTTTTCCTGCAGACAAAGTAGGTAGTTTACTTTGTCCAAAGTCGTGTTAAGTACAAATGAAATAATGATGAGCTTTATGTAGGCAGATTCCTCCCTCCTTTTTATATATTACCATTTTTCTCAATTAGTTTATATGCTAACATATTGTAAACAGAAAGACTTGTTAGTAAATACAAAAAGAGGCATGCATTTTCTATAATAAGATTGAATAAAATAAAAAATTTATTGGAACTATCTGAAATTTATATATTATTAAGCACAAAAGGGACACCTTCAGGTTTTTGTTCAGATCATAATTTTGGAGCATTTTTTGGTTCTAGAAATAAATGGAAATGACCAATGAATGTTAGTGCTAAAAGAATCCTTTGATAGCATCTTTTTTTGGCCTTTCTTTAAGATAACTTGGCACCAGAATAATAAAATAATGTAACCACATTTATTCAATTAGAGTATAGTGGTTTAAATGCACAGTTGTATTTTTTTCACCTCCAGTATAGTAACATTATTCTACAAGTTAGATATGACTTTACAAATTTAATGTGCTAAGAATAAAAATAATGCACAATCAGCTAGGAAGTTAACACACTAAAACATAACTTAAAGAGGTGAAGAGTAACTTGTCCAGGAGTGATTTTCTGCAGGCTGGCCTCCCAAAGGAGGAGTTGGCAACATATAAGTCTCCAAGAAAATTGGCTAAAGCTGAATGTCCAAGGCAGTTAATCCTAGTTGAATACCGATGTGGAGAATTGGGCCCAAAACCCACTATATCATAGGAGCTGCAAGAGTCAAGCTTTGATCCTGCCCTCTGATCATGCTGGGAACAGAGCTGTTGGTTCCCTGATTGTGCAGCTTAATCCAAGGCCTGGATCCCCTCTCCACATTCCCTATATCTGAAGGAACTGTGGATTCCCTGTCTCAGAACATAGGGGGCAATAGGGACCTGCACAACTGTTCCTCAAATAAACCCTGCTTCAGAAGGTCCATTGTGTGTGCTTTTGTTGCACAACATCCACTTGTGGAATTTTCCTATCCACATTCCGAACGTTACTAAGCATGCCTTTCTATCTCTTAAGAGCTTTTCTTGTTCTTATATATAAGTAGTTGGATCTCTTGTTGTTTTTTATATATAAGTTGTTGGATCTCTTGATGTTTTAATAAAGTAATTGTTGTGATGCAAAATTTCTTTCACTGAAATGCCAGATATCTTCCACTTGATTTTCACCCTTCTCTTTCCCCTAAATGCTCAGACTACATTTTCATGGATTCTATTAAAGGACACCCATGCTCTCTGGGTTCCAGTTAGTTTTGGTGAATAAGAAGACCCAGTAATGGATGGAAAAGAAAGAGGAAGATGAAGCCAGGGATTTTATTCTCCCAGCTTACTCTTTATGAAACCACTTCAGGCTGCTGGGGTCCCTTGACTTCATGCCATTGCTCCATGTGGTTCTTTCTGGCTAAACTCTCACTCTCTTAGTCCCTTCAGCTTTAGGAGGGGTGACATCCTCACTGCTCCTGCTGCTACTAGGCTCCTGCACCATTCTTTGTAGTTCCCGTAGGTCTTTTTATTGTCTTTATGATTATTCTCTTTGCAAACAAAGGTCTCCTCAAAATATCCTGACTTCAGTGTACCATCTTTTCTTTTTGGGACCCTGATAGATACAAATAAATTAGGTGCAACATCCTGATTAAGAAATATAGTTAGATCTTTTTTTGAAGAAGGCTAATAGTGTTTTTTTTAAGCCTTTCAAAATGACACTTTTAGACTACCCAAATAATAAATCTGTGTTTAATATGTCTACCCTTATATCTATCTCTACACCTATATCCACAATTTTCTGGAAATTCAGAACTACTACTTTTAGGAACTTTTTAAAGGTTAGGTGAATCAGATGTTCACATAATGAAGTCTGTGGAAAGGACAACTATAGATTGGTTAGCTTTGGTTGTGACTAAAAGGTTAAGTAGTGGCGGCTTATTGATTATAAATATTGACTGGCATTTTCTTTAATAATACTTTTGATTTTTGATGGTTCCTCAGAAATTAATATGTATTTGGAAGGTCTTTAATTTTCATCATCCACAGCACCTTGCACAGTGTTAAGCACAAAACAGATGAGTAATAACTGGTTGCTGATCAATTTGTTTGCATAATTAATTGCTTGTGCAGTTGTCTGCATTCTACTCTGTTGTTTTTTATGCAGGCAGGCCATCCATAGCTATATCATCTCTGGAAAATGTGAACTCTGTTGCATTTTTTCATTCAATAGATTAAAGGAACACCCAGAGGGAAATTATGTAGCAAATATTACTTGTTGGAAAGGTCTTTAACTTTGCTTGATTAGGTTATCTGTCACCTAAGTCAAATCGCAGTGGTCTCTTGATGATCTGATTCCAGCGCTAATTCAGAGCCAGCAGGGGAGGTGGAGCCAAAGAGTGTAAGAATAGAGCTTGGGTGGCTGTTAACAGCGGACCACTCTTCAATGGATTCAGATCACAGAATTGAACAGCAGGAAAATAAGGATAGTTCTGGGGCAAAGCCAAATCTGCAGTTCTTTGAAGCTATTGCATGTTTATACTTTGGACAAAACCTTCCTTTTACCCCAAATTTTTATTCTATATTTTTGCAGTTTGTAAGTAGAGAAAAATCCTACCAGATACTATGTGAATGACAGAATTTATTTATGACTCTGTGATAAATGTAATGAAGTCATACTGCTTTTGGAAAGGGATAGATGTAGGGAGAATACTCAGTTTTGCTGAGGCTTAATTTAAATATTAATTAGGATAACTATCCTTAAAGTAATCAAGAAGTAAAAAGGCTGCCTGTACAACAACCACAAACTACAACTTTTAAATCCTTCCCCTTTTAAAATCAGATACAACAGTGGATTGAAGATTTTTTAAATTAATCAAGTGTATATGAAGTGACAGATTATGTGAAAGCTCAAAGGTCTTCTCTTAAGTAGAATTTTGGGAGGGATTTTGTAAAGGGCATCATTACTGCTGAGCACCAACTTTGTTTTGGGCATTTAAACATCTATTGGGGCTTTCATCCTCAGCTACTGCTCTTATCAGTCCAATTTTGTGATGCAGATCATCTGAGATTCAAACTTTCCCTTGTTTAGCCCACAAAGCAATTTTTAAGAAATTCAAATTTTCAATTGCTTAGCTCACAAAACAACTTTCAAAAACTATGTTCTGGTTAATTTAGGTACCCATTCATATGAAATTATATTCTACTTTCCGAAAATAATACTGCTCTCAAAATGTGTTTTCTAGTTGATTATTAAATCTCAAAACTTATTACTTTGAAATACATACCAAAATCTTTGGAGATGGAGTTATTATATTGCAATGGCTATTATATATAATAACTATTATATATCATAGATGCAATGGCCTAAAAATCAAATGGCGTTTTCCCTCATTCTGGAAAAAAAAAAAAAAAAACAGATGCAGATGTTCTGCTGCCTGGACATCTCTGGTCATGTGTCTTTCCATGAAACAGTTTTATCCTCCCATCCCCCATACCAACCACAATTAAGAGGTTTAAATAAAATAAAACTAAGAAAGTGAATTTTTAGAGATGTAACCTAGTCCTGCTAATAATGTAGGAGGCATTCATTTACATTCAAAACTGCAAAACAGAGCAGAGAGTTAGGTTTGGAATCTGTGCTTGTGGAGCCTTTTCATTTACTCACCCAACTCCAAATAAGTCATTTAAGATACTAAAGAGAACTAGTGCAGAAGATGATATGCTTAGACATAAAATATATCCTTATTTGAACCTATAATATCCTGTTCTGAACATAAAACTCAAATGTAAAATTTAATTCTTATGTTTCTAATGTTTATAATAAACCACTGTATTTATCCACTTTGAACAGGCTTAGCTTTTGCATAAAGTTGATTTCTTTGCAAATCTATTCCATTAAACAATTTTCATTCATAATATGAGCCCGTATTACATTTTGTAACCCTAAAAATCACCATCGGCATCTTCTATTCAACAGATAATAAGTTGTAAACAGAGCAAAAACTATTACGGAAACCATGCATATAACATGTAAAGTAACAGTATCAAATAAAATAAAAAATGACCAAAAATATTTTAAAGGTACAGTAGAACAGGCCAATCACAAAATAAAAACTCCAAGATAGACAATCATGGAAAGAAATGGTACTGAATGTCAGCTCCAAGATGCATCAATGAGTAAAAAGATGACTTGTGCCCCCAGCTCCCAGCACAAAGGCCCTGGCAAGCAACTTGGATGAGTTCTTAATTTACTCACTTGCTATGAAGTCAATTCTTAAAGACCGTGTGTGGGTTTTTACACTCTGTATTTCACCAAATATTAGAATGTAAGACAGGAAGACAAACGTTGAGATTCATAACAATAGCATTCACATCTACATATGGTAATTTCTTAGAGCTATTCAATGAAAACTTCCACCTCGGAGCTGACATCTTAGAATTATTTTGATACCATCCCTTGCGATTCTGTAAGCAAAGTTGTTAAGAGTCTGCAAAGGCATAAATGCATAGAGCAGTTGTCTAAAATTCTTGAGAGAAAATAGTAAATGTTCTGGGACTCCATGCAGATGAAAAGCAAAGTGGCAGAACTACTTTTAAAGTTGTTCATCCATTAGGCTAATCTCTAAGCCAATCAGGTTCTGAGGAAAGCAATTATGAGCAAGGTGGACAGAGAACTTGCCTAAGACGGAAAGGAGAATTCAACAGTATCTCTGATTAAGTGCTTTAAGTGCTGTGAGAACAAATCTACAGGTGCGGTGTGGGTTTGGCAGGGATCTCCGACCTTAACTAGGAAAGGGGTGGGGATCCAGAAAGGCTTCCTGGACGAAGGAATATCCACGGGGAAACCTGAAGGATTAGCAGAAGTTAGCAAAGTGGAGAGGAGGGAGGACTGTTTTAAGGAGAGGAAATAGCTTACTCAGACTCAGAGGTGAGAAAGAACATGGATCCAAGAGAAAATAAAAATTCAGTAGGGATGAATGAAGCCTGAATCCCCTCGATTGCCGAAAGGCAAGAAGTGAGCCTGGAGATGAAGTTAGGGAATAAGGCATAAAATCTAAAGTAAGTTTCATTAAAGCAGTTTTACTTGAGACAAGAGTCTTTGAGATTGATGTTTCAAAGAAACTGCTCCATGCAAAATGGACTGGAGGAATGCAGGTGAGGTAGGCGGATGGCTCGGATTGGTTATGGCAGTGGAGATGGAAAGAACTTGATGCAGGTGGGGTGGATTTAGAGGTAATATCGTCAAGGCCTATGAGAAACAGGATGTACAGAATGAGAAGTAGGAAAGAGTGAGGGACCAAAGTGATTCTCGGGTTTCTGATTTAGACAGCTGGGTGCATGGTGGTGCAGTCACTAAGAAAAACATCAAGGGAAGGGCAGTTTGAGATTAACAGATGGATACGTTTTGGGCAAAATGGGTTGGCAATACTTGTGAGCCGTCCAAGTACTATGTCCTGTAAGACATGGATCCGTGTAGATCCGTGGATCTGGAGCTCCAGAGAGGAACCTGGGATAGAGATGGAGATCTGAGAGTCATGAGATTACAATTGGCGGTTGAATTTTATTGAGTGGGTGTTGTCTCTCTAGAAGAATGTGTGTCGGGAGAAATGACCGAGGGAGAACCCTACAGAGCACCATAAATGTGTGATGAGCAGAGAAAAATAGTCCTATGTCTTAGCCCATGTTCCCTAAGAAGCAAGCTGGAAGCAAAGCTACACGCTAACCCCTTATGGGGGTTGCAGGAGGATACCATGGCAGGATAGAGGAAATAGAAAAATAGAAGTGAGGTAAGAAAGTCAAGAAAGTAAATACACAGGGGTATATCACCTAGTTAGCTTCATAGGAATCACAGCCTGGTGCTCAGTCACTGAGACACTTTCAGGAAAACCTTACCTTACAGAAGGAATCCCCTTAACAAAAAGGTGAATGTACAGTTTGTCTTCCAGCCTCTTCCCTTTTCTTGCCTCTCATTGATCAACATTTGCCTCTTAGCCATTCTAGGGCTTAGTTAATCTAGGCAGCTCTTGGAGAAACCAGAGCCTCCATGGGTCCAGGCTGGTTGAGCCAAGGTGCTGGGGCTTCTTATGCCCTCCCCAAGATGAACCTGAGGGAGGCCTTGCCACAGGTCAGTCAGTAAGCTCTGGAAGAGGCTGAGACAGAGGGTGGTGTTGGGAGATGGAGCAATGGCATCCGGAGCTGGAATTTTGTAAGTTATGCAGTGATGTAAGCCTCAATGGATTCTCTTCAGCCAGGAATTAGAGCAAGCAGTTGATGATCTGAAACAATTTTGGATAATGTGTAAACTGGGTCTGGTATATCCTGTGAAGAAGCCTGAGAATGATTGGTAAGATAAGTGGGAGAAAACAAATAATGCCAAAGATTGAAAGAAAAAAGCATATTTCAAAAATGGATCATCAGTGTCAAATGTTTCTTTCAAATCCAATAAAATAAAAACTGTAATGTCTATTGTGGATTCCTGTGATTCTAGTAAGGTACTTTGATTTTCCTGTGGGAAACCATGCCTTGCCTATTCTTGGTTTATTTGGTTTGGGTTGAGTGAATTCCACCCAGTAATTCCCAGGGTCAGTAAATGGTCCAACTGCAAACAATTGTGAGTGACTCCTCTAAGCATAGGGGTGGCCTGAGCCAAACAGGCCAATGGGACTTCATGCCAGGGATTGTGCTGGAACAATTGGTAAAGAACTGAAGACTGAATATATTTAAATTTTGTGAATAATACCTTTTTCTTCTTAAGCCAAGTAGAGTTGTTTTTCTGTCATTTGTACCCGAAAGATGCCTAATTACTACAGAAGCAAAAAAATCCATTAGATATAATGACAAAGGTTATTGGAGCCCTCAGTAAGGATGGTGTCAGCTGAGCGGTGCTGGCAGAAGTTGGGGGCATTCTCACTGCCTCTTCATCTTCTTTCTTCAACTCTTAAAACACGGTTTTATCTACTTGTGAAAGGAGGGAGGAAAATGAACTAAATGTTTAGAGTGCTCCTGGGAGAAAGCAGAAAACAGTGTTGGCATCTCAGAGCCACCCTCTTCTGGGCCTCACCTGAGGAACAGGTGTGCTGCATTGGGCAGGGGCTGGGGGAAGGTTCCCCAGTGCTTCCAGAGTCCAAACAGGCCCCATCTATTTTAAACAACTGCAAAGTCCCCGTGATAATAGATTTGCTCTTAATTTTCTATTTTTCCCAAGTACTTAATCCTGTGCCAGTGGGCTTTTATTAAATATAGATTCATTTGAGACTCCCCACCTACCTGAGCAAGGATCAGCCCACAAGAATTACTCCATCTGGAGTTCTACAGTTTCTTTCTGATGGCTGAAAAAAAAACTGCATTTTGATTCCAAGTTTGGTCCTTCTCTTCTGGTGACTATAAGGCAGATATATTTATTATCAGTTCTGTGGGATTCTTTGCTTCATCATAACTCTTTATATGAACTTGTAATAAATCTGTCATCACAGTCTCAATTTATTTTCACAACATTTCTCTTATCAACCCTTCTTTCCTACTCAAATTATTTTCTAGAATTCAGGTGCTCACTACTTCTGCCTCGCAATAGAGTAACAATGCTCTAATTGGTCTTGGTGCCTATAGTCACTCTTTGCTCCAATCCGTCATCAAGCAAATAATCCCCAAACTAATTAAATGTGCCAGCATCAGTTAAAGCAGGCAGTGAAAAAACACATTCCTAAATACTCCTAGAGAATTTAATTTATGTTTTCTAAGGACACATTGTCTGCTGTTATTAGTATTAGTTGTGTATGCTTCTGTGTTTTTATTTCTATTCTTCTCGATTGTACATTCTTTGAGGATGAGATGGGTTTTAGTGGATCTCATTTCATAAGTAAGGCAATAAAGATACATTTTCCATAACTAATTATATACCAATATACAGCATGTAGATATTGAGTCCTACATTTCTGATTATCACCAGTTAAGGACCAAAGTATGACGTGGGAATATTGAGCTCTCAGGTAGACCACAGGCTCTTGTCAGATGCCTGCCATTGCTATGCTATTCTCATTATTTTATTGCATAGATGAGGATAGAAATAAAGGTCAGTCCTGGTGCCATATTTTTAAATATATATAGAAAATATATGATTGGCATAAGCACCATTGAGAATATTCTAGAAAAATAATACTTAGCTATTTTATGTTGGCTGAAATAATATTTTCTTTATGAGAAAAATATAAATTTCTATTGCAAGACTTTTTAACAAGAATTCTTTTGTTTTGTTTTTGCATGATCTTAATTGAGCATTTCAAACTGTTTTAAAAATTCAGAGACTCTCTATAAGATGTGTATTTTTTAATAAACCTTCACTTGAGTATAATTTTTATTTCCCATCAGTACCTAAAAGAAAAAAAAAAACTTCTTCGAAAAGATAAAAGGATGCATTTGCAAGATTATTTCCCTCTTAGGAAAAGTGCAATTTTTTACAGAACAATGCTGATACATTTTCATTTTATTCAACTTATAGTTTAATTTTTATTCATATTTTATATTCATATTTGCATGATAAAAAGGTGCCACATTGTTCTTAGCACCTTATATTATTTGATTGCTAAAGAAAGACACCCAAAAAATCAAACAGGAATAAAAAGATTCAAGTCTCATAATGGAGCAATTTGCATTACTCTCTAATCTTCATCTCATTAAATCTTATTGACAGATCATTGTCTTCCTAGTAGAAAGTCTGTGTCTTAGTCAATTCAAGCTGCTATAACAAAATACCAGAAACTGCATGGCATATAAACAGCAGAAATTTATTCCCACTGTTTTAGAGGCTTGCAAGTCCCAGATAAAGGCAACAGCACATTTGGTGTCTGGTGAGGGCCTACTTTTTGGTTCATGGATAGCACTTTTTGTGTTCTCACATGGTGATATGGTTTGGACATGTGTCCCTTCCAAATCTCATATTGAAATGTGATTCCCAATGTTGGAGGTGGGGGTCTGGTGGGAGGTGATTTGATCATGGGGTTGGATCCCTCATGAATGGTTTCACACCATCCCCTTGGTGATAAGCAAGTTCTCACTCAGTTCACATGGGTTCTGGTTGTTAAAGTCTAGGACCTCCCTCCTCCCTTGCTCCCCTTCTTGCTATGTGACATGCCTGTTCTCACTTCACCTTCTGCCATGACTATAAGCTTTCTGAGGCCCTCACCAGAAGCTAAGCAGATGCTGGTGCCATGCTTGTACAGCCTGCAGAACCATAAGCCAGAAAAACCTCTTTTTCATTATAAATTATCCAGTCTCAGGTCATAGCAACACAAGAATGGCCTAACATACATGGCAAAAGGGGCAAGGAAGCTCTCTAGGGTCTCAAAATTTTAGAAGGTCACTAAACCCATAGGGGGTCCATCTCCCTGACCTAATCAGCTCCCAAGGCCCCACTTCCAAATGCCATCATCTTGGGGATTAGGTTTCAATGTATCAATTTTGAGAGGGCTTAAACTTTCAGACCACAGCAGTTTAAGAGAACTATTACTTGGCAATTTTTATGGCAGATCCACAATGTCATTCAACACTTTATGTGATATTATCTCAATAACTTTTGGCCTTTAATATTAGAATAATCATTCAACTTTTAAGAGAATTTGGCATTTAGACCAATTAATAAACTATGCAAAGGCTCTCCCCACACTGGCTGGCTTGTGGCTTGGCTGAAGCACTGCCAGACATAGGTGCGATTAATCATTTGTTCTCACAATAAAGATAACAGTTTTTAGAATTATAAGAAAAGTTTCTCATTCCCATTTTTCTTTATTAGACATAAAGTCCATGTATTCTCCTTTTTAGTAAGATAATTAGCAAAAAAATATTTCTGAGGAGGTTTTAAAGAGGGAGATTATTTGGGGTAAACTGGGAATAGTCTGATATATACCAGCTTGCTGGTTGCTGGTCTGGATCACCCTGGCATATGATGTGGATGCTCAAGCTTTACGACTGCACTTTTTAGTGAAAATAATTTGTGCCAGAGCTCTTCTAAGCACTGTACCTGTAATCCTCCAAATAGCTCTTTGAGGTAAATAGGTAATACTTATTGTTCTTTTACAGAGGAGGAAACTGAGCCACGGACAAGTTATGAACTTGCTCATGGTCCCTCCACCAGTGTTAGAGCAAAGTCAAAACTCAGGTCTGATCCTGAAGCCATAGATCTGAACTACTATGCATTGATAACAAGAGCCTGAAAGAAACAGAACCAGGAAAGGGGGAATGTGATTTTCTTCTTTTGGGCACATTGAACCAAATTCTCTATTGTCATTATGAATTTGTGTTCAGGGCAATAACCCCACCTTGGTTTATTCAGAGTTACTGTGAGATTCTTCTCTGTGTTGGGTACTAGATTAGTCAGCTCAGGCTGCCATAACAAAGTACTATAGACTGGGTTGCTTAAGTAACAGAAATGTATTTTCCCAAAGGTCTGGAGGCTAGAATCTGAGATTAGGGTGCCAGCATGGACAGATTCTGGTGAGGCCCCTCTTCCTGGCTTGCAGAGGGCCACCTTCTGTGTTCTTAAGTAGCAGAGAGAGAGAGAGAGAACCAGAGCAAGCTCTGTGGTTCCTCTTCTTATTAGGGTACTAATCCAATCATGAAGCCCCTACTGTCATGATCTCATCTAAAGCTAATTCTTTCCCAAAGGCCCCACCTCCAAATATCATCACATTATGATGGGCTTCAGTGTAGGAGTTTTGGGGGAGCAGAAGGGACACAGTTCAGTCCATAATAGGTACTCATCCAAGTATTATGGTAGAAAAGTTGAAAAAGATCCAGCTCTTCACTTCAAAGAAATAAAAATATAAGGGGATGCATAAGCAAGTTATTGCAACCTGATAGTTCAAAAATAAAGGAATATACAAGTGTCCTGAAAGGAACAAGGAGGATGCAATTAATTTTGTTTGGATCTTGGGAGCAGGATGGCATCGAAGCAGGGTCTACAGAGGAAGAGACTTTGCACCAAGTCTGGAATATGTGTGGTTGGCTCATGATGAAAAAGGGTCCATCAGCCCTACTGTTCCACTGTGAGAGGGTGGAGTTTGTTACCTGTACGATCTTATTCCAGAATTATTCTACAAAAACAAGAAACCTTGTGATATTCTGGGTTAGGACTACATATAGTCACCCTAGAGAGAAACTCAAAATTGACAAGCATTTTCTGTGGACTCAAGGGTTCTAACCATGGTTTTAATCCCTCATCTTTAATAATATAATTCAAGGGATTACAGATTTTTACAGAAAGCCCTTGAAATGAAGGATAGTGACCTAAACACAGCATAAATAAAACAAACTTAGAGGCAACAGAGATGGTAGAGAAACAAGAAAAGTCTAGGGGACTCCTATCACTAACATCCTAAGAGAAATAAGAGAATATTTTGTAACATCAGCAAAAGAATGAAATGCTTAAAATAATGCAAAAAAAAACTACAATTGAGTTCATAAAAATTAAAAATATTACAGCAGAAATAAAGAATTCAATAAATGAGTCAATAAAATGTTTTTCTCATAAAGACTGGAAGGGAAAGAAAAGGCAAATAGAAAGGAAAAGATAAAAAAGTTAAAAGAATAGTTAAGAAAATCCAACGACTAAATAATAGGAGTTCTAGAAAAAGGCAAGCAGAAAATAATTCAAGAAACTCTCCTAAGACAGGTCATAAGTTGTCACACTCAAAAGCTTCAATGGCTTAAACAAATCCACTGTCGGCACATCACTGTGAAATTTCAGAGCAGTTGGGACAAGAAGATGATACAAGCTTCTAAAGAAAAAAAATCCACTGGTCAACTACAGAAGATCAAAAATTAGAATGACTTTATTGACTTTATCTCTTAATGGTTCCACAGTAGCTAGAGGACAATGGTAGTGTCCTTGAAGTTGAACTTTATAAAGAAAATATTATTCGTTTAAAATATAGACCAAACCATACTATCAATCACATGAAGATATACTAAAGACATTTTCAGGCAAACAAGATTTTCAAAAATTTACCACACATACACACACACATTCTCATGAAACACAGGAGGCTTTTTTCCATGAAACAAGGGAATGAATTAAAAACAAGGCAAACAAACAAAAAAGAGGAACTCATGAGAAACAGGAAACAGGAAATCTCAAATAAGAGAGAGGCCATGGGAATCCCCATAGTTATGGGGAAGGACGATAGCAGGATTATTGCTATAGGTAGATGTAGTCCAGGCTGGAACAAGGATGAAAGTGTGTGGTCAAAGATAGCCAAGGGCTCTATATTCATAGTCACTCTTTCTGTCAATTCAGATGTGACAAAAAGAAACTTATAAATGCAGCTGTTGGGGATTGGTAGAGTTTATAAGAGTCTGTATAAGGGGTAAACAGAGGAGCTTAAGGCTATGATGACCATCCAGCTGTTTGCAGACTCTTGGAGTGGGTGTGGAGGAGACCAAGATGGACCTGAGCTGAAGGAGGTCCAGAGGTTCCACTCCCTTTCTTCAACCAGAATGAGTCCACCTCTGCCTCATGCATATACTTTAAATATATATGAATGAACCTTTAATAACAAAAATATTGACAGTCACTACTCTCTATTATAGGCTGTCATTAAAATATTTTAGATGGGAAAGTGATATAATTCGATTTTAATTTTAGAATATGACTTTGATTCCAGGATAGAGAATAGATTAGAGGGAAGTAAGATTAGAAGAAAGGAGGCCATTTAGGAGGCTGTGGTAGTGCAAATAAGGTATTATAAGCTTCTGAATTTTAAATAGTCACTATAGGGATGAACAAAGGGAAGGACAATATATCCATATAAAAAACAGGTAGAATAAATATAGAACTGGTGAGGCAAAGTGAGAAAGAATGCAAATAACTTCCAAATTTCTAATTTAGACAACTATGTTGGTGATAGTCTATCTGCTAATATTCAAAGAAAATACAGGAGAAAGAGCAGATTGGTAGAGGAAGATAAAGATGCCCATTTTGGGCATCCAGTGGGCGAAGTTTTGCAGGCAGGCGGATATACAGGTTTGGAATTCAGGAAGGGGATGATGATGTATATTTTGGTGTCCAAACAACAGGTGTTTGCAAACATGGGTAGATCACCTATGAAGAATATGTAATGAAGAACAAAGGGGCATAAAATTATGGTGGATCATGAGCAAATATAGGGTATGGGAAGTTACTAACCCTGAAATACTTGGTCCCTAGGAAAGACTGTGTTAGAAATAAAATTAGCCCCATTTTCTTTGAATATCCAAATGAAATTAAACAAGAATCATCTCTGGCCAAACCTCATGTCCTTATCCCCCACAAAGACCAGAGTGATGGCTCCAGAGACAGATCTCAAGGAGAAGGTGGAAGCTGAGAGAAGTGCTGTGGCAGTGGCCTCGCCTTCATGGAAAGCTGCAGTACCTTTCAGGAGCCGATTTTGCTGCCATTTTGTGCCATGACTAATATTGATTCACTCTTCACACTCCCTGTTTTCCCATTTACATAATCAGATTCAACAACTTATTCTCATCTCAGCCTTGAAAATCAGGACATAGATTTTTATGCTTCAGAGTATTTTTGTGGCTTGCAGAATTTCAGCAGCTGTTACTTCATACATCAGGAAACATTAGCAAATTAAAGAAACAAAGTTTGCTGAGAATGTGTATACATATGTAACAAACCTGCACGTTGTGCACATGTACCCCAGAACCTAAAGTATAAAAAAATAAATAAATAAAATAAAAAATAAAAGAACAAAGAAAGAAAGAAAGAAAGAAAAAAAGGAAGGTAGGTCCATAGCATTAGAGAATCTTATTTGGAGTTCTGTGGCTTAGGCCAACTAGTCTTGTAAATTAGAGCTTCACTTTATAGATGGTCTTTATATTTAAAAATCACATTTTCCAAAAACATACATTATTTTAGGTTTTGAATTTGCGAATTGCGATAAGAGTGTTTGTTTTATGGTTGGTTACTGTAAAATGTCTAGTCACAACCACTCCCCTGGTCCCCAAACAAAATAGAGTTCTCAGGCTTCCTATAAGCTCTTTTGTAACCTTGGCCCCACCAATTATTTTCTTATTTTAAAGAGAAACCTGTAATGGTGTCCTGAGGTTACCTCTAGCTGTTCAGGACTGATACACTTATGAACAAGGAAAGACAATGGAAGTGATTACTAAATCAACATGTTACCAAATAATTGAAGATTTAAAAAACATCTATCATGAGAAATGAATCATTTTTCAACAAAAGGGTATTCTTTGTGTTTTCTAAGCTAAAACATTAGAAACGTCAATTTCCAGTAGATGAGGCTATGTTACAGTTTATTCCATTTATAACCCTCACTGTTTTTGGCTATTTTGTTCAGGCTAGAAACAGTATTTAAACATTTCAATTGTTGTACTGTTTAAAATGGCTGCCTATATATGGAATTCTACCTTGCAAAGTAACTATCTGAGTATATCTGAAATTTGCCATCATTTATCAACTGCCCAAAATACGTTTTTCAATATTTCATAAGTATACAATAAAACTTCTTAAGATATCAGAATCCATTTTAGAAACTGAAATAATGTAGCATTACTAATATTCACTTTAATAGACTGGTTGGTCAATACTCTATGTTTAATTATAATTCATTTGGATCCACTTTACATATGTGTTATTTAAAAAGCAAATCATATCCTATCATGTGCCCTTAGCCAATCTCAAGAGCAAGAGAACAGGACTTTCACAAATATGTAAGCAATCTTCTTTTTATCATCTTCTGTGTTCAAAGTTAATCCTGCAATTGTATTAATTTCCCCTATGAGTAGAAAGCTGAAAGAAAAAAAAGAATAAAACTTTGTGGTTTACATATTGCATTATCAATCTCTTAGTGTCAGAAAGGCTGGGTCTTTTTGTTGTTCATCATTCTATCTGTGGTACCTAAAATAGTCTCACGCATGCAGTGAGCTCTGAGTAAACACTTGTTGCATGATCGATGGTGCCAACTATTGGTGCATTCTGAAAAACATGCCATGGAGAAGGTATAGCAGAAAAAGCCTGCACCACGAAATAGGAACTCTGAAGTCTATTCTGGTTTTTGCTCTTTTCTGAATGACCTTGGACAAGTTCGTGTCCCTTAGAGCCTGAAGTTCCTCATTTACACAATGGGAATGAAACTACCTGTCCTGTCCTTCAGCAGGCATTTAGTGGAGCAAATGGGGAGAGCTCTGTAAACATCCAAATAACCAAAAAGACAAAGGAAAACAGAATGGCTGAAGAGAGTGCAGATCTCTCGCTTTATCTCAGCAGTCCATGTGCCTCTGTGTTTACACTCAGCTTTTAATTATTTGCATTAATGAAGGGCAGCCGAGGCATAGATAATCCCAAGTACTTATGTTTGGCTTTGGAATTAAACTGAATGTGCTCTGTGTAACATTTTGAGAGTGTATTCTCACAAAGTCATGAAATCATGCTATGAAGACCCAGTTCTCTGACACTGGCTTTGGGGTAAACTTGTAACAATCTCTTAATCTCCCCGGGCATTAAGGATCCTTATTACACCCACAGCCCTCTGTCAGTTAAGAGGCAGACATCATAAACACGGCACATCAGCCTTTGGCAAAATTTAATTTCGCGGTGAGGATTCAGTACAAGACTCTTTAGGAAACCGGGACAATCATTTTGTTTACTTGTTTGCTTTATCAGGCAGAAATTAGTTGAGGCTATCATCGGGGAACTGAGGCAGTGGGTGTTCGTAGTTCTGATTTATCACTGCCTGGCATATTATATGTAAATGCGGTATACCCATTCATATATTATGATGGTTCACTTTTGAATAAATGAATATATCACTCCATGAAGATGTTGAGTCATATTTTGAGTCTTTAAAATAAGTACAGTACTCGTAGCTTCCCTTCTACTTAGTGATTTATCATTGATGAAACATGGGTTTCTGAAATAGTGCTGAAATAATTTATTTGTTTTCTAGCCTATGCATTTGTTGATTTGATTAGTAATTTTATCCTCCCTCTGCAGCAATTGGCTGGTAAAACTATTCCTTGTAACTTCAGAAAGTAAAGTATTACTCCTTTCTCTTCCTTATGCCTCCAGGCTACTATAATTCCAACCTGTCCTACTTCGCTATGGACATATTTTTAAGTGTCAAAATGTTCTGCATATTTACACTGGAGTGTATATCTAGAATGCAGGAGTTATTTAAGGCCCTTAAAAATGCAGCAGTGATGAGGAGAAAAGAGTGACAAAAAGTGAGAGTGAGGCCCAGCCCACTGGAGAGGCATATCCCATAATCCGCTCATTCATATGGAAATTCATTATTTTTCACCCTCCAGGTGCCCATTTTAGTCAGAAATCATTTGTATGGCTATGGAATCACTTCGTCACTGGGCTTGACTATGCCAAGGTCACAAAGTTAAATTAGTACCACAGTCGAGAGGTAACTCAAGGGCAATTTGTTCCACTTTGCTTGCTCTTCTCTACTGAGCTGGCCTCCAAGAGTCATTTACTCGAGTTTGTCTCTCCTGTCCCCAAAAGTGGTAGTGACCTGCTTTGTGACATCCCACAAAGAGCCTCCGGCTCTAGCAATGGGAGGGTAGAGTGAACAGAACTGGGTTTAGAACCTCACTCTGGCACTTGCCAGTTTCTATATCAGGGTTATTATATTTACCTCATAATTTTTTGTAAGGATTAAATGGGATGAGCCATGAGAAATACCTTAGAGCCTTACATACATTAAACTTTATTTTTAAGGAGCTTAATGTGACTGACTATGCCATTAATGTGACATAGCACCTCTGCTTTTGCTATCATTGTAACAACAAGGGCTTTATAAGGCAGAGGTGCTCCAGCATGGTCTGTTGCACTGGATGGAGATGGGGGCTGCTTCTTGATTGTTGTGTAATCTATTGCGTATATGCTGCTTTCTGGTTGAAGGGTGAGAACAGGTTTGACCATGCACTTGGTTGCATCCTCTCTGGCTTGCTGATATTGTTTGGCTGTGTCCCCACCCAGGTCTCATCTTGAATTTTTATGTGTTGTGGGAGGGACCTAGTGGGAGGTAATTGAATCATGGAGACAGGTCTTTTCCATGCTGTTCTCCTGATAGTGAATAAGTCTCATGACATCTGATGGTTCTAAAAAGGGGAGTTTCCCTGCACAAGCACTGTCTTTGCCTGAGGCCATCCATGTAAGACATGACTTGCTCCTCCTTGCCTTCTGCCATGATTGTGAGGCCTCCCAAGCCATGTGCAATGTAAGTCCATTAAACCTCTTTCTTTTGTATATTGCCCAGTCTCAGGTATATCTTTATCAGTAGTGTGAAAATGGACTAATATACTTGGTGAATGCCTCAGGGGGAGGTCTGCCTGCTTATCTGACCTAGAGCCACTCCCAAGTTACCAACTTGGTTGGGGAGGCAACATGACTTCCTGGATTGAGCACTGGAGCAACAATCATGAGACCTGGGCTTCAGGCCACCAAGTTCCAGCACTAACGATGAGTGACCTTGGCAAACTACTTTCCATTTCTTCTTCCCATTAGAGGAAAATAATTGATCTTTTGGTCATACCTTACAAAGATGTTGTGAAGATGAATGTAGAATATCTGAAGGAGCATCAGAGGGAAATGCCAAAGTGTACATAATTAGTTTTACAATCTATAATTAAGTATATGGATAGAGATGAGGTATCCATGTGTGAATTATACATTTAAAAACTAGGCTTGCTTTTTTTTTTCCTTTCTAACAGTAGTGAAGAGCCCAATTACACCTGGTGTTATATTAGTAGAGACGAAGACCCAGAAAACTTCATTGTATAAGAAGTTCTTAATGCATCAGGAGAATATGATACCAAAACTGTTAGTGAAATGATTAAAGGTAGGACAGACAGTACACCACTAAAGGCAAAAGGTGATAGGTTGTTCTTGATTCACAAAGAAAAGAAATCAAGTCAAAGGTAGTTAGATATGAAAGATTCAGGGTCTTAACCCAGTTCTGGATGTGGGCATATTACAGTACAGTAGTAACCAGTCCACTAAATACTAAAACACACTGAGAAACCATCTCTTCAAGCCATCCTCTAAGTCCACATACCTCAGCCAAAGGAGATGTCTGGGAGACAGAATGTGAGCAGCTGCCAAGCTGCAACTCGAACCCATTCAGCCAGCCCAGCTGGGGACCATCCCTTGGGTCCCTTCAGGCATCAGGAGACTTCTCCTGCTTTTGTAGCCTTTCCCCACCTTATTCTTCTGTATAGAATCCACTGCAGAATGGCAGGGGTTGATACACATGAAGTATTTTTACCACCTTTCTAGTGCTTTTCCAGATACTCAACACAAGCAATTTGAGTAAGCTAGAGCTCCAAAATTTAGAGTCAATAGAGAAACATACATTATTCAGTTTTTTGAAAGCAGATTTGAAGCACGTACGCCATCCTTCCAGGCTGATTATCTTCACTTCTTGGGTCAGCACTCATGCCATGACCTGGCCTTTCCTGCTGTTTTCTCTCTTTCCACCCTTCACAATCGAGAGAAGGTCTCCTTGGGCCATCATGATCATGAGGTTGGTAATGCACTTTTCTGTCTGTGCCACAGGCCACCTGCTTGTTTCCTCCTGAAACTTCTCTTCTCACAGCTCACAGCTTCTTGACTTCCAAATTGATAGGTCACAGTTTTAACACACTGGGTTCATAAAGCAAATAAAGAGCATTTTTTAATTTTCTCTAGCTGTTTGAATCTTTCTCATGAGCCTCTACTTCCCTGGGCTGGGGCCAAGAAGGTGGGGGAGATTTAAACTTAGCAGTCTTCCAGTTTATTTCAGTCCAGATCATCTCTACTGGGTAAGTAGTCTGTCGGTGTAGAGTTTCACTCTAACAGACCTGTTCCTCCCTCCCTCTCTCTTCCTCCTTCCCCACTTGGTTGCTGGCTATAAGGAAAGCTTCTCATTCTCCTGATGTCATGATGGGGAAGGGTCCCATGTCTCATATAAGGGCTTGGGCTCGTGTCCCCTGCACTACCTCTTTGGTCCTTGCTGTCCTCTGGCTGGTATCTGCTGAAACCTGGTGGATTCAGCCTTAACTAAGGAGTCTTGCCTGTGTGCCTGTTAAAGTCCTGCCTGTTGTAGCTCCAGGTGTGTTTGCTTAGCCAGGCCATGTTCCTGGGAGCCCAGCACCTTCTTTGGCTGAATGGAGCTCTTGACAGTATATTCCACTCACCAAGGTCTCCAGCTCTCACTAGTAAATTTCACCTACCAAGGTCTCCAGGTCTTACTAGTATATTTCACCCACCAAGGTCACTATGTGACTCTGAGAGGCTTGTCCATCAGCCCTTAGATTCAAGGTCACTTAGCCCCCACCAAAAGGAGCCCCCTGAAAGCTCCTCAGCTTTTTATAATTGTCCCTTTTTCAATAGGGAACAGAAATTTCTGATCTCTTCTGTGCTGCACGAGAGCCCAGGCAGGCTGAGGAGCACTAACCCCAGCACCATCAGGCCCAGACTGGCTGAGCTGCCTTGGGTACTCACTGAGGTCTCTGCAAAATGCAGCCCTGGCTCTCACCAGACTGTCCAAATGGGAGTGGACAAAACCACCTCAACTCAGATTTTCTGTCAACATTCTCATCGTGTTCATGGCTCCTCTCTCAGTCAGGGATGAGGGTCACAGTGTCTTTCTAGGCTTCTCTTGAAAGTGCACGTCTCCTAGAAATCCCAACCACCAATAATCCATCCATGACTGACTCCACAATTCTACTCTTTCTCTTCCCCTTTGTTTAGCAATTCTTGCTTATTACTTTTTTTACTAGAATCATCGTATCCCCCTAACCTTCAGATATACATTGATCATTAGAATCTTTTGAATCATTCTTCCAACAAGTAGTTATTGAGGTGAGCTTTATTCTTTGTAGTGGTAATTTTTAAAGTTAATAAAAGCTTCTACCTTTATAGCACATACAATCTAGTGAGTGACCCAAATTTGTTTTTATTTCCTTTTTTAAAAATTACTTAGTAGATTAGTTGGTTGATGTATTTAAGCAAAATTCTTTGGATACCAACTATGTACAAAATACTTTAAAAGACAATATGTGAATGTGTTTGGGAGATGATTCAGTGATGAGTAAACACTGTCCCTCTCTTAAAAAGCATATATCTATGACACAAGACATAAATAAGTGCTGTAATGGCTGTACCATTCAACTCCTATGAAGATGTAGAAGAAAGAACAATTCATTCTGACTTGAAATATTTCAGAAGAATTTGCAGAGAATACAGAATTTTATATGAACCTTTGAAGTAATGCAAAAGGCCAAGACAAAGTTGAGTTATATTTTAGACTTGAGAAATAGAATTACAGACATGAATAAGGCAGGAAAGTGCATGGGAAGGCGTAAGAAAGGGTATTGGGAGCAAGTGCCCTGTGCTGCCCAAAGCAGAGAGTGATTTGATGAGTGGAAGAAGAGATGAAGTTGAAAATGTCAGATATGAAGGCTTTGGATATCATATTGAGTTTAGGCTTTCTTTAAACAGTGGTTCTTGAGAAGGAGAGTGGCATGATCTGGCCTGTTATTTAAAATACAGCTTAAGGAATAATGAGTTTGAAGCAGGAAAGATACTTACTTGTCTCTATTACTCTATTGTAGTAATTCAGGCAGTAATTATGAGAAGCTGAGATACAGAGGTAGGTGTCGAAATGAAAATGAGAGGTCAGGCATAAGAGACAGCAGTAGGTTCGATTGACAATATAGGATGCGATAGTTTAATAAGCAGCTGAATAAGATGTCCAAGAGTTTTCCACTAGGATGTTGGGGAGTTAGGTGACACTGGGGCAGGGAGAGATTATGAGACAATCTACTACATCTGAATACCCACTTTGTGTAATATCTTATACTGACAATTCTAGGGTTGTTCACCCTTTATCTCTGCACACAGGGATAGTGACATCAGAACTCACACTCCCACATCTTAATCTTAAACAGTGCTTTCTATATAACATCATCTCCCTACTTCTTTTCTGCTTTTTTCCGATAGGCTCACAAAACAGCCCAAGTGAATGTTGTGGGACAGTAATACAAAAGAATAAAGGATCTGTGAATGAGTCCAGTTAACCATGTAAAGCAACAGTGCGTGATGCCCAGATGATCCTCCATGAGTATTTGCTGATTGAATAAATTCAAACAATTCCAATGGATCTTAGGAGTTATATGGAGCTTCCTGCATAACCCTGAAGAGTATTGCACAGGATGAAAAAAAATTGATCTTGTTGGAGATATATTTTCCTTACTTACATTTTCACTATTTTTCATCATATATCTGGGCCCTACCCTGAATACCCTGTTTCCTCTGTTACAATGAGTGAAACATGCATGATCTTTCCCAAGGCCAACACCTCTATTTCCTGGTAGATCCCCTTTCTCCTAGCAGAAGCTTTTACCTGTAAGAATTTCACCTCTCACTTCTGAATCCACAGTTTTTCCTCTATACTAGATCACTTTGATTAAGTATCAAAGTATACCAGATCACTTTGATTAAGATGGAGCTATAAAAGCTCCCATCTTTTAATGAACAAACTTCCCAATCTGCTCCAGTTTGAGGTTCAGCCAGCACCCATTTCTCTGTGCCATAACAGGGTTTAGA
The DNA here is from genome assembly GCF_000001405.40 of Homo sapiens. Classification (NCBI taxonomy): domain Eukaryota; kingdom Metazoa; phylum Chordata; class Mammalia; order Primates; family Hominidae; genus Homo; species Homo sapiens. The sequence continues at coordinate 62,664,344 of NC_000008.11, forward strand.
CCCACCATCTGAATTTCCTGTGATTCCATTTTCTCCTGAACCCACCCAAATCAAACCGTCTACCTCCCTGTCCTCTGAAATTGCCCTTGTCAAGATCTCCTCAACCTCAACTTTGTGGGAAGAGGGTACAATAATCAATTATCTGTCCTCATTCTCATCAGTCTCTTAATAACTTTTCATATAGTGGATTCCTCTCTCATTTTTGATACATTTTCCTTACTGAGCTTCTGTGAAGCCCTGGAATCCTGATATTACTGCAACTTCCCAGCCAGGCACTCTCAGTCTACTGTAATAAACCATTTCCCCTTTTCCTGTATTTTAAGTCATATTTTCTCAACCAGAGCTCCCCAGAACATGAGATTGTAATGCCGGAAGGATTCCACTCATGTTCTTCTCCCCCCTATGCATCTACAGTGTTTAGATAACATACTTGGGATGGGACAAAGAGTCACTTAGGTCATTTTCTATGATTCAGATCAAGAACTCCAGCTGAGAAAGAATGCTCTAAATGTTGATGTCACCTAAAATTCAGTCCTTGGCCCTTTTCTCATCTCTAAATATCCTTATGACTTAGATGAGCTTACGCTGACGACATCCAAAACCTCTATTTCCAACCTCAACTCTTCTTTTAATTCTAGAGACTTTTGAAATTTCTACTTGAACTTATTCTACGATCTTGTGGCTCAAAATGTGTTACTAAAACCAACATTGTGAGCACCTAGGAAGTTACTGGAAATGCAGAATGTCAAGCTCTACCCCAAAACTGAGTCAGAATCTCCATTTTAACAAGAACTCCAGGAAATTCACATGCACATACACATAATAGGTTTAAGAAACATTAAAGTAAAACATCTCAATCTTATTATCTCCTAAGCAGACTATTTATTCTTGTTTCTCTTTAATGTTCTAAGAGACTCTTGGTCAAATTTCCCTTCTATCAGTCTGAAGCCCTTTCATAGCTTACTGCTTATTTAGGCCTTATGTAAGACAAGTTGTAACTTTTGAGTAAAAGAGATTTACCATAAAAAAAAAAAGGAGCATACATTTCAGAGCCCCTTACTGTACATGCCCCTTCCAAGCTGCTGGGAGAGGTCCCACCAATGTGTTCACACTATCACCTGCTTTGCATAATTTGCCAAAATCATTTATGCAAATTAAGACCACTTTCTCTTATCCTTTCCATTACTGTCACACTTCTGGGTGACAAGATGGCACTGGAGTGAACGTGGGCATTTTGGTGATTGGGCCACAGGGAAATTAAGCTGAGAATGTATTCAGTTTTAGTTTAAAGGGGTGTATTTATGAAGTTCATAGATCATTCTTCATATAGCCTTCCCAGTATAGGAATGGCTTCCAAGAATAGTCTGGTGGCTTCCTGTGCCCTCTCCCCCAGCATCCTGATACAGTGATGCAGGGTCAGGGCTCACTATGATGCAAAGGTGTCTATGTGCCCAGCAATAAGTTTCCATGAGTAGGGGAGGAGGATAATGTTGGAAGGATATGGAGCTGGAAGCTAGTCTTTCAAACGTTTAACCATCAAACCACATGATTTTCTACGGAAATTATGTGACATGGAATTTATCAGAATTCGGCTGGGCACAATGGTTCACGCCTGTAATCCCACCAGTTTGGGAGGCTGAGGCAGGTGGATCATGAGGTCAGGAGTTCAAGATTAGCCTGGCCAAGATGGTGAAACCCCGTCTCTACTAAAAATACAAAAAGTAGCTGGGCGTGGTGGTGGGCGCCTGTAATCCCAGCTACTCAGGAGGCTGAGGCAGAGAATTGCTTGAACCCAGAAGGCAGAGGTTGAAGTGAGCCGAGATCACGCCACTGCACTCCAGGCTGGGCGACAGAGCAAGACTCTCTCTGTCTCAAAATAATTAATTAATTAATTCATTCATTCATTAGAACTCCTGTGCTTGTATAAGTTCTGTAACCATACACACAGTAAATATATGTGTGTGAGAAGACACATTTTATGCATTCCAACTATAAACTTTTTCAAAGTTTGATCAACCATGCCAAAGTAAAAACAGAATTATCTTTATATCCAAATGATATGATTATCATTTTATGTTAAGACAATCAAAGTCTACGTAACCAAAAAAAGTATGAAAAAGCATTACAGAGAGATATTGGGCAGTGCATTTATGAAGGAAGATTATGTATGCATATTTTGTTATGTTTGTAGTTTTATCAGCTTTAAATATCTGTCATTTTGTGATTTTTTTCTTATACTAAATAATTTCTCATTTTAATTTTTGTATGTATAATTATTTATCCCTTACCTTGAAGCCTCAGGTAACGAAGGACCTGGTTCTGTCCTGGGTTATTGTTCTAAAGGAAGTCCTAACACTATATTTATGTGCCTTTCTCAAAAAGATAATTTTTATATTATGGTGCCAAATAGAACTTTAATGCTACCAAGTTCCTACAAGGAATCCTTATCTAAAAATTGTTCCAGCTCCTTACCAAAGGAAAGGAGGCTTATTCATCAAACCCACTTCAAGTGAGGTGCTAGATTTGATTGAATGTCATCACTGCCAATCCTTTCTTTCCTCTGATGCACATGCCCAATTACAACCTAAATTCCCTCTATCTCCCCAAAAGAGGATCCTGTAGGATATATAAAAAATTTAACTCCTATCAAAGGTCAAGTACTGTGTTGTTAGTGAGTAAGTAAAGAATAAAGTATTGAGTAGAAAATACAGAGCAGCACACCGCTTTTCATGCCTTGAAGTGGCAATTGAACAATGAGAACACTTGGACACAGGAAGGGGAACATCACACACTCGGACCTGTTGTGGGGTGGGGGGAGGGGAGAGGGATAGCATTAGGAGATATACCAAATGTAAATGACGAGTTGATGGGTGCAGCACACCAACATGGCACATGTATACATATGTAACAAACCTGCACATTGTGCACATGTACCCTAGATCTTAAAGTATAATAAAAAATATATATATATTTATATATATATATTCTTTATATATATATTCTTTATATATATATCTGTATATATATATATAAATATATATATATATAAAGAAATTCCCACTCATTGCTTACATTAGCAGAACCAAAAATGAGGACCAACCCACAGATGTGATCGCCACACTTTATGCAGTAACTCAGATTAGGAGTCATTCTTATCCTTCTTTTCTTATCTTCACATCCTATGCCCAGTTCATCCTCGATTCAAGACAACTCTACCTTCCAAATGTATCATGAAGCAGACCATTACCACCATTCCTGTCTAAGCCATCCTCATTACTCATCTGTTGCATTAGCCTCCAGCTTCCATGCTCGCCACCCCGCTGGTGCTTTCCTCACCACATCCACAGTGATCTTTCTAAAAAATAAATCAGATCAGGCCATCCTATCTAAAAATATCTGGGACTTTCCTTCAAGTTTAGCATGAACCTCAAACTCCATGCATGGCCTTTACCGCCTCACATGATATACCCTGCCTTTGCACCCCACCTCTCCAACTTGCCTCTTTTACAATCATCCACCCACACTTACTTTCAAGGTGTTCCTCCAGGAAACTCAGATATTCCTGTCTCAGGGTTTTACCACCAGGAAACAGCTATTCCTGCCTCAGGGTTTTACAGTTGCCATTCCTTCTGCCCCCGCATCTCCTCTGTCTTCCCATTCACATAATCCAGATTTGGGCTCCAACATTCTCTTCTCCATTAGAAGATGCCCTTGAACACCCTACGTAAATCCAGGCCCCACCTCACACACACATACACACACACACATACACACACACACACACACACAGTCACATTGGCATTCTCTGCCTCCTTGGTGTACTTCATTGTTTTTCACAGCACTTGTGTCCATCACAAATTGCATTTCTTTTTCTCGATGCCCTTCCCATGAAACCATAAACTCCAATAAGGCATGGACTTTGCTTTGCATCCCCAGTGCCTAGAACTGGGCCTAACATCAGTTCTGTACTCATTAAATATTTGTTGAGAAATGGAAAGGATCCTTAAAGGCTTTAAAACCTTTTGGTATTGTCTATGACATACTGATAAAAGGAACAATGGAATTTTTAGTAGAGAGTAAATTATTTTTTTGAATTTAGAACTTAGATTTTAACTATGAAAGGAAAATTCAAGACCAGTGCTGACGCCTTCTCACTTTCTGCCCAGAGTTCTTTCCATTACACCATGCATGTTGTCTTCCTAAATGATACGTTTCGTAAGAACATGCTTATTCAAGATTCCACACTGCGCAATCATCTATGATAACACGTCTAGAATAAAAATTACAAAATTAACACCACATCACCCTGACTATTGACATGCCTAAGCAATTTGCTTAAAAATAAACCTGTGAAAGGTGAAGGAAAGAGATATAAGCGTATACTTATTAATTAATCAATTAATTATATATGTATTCCTTAATTTAAAAAATATTTTTAAAATTTTAATCAGTTCATAGTAAATTCATTCATTTTTTAAAGAGAATAGTCATTATAACTAATTGTCAAGTTTTCCTTCAATCTGTCTATAAATTCAGGATGGTGCCTCTTGATAGCAGTCATAACAATGACAAAGTAAATCAATAGCACTTATTTTTGGATCTCAATAAATGCAACTAATTCTGTATCTAATCCTAGACTAACCATTTTCTGTTCCTTGGTAATCAGAAAGGTCTACCACTCAGATCTCCCTTCAAGATGTCCCTGGTCATCTATTATCAAGGAGTACTGTAAGCTGATCGTCTCATGCAAGATTTGCCTCATCTTTTAAGGCAAAGCCTCACTCACTCCAGGGAGTCCCCAGCCAATGACTGAGCATGACTGGGATGTTAACATTAGCCACTTCTGCCCAACACAGAACTCCTCCAGTGGACAATTCCTGCTTTAGAGTTCCCTGTTCATTTGACCTAAACTTTATGAGATCTGCATTTCCATCTGAAGGCTTTTCGTCCTCAATTCTGCTTCCTTCCTCTTTTACCTTCACAGGCATTAACTCCTAATAAACCTCCCGCACTCCTAACTTTGCCTCAGCTTCCAAGAGGACCAAAATTACATCTTCATGGCACATGGTCTCAGGATCTCTTGAAACTGTGACCCAGGCCATGGTCACTCATATTTGGCTCAGAATAAACCTCTTAAAAATGACACATCTTCTAAATTATTTTATTCATCCATTTAGGGGAAAGGTATTTTATCAAATGACTTTTTACATAATGTGTAACCATGTTAGCATGTATAATCATGACTACACAAAAAAAACAGTACAAAAGACACTCATTGCCAAGTTATGTCAAAGACCTAAGTGGCTTCACAATCTATCCACCTTTTTCTTCTGTTTGGCTTATTTGAATGACCGTGCTTTTGTATCCTTCCATCTGGGGCAGTGGCATGGTGAGGGCTGTGTTGTGATGGATGGGGTTGTCAGAAACCCACTGAGTATTTAGATACTGCATGAGTGCATTACATTTACAAACAGCTGCATGACAAGGAAGTGTGATTGCCTCCTCTTTTATGTTCTTCTGCATGTTAAGGAAACCAGCTACTGACTGGAGAGTCACTTGATTTTTAAAATGATATATTTTCCTTTCCTTTTCCTCCCACCAGTTTTGTGCTTCTTGATTATAGTGGAAGCAAACTCCCAATGTTTTTTTCCACAAAAGTTTTAGTCTAAGGATGAAATATATGTTTTTCAGCTAGTCTTGGATAATCCAGATTAGCAAAGACAACACAATTAGAATCAAGTCTATACCATAAACAACAACAAAAAACCATTGACGAGAAGAGACATAGAGAATGAATACTTATTATAAAAAACACTGTACCCCATTTCTTGCTCACGGATTAAAGAAATCAGCCGTTCTCTCTTATGAGGCCCATTTTTTATTATGTGTGTGTGGCTTCAGGGGCTCAATGTATTTAAATGAGAGAACAGGACAAGCATGGGAGTCCCCAGGCATTTTCCTCTACTTGCAATATAAAGAACATCTAATCATAGACATTTCCTTTAAGAAATTGTTTCTACTCAGTACCCGTGTCTTGAAGAGGATAGGTTTTTTATCCTTGAGATATACATTTCTTGACCCAATACTTTACACTTCCGACACAACGAAGAAAGCAGTTACCATACTGTTAACTCCTTTGGTATTCTCTATTTGGGGAGGCAGGGATGTAAGTAAGGTTCTCTGGATTTATAAATACTGTAGTGGAAATGTGTGCTGCGTTGGTTGGTTAGAGAGTAGTCTCTTCCTAATAGGCCCCAGTTTTCTTTTGTATATGGCCTTTTCACCATTGCATATGGTCCCCTTGGGAAGGCAGTTCAGGTGCTCACTAGAGAAGGTAAAAGAGACCAGGTTCTTTCCTTCCTGAGTAAGCAGGTGACCAAAAGGAATTCTCTTCTGAGGCTTCAAAAATAGGTAAGTAAAGCCTTGACAGAGGCAATGGTGGCAGATTTCTTTTAAATCCCTGTGGTATGGGGGTCCAAAACAAGTTAAAGTATGGAAATGGATTTCTGTTTCCTATTTTTATGTACACATACAAGCACACACACACACACACACACACACACACACACACACACACGTATACACAGGCAAAACCCAGTGAGGTATCTGTTCCAGTCCTCAAAAATTGAACATTTACAGTGAACTTGTGTGAAAAAATAGTGGCATGACAGATGTTTTTATGTAAAAAAGAAGCTATATCCAGTGGCTTCCCATAAATTCCTATTGTTTTATTTAAGATTCTCAGCACTTTTGAAATGGTTTAGCATGCTGTCTTCATTCTCACATATTTGAAACTCTTAAGTCTGTGTGGGAGACAGGTCTCCCAGGATGAGACCAGATGAGAACAGACCACCTCTTATCCTACTTCCCTTGATGATTTGAGATTTTTTTTTTGAGAGCCTACATGACAACGTTTTCCTTTGAAAAAACTTGTTTATAGCCAAGAACATTCTGTTATATCCTTCAGGCATTCTTGACAAACAATAGTTTCAGATTTAGATGCTTAAACATAAAAACTTAGTGCCGAGATTGTATTGACTTGAGAATAGAGATAAGTAAGCACAATAAACATCTCTTCTTCATGACATCAGAAAGTTGCTTAAAGTGTTAGAATTATTTTAAAAGAATGAAAATATGATATTTTTCTGGGTAATTTAATACAAGGAAACTATGTACTTTATAATTTTATTACTTTCCTAGATTTTTATTTTTAAAATGAGGAAATAAAAATTAATGATAAGTGCCCTTTGTTTTCCAAGTAGTATAAAACTAAACTAAACTTAAATAATACAGAAGGATTTATTAGATTGGGGTGTGTGTGTGCACGTGTGTGTCACACATGAGTCAGGCTTCAGGCATAGTTTGATTCTTGGGACTAAATTATTACTGGGGTTCTGTCTCTGCCTCTTTGAATTTGTCTTGGTTTTTTTTCCTCCTTCTATGGTATGTTCTTTAGGATAGCTTCCCACATAATAGAAAAAAATGACTTCAGCAGTCCCAGGTGTGACTGTCATACCCACATATCATCTATAGGAAGTTAACTTACCTTTGTCCTCCAACTCCAAGAAGAAGACCTAGGATTCGGTCTGACTGGTCTGGATTAGCTCACATGCCCACCGGAAACCAATCACTGTAGCCAGATTGCTGGGATGTGCTGATTGACTTGTGTAGGTCATGTGTCCCATCTCTGGAGCAATAATGGCCTCAGCTTCTCTAAAACCACATGAATCCCTAAAAGAAGCTATTGGGAAGTGGAAAATGCAGAAAAGTACACAGCTCAGGCAACCAACAAGTGTCCAGTCACCTCCATTGTATTTCCACTGTAAATTAGGAACAAGAACTACAGCTAGATGTGTGGTTCAAGGTTCACCCATGCCATCCATCACTTTGTGCAACAGCTTTGGTGTGTGAAGCAACAGAAAGAAGTCATATAATGGCCAGGGAAAACTATTCATTGTGGCTTGTCCCTGAATGTCTCAGAATGTTGGCCTCATGAGTGCCCTAGAAGTATTAGACCAAGAAACACTAATCCTCACTAACAGGACTTATGAGACTCTGATGTAGAACTCAAAAAGCCTGTTGATCCAATAAAATAAAAACATCTTTGTTTTCAAAGTGACTAGATACTTGCCAGCTATGAGAAAAGCCACATTATTATCAGAAGGATGTTTACTATACTTGGAACCAAAAGAGGCATGGTTAGTTTTATATTTCAAATATTTATGGCATCAGGTCATTATAGTCAGATGTCCTCACCTTGTCTACAAGATGTGAGTGGATGAGTCCTTGATCAGGCACAGGCTTAGACAGGCACTGACCATGTTTGCCTCATTGTCTCCCCCATTCCTAGGCTTTATGGCTGCTAATACCTTTTCCTGAATGACTCTTTTATTCTCTAGATAAACTTAAACCTTAAATTAAGTCTTTTTGTCTAGGATTTACTCTATCTCTTTATATTCATAGTATGTGTCCATTTAAAGTTTAATTCTATACAGTCAATTTTATCTAAAAAAATTGATTTTTTCTCCTATATACCATGTAAATGTCATACTTTACAGGTTTTTATAGAATTAAATACTTTAATACATGTAAATGGAAGTAATACCTGTTGGGTATCTACTATAGCCAACTGGTTTACTGGTCATAACACATGCCCTATGTTATCTTATTTATACTTTGCAATAGCCATGTGATTTTACAGAAAAAGATACTAATGTTCAAAAAAGTCTAGCAGCTTTCTCAAGGTCCAACGGTTAGTAAATGATGAGGTGGGATTCAACTCCATCTTTGTCTGATTCCAGCGTCAGAGGTCTATGCATGTAAACACTGTGGGGAAATATTAAGATCAAGTTTGTGTTTCTCACAATTCCTTATTAAACTGCTGAAAAGCAAAATTCTTCATGTCTAAAGACAATGGCAATTCTTAATTCATTATTTCAAATTTAATTGAAAAGTATTAATTTAGTTTATTTTTTCTATGCATAGAGTAAACAAGTCCCTATAAAGCAGAATGTACAGTAATGACCAAGAAACCATCATGAAAACAGAAAAGAGAGAAGTGTTTCAAGAAAACCAAGGGTACAATCTTTATGACTTGCCACACATGAAAAAGGAAGGGACCAAAGAGATGGAAGAGCTAAAGTAAATAGCAGAATATCTACCTAGGGTCTTGTCTCTCTTAGGTGACCTCCATAGTGTCGGGGAGCTAGCTATAGTCATGCATCACTTAATGACAGGGATACATCCTAAGAAATGTGTTGTTAGGCAATTTCATCATTATGCAGTCATTGAGTGTTCTTACACAAACCCAGATGGTAGTGCCTACTACATGCTTAGGCTATATGGTATAGTCTGTTTCTCCTAGGCTACAAACCTGTACAGTATGTTACTGTACTGAATACTATAGGCAGTTGTAACACAATGGTAAGTATTTGTGCATCTAAACATATTCAAACAGGAAAAGTACAGTAAAAATTTGGTTTTATAATTTTATGGGACTGCCATTGTATATGCAGTCCATTGTTGACAGACATCATTCTGCAGCATATGACTGTATTTGAATGTGTTGCTCTCTGGTTTAAAACCTAGAAATCACCTGTGAATTACCTCTGGCACTATAAAAAATAATTTCCAGGTTCTAGTGGAAGGATTAAATCAGTCTTTTGTTTGTTGGTGTGTTGGCAGGGAGGGGACTTATTTATGAAAAGCTCTCGATGTTACTTTGTTGTGAAGTTATGCAGCCAGGGCTAACTACTGGGGTAGAGAATAATGTCCACCCTTCTTAGCAAACACACACAAATGCCTGCAATCTGAACCTCCTCCACCTATCGCTCTGGCCACATCCAGACATATGGAGGAACTCAAAATTCCCCAAATAAGTCGGACTCTTGTGGCCTGGGCCTTGGCTCATGCTGTCTGTAGACCTGGAATTCCTGCCTGCTGCCTGTCTGCCAGGTGAACTTATGCAAAAAACAGCTCAGCAGTCCTTGTTTATTTCCTCAGAAGCAGATGTAACTGTTACCTTCTTTATAAGATCAATGCTATTTTTGCAAACATCCACCATCCTGTTCTTATTTGTCCATGTGTCAGACTCCCTCTACTAATGAAGCTCTTTGTGCCCAGAACTGCCACAATTTGCATTAATTAAATGAATGATTGCAGGTATCCTGCTTGGGGATGGGGGCGAGAGAATGGTATCACTGTTGTTAGAAACACTAAACGTAATAAATGGCAAGGAAGTGAATAATTAACTACTTAATTGCAATTAAAAGTTTCTGGTGCCTGGCTATAAATTTGCTTAACATGTGGAGGGGTAGATTTTGATTGGACATGATCAGCTAGTACCAGGTGGACAATCAGGCAGGGATGCCCAGCAAATCTCTGTAAATGGGGAGTGAGCTCAGTTGTAGAAGATATTCCAATGAGAGACTAGCCGGAAGGGAAGAGGCATTAGGATTGTGAAAATCCTTTAAAATTGTTACCTACTTTACAGAGAAGAACAGATGGTCTTGCTCTGCTGCGCCAATCACAAAACCGCCACGTAAGGATAATTAAAGTGGGGGACAGGTCTGGCATCCAGTTCTTCAGTCAACATTCTCCTCCCCAAATCTTAGACTAAATTGTAAGACACACAGGCGTCCACATGAAGCGTCTGCACAGGCTTCCTTCAAGTGCTGAGGAACAGTGTAGTCTTTGCTCAGCTTTTGTCTGGGAGCATGGAAGTTAATTATATTTTTCATGTTAATATTTTGGAGTTTCAGTATGACCCTCTGCGAAATGAGGTTATGAATATGTAACCTACCTATCTTAAAGGATTATTACATGCATTAATATATGCCAAAGAGCTTTGTAGACTGCAAAGTGATGTAAAAATTAGAAGTGATTTTTTCCCACCGTAGCAAGACCTTTATCCTGTGTCAATTCAATTACATTGCCAAATATCACTGATTTATGCTCCTTTATTCATGATCTATACACCCATATTTATAAATCACTATGATAGGTATTCACAAAAATAATTGAATAATTTATTGCAAATCAAAGTTAATGCTTTTTCTTATGGCCTTCTATTTAGACAGAGTATATGCATTTTTCTTCTGACTAAAGCTTGAGAAATTCATCCAAACTTTATGGTGGCCTGATTTATGCAGGTGATGGAAAGTAGCAAGAGTAGGGCAACCATATTTAAACCACCCACACCAGTGGTATGCCAGACACCTGTGGAAATTCCATGCTGGGCTTTGAGGGCTGGGGACTCTAAGATTCCAGTGTGGGCTGGGAAGGAAGAACACCTGAACCAGCAGCTATTGTTCCCCTCTCTTGCTCACTGACAGCTGCAAGGTACACTTTCAGGACCACCAGGCAATGGCATGCTGGTGGCAGAGGAGGTGACACTCACCTCATAGGAAGTTCCTTATAAAAGCAGGTGGACATGTCATCTCAGGCTCATCAAATCTACCTGCCATCATAGATAGACCACAGCCAGGCCAACCATGCCTTCTAGTATGGACCTTGTTATTTTGAGTTTGCTTTTAAATTAGAAAAGGGGATTTATTTGACATTGTTTTCTCTATTATCCTTTATATTTATTTAAAATACCCACCCACAAACAATACATTCCCTGCTATTCTGTTCCAATTATTCTCTGAAGAAGATTATAAGCAAAAGAGCAGCTTTTCCATAACATTCAAAAATTGCCTCTTACATGATAGGCAATGAGCTAGATTTCTGCAGGAAGGATATTTCATTTAATGTTCACAAAAATCTTATGAGGTAGCTAGGTAACATTGATCCTCACCTTACAGAAGCTCAGAGAGAGTAAGTAACTTGTGCCAAGATACATAGTTAGCAAGTGGAAAGACAGAAATTTATACCCAGATCTGTCTGACTCCAAAGAACACACCTGTTAGCTTAGAACAGGACAGATATTGAAAGTATACTATCGGCCAGGTGCAGTGGCTCATGCCTGTAATCCCAGCACTTTGGGAGGCCGAGGCAGGTGGATCACGAGGTTAGGAGGTCGAGACCATCCTGGCTAACACGGTGAAACCCCGTCTCTACTAAAAATACAAAAAAATTAGCTGGGTATGGTGGTGGGTGCCTGTAGTCCCAGCTACTCGGCAGGCTGAGGCAGTAGAATGGCGTGAACGTGGGAGGCGGAGCTCGCAGTGAGCGGAGATTGCACCACTGCACTCCAGCCTCCGCGACAGAGCAAGACTCCGTCTTAAAAACAAAAACAAAGTATACTATCTTATGGGTCAAATTAAATTACCAAAGGTTTAAAAACTAAAAATATCTCTAACTTTGTGGTTAAGTTATATGAGGTTTATGTATCCATAACCCAACTGTGGTGTAGTATATTAATAACAGTCTTTTTTTTTTTTTTTTTGAGAAAGGGTCTTGCTCTGTCACCCAGGCTTGCATGCAGTGGCATGAACATGGCTCACTGTAGCCTCCGATTTCCAGGCTCCAGTGATCCTCTTACCTCTGGCTCCTGAGTAACTGGCATGACAGGTGTGCATCACCATGCCAAGCTAATTTTTTTTTAACATTTCTTCTAGAGACAGAATCTTGTCATATTGCCCAGGCTGGTCTCAAATTCCTGGTCTCAAGCGATCCTCCCACTGCAGCCTCCCAAAGTGCTGGGATTACAGACGTGAGCCACTGCACCGGCCCAATATAGAAATTTTTAAGTATGATGCATAAGTGCTGGGGTCTTGTATATTTTTTGGTTTGTTTTGAATTTTTTAAATATTCAATCGGTCTGATTTCCCAGGAAATAGACTCTGAAATGGACATTGTCTGGAGGACTACTGAGGTGCGTTCTCAGAAATAGCACCTGTAAGGAAGGTAGGGACGCAGGGTTAGCAGAGATCTGAGCGGTGATATATCAGGTTGGCAAAAACAACAATTACTTTTGTACCAACCTATGATTCACAGTAGATAATACCTTGTGCCATCCTCGGTGAACTCTTCAGCTGGCATTAACCTTCAGAGTAATTCATCAAGGCAAGGATGCTGGGCCTTTGCACTCTCTTATAGAGTATTGGATGTGAGAAGGGGGCATAACTCAGGGATACACTACTTTCTTCCACAGAGGGCAATTCTTGGAAAAGGACCCCATTGAGAGCTATGTGGTGCAGTAGAGATAGCAAGAGTGCTTTGATCATGACAAGGCCATGGGAGGCTCATTGCAGCATGCACTGTAGTCCCCTGTGTCCTCAGGGTCCACTTGAATCATCTAATATGTTCACCTAATATGGAACCAGCTCCAGGATGCTGGATGGGCTCATTTCCTGGGGTAACTCATAAAAGGAAGGTCAGTGAGGTAAGCGGCAGGCTCCATGGCTGCACTGATTCTGAGGTCACACCAAAAGCTAATTATATGCCAATCTTAAATCCTCTCACTTCCGCTCTTCTAGGTGATTTACCTGGTAGAATGACCCACCTGTGCATCTCTGATGTCTAGGACTCCTCCTTAGGCCATGGTGCTACACTTGAAGATGTACCCCTAACATTGGGCCTAACTACAAGATAGTATGTCCCCCTATCCCCTGGTCTAGCTAGGCTGGTCTCTGTTGTGGTTTGCATTTCTTTATTTGACTCGATTGCTAGTTTTACTCCCTTTCTGAGTCCAAACATACCAAGATTCAAATTCAGTGAGAAAGCTTAACACACTCAGTAATATTTCTGAAGTGTCTACCCTAGACTAGGTCCCTCACTGATGACCACACCATAATCTTTGGGAGCTGTGAATATGTTATTTTGAGTGGCTAAAAAGACTTTGCAGATGTAATAAAGGTTAGGGACCCTAAAATAGGCAGATAGTGGAGTCATTTTTCTCTTCTCATTTCCTTTAATGCTTCTTCTGTGCCTTTGCTAAGATGTTTATCACTTTCTACCTTGAATTATAGGCACTGAGGTATCAGTTACCTTCTCTAATAGGCTGTAAGAAACTTGAAGGAAGAATCTACTTCTGCCTTATTTGTGCTGCAGTGAATTACACTGGGTAGACATTTTTAAAAAACTGTAGATTGAGCTTATGATATCATGCAATCTTCGAAATAGATGAGTAAGAGATTTGATACGGGCTGCTCAATTCCACCCAATACTGACATTTTGTTCTCTCCCACTCTTACTGGTTGCATAATAACCAACTATCGAATAGCTTCTTAGATCATTACAATATTAATAAAGTTCATTAATTAAAATGGCCCAAGTCACCAAGATGAATATTTTATAGGCCAGTCATTTCAAACATATTAGTACCATCATTATTATATATTGATGTTATATTGATAATATAACATCATTATATTATATCATTACATTGATAATATATCATATTATATTGATAATATAATATAATGATGTATTATATATTATCATTGAATAATTTATCAAAAATATCTAGAAAATAGTTAATCCATGCTATATAAATTTTTTTCTATTAACCTAGGTATATAGATTGTTGAAAACATTATTTTGAGTTAGTGTTGTGATTTATCACATAACACATGAATACTAATTTAGCTAATAAATGTGTCATGTATCTAGTGAATAAGGCTGGAACACAAACAGGACATTTTTGTAACATTCCATACCAAGTGGTAGCTCTTAAGATATATGAAAAAAGGAGCAACAGTGCCTTGTGGTAAAGGATGAGTAACAGGCCAGAACCAGAGACCTTCCAGAAAGAGATAATTAGAGATCCCAGATTGGGACTGACAAGTTTGAAAGCCATGCTGTTCAACCCAGACAGGTTGAGAACAGAGAAAATCATATATTCCAATATCCAGACTAATAGCAGCAAAGAGGTCATTTGTCAGAATTAAAGGGGCAGCACAAAATGGCAGAAGAGTAGATTTGAGGATTCACTAAAAATGGGAACCTTGGAAACTGAGGCCATTTCTGACAAGAATCATCATATGCTTCCCATACAGAAGTAAGCAAAGCCTAGGGGACACATCCAGAGTTTGTAGTGGGAGGTGAAAGGGTGCATCTAGCAGACGTGAGAGACAATAGGACAGAAAAATGGCCAACTCTTTGCAGCACAGTAAGTAGATGGATCCTCCAAAGATGACCTCATCCTAATATTTGGGACTTGTGAACATGTTGCCTTGAATGGTGTATTAGTCCATTCTCGAACTGCTATAAATAAATATCTGAGACTAGGTATTTATAAAGAAAAGGGATTTAATTGGCTCATGGTTCCATAGGTTGTACAGGAAGCATAGCAGCTTCTGCTTCTGGGGAGGTGTCAGGAAATTTGGAATCATGACAGAAGGTGAAGGGGAAGCAGACACATCTTACATGGCCAGAGCAGAAGGGAAAGAGAGAGAGCAAGGAGGTGCTACACACTTTTAAACAACCAGATCTCATGAGAACTCATTCACTATCATGAGAATAGCAGGGGTGGTGTTAAACCATTCATGAGAAAAACCTCATGATCTAATCACCTCCCACCAGGCCCTACCTCCAACACTGGGGATTACAATTCAACATGATATTTGGGGTGGGGACACAGATTCAAGCAATATCACATGGCAAAAAATAACTTCGCAGGTATAATAAAGTTCAGGGACCTTAAATAATAATCCTGGATTATCTAGGTGAGCTTTATCTAATAGTCACATGATCCTTTAAAAGCAGAGAATGTCTTCAGCTGGGAGGAGAGATTGGCAAGATGCAGTTGAAGGGGAGGTCAGATAGATTGAAAGCATGAGAGGGACTTGACCCATCATTGCTGACTCTGAAGGTGAAGAAGACCTAGAACCAGGGAATGCAAAAGCCTCTAGAAGCTTAGAGTAACCCCGGGCTAACAGTCAGCAAGGAAACTTGGAACTCAGTCCTACAAGCACTTGGAACTGAATTGTAGCACTAAACGAAATGAGCCTGGAGGTGGATTCTTCTCAAAGCCTCCAGGAGAAAAACACAGCCCTGCTGACATGTTGATTTTAGATTTGTGGAACTCTAAGCACAATTCCAGCCAAAACCATCTGTTTTCCTACCTGCAGAGCTGTGAGATAGTAAATTTGTGTTGTTTTAAACCATTGAAATTATGTCAGTTGTTATAGCAGGCATAGAAAACTAATATAGATAGTAAAAGACATCTTATAATTGACCCATTCATGACTTAAAAAGGATTTTGTCTATTAGTCTCTCTTTTACTTTGTTTCCCTGTTTAAAATATTAAAATGTCAAGATACTGGGAAATTTAGTATTATGCTGTTATCAGAAATGGGACAAAAGTGACTTCATTATTTCTTTGGACATACTCTGTAGAACCCTTACATTATATGATAGGATTTTCTAATGTCTTCTGCCCTAAAATTCAGTAAAGAAAAATGTAATGCGTGATTTGAAGGCTGGTGTGTGTGTGTGTGTGTGCACTTTAATGTCTCTTTACAAAAATGCTTCACCAAACTTTTATACTAAATCATTTTGAAAAATAATTATCCACTCAGTTATATAAATTTTCCTTGCTGATTTTTATTTAATTGTAACCAATTTTGCTTCCAATTATAGCAATTGGTATTGTACAGGAAAGTTATAAAGATAAGTAATTGTTTTTAGTGAATCGAGCAACCTCATATATATTTTTGAGATTTCCTTCCTATACTTTTATGAGACAGTAGCAACTGAACATAAACTTTTGTAATATGAAATTAAAATTAGAATTATTTCAATAAGGGAGAACAGCAATTCTGGTGACTATTTAGCCCCTTGATGTTGAATCATGCCATACCACACCTGAATCGTCCCACTTGATTAGAGCAACCATTCAAGATACTCAGTGCCAATCCTGTCTCAATAATCTGTACTTGCTCTGAATATCCATTTAAAAAGTGGATAAAATGCTAATAATGCTTTAGAAATTGTGTTTGTAACTGCAGTGTTATTAAATGATGCCTTAGACTAGATGTATTTTGGAAAGAACTTTGAGATTATTGAATGAGAGGTTATAGTAAATGAACTTTCACATTCCCTTTCCCTTCCTAAAGAAAAAATATTCATTTCATGGATTTAGTCTACCTTTGAGATTCTTAGTCTTTTCTAGGGAGTTCTAGACATAGAGTTGATACTCAGTTAATTTTTCTTTTATTCTCAAAAACATAGGCTTTCAAATTTAATTTCCTTATTTTTTCAGATTGTGGTTTACCAGTAAAACTATTCTGGAGTGGTATAAGAAAAACCAGACCGTGTGGCCATTTATCTTCTTTTTGATTCAAAGTGATTAAGTGGGTTGAAGGCAGGGGAGATGGACTTTCAAAACAGAGTGTTAGAAAATCATGTTATTTTTATGTATTTGTTTAATAAATAAGTTTATGTATATAAATCACTAAAGGGAAAATCATTCTAATGATCTTCTATGTCATTAGAATATGACTTTATATATACTCCCAGATAACATACTTGAATATTGGTCATGCCGCTTTATAAATGTATAATCTTGAGTAATTATTTAAACTTATCTTGGTCTTTAAAATTAGGATTATAAGAATCAGGCTCAAAACTGCTCTCAGAGGCAGGCTGCCTTTGAAGCATCTGCTTTCTTAGACAAATTAGGAGTTTCAAATGAGGAAAGAAGAAACCAGGTTTTTAAAGAGATAGAAAGTAGGAAAATGGTGGATAGGAAGCAGGACTAAATTGCAGCTCCTACTCGGAGGGACAGAGTAGCATGTGGAGACACATCATGAACTTTTGCTCCAAGAACTACTGCAGGAACATACCAGGAAAGCCAAGAGAATCCACCAACCCTTTGAAGGAAGCAGATTGCTCCTGGACCCGGAGAGACAGCCCAAATACTGTGAGTGTCCAAAGTGTGGAAGTAGGAAAAGGGGATCGTTCCCCCTTGAACACACACCCTCACTGGGAAACCTAAAGATCCAGATTACAGGAAGGACTTGACCTTACCTGGAGATGAGATAATTCAGAGAGCCAAGCAAAATACAGGAGTAGAGGAAGCAGCAGGAAGAGCTCTGTGGGCTCTCTCAGTCCCCAGGGAAGCCATTTCTGGTCTCACAGGGGTCCTTGGGGAGGGCTGCCAGGGGAACTGGGAAAAGACCACAGGAAGAAGGAAGCCTCCAGCTGAACTCTGTAACAATTCCAAACGATTGCACAGTTTCTTGGACAGAACGTGGGGGAGGGGTTGAATACAAAGTGCAGATGTGGGCAGGTGGGGAGGCATGAAACCTGAAAGCTCTGCTTGCTTTCTCAGTCAGGAGGCTGGTAGCCTGGGGTGCTGCTCGCCCACTGCCTGGAAACGAACTAGATGCTTTTGAGGTGGAGGGTGGGGAGTGCAATATGGGAGTGAGACTGGCCTTTTAAGTTGCATGGGAGTGGGGTGATGCCTGTAACTGCCAGCTTTCCCCCACTTCCCTGGCAACCTGCATTACACAGCAGAGGCAGCCATAATCTTCCTGGGAACATAACTCCATTGACCTGGGAACCACACCCCCATCCCTCAAAGCAGCTGCAGCAAGCCCTACCCAAGGAGAATCTGAGCTCAGACACACCTAACTCTGCCCCAACCTGATGGTCTTTCTCTACCCACCCTGGTAGCTAAAGACAAAAGCCATATTTTCTTGGAAGTTCTAGGGCCCTGCTCAGCACCTGATCCAATTTATAATTTCCAAGTAGTAATTTGCCAATTATGTGTCAGGTTTTGTTTGTTTGTTTTTTTGTTTGTTTGTTTGTTTGTTTTTTGAGACAGAGTCTAGCTCTGTTGCCCAGGCTGGAGTGCAGTGGAACGATCTCTGCTCACTGCAAGCTCCACCTCCTGGGTTCATGCCATTCTCCTTCCCCAGCATCCTGAGTAGCTGGGACTACAGGTGCCTGCCACCATGCCCGGCTAATTTTGTTGTATTTTTAGTAGAAACGGGGTTTCACCGTGTTAACCAGGATGGTCTTGATCTCCTGACCTCGTGATCCGCCCACCTCGGCCTCCCAAAGTGCTGAGATTATAGGCATGAGCCACCACGCCTGGCCACTATGGGTCAGTTTTTAATGATACTCGCTGTTGCTTCACAATGCAGTTGGTACATGTCTTTATCAAGTTACCAGGAAAACAATACTAAGGAGTTACCAAAGGTCAAATTCTCATGCAGCAGGAAATGAGATATTATTAGCTCTTTATGTGCAAGGAGTAGCTAGTTTATTGAGAAATCATAATGTGTTAGGGTATAAAAATAAAACTATGTTATTATTTGTCAGTAAGTGCCCCAAAGTACTCTGTTGAATCTCACCTTTCACACTTGCTGGGTGAGCTTCAATAATAGAATCATAGCTATAATCTTGACTTTCATTCATTTATTAAAACAGTCACTTAGAGTTCTTAAAACCCAGAATCTCATAAGCATTTCATAACCCCTCTCTCCTTCTGCCCCACCCTGAGAAGATGGAATGAAAGGGGATTTGGTCTGGCTCTCACAAGCTTTTCCCTCACATGTATTGCCCACATATTGGCAAAAATGAAAGAGATGAAGTAAAGCAGCTCTAGGAGGCCTCCCTGAATGAGGAGGCAGTTCCTGTCTGGATGGTCTCGCTGTTGACCTGGCTGGTGCATGGTTTGACAAAGATGGATGGGGTATTGTCAACTAGTCAAGGCTCATTCTTAGCTAGTCTCCCCAGTATTAGTGCTTCCATGTGAGATTTAGCCACATCTTCTGCCCAACTCCCACTACAACCTTACCTTGCATTCCTCTCAAATACAGACTGCAGCCAACAATCTCATCAGACATCCACTATCAACTTGAGGTCCACAGGCCTGTTCAGACTCCACCTTACATATTAGAAACTGGAAACCCAAGAATATTCAAGTTGAAGGTTGTGTGAGACTCACCTTGGCCTGGCAGAAGCCACCATGCCATCTCTCCCCAGTGTTTTCATTCCCTACTCCACCAGCACAGAAATTCTGGTGTCAATGCAGATGTCCAGCTAGGGAAGAAGTGTCAATTTCCTCTTCTTATAGGCACATCTAACTCTAATGAGTTATTCTTTTCAGGTTTTCCTTTCTTAGATTTGGAAAAATAAAGTGCTCCCTTCCACACCCTAACAAAGTCTGTTCTCCTGACAAAGCGGTATCTCTTCCCTTTCCATGTCACCTTGTTAGTCTGAGTGTGTATGGGGAGTGAGAATATTGGGACGAGAAGGATGTAAAGCCATGCTGCTGAGACAGTACTTCTCTGCAAAACCGGATGGGGCATAGCTGGCTCAAAGCTGTCAGATCTATGAGAGAAGAATATAGGTCTACCTAACACCTCTGTTCTCAGATATAAATTAGGGTTATGGGCTGAATTTTGTAGCCCCAAAACTACTATGTTGAAGCCCTAATCTCCAGTAGTTCAGAATTTGACTGTATTTAGAGACAATATCTTTAAATAGGTAATTAAGTTAGAATGAGGTCATTGGGGTGGGCCCTAATCCACCATGATTGATGCCCTTATGAGAAAAGGAGATTATGACACAGACATGTGCAGAAGGAAGACCATATGAAGACAGCAGAAGAAGATGGCCAGCTACAAGACAAGTTGAGAGTTCCTCAGAAGAAACTAGCCCTGTCTACTCCTTGATTTTGGACTTCTAGCCTCCAAAATAGTGAGAAGATAAGTTTCTGTTGTTTAAGCCCCTGAGTCTGTGGTATTTGTTATGGAAGTCCTAAGAGACTCGCATAGTCAGGAAGGCAAGAGCCTGCTGTACACATAACATCCCATGTTCAAATGCTCCAGAAGACAGTGTTGCCAAGTTGTTGTACAGGCTCTTACCTGCAGCAATGGTTTTCTGCCCAAGAAGGCTTAGGTTAACATTGGCGAGATTCATGACAAAATAGCAGGTAGGAAAGGGTTTTCATATTTTCTCTGGGGAATATATAGTTTAAACTTACCAGAGCTCAAGGGATCAAACTGGATTCAAGAAGACTGGAACTTGGGTGAGATCTTCTGATTGGTCTCTATTATTATGTCACTTGGTTTAGAAAAAAATGATGTTAAAAGGGTTCAGTCCTCATTTTCAGTCACTGATTTGTAAACTATCCTCCCTTTTATTCAGTTTTACTATCTGTGTATTCCTCACAACTGAGGAAAGTGATTCTAATAAGCTATAATTTTTTACTTCTGAACCACTTGCTTGGTTCATTCATGTTGGAAAAGTAATCAATAACAATCATTTTAAATAAATCACGAGGACTTCCCTTATTCTTTCCTTTTAACAAAGCAAGTTCAGGAAAATTAATTCTTCTTTGCTTATTCTTTTAGTCAAGTAGGGAATTTTATTTTTGTCTAAGCTTCATTGCTACGGATAGTCACAGTGGCATTCAAATACTTGCCCCAAGAGGTTTAATTGGGATGTTAATAGAATCCATATAAAAGAAGTTACCTGCAAAAGTGTACATATGAACAGTTAAGTTTCTCTAGCAAGTATGGTGTGGAAAAATGACTCATTCTGACTGCGCAACTATTAAGTCTTTTGGATAAAGTGTTCTCAGATAATTGGCAGATAATTTAGGTCAAGTATTTCTTGTCTATATGTCTAATCCCATCCCCTTCCTGTTTTCTCTCTCCAAAGCTTTCCTCATGAACTGACTCTATATCTGTATCCATAAAGTTTTAATAATTAGTTACATTTTTTTAAATTAAATAATGGTGATTATGGAAGCCATGGTCAGATGCCATTCAGATCTCCTTTCGAGAGAAATCTGCATTGAAGAAGTCAGTTAGTTGACAGCCTGCAGCTACCAGTCCTTCAGGACCTATCACGGCTTACTCTCCAAGGCCACGTTCTCCCCAGTCTGCTCCTAGCAAATCACTGATCACAGCAAGGGCACAAACCAGACTATTTCTGCCTAATGAGGTCTTCCTTTAGCAGACCATCTTGCATCGGTCTTTGTTCAGAGGTACAAGGTGATCCAAACCCTTCAAACCCAACTCTCCTCCTTCCTTCTCTCCTGTCCAAGGTGTCAGACCTATATTGCGTACTGAAAACTCTCCCTGCCTATTCCTACTCTCCTGTGCCTTATCTTTCACCCATTTTCCCAATTTATTCTCTTGCATTTTTGGTGTCTGCTTCACAAAGGACTCTGCCCAGTGTGACAATCTCTGTACAGCCTGCAGAAAAAAAAGTGTTTTTAGAGAAAGGGGTAGAGAGATACTCTTCACCACTACTCTTACTGCAGCAAACCATTACCTTCTGGGGGAAACAGAAGGGTGTAATTTAATATAAGATTCCAAATCTAGGGTTTTTTTTAAACATTTAACACTAGAATAATTAATGGAAAATAGATGAAGACAGTCTCTCAAAATAAGCAAGTTAATCCCACTTTTTTCATTTCGAGTCCATCTTTTTATTGCCCACAACACTCTCAACTCAATTACATCTTACTTCAAACTAAAAACTAACATCCATTTTCAATAACTATACTTTAATAAACACATACCCATTACTTCTTGTGCCTTATATCTCCCTGTACACAAAGAACATTATAAATATATTAAGTAAACAACCACATGCATATGGGTTAATTACTTAGCACAAAAACTGCAAGATCCCTTAGAGATGTCATCTGTATGACAGGATTGGTGTTTACCCAAGGCTAACAGATATTTAGAATAGGAAGGTAACAAATGCAATTTAATCAGTGAAGAGCTCTAATTTACTTGTATCAAACAATATAATTACATAAGGCAACATAAGCATAAAGTTTCCTATGATAATAATGATTATGAAAAGGAAGAGGAAGAGCACATCAGTTTTTACTGAGTGCATTTTACATAAATTTTCTAATTATTAACCAATTTAAAGTGCAAACTCCATCACATGATCACATTTGAATTGTTCAGGACACAAATTAAACTTTTCTCATTAGAGGAATATGTGTGTTTTCATTTCAACCAGCAAAAAACAGAAGGAAAACACAGGAATGTGAAGAGTTAAAAATGAAATGTTCAATCTGTTATTTGGTTAGTCTTCAGGCTTCAGAACAAATCTTCAAGTCCCCTATTACACTATTCTCGTCCCTTCAGGGACTGCTCTTTCTCCCAGCGTTGTGTCCAAGTTTGGGAGTGTCCTGAGGAGCCAAGTTGCCTGAGTGGGGATTGTCCCTTTCATCCTTGAGTAATCTGATGCTATCTTTGACTGTGTCTGCCTAGATAATCCTTCCAGACAATGTTTTGCTGGGTCCTTCTATCTACTCAGGATTTTACCTGAAAACAGATGTGTTCTCTTGTATTCCCAAGCCCTCCAACCCCTCTTTCTGAAACAGTTCTACTTCCACATGGCTCTACCCAAAAATGAGTGTAAAAGCACTCCTTTCTCTGAAGCATCAAAAGCACTCTGCTGGCCATTAATTTTCCATATTTCATTCATCTAATTCTAATTCACCAGTCAACATTATCGTTTTCAAATTTGTCAGAAACCCCTGCTCTCTTTTTTGATCTTTCTCTCAAATATTTTGTCTGTGTCCCTAAGCTTTCAACTTCCCTTGAAGGTTTAGGCTTTTGGATTGGAAAGCCAAAAGATAGCAAGCTTTCTCTGATTGCTGTTCTGTAGATTCTTCTCCTGGGGCAACAAGCACAATAGCAAACATCTGCTTTAAAAGGAAAAGAAAAAGGGGAAACTACCAAGAGAGGAAGAACCATATTATTCTGCCACTTCAGCATATGGCTAGACAGTAAATTAAAGTTTTAGAGTTGGGAGGAACATTAGAAGTTTCCAAATTCAACCTCTTTTCCTATCTTCTCTGTTATATGTTCCTGACAGATGGTCAAACAGATTCCATAATTTCAGTGACAAATAATTCAGTTCCTCATAAGAGAGTGCATTCCTTCAAGAATCATTAGACTTCTTAGAAAGTTCATTCTTATATTGAGTAAGCATCTGTTTCCATTATGGGTAACAGAAGCTGACGGGAATAATATTGGCCTTGGATCTAAACAGCCAGAGATGGTTCAGATAGTCTCTAGAAGCTTCAGTTTCTTTATCTACAAAATGGAGCAGATGATACCTATCTTTCAAAATTATTGGGAAGATTAAGTGAAATAAATATACATAAATACCTGGTATACTGTTTGTTGTAGTAGATGTTTGCTAAACATTAAATCTGTGCACCTTAAAACATCCAGTAACAGTCCAAACTCATTCATTCATTTATTCATACAATATTGATTGACCATTTATCTTATTCCAAATCCTGGAATAAACCCTGGTAGTATAGCAGAGAATAAAACAAATTTATACCTTGGCGTAAGGAAAGATAGTGTATCCAGTATAAACATTGAATTACTAATGTGAGAAGTTCTGTCAAGTAAAAATTCTACTTAGTATAAAGAGAGCACATGCAACAGGAAACATTAAAAACATCTATTTTCAATCTCACACATAGACACAGACAGACAGACAGACAGACACACACACACACACACACACACACACACAAAACCATAACGTATTCTCTCCCCTTACAGAGTCTTTTTATATCAAGAATAAACACTCCAAAGTCTTTATCTATTCTTCAGATAGCATGGTTATTTGATGGCTTAATGTTTCCTATTACAATGTGGAATGTTGAAAAATCCTTTTTTATGTTAACTTTAAACTTAATAAAGAATTTATATTATTTTAAGTTCTTCATGTTATTTCTGTCTCTTTCCATGTATACAATAACAACTGTAAGTATGTATATTACTTTTATAGTTTGCCCATTCTACGTGCTAATTTTTATTTGCTATTATATTTTCTTCTTCAATGTTGAGAAGGAAAATAAGTTTTAAGAGAAACTACAATTTATTTCCTTTTGGAAACTTATTTTTAAAATTCATTATATCTAGATTGAGTTTCTAAGTTTCTCCTCATCACTAGACCTACTGCTGTTGTGATGCAACAAAAAGTGCTTGGGTATCATCCTTTATAAGGAGACATCTGCACTAAGTACCTATAGTCTCATGCTTACTCTGTCTAGCTGCCCTAGGCTCCTGCTCACAGAACACAGCCCCCAGAGACCAGGTCTCTCCCTCCTTCTGCACACTTCAGTATTTAAGCCATCAGTCTGATTTTATCTCACATTGTTCATTTTCTTCTGGTTTTAAGAAGAATTTGCACTTGGAGATTACTTGTACATTTTGCATTTCAGGCCTGGAATTGACCCCATCAGAAGCTCCCAAACAATGAATTTGCACTCTTTACCCCATTAATATACATTTAACAACCAAAGTTGTACTGATGTATCAGGTTTTAAAACCTCAGTAGATGATGTGCTTGTTCCCAAAATACTCTTTCCCTTTCTTTGTAAAATAAATCTCCTTGGAGTTCACTGTGCCTTTATGTTAGAAGAACGCATTTTAAAGAATGTTCAGAAAATCCTACTTAGCCCAGAATTCCTATCCCCTTATCTGAATTTCCTCTTCTTTATCTCTTTGACCCTGGAATTCAATAAATTTGAATATTAATTTTGAGATTCAATCATCGAGTCAGATGAGTTTCCCAATAAAGAAATTGACAAAGTCTCAGTTGGACCTGAACGAGCCCTGAGAAAAATTACATCATATCTCAGTTTCCTCAGCTGTACCAAGGGAAGTTCACTGGCATTGGGCTCCTTGGCCACCGCACTGAAAATAAATAAATAAATAAATAAATAAATAAATAAATAAATAAATAAAATTGCACATGTTAAGGAAAGGAGGTAAGAGGGAAAGAAGACTCCTTCACCTTACTGAGTGTCTTTAAGTTCGGCTCCGTTCTTGACCCACCCCACCCATCTGAATTAGCTTGCTTCAGAAGAGCCAGTGGGACTGCGCACTAATCACAGGGTGTTTCCCAGGGTCTCAGGCACCAGTCCCGGAGTTTTTCCCAGCAGGGCTGTGCACCAATCATAGCGCCTCACCCAGAAATGCCATGCACCATCATGAGGTTTCTCCCAACCGGGCCATGCACCAATTACAGGGCTTCTTACAACGGGGCCCCGTGCCCCTGGACCAGTCCTGACTACACACCTTCCTCAGCAGCTACCATGCCAGGGCCAGAGGGTAACGAGGCAGGCACTTGTCCTTGAAAAAAGGAAGAAATATCACCCTCCCTCTGTGAATACATGTGATTGTTCTCACTGTCTCCCTTGAAAGCTTTATTCTCGGAAGTACACGCTACTATGCTACGGCAGATGTACAATCTGGGAAGTTTTCCAAATTCGTCACTGGAAAGCATGGAGTATTCAGCATTAGCGCCTCCGTGGAAGTTTCTGTCTCTGCCTCAGTCAGTCTGGCTGGCAGCACTGAAGAGTAGACGGTTGTCCAGAGGCTGGGTAAGTGGGAGCTGGAATCCTGTGACAGAGGCACTCCCAGCCAGCTTCTCAATTTGCAGAGCTGTTAAGGTTTTCCCTGACAGCTGCACACATGCCACATGAGCAAAACGGTCCACTGATGAGGCACCAGCTTGAGATTTTCTGAATAAGCTAACCTCTGGGAAAGTGTAAAGTCATGAGCTTCACCGCGCAGTATCTACAAGGGAAGGATGCAAGAGCAATTGTCATTCTCATTGCTTCCAGCACAGGTGGAAGGAGACACTGCGGATGGTAACTTCCTTACCAATTTCCATTATGTGCCCTGATACTTTAGATCCTGAGCAGAAGCCAAGGAATAAATTATGAAAACAACGATTTGTTCCCCTAATATAATGCAGGTTCGTATCAGGGCTATAATCCCTGCCATCTAAAACACGGGATCAAGTTGTCCGACTCTCAGAGGCCATTAAAAACATTCACGTATTTTAGAGTTTTTCACAGTTTCAAGTACGTAGTTCAGTGTTTGTCTTATGAGAAGTTCTTGAAGCTAAGTAGCAGCTGGCCTTCTTTATCTTGCATTACCCATTATCTCCTACATTGTAGAAGTGCTTTCAGCCCTGAAGCAGGTGTTATTGTAGAGAGGTGCACTGAAAGAAAGCTTGGAGGATCTTAAATGCCTGTGCTCTAGAAGGTAACCCGAGAAAGAGGAGAGATGCGGGGACATTCCACCGTGTCTGATCCTGACGCTGTTCCAACTGTACGGCTTAGACAACAAGCAGAGCGGGGGATGTTGAGGCTGAGCGCTAGGGTGGCTGCCATCTGGGTGGACTTGCCTGAGTTAAAGGAAATGGAGGATTCTTGAATATTTTCAAGTAGATTTCCAGTTGTCTCAAGATTCAAGAATTTTTAACATAACTACAATGTTGTTGCTATTGGTTTGTGGATTTTGTTTTTTAATCCAAGTGAGAAAAAAATTTGGAATATTTGAGAATGTTAAATTCTAAAATCGTTAATAAGGCCTATTAAGTCCTGCATGTTCTGGGTTCTGTCTTCCTCTGTCACCTCATCTCAGGCCACTCACCTGTACAAAAGGAAAGAAACTACTTTGTTTTCATTTTGTTTCTAACAAGATTTATCAAGGCAGGTTTCATGGAAGTGAGGAGGTATGAGCTGGCACATTGTGTCAGTTAGCTATTTAATGTGGCTGCAAAACAAGCCACATTAAAACATAGTAGCCTGAAGTATCAATAATAGCCATTATTATTGCTCATGAATCGAAGAGCAAGCTAATAGGTCTTCTGGACTCTCTTTAAATTATTCATGTGTCCATGGCCAGCTTCAGGTTAGGCAGGCAGCTTTGCTGATCTTTGAGCATTTTTATGTATTTGGAGATAGCACTGCTGTTAGCTGGCCTATAATGATCTTGGCTTTTCTCGGCATAATCTTCCAGCAGGCCATCCTGGGCTTTTTGTCCAGTCATGGCAGGTTCCGAGAGAGAAGGATCTCAAGGCCACTTGAAGCCTAGTCTTGAGCTGGCGGACTTCACATTTCTCATTCTGTTGGCCAGAGAAAATGAAGAAGCCAGCCCAGATTCAGGAGCTGGAGAAATGCACTCAGCCTCTTGAAGGAAGGATCTTCAAAGTTGTATTGTAAAGGGCATAGATAAGGGTCCATTTTTATAATCAAATTACCACAAACTTCAAAGATAAGTAGAAGCACAACTGGCAAAGATAATGTGTAAATATGCATCCAGGTATAAGAAGCAATTTGAGAAAAGCACAACACAGGTTCTATAAAGGGCAAAGAGAATTGCTGCCAGAACAAAGATTTTGTGTGTGCAGGCCTAGAAGAACACTCAAGATTTATGAGAAAGAGGACTAGAAATAACACCTGGGAGGACCTTCCATTCCACACTAAAGAATCTATGATCAGTTGAAGCAACCAAGAATTATAGCAGTTCTCTTGTGCAGCATTGATCACTGATCCCCATTTCTTATTCTGGAAACTGCCCCCTTCTGTGCATTCAATGATAACTACTCTTTCTTTGTGTACTTATTATTTCTCTAATGTTTATTCTTCACTGTTTTAGTTCTCTGTCTCCATCCTCTGTTAATTTGAGGCCACTCGACATTCTCTGCTTAGCCTTTTGTTGTTCAAAAATACCTCCTCAACAATTTCATCCACTTCATTAATTTTCACTAATGTCATTTGATGGCTGTCAGATCTATAGCCCTCCCAGATTCTGGAGAGCTGTGATCTTGTTTATGTAACTGCATCCTGGACATACATCTGCAGTTCTAACTTAACTTGTTTCAAAGACAATCTCCTTATTTTGCCTTCTATGCTCCTCATTCTCCTGTGTATTCTCCTAGTTAAAGACCACTGTTATCCATTCAAATACACAAGTCAGGAAGTCAGGAAACACCTGAACATCCTCTCTTTCCCTCATTTCTTACATTGAGTCTGCAGGTCCTGAGTCAGTTATATTTCCTAATATGTTATCAGTATCTGAATGCTCTATTTATGAGCTGTGGCTGTGGCTCATTGGGTGCTTCAAATTGTGTAGGAAGGACAGAGATAATTTGCCTCACTTAATTTTAATTGGAAGATGGTTTTACTGATGTCTTAATGATATCTTGATCAAGTCATATATAAGTAAAAAATTATTTTTTGAAGCATTCCATAATTTGCTTCTAATAACCTAAGATTATACACCTCATTACAAGAGGCAAGTGTGTTATCCTGAAAGACTGGCAAGAGCATGCCTTTCAATGTAACTTTTGACCTTTTTATGCACTAGACCCAGAAATCTTGTTTTCATGTGACTTGCAGTCATATGGCATATAGCATTTCTCCATGGTCAGTGCAAAGGCTTAGCCCATCTGCATCTTGGCACGATATGAATTGGGCTCTTCCTCCAAGTCTGACAACAGTACACACAATGAACACTGAAATTTCATAAGTTCTGCTCACCACCTTAAGCAAGGGTTATTTAAGCAGCTTTCTAAAAACAAAATCTTATGTGGAACCTCACACATAAAGCAAATAAAAGAAGAGCTTGCTTTGTTAAAGTATGGATAAAAGTACCCAAACTTTGCCCCTGGTCTCCATCCCAACCTTTCTAATCACCTCCTGCAAAGCCCTTGGAGCACTCTAACTAATCTTAAGGCTCTGAAAAATCCAACTAAAAATATCACGAACCTAGGGGAAACATGAGACCAATATACTCTAGGAAAAGAGCAAATGTCATTTATACAGAAGTACATCATGACTTGAGCTAAATCTGATCAATCCTAGACAACAAAAAAGAAAAAAGTTGCATTAATCATAAAAGATTGAATTCATATTTTTATTGATATATAATAATTATACATATTTTTGGAGGTACAAGTGATGTTTTGATATGTGTATAATATGATCAAATCAGGGTAATTGGAATATCCATTACTTCACATATTTGCTTTTCTTTGTATTGGGAACATTCCAAATCTTCTAGCTATTTTGAGATACACAATAAATTATTGTTCACTATAGTCTTTCTACTATACTATCAACTCCTGGAATTTATTCCTTCTATCTAGTGGTGTTTTGGTCCCCATTAACCAAATTCTCCTCATTCATTCTCCCCACTACCCTTCCTAGCCTCTGGTAATTGCAGCACTATTCACAATAGCCAAGATATGGAATCAACTTCTGTCCATCAATGGATGAATAGACTTTTAAAAATATGCTATATACATACAATAGGATGTCATTCAGCCACAAAAAAAGACTGAAATCTTATGATTTGTAGCAACATAGATAGAACTAGAGATCATTGTGTTAAGTGAAATAAGCCATTCATAGAAGACAAATACCACATCTTCTCAGTCATATGTGGGAGCCAAAATAATGGATCATATCAAAGTGGATTCAGAATCTTGACCAGACAAAGAAAGAGAGAGGACGTCTCCCTCAATTCCAGTAGAACCTCCTCTATGTTACAACTCTAGAATGAGGCTTTTTCTCCCCAATCTTCTGTCGTTGCTTCCCTTACCTGGACTGCCCTGATCATATCTTACCTGGATTCTTGAACTAAACTACCTGGTTACCCTGCTGTTAGTTCCTGACCCATCCAGCAAATGAGTAGAACACTTTCCAAAGTCATCTCACTAAAACCAAATATTATCTCATAGCTTTATTATCTGTGAAATATGGAGTAAAGTTCAAATTACACAGCTTTCCCCAGAAAAAAACCACCCTTGAGGAGTCCCTGACCAAACTCTCTGGTCAATCCTGCCTTTCTTAACTCACGTCCTAAACCCCAGTAATCCTGGGAAAAATTAGAGATCTTCAAACTTGCTACATTTTATATCTCCATATCTCTGTAAATATTGTTCTTTCTGCTTACAATTAGCTTTTCTCTAGTGTCTACCTAGTGCAAGTGCATCTATCCCTATGCGGATTTCATATTGCCTTCTCCTCTCTGAAGACTTTTCTAATCCTCTCACCTTAGCCTTGATCCCTCCTTCCTTGCCTTATCATGGCACTTTTTACATGCTCAAAATGTTTCACCAATCATACTGTATTACAATTATTTCATGACATGTCATTGTGCCAAACTTAATTGCAATTTCTACAGGTGAAAGGGCCAAGTCTTATTTACTTTATCATCACCCACACCTAACACAGTACATGACATCAGGCAATGGTTTAGTGACATTCAATGAACGAATTATGGAAGCAAAGCTTTAAGAAAATAAATATAGGAACAGCATGGAAAGTGAATCAGAGAGAAAGCCACGTGCATGGGATCGGTTAAACGGGTATTGAGATAATCCTGGCTGGTGATAATAATAATGAGGTAAAAATAATAATGAGGCAGAAAATTGTCAATGCCTATGGAGCAAGGAATAATACTGGGTATCTCTGAAAACAGAATCTGCAATACGCAGCAAGAGTTTGAAAGGGCAGAAGGAGTAATTGACAATAAATCCAAAATTGAGGCCAGAGCCAAGAATGAATGATTTTAATAACAAGCCTTGGGAAAGCAGGAGGGAAGCTGAATAACTCAGTTTTGGGAATAATAAACATGGATTCTATGCTGTGCACAATGCTAGCTATTGCTGACATGTTGCTTTTTTGTACTCTCCTCAGTTTTGAAAGCAGAACTCAGGGGAGAGTGAAGGCTCAGAATTGTCGACTGCGTGACATATGTCTAAGAGCACTGAGGGTAGTCATGGTCAAGGCTGTAATCTCTGCCATTTGCTCTTCTCTCACATTGGAGAGCATACAATAGGAAAATTTTTTAAATTAAGGGAGTATTTTCTGCACCTTAAAATGAATGGTCCCAAATGAAGGAATTTTTTTAAAGAAACACATATTTTATATGTATGCACACACTTATAGTGCACTTATTTCTGTATATATAAAAA
Organism: Homo sapiens; assembly: GCF_000001405.40. NCBI lineage: Eukaryota > Metazoa > Chordata > Mammalia > Primates > Hominidae > Homo > Homo sapiens. Next base: position 62,696,024 of record NC_000008.11, read on the forward strand.
CGCAAAAATAAATATACAAGTTTTTATATACACAAACATACAATGTTTGTATTGGGGAACTGAGCTTTTGATTTTTAATTTTTAATGGCCTCTGTTAATTTTCACTCAATCAGATATCTAATTTGATCACTGTATTTTCGTGTCTGAAGTATATTTTTCAAGGGAATCCATGTTAACAATACTGAACTGTTCTGTTAAACTTTTAAATTATTGTCAGAATTTTTTCCTTATAGGTCATTCATTGTAATGGAGTAAGAATGAATCTAAATCTGGATTAAAAGATTTTGGTGAATTGGGAGTGTTTTTTCCCCAGACTCAGAATTAATGACTTAATGCTCCCTGAAGATTTCATATCTATAGGCAACATGCACCATCTTGCTGAGTTAAAATCCTAGTAAGGATTGGATTAATTCTCCATTTCTAATGAGAAGAGAATAATACCAACAATGATTCTAATTATATCTCGGACTTGAAGAGTTCATTCCTTCCTAGGAGCTAAAGGAAAGTCTGCATCTGTTACGTAATTTATGCATAAAGACAAAGTCATTTGACAAAGGTTACACTGTATGATTAGAATCCAATGTGATAGAAATTCTGCATTTTTGATTCTACATTTAGTTCTCTTTGCTTTAAGTTCCCAATTAAAAAAAAAAAGAAACAATAAATTGTAACGTACAAAACGAATAATTCTAATTTGATGTGAGGAAGATATTTCTGAGAGACATTTGTGAGATTTGAGAGTGTGGATTAGAAGAAGCTGTGAAATTTTTTTACTAGAAGTGTTCTAACATAAAGCAGATTCATGTATGTCTGATCTAGTTTGTGGGGATACTATCTGATTGAAGCAAGGTGAAATAAATTATTTATCAAGATTTCCTGTAGTCATAGAATTCAATGATTTCTCTTTGATATGCTCTGTTACATTTTTTCCTAATAAGACTCAAAAATACATATATAAATGCAAAATGACACTGTTAAATTGCTTCCTTTTTGCAGGGAATAAAAGGAAGAGACTTGGGCTGAATCTTTTCATGCTTGCCTCTCTACAGTTTATTTTCAAAACTGCAGCAGGCGTAATCCTTTAAAAACATAGGTCAGACCATTGCAGCCCCTAATCAACACTCTGCATGGCTCCCTATTTCACCTGGAGGAAGAGCCAAGTCTTTTCAACAGCCAACAGAGCCCTACATGATCTACAGAGCTATCTCTTCCCCACCTCCCCACTACCTCCCTAGCCTCATCCTCTGCCCTACTACTTGCCTACTCTGTTCCAGCCATGCTGGCTGCCTTGCGGTCCCTCTGCTGGGAGCACGCCTGCCTCAGGGCCTTTGCATGTGCTGTTTCCTCAGCCTGGGATTCTCTTCCATGAGTTAACCCTATGGCTTTCTGCCTCCCTTTCTTCAAGTTTTTTCTCAAGTGTTACTTTCTCAATGAGACTATCCTCATTACCCCCTAATTAAAATTTCAAACTTCGTCCACCTCCACTGAATTCTTTTTTTTACATAATATTTGTTACTTTCTCACATTCTTCATAACTTGCTTACTTATGTTTGTTTTTGTTGTTTCTCCCCTCCCCCCAACATCTAGAATCTCCCAACTTCTAGAACATATGCTCTTGATGGGCAAGGGTCTTTGTCTATTTTAGTTGATGTTTGTTGATTAATTTCAAAATGGTGTCTGTCACATATTAGGTTCTTCATATGTTTTGTACAAATGAACTAATACTCATTAACTAAGATGAGCAATGATTACAAGTGACTAGTAGGTAGCTTTTATTTTGCAAAAGATGTAATTTCTATATAAGCATATTTTAGTCAGAGGAGTAAAAAGTTGCCATTCCTGAAAAATTACTCAAAGATATACTCTAGCAAATTGAAAGACAACTGAAAATAAGATGAAAAGGCAAAGTATAAAATAATTAAGGCTGAATATCAATACCAATAAAATATAGAACGAAATCTTGTTCATTTTGTTAACCTTTTTAAATATAATACACATTTCAAAAACAATTATTGAAAGAGAAAACATAATGTAATAAAATAATGTAATCATAAAGTGGATCTAAAAGTAACAGATTAAATCAGTACAAACTGGGAAATAGAAAAAAAAGATATAAGGGACAAAGTAAAAATGGGGAGAATAAGTTCCCACTATTTACAAACAGCATCAATGGAATAAGCATTATTTTAGAGTAATGATGCCATGAGAAGAAAATGTTCAAGTACTTTTCTTAAACCTGACTTCCACATAACAGACCTTCAAATCCTTGAAGACAGTTGTCATGTCCCACCCAGTGCTTAGTATGTGTGAAGCATGATAGACTTTGAACTGTCCCACATAGAACAGAAGTTCAAGTTCTTCTCTCATCTGAGTCCCCTACTCAAGCTCCTCCTGCAGATTGGATGCCAGAATTGGACAAAAACTTCAGCTGTGGTCCCTGCAACACAAAGGAGAGCACACACACCCTCTCACTTGCTCTAGATATTTTGCTTTTATGAGTCACCTTAAGATCATGTTTTTGAGGCTATGTTAATGACTCTCATGGAGTTCTTACCAAATTTAATTCCTCAGAATTACGCTACATATACTCTACTGTGTACAACCAAGTGTAGGACCTCATTCTTTTCCAACTAAATAACAATTTGATAGATTTTAGCTCGTGGCTATATCATGTCAGTGCAATTTTGATTCAGCATATTCATGAATCATAAAGTTAATTTCAACTACAAATTTGGGAGAGTATGTTATTTCTTTATTTAAGAAATATAAGTTATTGGGAAAATGCTGAAAAAGATAATGGAAAGGACGGAACCACGCAACAATCCACTAGAAACCTCCCTTGTGATTGACATCAATGCACTAATAAGCACTATTGAGGTAGCGATTGAGCTACTTAACTGTTTTCGAATTTCATATTTTTCTATATTAAGAATAAGAACAATTTAAGATTTTCCCAATTTAAGAATGAGTCCTGGACAATTATTTCTTTAGGTTCTTCATCTGCTAACCCTATCATAGAAATAAATTCGGATATGCTGTTGTCATTAGAAACACGCTGGCTTTCTTGTGACCTTTCTCGGGATATTTACACATTATCGCTTAATAATTTATTCTAAAATCTCTTTCAAGATTCATATCAATAGTTTGCATAATTTTTCTTCCTACTTTTTGAAAACTAGGAAATTAATTTGATATAGCTACACAAAAGCTGTTCAAAAAAGGTCAAACAAGTTCAAGGAAATTAGTATGATATGCTGCATTATTATAAAGCACACTGCTAGATTTCTCTGTAATTATACTTTTAATTCTAAATCAATTACTTTGAGAATCTATATTAAACTTTGAATGATGACCAATTAAAAACGTCTTTAAATGGCATTGCCCTTCAAAATGGAATCAGTGCTAATGAAATAAACTGCTTTTGATATTGTGAAAATCTGATTACATGATTGCTTCTGTAGCTAATTGGACAAACTTGCATATTGAATGCTTCTAAATATCTGCTTCTCTTCCACCTACTTTTCTATCATTTGGCAGTGATGAGGAGGGAGAAAAGAAGAGGTCTCTTAGTTGAACTTAAGATCTTCAAAAGCCTTTCCATGGTTTATTCATGCTTGTCCTATCCTTTGGTGTTGTTATAGGAAGATATTTAAACTTGCTTGGGTGTTATTAACATTCCTGGAGTTATGATTAGTCTTGAACTGTAGCCTGTAGTGGAATTCCACAGAAGGGTAAAGTCATAGTATCTTATGTTATTCAAACTTATCTACTATGCAGAATGAAAAAATAAGTAACCAATGAATTATTACTTAGAATCTGCTGTTTTAAGAACAAGAATGTTAAAGAAAATTTGTACATTTAATTGCTTGGGAGGTCAAGGCAGGAGGATCACTTGAGTTCAAGACCAGCCTGGGCAATGTAGTAAGACTCAATCTCTAAAAAATTTCTTTTTAAAATCTAGCTGGATGTGGTAGCACATGCCTGTAGTCCCAGCTACTGGGTAAGCTAAAGTAGGCACTAGAGCCCAGGATTTCAAGGCTGCAGTGAACTATGATTGCACCACTGTACTCCAGTCTGGGCAATAGAGCAAGACCCTGTCTCGAAAAAAAAATTAGTTGCTTGATGGTGATTTTAAAATTCAGAATGACTTTAGGTAGTTTAGGTTATGTCTCTATGATGTAAAAATGGTCAACTTAGAAAAATGTAAAGAGTAGGAAGAAATCTCTCAGACAATTTTGGAGGTTCAAATGTACTTGACAATTCAGAGAAGTTACACAGGGTAAAATAAAGAGGCAAAGAACCTGAAGACCACGCAGATTCCACATCTTGTGCTTAAACACTGGTGCTTTCGGTCAGGTTGTTACAACTCCCTGAATTGCAATTTCCTTAGCTAAAAAATGGAGAAATAATATTTTCCAGAATTGCCTCAGGATAATTTCATTCAAATGTGGAAGTGTCTTATGAACTATGAAATGCACTGCAGACTCCCAGAAATATAATCTCTTTTTCCATTCATCCCCTAATTCAATAAGTATGGTCAATTTGGCAGACATGTATTATTTAAACCTTGAATCACCTATTAATCATCACCTTTGGCAAAGAAAATGGAGATGCAAAAGTAGGTTCTGTATAAAAAGCTTAAATACATGATTTGCAGCGAAGCTGTATTTACTCAGTTAAAAAAAGAAATTTATCTTAGAAGCCAGTTTTAAAATGATAATTAACTGTTTTGTGTTGTCTAGTTAACTGATTCTTCAACAAACATAGTTTGAAGAAGTTAGACCTTTTGTTTTATGCAAAATAAATTATCATCAGACCATATTTTCTAAGCTGAAAAATATTGTATTTTTATACTATTGTCTTCCATCCATTTAGTTTATGTACCTTAACTGCTTCATGGTGCTCTTGGCCAGAAACAAATTATTTCTAAATATTATGTTTGCATTTTGATCCTTTATCTTAACTGTAAAATTATACATAGCTAGTCTTTTCTCTTATAAACCCATCTGTGGTTGCTGAAAAGTAAATTATTTTGTTGAAGGTCAGCATTAAATCCAGCCAGATTTACCTTTTATTAATCCCTGTTTGTTGCTTAGGGATTTTATCACTGTGCTAGAACCACTTTTTGGCCCCAGAATCTTTTCTCTCAATTTAATTCATAATGCCACTATAATGCAATAGATGTTAGGATTTGGCCATCTGGGCATTTTAAAACATGGCAGCAGACCAGTGGAGTCTCAGTTTGGTGTTGCATCTGATGTTCCCTCCTTACTACACATGACCAGCCATTTTTCAAAAATGCAGAGCCTGTGTCCAACAGTTTACTGTGGCCACATGAGCTTTAGTCACGCTTTGTAACTCTCAATTAGAAAAATCTCAAATTTAGTCATTACAAGTTTTATGGGTTGTGAGAGCACAAGGGGTCCTTAAAATGACCAGACAGCTGAAAGACGTGGCAGGCAGTGAAACATCAAGCAAGGAAGTATCCTCGCAGGCCAGTGACTAACGATCCCTCCTGCGCTCAGTTTATGTTGAAATTAAAGTAAAATCCTATTTTCAGTATTGAGTAAATGGGGTCGCTAGAATGCTATGCAACAGAATTATATGTGGAAAAAAATGATGTGACGTATACAATTACCTCAGCTATTCAAATTAGCTCTTTTCAGAAGTGGTCTCTGGAACCCTGTTTCCATCATTTGGCAATGAGCCAGAGGGAAAAACAAATATTTCCCAGGCTTCTCTCCCAACCGAGGAGCTGCACATTCTTCAAAATCTCAGATTTCACCTCTTATTTGAAGCCTGTCTTGCATGGCCATTTGGAACTGACATTTCTGCTGCAATTCCAAAGCGCGAACTCCGGGGGCTGAAGTCCACCTACGCTCCACTTAACCCCATATACTCAGAATGCGCAGTGCGGCATCTGTCCACTGGGGGCGTCTTTTTCCTCGAATTGCGCTAGGGCTCCCCAGCGGCTAACAGTAGCCACCTGCGCTTGTGTTCGCGTTATGTATCGTTTCCATCCTTCGTGGCTTGATTTAGTTCTTTATACTCTCGTCCTCATATCTGGATTATAGATCGTTCCCACAGTGTCTTCACACTTGACCTGCAACCAAAGGATGCTCAAAGTCGGGTAAATATATAGTATCTAATAAATTTCTGTAATTCTCAATTCTTCTACAGTGGCATATGCTCATTCGAAGAATTTGAGTATGTCATTCTCAATTTGAGTATGTCATGTGTATTATATTTGACATAAATATACAACTTCTAAACCAATATTTTTTGTATCATTCCACTCAGAAAGTATCCAGTTTAAGACAGGAGAATACACAATTATAATGTTTAAAAAACTGGGATGGGGTCAAAGGCATTGGAAAAATATTTTAATATGGAGATTACGGACGTTACAGAAGCATATGTTTGGTTATTACAATCTTGAAAGTTAGATTTTTATGCACATATTATAGAAAGACAAAATTTCTGTGGAAAATTTGTTTCCTGATCAAATTAATAATTATTGTACTTGTATTACCAAGGGTAAATACCAATGACTAAAGTAAACATCGTTTATGTGGTTTTCTAGATGGTTTCAAATTTGAAATTTAGAGGCTGGAGACTAGCACTACATTTTAACCACTCTTGTAAATTATGTCACCAACATGCTATCCTTATTCACAGATCTATTTTTGAAAAATTCTAGATGGCTTGATTTTAATTTTATCTCAAATAGTTCTGTTGTTGTAGAACCTACTTAGAAACATTTAAGGTTTAGTTTCCAGAACTTTGTTCTAGGAAACTTTGTTTGGTTTCACTTGGATTCCTAGATTAAATTTAAGATTCCTTCTGTAGAAATATTATGACCACATATACAACATGTCAATGTAAATGTCAATGAAGCCATATAATAATAGAAGGATTAAAAATAAAACCCACAGGGAATTATGCTGCACTGAATCAAATTGTCAGCATTAATGATCGCCTCCGTTTACACCCATATGTCATTCCTTTCATTCTGTAGCATCGTGGGAATGAGCACTATTAGAGTAATATATTCCAAAATAGCTCATTATGGGTGGGGGTTGGGAAAGAGAAATATTATTTCATATCATTACTAATAAATTTAATTACCTGTACCCTGCTAGCAGTACATACATTCATTACTTTAATATATTAAAAATATATTACCTAAAGCCACAGTTAACTAAGTAATAGCACTGCTTAATCTTATGATATTCACTGTTTTTGGTCATCTTTCACTAGATATTCTCTGAAGCAAATTCTCATTTTTGTTTTAACAATATTATTATCTAATTTAGATTTTTAAGATCAACAGAACATTTTAGCAAGATAATTATTAAAGCTAGGCTTCTACATATTTTCCTGTATGTACCATTAAATTATTCCCCAACTCCCCACAAATTGCCTAAAAAAAACTCAAAACATTTAGATATATCAGCTATTTAACCAATTTTATTCCAATTTAATTACTAATTACTTAGAAATTAATTGCCAGTTTCATTTCTTGAGAACTCCCTCCTAAAATCTTTTGCGGTAATGCAATCTGGATTTGTTAAGCTATGTGCCCAGCTCTCATTCAGAAATCTCCCTGCGGAAACATCCTGGGGATTTCCTGTCTCCCTCTTGCTTGGTTTTCTCTCTCATTTAGTGGCGCACATCTTGGTGTGCACAGGAAGTACATTTGTTGAGACTTTTATGTTTAATGTATTTTTATTTAAGCTACACACTTGATCTATTATTTGTCTAGGTGTAAAATGCTGGGCATAACATCATTTTTTCATTATATTCTTTCTATATTCTTTAGCACCCAGTATCACTGGTAAGAAAGTCAAAGCCAATTTATATCCTAATCTTTTGTTTATGACTGTTACCCTACCCTGAAGCTTGTAGCATTTGCTCTCTGTTCATATACTCTAAAATTTCTGGATGACTTGATTGGATATTGGTCCATTTTCATCCACTGTGCTGGTTACTCCATAGACTCTTTCAATATGTCAACTTACGATAATTGATTTGAGAAATGGTCTCAAAATATTTTATTGCTCATTCAGTTCCCTTCCTCTGTTCCAGGAACATCCATATTTGGTTACCCATCTTCCCTGGTTGAATGTTTAATTTTCTTATCTTTTCTTTCTTATTTTCATCTTTTAAAATAATGTATCTTCTAGAAGATTTTTTAACTGTATTTTCTAAACTTTCTAAATGAGATTTTAGTTTACATTACAATATGTTTCATACCTAAAAGATCATTTTTTTCTGCCTAAATTTTCCCTTTTTATAGTATTTTAATCCTCCTCCATAGTTATAATATTTTATCTTGGCTTTCTGCAGATATGAACAATAGTCCTTTTTTCTAGAGAAGGAGAGCTATCTTCATCATTAGGGTGTCTGTTTCTTTCAAGTACTTTGTATGTTTCTTCCTGTTTGTTGTGGTCTCTGTTCCCCATTTTTGTGGCTTTACTCAAACGTCTAACAATTCTTAGTTGTAGGCTCATATGTAAAAGTTGGGATAAGAATTGCTCAAAAGCTCTTAATACGTGCTGTGAGTCTTATTGCCAGTCTCCTTCATAGTAAGATGACAGATTTGGCTTGACTCTCCAGCTGGTCAGATATCCCAAAGAGAGCCTTCTAGATTTCCACCTGGAACAAAAGCCAGGATTCCTCCTTGCAAGCTTATAAACTTTTCTTAAAACTCTTATTTACATTTCAATGACATTTGAGGAAAGAACCAGAGCATATTTGTCCAACCACCATCTTGGCCAAGAATTCCCTTTTCTTTCTTGATAGTGTTGGCGCTAGAGCATAACTTGCAAAATTATGTAATAACTAAATAATTGTTGAGTGAATAAATGATTAATAGAAGGAATCTAAGAAGTTAAAAAGGATTATCCTTACTACTTATTTGTGTTTTCTTTAGGAGGGGTTTTACTTTAAATCCAATGCCAAAGTGTCTGAAAGTCCTTAAGAACTTATTGAATGGCTCATTTGTTGCTGAGAACAATGATTTGGTTAAATGGAATGAAAGGCTTTAAGAATCTCCCATTTTTTTACTGGCAATACCTGGCACAACTCAGAACCATAAAACATCTTTTTTATAAAAGTTGATAGTACTGAAGGTACGTCATATTTGATATGGATATGAATGTTCTAAAAAGTTGCATAAATATGAGATTATGAACAATTTCTCTTTCACTTTATACTACTTTATCATTTTTCAACTAAATTATCGCTAAGAATTTCAGAGTTTAGTCTTTCATATTTTGAGGAACTGAGAGAGTTTAATGAGGAGAAGACCAACTGAACAGAGACCCTGAATTATAGTTTGATTCGAGGGATTATGAGAGCCCTTTAGAGACAACATTGGACCTAGCAATTGGCGCAGTCCGGGGAAGCGGGGCTCTTTACAGGCAAGACATCTCATGCTGGACATTTAGCCAGTCCTCTCTGGAAATTCATGACTTTTTTTGGAAACTTTTCTTCAATTATTTGTTGATAATCTTTTCCCTTCCATATTTTGTGTCCTTTGCCTTTCGATGGGAATTTATGTCACTTAAATATTGGGTATTCTGGACTGTTCTTCTATTTCTTGACTTTTCTACTTTCTATTTGTTAATTTTTTTACTCTACTTTCAGAGAGGTTTCTTAAAATTTTGTCTTCTAATCTTTCTATTGAATTTTTCGCTTGTGCACTTATGTTTCTGATATTGAATATATTTTGTTGTTGTTTGAGTTTTCTGCATTAAAGCAACCTGTTCATGGTTTCTGCATGTTACAAATAGCTTTGTTTTGATTTTTCTCCCTGCATAGTGTTTCCTCCAAGTTGCTTTAGATATTTTGTTGTTTGTTTGTTTTGATCTTTATGGCAGGAGCCTTTCCACAGGTTTTTCTCATCTTTGACTTTCTATGCATTCCTGTAAGTAAGGGATTTAAAGCCTGATTGCTCCTGATAAACACATGATGGGACTTCTCCACTCTGAGCTACATTGTAAGTTGACCTGTGTGAGTATTTTATTGGGGAATCCCAATAGTTTTTGTCTTTATCTTTTCTGCTGTAGAGTGGATCAAATTACCCAGGAAAGACTTCTAATTTCTATCTACAGGAAGGGGTCTAGAAGCCAGCTCCAAGTAGAAGAAAGAGCTGGGGGTGTTTGCATTCAGTATTCAGTATGCATCTGATGATGAATCCCCATGTTGTCAGTATGGTACATACACACAACTGTGTGTAGCATTCCCCAGCTGAAGATCTTATTTTCCCTTTCTAGTGAATACATCTCCAGATTTTTAGGGGAGGAGGGACATGCAGCAGTGAAACATCAGATATATATTTGGTTCTCAGACATATTCTACCTAAGCTGCCAGAGTTCAGAACCACTCCCTTCGTCTTCCTTCTAAAAGTAATGGATACTTTCAATGATTCTGCAAGTGTAAATTGGGTTTGTCCCTACCCTTCCCTACTGATGGCAGTTTCCATTCATTCGTTTATAGTTTCCGAAACTGTGCCCTTTACTGCTCCTGATTTCCCCATCCTTGTGGTTTATATTTTTAAGAATATACACCCCTTTGCTATCATTTTTGTAAGTATGTCCCAGTAATCTATCTTAATGAAAGACTAAAATGGCATATTTTTAATATTTACTTATTTATTATTTTTATTTTTCCATAAGTTATTGGGATACAGGTGGTATTTGGTTATATGAGTAAGTTCTTTAGTGGTGATTTGTGAGATTTTAGTGCACTCGTCACCCAAGCAGTATACACTTCACCATATTTGTAGTCTTTCATCCCTTGCTCCCCTCCCACTCTTCCTCCCAAGTCCCCAAAGTTCATTGTATCATTCATATGCCTTTGCATCCTCATAGCTTAGCTCCCACATATCAGTGAGAACGTACGACATTTGAGTGTCCATTCCTGAGTTACTTCACTTAGAATAATAGTCTCCAATCTCATCCAGGTCACTGCAAATGCTGTTAATTCATCCCTTTTTATGGCTGCATAGTATTCCATCATACATACATACACACACACACACACACACACACACACACGCACATATATATAAAACACAGTCTCCTTATCCACTCATTGATTGATGAGCATTTTGGTTGGATCCACAATTTTGCAATTGTGAATTGTGCTGCTATAAATAGGTGTGTGCAAGTATCTTTTTCAAATAATGACTTGTTTTCCTCTGTGTACATACCCAGTAGTGGGATTGTTGAATAAAATGGTAGTTCTACTTTTAGTTATTTAAGGAATCTCCACACTGTTTTCCATAGAGGCTGTACTAGTTTACTTTCCCACCATCAGTGTAGCAGTGTTTCCTGTTCGCCACACTCACACCAACATCTACTGTTTTTTGATTTTTTGATTATGGCCATTCTTGCAGGAGTAAGGTAGTATCATATTGTGGTTTTGATTTGCATTTCCTGATCATTAGTGATGTTGAGCATTTTTTCATATGTTTGTTGGCCACTTGTATATCTTTTGAGAATTGTCTATCCATGTCCTTAGCCCACTTTTTGATGGGATTCTTTGTTTTTTTCTTACTGATTTGTTTGAGTTCATTGTAGATTCTGGATGTTGGTCCTTTCTCAGATGTATAGATTGTGAAGATTTTCTCCCACTCTTTGGGTTTTCTATTAACTCTGCCGACTGTTCCTTTTGCTATGCAAAAGATCTTTAGTTTAATTAAGTCCCAGCTATTTATCTTTGTTTTTGATGCATTTGCTTTTGGGTCCTCCATCATGAAATCCTCGCCAAAGCCAATGTCTAGAAAGATTCTTCCAGTGTTATCTCCTAGAATTTTTATAGTTTCAGGTCTTAGGTTTAAGTCCCTAATCCAGCTTGAGTTGATTTTTGTATAAGCTGAGAAATGAGGATTCAGATTTATTTGCCTATATGTGGCTAGCCAGTTACCGAGCACCATTTGTTGAAAAGGGTGTCCTTTCCCCACTTCATGTTTTTGTTTGTTTTGTCAAAGACCAGTTGGCTGTACATATTTGGGTTTATTTATGGGTTCTCTATTCTGTTCCATTGGTCTATGTGCCTATTTTTATACTGGTACCATACTGTTTTGGTAACTATGGCCTTACAGTATAGTTTGAAATCAGGTAGTGTGATGCCTCCAGATTTGTTCTTTTTGCTTAGTCTTGCTTTGGCTATGCGGGCTCTTTTTTGATACCATATGAAGTTTAGAACTGTTTTATCTAATTCTGTGAGGAATGATGTGGTATTTTGATGGGAATTGCATTGAATTTGTATATTGCTTTTGTCAGTATGGCCACTTTCACAGCATTGATTCTACCCTTCCATGAGCATGGGATGTGTTTCCATTTGTTTATGTTGTCTATGATTTCTTTCAGCAGTGTTTTGTAATTTTCTTCATAGAAGTCCATCAACCCCTTAGTTAGGTATATTCCTAATTATTTTATTTTTTGCAGCTATTGTAAAAGGGTTGACTTCTTGATTTGAGTCTCCAGTTGGTCACTATTGATGTATAGAAGAGCTACTGATTTGTGTACATGAATCTTGTATCCGGAAACTATGCTGAATTCTTTTATCAGTTCTAGGAGCTTGCTGGAGGAGTCCTTAGGGTTTTCAAGGTAAATGATCATATCCTCAGCAAACAATGACAGTTTGACTTCCTCTTTACCAATTTGGATGCCTTTTATTTCTTTCTCTTCTCTGATTGCTCTGGCTAGGACTTCCAGTACTATGTTGAAGAGGAGTGGTGAGAGTGGACATCCTTGTCTTGTTCCAGTTCCCAGAGGGAATGCTTTCAACTTTTTCCCATTCAGTATTATGTTGGCTGTGGGTTTGCCATAGATGGCTTTTATTACATTAAGGTATGTCCCTTGTATGCAGATTTTGATGAGAGTTATAATCATAAAGGGATGCTGGATTATGTCAAATGCTTCTTCTGCATCTATTGAGATGATCGTTTGATTTTTATTTTTAATTCTGTTTACATGGTGTATCCTGTTTGTCAACTTGCATGTGTTAAACCATCCCTGCATCCCTGGTGTGAAACCCACTTGATCATGGTGGATTATCTTTTTGATATATTGTTGGATTCAGTTAGCTAGTATTTTATTAAGGATTTTAGCATCATGTTCATCAAGGATATCAATCTGTAGTTTTCTTTTCTGGCTATGTCCTTTCCTAGATTCAGTATAAGGGTGATGCTGGCTTCATAGAATGAATTAGGCAGGATTCCTTCTTCCTCCATCTTGTGGAATAGTGTCGAAAGGATTGGTCCAATTCTTCTTTGAATGGCTGGTATAATTCAGCTGTGAATCCATCTGGTCCTGGACTTTCCTTTGCTGGTAATTTTTAAATTACCATTTCAATCTCGCTACTTGTTATTTGTCTCTTCAGGGTATCCAATTCTTCCTGATTTAAGCTAGAAGGGTTGTATTTTTCCAGGAATTTATCCATCTCGTCTACGTTTTCTAGTTTATGTGTGTAAAGGTGTTCATAGTAGCCTTGAATTACCTTTTGTATTTCAGTGGTGTCAGTTGTAATATCCACCGTTTTGTTTCTTAGTGAGGTTATTTGGATTTTCTCTCTTCTTTTCTTGGTTTATCTTGTTAATGGTCTCTCAATTTTATTTATCCTTTCAAAGAACCAACATTTTGTTTCATTTATCTTTTGTATTTATTTTTTGTTTCAATTTCATTTAGTTCTGCTCTGATCTTTGTTATTTCCTTTCTTCTGCTGGGTTTGGATTTGGTTTGCTCTTGTTTCTCTAGTTCCTTGATTTGTGACCTTGGAACGTTAGTTTTTGCTCTTTCATTCTTTTTGATGTAGGCATTTAGGGCTATGAACTTTCCTCTTAGCACCGCCTTTGCTGTATTCCAGAGTTTTTGATAGGTTGTGTCATTGTTGTTGTTCAGTTGGAAGAATTTTTACATTTCTATCTTGATTTTATTTTTGACCCAAAGCTCATTCAGGATCAGATTACTAAATTTCCATGTATTTGCATTGTTTTGAAGGTTCCTTTTAGAGTTGATTTCCAGTTTCATTCCACTGTGGTCTGAGAGAGTGCTTGTTATAATTTCCATTTTCTTAAATTTACTGAAGCTCGTTTTATGGCCTATGATATGGTCTGTCTTGGAGATTGTTCCATGTGCTGTTGAATGGAATGTGTATTCTGTGGTTGTTGGATGGAATCTTCTGTATATATCTGTTAAGTCCATTTGTTCCAAGGTGTAGTTTAAATCATTATTTCTTTGTTGACTTTCTGTCTTGATGACCTGTCTAGTGCTGTCATGGAGTATGGGAATCCTCCACTATTATTTGTTGCTGTCTATCTCATTTCTTAGGTCTATTAGTAATTGTTTTACAAATTTGGGAACTCCAGTGTTAGGTGCATATATGTTTAGGGTTTTGATATTTTCCTGTTGGACAAGGCCTTTCACCATTATATAATGTCCCTCTTTTTCTCTCTTAACCACTATTGCTTTAAAGTTTGTTTTACCTAATATAAGAATAGCTACCCCTGCTCACTTTTAGTGTCCATTTGCATGAAATGCCTTTTTCTACCCCTTTATTTTAAGTTCATGTGAGTCCTTATGTGTTACTTGAGTCTCCCTAAGGCACCAAATGGTTGGTGAGTTCTTATCCATTCTGTGGTTCTGTATCTTTTAAGTGGAGCATTTAGGACATTTACATTCAATGTTAGTATTAAAGTATGAGGTATTGTTGTATTCATCATGCTCTTCATTGCCTGTGTACTTTGTTTCTTTTTCTTTTTTGTTTTTGTTTTTAACTTGTATTTTTGTTTGATAGGTCCTGTGTGATTTATGCTTTAAAGAGGTTCTGTTTTGATGTGTTTCCTAGATTGGTTTCAAGATTTGTTCCTTTCAGCAGTTCTTGTAGTGGTGGCTTGGTAATGGTAAATTCTTTCAGCATTTGTTTGTTTGAAAAGACTGTATCTTTCCTTCATATAGGATGCTTAGTTTTGCTGGATAAAAAATTCTTGGCTGATAATTGTTTTGTTTGAGAAGGCTGAAGATAGGCCCCCAACCTCTTCTAGCTTGTAGGGTTCCTACCGAGAAATCTGCAGTTAATCTGACAGGTTTTCCTTTATAGGTTACCTGGTACTTCTGTCTCACAGCTGTAAAGATTCTTTCTTTCATCTCAACTTTGGATAACCTGATGACAATGTGCTAGGCAAAGATCTTTTTGCAATGAATTTCCCAGTTGTTCTTTGTGCTTCTTGTATTTGGATGTCTAGGTCTCTAGAAAGGCTGGGGAGGTTTTCCTCGATTATTCCCCCAAATATGTTTTCCACGGTTTTAGAATTCTCTTTTTCCTCAGGAACACCGATTATTCTTAGGTTTGGTCATTTAACATAATCCCAGACTTCTTGGAGGCTTTGTTTGTATATTCTTATTTTTCTTTCTTTGTCTTTGTTGGATTGGGTTAATTGGAAGACCTTGTCTTTGAGCTCTGAATTTCTTTCTTCTATTTGTTCAGTTCTATTGCTAAGACTTTCCAGAGCATTTTGCAATTCTAAAAGTGCATCCAAAGTTTCCTGAATTGTTTATTGTTTTTTTCTTTAAGCTATCTATTTCTTTGAATATTTCTCCCTTCACTTCTTGTAACATTTTTTGGATTTCCTTGCATTGGACTTCACCTTTCTCTGGTCCCTCCCTGATTAGCTTAATAACTAACCTCCTGAATTCTTTTTCAGGTAAATCATGCATTTCTTCTTGGTTTGGATCCATTGCTGGTGAACTAGTGTGATTTTTTGGGAGCGTTAAATAGCCTTGTTTTTCATATTACCAGGGTTGGTTTTCTGGTCTCTTCCATTTGGGTAGCCTCTGTAAGAGGGAATGTCTAGGGCTGAAGGCTGTTGTTCAGATTATTTTGTCCCACGGGGTGTTCCCTTGATGAAGTACTCTTCCCCTTTTCCTATGGATGTGGCTTCCTGTGAGCTGAAATGCAGTGATTGTTGTCTCTCTTCTGGGCCTAGCTACCCAGTAAGTCTACCCAGCTCTGGGCTGGTACTGGGGGTTGTCTGCACAAAGTCCTGTGATGTGAACCATCTATGGGTTTCTCAGCCATGGATACCAGTGCTTGTTCTGGTAGAGGTGGTGGGAGGTTCAGTGGACTCTGTGAGGGTTCTTAGTTTTGGTGGTTTAATGCTCTATTTTTGTGCGGTTGGCCTCCTGCGAGGAGGTGGCACTTTCCAGAGAATATCAGCTATGGTAGTATGGGTAGGAACTGGCAGTGGGCAGGGCCCTAGAACTCCCAAGATTATATGCCCTTTGTCTTCTGCTACCAGGGTGGGTAGGGAAGGACCATCAGGTGGGGGTTGGGGTAGGTGTGTCTGAGTTCAGACTGTCCTTGGGCAGGTCTTGCTGTGGCTGCTGTGGAGGATGGGGGTAAGATTCACAGGTCACTGAAGTTGTGTACCTAGGAGGATTATGGCTGCCTCTGCTGAGTCATGCAGGTTATCAGGGAAGTGGGGGAAAGCCAGCAATCACAGGCCTCACCCAGCTCCCACACAAACCAAAGAGCTGGTCTCACTCCCAGCGTGCACCACCCTGCCAACAGCCCTGAGTGTGTTTCCAGGCAGAGGGCTTGAAAACTTGCCCCAGACTACCCGCCTCTCAGCCTTGAAAGAAAAGGGCTTGGTTCTTCCCTGTGAAGTCTGCACACTGGGTTTGTGCCCTCCCCTGAGTTCTGGCCAGGAGGTTTCTCACCCCATTCAAATTATTACAAAGCTCAACTAGAGATTTCCTTCTCCCTGTGGGATTTTACTCCCTGCTTCCCTGGCCACTCTCCTGACAGATCCCTGTGGTGCCAGGCAGGAATGGCCTGCTAGGGAACCCAGCCAGTTCCCAGGGCCTTTCTGCTGCTCCCTCTACCACTGTATTTCACTTGGCTCTCTAAACTGACTCGGCTCCAAGTAAAGTCGGAAACTTCTCCCACAAACAGAACCTCAGCTTCTCCAGTGGGAGTGTGTGTTCGGTAGAGGAGAGTTTCCCTTTCCTGTCTCCAGAGTGGGGGCACTCACAGTATTTGGGGTGTCTCCTGGGTCATGCAGGAGCAGTCTGCTTCCTTCAGAGGGTCTATGGGTCCTTTTGGGATTGCTTGCACCTGAGGTCTGAGTAAGGAGCAGGGAGACCTTGGGTAGTGCAGGGCTGCCACCAGGGTGCACACACACTTGGGGTCCGCTGTCAGCTTCTTGGTTTTTATTTTTGACTCTCATAGCATATGACAAAAGCTTGCACGTAGTAGACACTTACCTGGTATTTGTAGGATTGAATAAATGAATATTTTAAACACATCCAAAACGTAGAACTACAGCATTTGCACATGCTACAGATTTATGCCTTTAACAAATTAATGAAATTAAATGTCTCTTTCCTCCTCCAGTAATGCAACATATAGATAACTTCATCAGTTTAAAAAATCTATATTGCAAAAAGTTAACAATAATTTGAGTGAGCATTTTATCTATCCCTGTGTTCTTATCTATCCAACAAACACTTATTGAGCAACAACAATGTCACTAATAAACACCAAGATTAATGTTTGCGTTTTGTTATACAACATGTCTATTATAAACTGGACATCATTCAATTAGTAAAAAAGTCCCTTCAATAAATTTTTATATATTGAGACTTGTTATTTCTCAAATCAAGAACAGATTGAAGTAAACATTTCTATGGTTTATGTGTCACTAAATAGAACTTTGATATATAGACTCTCACATTCTATTACTAAATTTAATAATGCAAATGGAGTTTTAGTTTATTGCTTCTGTATAAATTTCATTAGGTTTCTGAGGAAGCTGTAAAGCTAATTGTAATGTATTTGGAATTTGGTTAGAAACAGGTTGCTTTTATTAATAGTTTTTTCAACCAGAATTATATAAAACCACTAGATTGTGATAGATCAGATTCAATTTATCCAGATAGTATAATATTTCCTTAAGGATGTAACATTAGAGATGTAACATAATTTTTGTATTGGATGTTTCATCGATAAAAGTTTATGGATCAGCAGGCAATATAATTTGCCATACCTCTCCATTTTTCATTTCAGAAATAAATCATTGCTTGTACAAGAGTATGACTTTTTTATGTTACAGTTTCACAGACTGTAATTGGTTCTGATTTATCTTAAAAAGTGTAAGATTTATATTCAGATAGGTTTATTGAAGTGTAAATCTTTAAAGGATGACAGCATTATTTTTAATGTATATGATATTTTTAAAAAGTAAAATAACATACTAGGGTACCTAACTCAAAAATAGAGGGGACTTCATTGAAATAAAAAAGAAAAAAAAATACAGGAGACTGCTTTTCTTAGCTATAAATCTTTGTATTTATTTGATCTTTTATATCATATGTATGTTATTTATTAAAATTAAAAATTAATAGGAAATAAAGTAGCTAATACCTATTGAGCACTTTCTAAAAGCCAGAAAATCTGCTAAACACTTTATATGGGTTGTCCCATTTAATCCTCAAAATAGCCCTATACATTATTGTTCTTCACATTTTATAGATTAGAAAAATACCAAGGCTTAATATAAAAAATAAAAGAATAAGATAGTCATGTTAACAATAGTTAATATTTAATGAATACAAGCTATGTTTAGGGCACTGTTCTAAGTGTTTCATGTGTATTATACTATTTGAGCCTCACTACAAGTATGAAATAGGTGCAATTTTTCTTTTTTTACAAATGATCCAAAAATCACAGGGCCAAAATTCAAACACAAGCACCTGCATTCACAGCTTGTGCTAAAATACGATGCTTGGATCACTTGCAAAACTTTATGCTACAAGTATGAGAAACTCTGACACAAAATGCCTCCAACATTAAGGTCATTAACAGTGCTGTTTGTTTAGTTAATTCTTGCACTGCTATAAAGACCTGAGACTGTGTAATTTTTAAAGAAAAGAGGTTGAATTAGCTCACAGTTCTGCAGGCTGTACAGATAGCATGGGTGGGGAGGCCTCAGGAGACTTTCAATCATGGTGAAAGGTAATGGGGAAGCAGGTACATTATCAAATGGCAGCAGAGGAGAGAGAGAGAAGTAGGAGGTGCTATACACTTTTAAACAACCAAATCTCAGGAGAACTTACTATCACAAGAACAGCAAGAGGGAAGTCCACCCCCATGATCCAGTAACCTCCCATGAAGACCCTCCTCCAACATTGGAGATTACAGTTCAATATGAGATTTGGGTGGGGACATAAATCGAAACCATATCAAGGGCACATCACAAAGTCCAGAAGTAGAGCCAGTGTCCAGGTTGACTAATGTGATAATGTCATAAAAAACCTAGGTTCTTCCCATGTCTCTGTTTAGCTTCTCTGCTCCTTGTGGGCTTTCAATTAAAGCAAGCTATTTAAACTTATTGACCCTAAATATATTCAAATGTAACTGAGAATGACAGCCTTTCAGTGTTGGTGCAAGACTGGAAACAGGAAGACTGCATCATTTCCAAGGGTTCATATCTCAGTACCTCAGTTTCCTCATCTGCAAGGTCAACATAATGATATTATCTATGCTGTCGGTGTTGTGAGGATTAAGTTGAGATACATAAAGTGCTAACAACTGTGTCTGTCACACTGTAAGTGCTACAGATACATTTGTTGTTGTCATTGTTACGTTATTGTGACAATGTCAAGAAGAAATTATGGCACTGCCTTAGATGTGGATTTAATTAAATTGCTGCCTGGTGGGAGTTGGATTTCAAGCCAATTCCTGAAGAAGTCACCTAATGGGATAATAGGTTTACCCTTAGACCAACAGCTGGGACACTCTGGAGCTGAGGGTAGAGTCACCTTTTCTGAGGCACAAGGCCATGCAGGGATGGGGCATAAAAGGAGCAGGGTGGCAACAACCTTTCCTGTCTGCTATGAAGATGACATAAAGGCACTTAGCACAGGGGTGTTTAGAGAACAGGGAGCAAGGCAGCATTCTTGGAGCAAGTTTGCCTTCCATCCCTGCCATGGAACTGCTATTTGCTTGAAACACTTATTCCTCATTTAAAAAATGGAACATCACTCAAGGTTGTTTTGACTGAATGAGTGTAGATCCTGTTCCTCCTTTTCTACTTCCATGGTGTCCCTCCTGTAGCTGCACAGTCAATGAACCTCCCAATAAGAAGACACCCCTTTCCACAGCCCTTTTTTGTCAATGATACACAAGACACCATGCTTTCCTGCCAGGCCCTACAAACAAGTGAAAATGATAATACGTGTCATCCCGACTTTAGAGAATGGTTTTAAGAATCAAATATGATAATATATGTGAATAAATGTTCTTTAAACCTGTAAGACTGTATATAGCAGTGAAGGATAGGGGTTAATTTACACCTACAAGATTTCTGATCTATCTGCTAGGGTGCTTCATTAGCCTTTTCTGATAATGGATTCATGACAGTTGTACATTAGAAGCTATGTGGATCACTAACCCATGACACTGACATCTTAGTTATAAAAGTGAGCAATTTTATAGAACACATATTAGCGAGAACATTAACAAAATGATCAGAATTTGATGTTTCCTAATGGGCCATTATATCCTTTTTGTTCTTTATTTTTAAAGTAGGTTAAAAAATACATGAATCTGTGGCAGAGAGATTAATATCATTCTAAAGAGCTGGCATCAGAACATTAATAGATATACAGAGTTTCTCCCTTTGACCTGGAAACTGGAATTCTGAGAAGAAAAAAAAAAACAAACAAAACAAAACTTAGAGAATAACAGCTGTCAGGAATTACCTCTCAAGAAATCCAAACTGCCAGCCATGGTAGCTCACATCTATAATCCCAGCACTTATGAGATGAGGTGGGAGGATCACTTGAGGCCAGGAGTTCAAGACTAACCTGGGCAACATAGCAAGACCCTGTATCTTTTAAAAAAATAAAACCCAACCAAAATTTACCTAAACATTAACATTTGTTACTGAAGATGTGCCTGATATCCTAAATTACCAAAGCAGCTACATCAATGACTGAATTATCATAGTTTCAATTCTACCTTAAAAATTACTATGTGAAAGGGCTTTCGATCAAGAAGTAGCATGAATGTTATAGCAAACAAGGGCTTGACTAGAGCTGAAAAGAGTTTCATACCCAGAATGTAGAGTGTGAAGAGGTCACAATTCAGTAAGTAATCATGTGGCTTCTATTGCTGAGTAGTCACAGTTATTTATAGAAAGAATATTCATTTTCTATTTAAAGTATTCTTTAATATTTTGGAACTACTTCACTTATTTTCCTACAAGTATCAGGATATTAACTATAACATATTAAGCTTCTCAAATTTGGAAGGTGACTTTTTTTATGTCTGCCTATGCTTTATGTGTTGCTTTCATCAATTAGTGACGTCTGCCTATAAGACTGGTATTGTAACACAGGAGACTTTGAATAAAACCAAAGTTGTGTGGCTTATTGTGTTTTATATGCTTTATTGTAATTAAGGGTTTTTTTTTTTACAGTAGCAAGTAATGAATAATCATTATCCAGCTAATTTGATCAAGTGCTAATTTTGAATTCTAAATTGGTCAAATTAATGTTTAAAAGTGTTCAGTATTAATATATGCACATATTGAGATTCTTATTAAACAAGTATTTAGTTTTATTATTTGTTATGTATGTCTGTTTCAGTATGACTATAGAAAATAAACCTTATGAATAGATTTTTGAATCTTTTTAATTTACTAGACAATAGTTCCCAAAAAATCTTTGTGATGGTGAATCAGATGGCAAAAATGATAGGTGTAAGAACAAAGTATATGGCTTTTTGAGAACATGACTGCCTTTAGGTTATTTCTTAGCGTCCTTAACCATAGGTAAATCACTTGGTTAGTATGGTGTATCAGTCCATTCTCACACTGCTGATAAAGACACACTTGAGACTGGGCAATTCACAAAAGAAAGAGGTTTAATTGGACTTACAGTTCCATGTGGCTAGGGAAATTCTCACAATCATGGTGGAGGGTGAAAGGCACTTCTTACATGGTGGTGGCAAGAGAGAATGAGGAAGAAAAAGTGGAAACCCCTAATAAACCTGTCAGATCTCATGAGACTTATTCACCATCACGAGAATAGCATGAGAAAGACAAGCCCCCATGATTCAATTACCTCCCACTGGGTCCCTCCCACAACACGTGGGAATTCTGGGAGATACAATTCAAGTTGAGATTTGGGTGGGGGCACAGCCAAACCATATCATATGGCATACTACTTGTAAAACAACCTTATCAATAAAGGCTGAGATAAACAGAAGGATTATTTATTATATAACTGTGAAGTTAACTGTACATATTTAATAGTATGTAATTCCCCAGTACTTTGTTTCCAGAATCACATCTAAGGGACACCAGGTTAACTGACTAAATTCCAAGACAGTCAAATCATTATTTGTTGATGATTTTTTAAAATACATTTCAATTCACCTTGCTAATTCATGTATCTTTTTTCCTTAATTTATTAAACTAATTTATCTGTGTAAGCACAGTATTATTTATAGGAATATTGTTCTTTTTAACACATCATTTAAAATATTCAATTGTGGTAAAACCATTTTTTCAAAGTAGCTTAGCAGAACACAGACAAGGAGGCAACCAATTCTTGATTCCAATGTCAAGTCTCATTGGCTGTCATCTAGAGCAAATTTATATCTATTTTTAACCATTTTCTTTGCTATATTCCTTTACTTTTTTTTTTATAATGTACTTCCTCACTCTAAGATATTCATTTTGGTTTTCTCTAATTCTTTTATAGTTTACATTTTATGTTTAACTCTTTAATATATGTGGAATTGATCATTTTATTTTAAAGTATACATGTTGTTTTATTTAAGACCAAATAATTCATTCAATAAATATTTATTACCTGCTCATTATATATCTGACCCTGTGGTAGGCATCGCACATAAATAGATGATTTCATGCTAGCTCTTGAGAGATGTAAAATCAGCGGGCAACACAGGCTACGAAAAGATAAATTACACTACAGTGTGGAAAGGTCCAAAGAGTAATAAGGAGACATATTGTTGTGCCAATGGTGGTTTCTCCATTGATTAGGGTTCTGTTTCTTGGTGCACTGGGATGCTGAGTTCATAGTAAACTCTCTTTACAAAGCAGGGCTCACATTAGTGGATAAAAGCAGGTGTGCGGTTGACTATGGCCTGGCTCAGGACTGCTGACCAAAGCTTAACAAGAACAATAGACAAATGTCACTGGGGAAGCACTGTTGCTGCCACTCTCATCTCATAAGTCCAAAAAGAGTAGAGTATTGTGATTATTTCCCAGGGAGATATTAGGCATAGAATGGTCCTCATAATTTTTGTGACCCATTACTTCATTAAAAATCTGGGAACCATAAGAAACTAATCTACCAAAAATGGATGCTTTTCTTGATGCTAAATTTGTGTTGACCAGAACCCTGGTTATATTCTCTTGGGAACTAGCCTCAACATTTTAACCCACCATAAAAAGCTTTGAAAAGTTCTGACATGATCTAGTCCTATAAATCATTGTCCTGTAATTAGCTGAGATTTTGTTTGGCTTTTTCCTCTGAGCATATGGCTTTGTTCTGAATTGATTTTCAGCAAATAATCAATTTGTCTTATACTATGCCTGACAGGTAAGTCATAACTATCACCAACACTAATGCCATAAGTTGGTTAACATTTCCTGTAATCTTCTGCATACATTTATACATTTCTTTCTTTTTTTTTTTTTTTTTTTTTGAGACGGAGTCTTGCTCTGACATCCAGGCTGGAGTGCAGCGGCGCGATCTCGGTTCACTGCAAGCTCCGCCTCCCAGGTTCACGCCATTCTCCTGCCTCAGCCTCCCGAGTAGCTGGGACTACAGGCTCTCGCTACCACGCCTGGCTAATTTTTTTGTATTTTCAGTAGAGACGAGGTTTCACCGTGTTAGACAGGATGGTCTTGAACTCCTGGCCTTGTGATCCGCCCGCCTCCGCCTGCCAAAGTGCTGGAATTACAGGCGTGAGCCACTGCGCCGGGCCGATATTTCTATCAGATGCAAGAATTATCACAATTCAGATATAGACACTAAACAAAAGCCTTCATTTTATGTAGGATTGTGTCAAAATGAAGTATTTATAAAAATAAGAAGCTATAATTCATACATCCCAAGTTAGAACATTTTTTAATATTGAGAATAATTACATAAATAGTCCAGAATGCCTTCAGTAATAATTCCTGATATTTTATGATGATTACCTTAACACATTTATACATTTACATTAAATTACAGAAACATATTCATTTCTAAATGTTAATAAATAAATATGCATTGTGTGTGGTACATTCTATTACAACTCTCTGAATTTCAGAGCAGAATTCATGGTCATGAGTAAAATAAATGCCCAAACAATACCATGAATTATTAAATATCTGTCAAAATTCCCAATGGAATTATGATTTCATAATTTGAATTCTGTTTTTTGTTAATTGTTTATAATGCATGGATCCGACCCATGGATTCCAGGTTTATTGAATGTTATAAAATTCTCTTTTCTCCTGTGCCCAGGCAGTCAGTCTTTCTGACTAAGCTAACAATGGCAATATTTATTCCCTTTTTCCTCCTTGAAAACTTTTTTCTATAGCATATTCTCCAAAGGCAATGATGACTGACTCAAGCCATCAAGTTATATGGCCTCTTACTGCAAATTGTTTCCATTTGTTGGAGGGCTCCAGAAGAAGCTACTATTTTGATCCTGAACAAAGGAGAGGAGTTGAGAATAAGAGGGAAATTGTTCTTCAAGTTAACTTGCACATTAACTTGTTCATAGAAGAGGTGGCTGATATGTTTTCAGCACCCTTTCACTTAACTGTACTTTGGAGTTTTTGCAATTACAGTCCAGACTTACTTGAACTACATGTGGTCGATATTATGCATCTGCCGCATCGCTTACTTCATGCGTCTTTATAGAGAGCCACGTAAGAGCATATACTGACCTCTGAGATGGTGTGAAACAGTGGAGAGGCAATAGCTAGGAAAATCTTTGCCCTTATAAAATTTATGTCACACATGCTACTCTATTCATTACTTTTTACGTAGCCCCATCTGTCCAGGAGTAAAATATCCCTGTAGCAGAGTCACATATAGAAGCCGGAAATTTAAAATATGACTTTCCCCAAATAGAGCCAAATATACCAGAGAGCATAATATTTTGCTGAAGACTGCCTCAATTCTAAAATATAAGAAAACTATGAGAGTTTTAAATTGAAATTTTTGTAACTTGCCTAAGGTATTATCATACTGCTACTTTGTGCTTGGCCTGAAATTAGAGAATGTTAAGCAGGTAAGTGAAAATTAAACTCCTCAAGGATATATAAAGAGTGCAAATTCTACTATTTCAATTCTCCTTTGATTCAAGTTTAAAATTCAGGCAACAGCTTCCTAGGCAAACTGAGATGCTTTTTTTCCTCTTAACGATGAGACTATGATTAGAACACCAGCCAAACTGTGCTTCTTAAGTCTCACTCACTGGGTCTGTGGTACAACTGCTGGCTTTGTGCACTATAAGTCCTTCTTCAGCCAAGTGTTGCCTTAGAGTAGAGAACAATGACTGTAAATTGCCTTTGTATTGTAGATATGAACAAGAAAAAAATATGCATTCATTCTTAGAGATCTTGATAACCTAGTGAGATTTTTCAATTTATAATGATCTCTATGTGGGAAGATTATTACATTCATAAGGAGGAAACCTACATCATTTGAAGACTCCTTGTGTGTTATTTAAAGGTGAAATAGGGCAGAACATAGACAATGGTTGTGGCCTCAACTGTTGTCACTTCAGACACCTTGAAACATGTAGCCATAATAATCTACTCATCGTCTCTTGAATATTCCACCTGGCAAGTGTCCCTGTGGATATAATCCTAACTTATGATAGAAGAGTTGTTTCATGGCTAGAGACAGGTCTGTGAAAGGGAAGAGCTTTTCCACTTTGGATAAGAATATTTGTATTCATCTAGGTGTTTATGGAAAGCATAGCTAAGTCTAATTTTGGGGAGAAAAGAGGATGTTTTAAGATTAGCCACTATCAGTAAGGAGAACAACCAGAAATTGACCAGTGCCTCATAGAAGAAATGGTCTCCCCATGATCTGAAAATTTAAAAGAATGTAAATATTGTTTGGAAAATTTCAAATTCAACTTTAATTAAAGAAAAGCTAAAAGTGCCTTGCTTCATTTAAGGAAATTCAAGTTGTTGAGATTAATCTTTGCCAGTAACAATAAAATCATTCATTTTCTAATGAATTAAGTAGTGGCTTGGAAGCCCTCTGGGCTCCTTAAAACACTACGAAAGATACCTCCATGATGCAGCCATGAATTTAAAAATTTTGAAGAATGAAATAACCCTCATTATCATTCCTCCCAACAAATTAAATAGGAATACTACAAAATGATGTTCATGATTTAGATAAGTCCTTTGTGGCCATTGGCCCTTATACACTCATGAACTATCTGGTTAGTAATAATTTTGTTTAGGTGAGAGGCATACAGCTAATGTTGGCATGAAGAATCTGCAAGATTGGTATGATTACTTACCGTCAAATCAAGGAGTCCATGGAGACGTGAAGAGAGACAATATTCTTAAAATAAATGTAGCTACAGTGGGCAGATGTGGGAGTTTCATCTCAGTTCATCCCATCCCCCATAGCAAAGTGAATAGCATCCCTCCTTCCCACACAGACACATCAAAATATGTATGGAACACTCATGACTCTAATGGAGAGTCAGGCAACAAGAATGGGCTAACAAACATCTCATGGCTACAGTGAAAATCCACCCAGGGAGTTGTATTTGAATCATTGTCTCTGAAACTTCCAGATCACAAGAGGCTGTCTCCTACAGCCATCCAAGATGGTTAGTCAACAACTTGAGATTGGTGGTGACAAATAAGAACCTGCCAGAGAGGTTTTTACCATCTTCAACTTTGCAATTAATCAGAACTGTTTCCAGCCTTGGTAATTATTTCAGCAAAGGAAGCAATTAAGAAAAATGTCTTATTTTGCAGAGGATTCAAAACCAATCAGCTGCCGCATCCATAGGTCAAAAAATAACAATTTTGTTCTATTTATTCAGCTATGCTTCAAAAATGGAATAACTAAAATAATTATATGTTTTTTAAAAAATCCTATCACATTAAAACAACATTTATTATTTTTCTGAAAAAAGAAATCTTTTTCTACCTAAGTTGAAAAATAAGCATATATTCTTCCCAGGTGGTAAATTTAACAAAAAACACACACACAAAAAATTGTTTTGTGTAAATTAGGTAAAATGTGTGCATACATGCATACGCATGCATGATTTATAAGTACACCAAACTATAAATGTAACACATTAGTACCAGCATGAATCACAAAGGTAGCACAATTTTATAGTCTTAAAATCCTAATTAGCATAAAAGGGAAAACATCGTAATCAAATAACTATTGATTAACACAAAGCCGGATGTGTTGAATGGGTTTAGTAATTAACTAAGGAAACTGCAGGTGTTTAAAACTCATAGATTACTAATGAAATGTATACTTATTTTTAAAAAAATTACCTGTAGCTGAATCTTATCATATTCAGATACAGCAATAACACACAGTACTCATAGATGTAAACTATACTGTCACATAGAATACTTAAAGCATCCCTTATTAAATGTCTTAGGTGTTCAAATTCTTTGAAGCTTTTGCTAGGCTGTTTTCACAAGGATATATCTGATTCTGCCTATGGATCTGACACACTTTAAAAGTAGACAAAGCAGTATAAAGGAAAGCATGGATAATGAATGACCAACTAAGAAATAATCACAGATAAGAGAAGAAGAGCATGACATTTAAACGAAAATGCTTTCTAGCAAACTACAGATTTTTTCTAACTTCTTACTGTGTTTTCTCTGCATTCCATCAAGGTGGTCCAGCAGTAAAAGTAGACTTCTTCACATCACTTTGTGTTATAGGACTAATGATTTCTTGAGTTATTGGTAGGAAACTGGAAGCTTTTATTTGGTCCCTTCCAACAGAACCAAATGACACGGACAAGCTAACTGAAGGAATGAAATTAGGTTGTTTTTAAGCACGGTTCATTTCCTTTTAGTATTGTATACTGTCTCGCTTATTTCGATTATACATAAGAAAGTATGCTTATCCTCCCTATACTTATTTATTATTTTTGTTTTTAAATTTTTTATTTTTAATGTTTGTGAGTACGTAGTAGGTGCATGTTTACAAGGTGTATGAGATATTTTGATACAGGCATACAATGTACAATACTTCAGAGTAAATGAGATATCCATCACCTCAACCATTTATCTTTGCTTTGTGTTATCATCCAATTATTCTGTATTAGTTACTTTTAAATGTACAAAAACTATTGTTGACTGTAGTAACCCTGTTGTGCTATCAAATAATAGTTCTTATTCATTCTATCTAACTATATTTTGGTAACCATTTACCATCCCCACTACACCCTACTACCCATCCCAGCCTCTGATAACTATCATTCTACTCTATATCCTAATGAATTCCATAGTTTTAATTTTTACCTCCCACAAATAAGTGAGAATATGTGAAATTTGTCTTTTTGTGCCTGGCTTATTTTTTTTAACATAATGACTTCCAGTTCCATCCATGTTGTTGCAAATGACAGGATCTCATTCTTTGTTATGGCTGAATAGTTCTCAATTGTGTATACATACCACATTCCCTTTATTCATTCTTTTGTTGATGGACACTTGTTGCCCCAAAATCTTGGCTATTGTGAAGAGTGCTGCAATAAACATAGGAGTGCAGATATCTCTTTGATATACCGATGTCCTTTCTTTCGGGTTTACACCCACCAATGGGATTGCTGGATCACATGATAGCTTTTTTTTTTCAGTTTCTTTAGGAACCTCTGAACTGTTCTCCACAGTGGTTGTGATAATTTGCATTTCCACCAACAGGGTACAAGGGTTTCTGTTTCTCCACACCCTCACCAGCATTTGTTATTGCCTGTCTTTTGGATATAAGCCATTTTAACTGGAGTGAGGTGATATCTCATTGTAGTTTTGATTTGCATTTCTCTGATGATCAGTGATGTTGAGCACCTCTTAATGTATCTGTTTCCTATTTGTGTCTTCTTTTGAAAAAATATCTATTCAGATCTTTTGCCTATTTTTAAATCAGATTATTAGATTTTTTCCAATAGAGCTGTTTGAGCTCTTTATACATTCTGGCTATTAATCAGATAGATAGTTTGCAAATATTTTCACCCTTTGTAAGGATTGTCTCTTAACTGTTGATTGTTTCATTTGCTGTGCAGAAGCTTTTTAATTTGATATGATCCCAATTGCCCATTTTTGCTTTGGTTGCCTGTGCTTGTAGGGTATTACTCAAGAAATCTTTGCCCACCCAAACATCCTAAAGGGTTTCCCCAAAGTTTTCTTTTAGTAGTTTCATAGTTTGAGGTCTTAGATTTAACTCTTTAAGCCATTTTGATCTGATTTTTGTATATGCAGACAGATAGGAGAGTTTCATTCTGCTTTCCCAACACAATTTGTTGAAGAGACTATTCTTTCTCCAATATATGTTCTTTGCACCTTTGTCAAAAATGAGTTAACTGTAGATGTACGGATTTATTTCTGGGTTCTTTATTTTATTTCAGTGGTCCATGTGTCTGCCTATACCACTCTGTTTTGGTTACCATGGCTCTGCAGTATAATTTTAAGTCTGGTAATGTGATTCCTTCCATTTTGCTCTTTCTGTTCAGGATAGCTTTGGCTATTCTGTGTATTTTGTGGTTTCATATACATTTTAGGATTTTTTTTCTATCTATATGAAGAATGTCATTGATATTTAATAAGGATTGCATTGAATATGTAGATTGCTTTGGGTAGCATGTACACTTTAACAACATTGATTCTTCCAATGCATGAACATGACATATCTTTTCATTGTTTGTGTGATCTCTTCAGCTTCTTTCAATGTTTTATAATTTTTATTGTATAGATATTTCACTTCTTTGGTTAAATTAATCTTAGGTATTTATTTTATTTGGGGCTACTGTAAATGGAATACTTTCTTGATTTCTTTTTCAGTTTATTTGCTGTTGGCATATAGAAATGCTACTGATTTTGTATGCTAATTTTATATTCTACAACTTTACTGAATTTGTTTATCAGTTGGAGTCTTTAGGTTTTTTCTAACATAAGATTATATCAATTGCAAACACGCATAACTTTTTCCTTACCAATTTGGATGTCCTTTATTTCCTTCTCTTTTCCTATTACTCTAGCTAGTTCAGTGGTGAAAGTGTGCATCCTTGTTGTATTCCAGATCTTACAAGAAAGGCTTTCCATTTATCTTCATTTAGTATAATACTAGCTGTGAGTCTGTATTATATGGCTTTTCTTAACGTTGACGTATGTTTCTTCTTTACCCAATTTTTAGAGGATTCTTATCATGGAAGGATGTAGAATTTTATCAAATGATTTCTCAGCATCAGTTGAAATGATCACATGGTTTTTATCCTTCATTCTGTTAATATGATGTATTGCATTGTTTGGTTTGCATATATTGAACTATTCTTGCATCCCTTTATTTAATCTTTACATCCTTATATTTATTATATTTATAATCCCATGTTTATGAAGGAAATTCAATCAATAATTAATACCCTTCATAAACAGACAGCATCAGGCCCAGATGAGTTCACAGGTGAATTCTACTAGACATTTAAAGAAGAAATTATGCTATTGTTCTATGACCTCTTTTAGAAGATAGAAGCAGTGAGGTTACTCCCTAAGTCATACTCTAAGACCAGCATTACTGTAATACCAAAACCAGAGAAGAAAATGACAAGAACAGGAAACTACCAGCCAATATCTCTCATGAACACATATGCAAAAATCATTAACAAAATATTAGCAAATTGGATCCAACAATGTGCAAAAAGAATTACATACCACACCAAGTGGGATTTATTGCATGTATATGAAGATGATTTAGTGTTAAAAAATCAATTAATGTAATTGACCACATCAGCAGGCTAAAGAAGAAAAATTACATGGTCATGTCAATAGATGCAGAAAAAGCATTTGACAAAATCCAATATGCAGTCTGGTAAAAATGGTCAGCAAATTAGGAATAGAGGGGGACTTCCTAAATTTAATAAAAACATGTACAAAAACTCTATTGCTAACATCATACTTAATAATGCAAAACTACAATCTTTCCCACTAAGATCAGGAACAAGGCAAGAACGTCCCAGCTCACCACTCTTTTTTACCATCATACTGGATGTTCTCACTAAGGCAGTAAGACAACAAAAGGAAACAAAAGATATAATGATTGGAAAGGAAGAAATAAAACTTTGTTCACAGATGCCATGGTCATCTATGTAGAAGATCAACAAAAACAACAATAACAAACTCCTAGAACTAATAAACAATTATAACAAGGTTGCAGGATAGAAGGTTAATATATAAAAGCTAATCACTTTCCTATATACTAGAAATGAGTAAGTGGCATTTGAAGTTAAAAACACAATACCATTTGCAGTAGCACCCCCAAAATGAACTATATAGGTATAAATTTAACAAAATGTGTATAAGATCTTTATGAGGAAAACTACAAAATTCTGATGAAAGAAATCCAAGAAATAAATAATGGAGAGATATTTCATGTTCATGGGTAAGAAGGCTCAATATTGTCAAGATGTCAGTCTTTCCCAACTTAGTCTATATATTCAACAAAATCTTAATTGAAATCCAAAGTTGTTCTGTGGATATCGATAAACTGTTTCTTTCTTTGTTTTTTACTTAAAAAATCTGTTTTATTGAGGTGTAATTTATATACTATAAAAAGTACCCATGTAAGTGTACGGTTGGATGAGTTTTTCTTTTCACTGACATAATCTTTGCAAAAGTTGGATAAGTTTTGCAAAAATATAAGTTTTGTAACTATATTATATGGGTCTATATTTGGCCTTTGAATTGATAAAGGCAATATAATGGAAGCCAAGATAGTTTTTTCACCAAATGATACTATAACAACTGGGCAACCACTTGCAAAATAACAATAATCTAGACATAGACTTCATACTCTTCAAAAGAAATAACTCAAAATGGATCACATACACAAATGTAAAATGCAAAACTATATACTCCTAGATCATCAGAGAAAGTCTAGATGATCTTGAGTTTGGCAATGGCATTTTAGATATAACATCAAAAGCACAATACATAAAAGAATGAATTGATTAAAGTATAATAATAAAAAATAATAATCATAAAAAAAAGAATGAATTGAAAATCCGGACTTCAATTAAATTAAAAACTCCATGGCCGGGTGCGGTGGCTCACACCTGTAATCCCAGCACTTTGAGAGGCCGAGGTGGGCGGATCACCTGAGGTCGGGAGTTCGAGACCAGCCTGACCAACATGGAGAAACCCAGTCTCTACTAAAAAATACAAAATTAGCTGGGCATGGGTGGCGCAAGCCTGTAATCCCAGCTACTCAGGAGGGCTGAGGCAGGAGAATCACTTGAACCCAGGAGGCGGAGGTTGCCTTGAGCGGAGATCGCGCCATTGCACTCCAGCCTGGGCGACAAGAACGAAACTTCGTCTCAAAAAACAAAAAAACAAAACAAAACAAAACAAAAAATACTCCTGGCCGGGCGCAGTGGCTCATGCCTGTAATCCCAGCACTTTGGGAGGCTGAGGCGGTCGGATCACGAGGTCAGGAGATAGCGACCAGCCTGGCTAACACGGCAAAACCCCGTTTTTACTAAAAATAGAAAAAATTAGCCAGGCGTGGTGGCGGGCGCCTATAGTCCCAGCTACTCAGGAGGCTGAGGCAGGAGAATGGCGTGAACCCGGAAGGCGGAGCTTGCAGTGAGCCGAGATCACGCCACTGCACTCCAGCCTGAGCGACAGAGCAAGACTCCGTCTCAAACAAAACAAAAAACAAAACAAAACAAACAAACCAAAAAAAAAAAAAAACAAAAAAAAAAAACCTCCTGCTCTGCAAAAGACATTGGCAAGAGAATAAGACAGGCCACAGACTGGGAGAAAATATTTGCAAAATAAATATTTGATAAAAGAGTGTTGTCCAACATACACAATGTACTCTGAACAATAAAAAAGAAACGATTTATTTAGAAAGAAGCCTAAGACCTGGACAGACTCCTCAACAAGGAAGATATGTAGATGGAAAAAAGCACATGATAATATGCTCCACGTAACAGTTCATCACAGAAATACAAATTAAAACAACAACGTGATGCCACTACATACCTATTAGAATGGCCAAATCCAGAACACCAACACCACCAAATGCTGGGTAGGATATGGACCAACAGAAAGTCTAATTCAATACTGGGTGTAACGCAAAATGGTACAGCTACTTTGGAAGACAGTTTGGTAGTTTCTTAAAAAACTAAACGTACTCTTACCATATGATCTAGCAATTGTGCTCCTTGGTATTAACACTTGTGTCCGCATAAAAACCTGCACCTAGATGTTTATTACAGCAGCTTTATCCATAATTATATAATAGACATATGATATATTATATATATAGTATCTTTATTCAACTTTTAAACTTTGTATAACTGAAGTAACACAGTATTTATTTTTTCTATAAGTTGTTTTTGTCAACATTATGTTTCAGAGATTACCCTTTTTAATGTCTATGTAGGCCTACTGAATTTATTTCCACTTCACATAGCATGGATTGCATTCATACAAATTCATTAATTTTTGATAGACATTTAGATGGCTTCCAATCTAAATTTGAAAATAAACTACTGCTATGAACACTATTACATGTGTACACAGGTGGATGTGTGACAAAGCAAGGATAAATGCAGAGAGTTAAATTGCAGAATCATAGCATATGCTCATTTTAAACTGCTAACTGCTGCCATATTGTTCTGTTTAAGATTGGCCGTTGTCCTGCATATGAGTGAACAACATGCCACGTTTGGACAATAACAAATAATACCAAGTTTGATCACTTACCACAGCATTGCTAATTTTATCAGATTTATAAGGGACCGACTTTGTACTTTATTGATCTTTTCTATTATATTTTTTATTTTTAATTATTTTCTGCTCTTACATGTACTTCTAATATCCTTATTGTTGTCTTTTAAGATACTTTTCATCTTCTAACACAAAATATAATTTATTTCTTGTTATATTTATATTCTGAATTGCTCTACTAGAATTTAGCTCCACTAGAGCATAAATTCTTGCCTGTTCTGTTCATATATTAATTGCAAACCCCAGAACAGTGTAGGCACAAATATTTGTTAATTAAATGTAAATATGTTAATCTTTTATTCTAACATCTTTAGTCTTGTTAGTCTTTAAAAATTTTTAAACTGGGTGCTCAGCTCATTAATTTCAGCCTTTCTTCTTTTCTATTATAAATATTAAATGCTATATATTTTTCCTAAATGTCATTTAATGTATTATTTCTATAAGTATTACTTGCCATGAAAAAGAAATCTGTATTATGTACTTTGGTGCTATATGAATTAACCATTTACTTAATTATTTTAAAAACTGCTCACTAATCTTTGTAAGAATTAAAGAATTTCATTTGAATTTGCGAGATTGTGTTTTTAAAAAATTTCTTCCTTTCTTTTTATATTTATTGCCTCACATGTTCAATAATGAAGACTTTTACCTCATCAACTCAGTTATCTTGATATACAATTTCTTACTGCAAAAGCAAAATAAATTCTTCTTTCCCTTTAATTACTCATTTTTCAAGTAAGGTGTTATTTTAATAGCTGTTTTAACTATTAACAATTGAGATTTTCTGCGTTTATTTTTAAGTATTATGGAATCATAGATTTTCACTGATTCAGTGTGTTTTAGTAGGCTTCAATCATTCCTTTTGATGCTCAAATTATTACAACTTTGGGCAATGATAGAGCCTTCAGAGTGGCTCCTACATCCTTTCAATGTGACTCAAGACTTTGTAAAAGTTTTCAGGCTTTCAAGCACAAAAATCTACCCTACACTCCCCTTGTTTGTTCCTTGCACCTAACCTAGATTGGGCATTTCTCCAGGGAAGACCTGGCGCTTTTTAGTGAGGAATGGTATCAAACAGCAAAACTGAAGTGCTCATTGCTCTGCTAGAGCAACATTGTTTCCGA
Source organism: Homo sapiens (assembly GCF_000001405.40). NCBI lineage: Eukaryota > Metazoa > Chordata > Mammalia > Primates > Hominidae > Homo > Homo sapiens. Next base: position 62,731,208 of record NC_000008.11, read on the forward strand.
GCCATTTCAGTGGACAGGGATCACAGGACACACACACACACACACACACACACACACACACACACACCCTTCCTTCTATACAATTATTTTTAATCATGAGTGAAATTTGATATTTTCAGTTTAATTTCAATAATACGGTATTTACATTTATTTTCTTTGATATTATAACTGTCTTTTCTCTTACACTGAAAATCTTTATTAAATCATTGATGTGATTACTTATTGTTTTAACCCTCAATACAAGGAAAATGATTTTAAAATACCAAACTGATATAAATACACTAGTAAATACTGTTTTGGTACCCTGTTTTCATCCCCTTGACAAAGCCAATGTGACCTCTCATCAGCTCCTGTAGTGATTGGCTGCTGATGTCTCCGGGGGAACCCTTCCTGCCTAGGAAGTTAGCTCGGGCTCCCATCCCTGACAGCAGGCCACAGCTGACTGACTGACATAATAGTACAAAAAGTTAGCCCCCGAAACCGCAAAAGCCAGTGCCCTTTGGTGGGGAGGAGGAGACCACTGAGTCATGGTTTAAGATCCAGAGCCCTCCACTGAAGGTCAGATCAAGGACAGACTACCTGAGATCAGATCCAGTTTCTTTTCATCCCTCCCTCACAAGTCTTTCTTCAAGAGCACTTCCTCAAAAATTCACTTGCACCAAATCTCCTGTGTCAGATTCTGCTTCTAGGAAACCCTACATAAGACAACTACGAACAATGTAACTCCAGAGGGAGGTTTGAGATTTCATTTTTTTTTTTGCCCATAGAATGCATCTCATTAAGAATATATAATCAAAATGCCATATTATAAAGTCACTTTAAATGCTTTCTGTATGTGTGTATAGTACCAGACGGATATGCAATTGGGTACACTTGGGTTTTATTTTTAATTTAAAAAATGTTTTAATAATTTAGATTTTTTAAGAATATTGCACTTATGACCCAAAAGTCGTAACTAGGAAAACTAAGAAAACTCTTATCTGCCCCCAATAGATGTCATTAATTATATTTTTCTCCAAAATTATTTATTGTATCTAGTTTTCAAATTGATTTGCATAGAGTTGATCGTATTAAACTTTATTGATAATGTTACATTGATTTATTTTTGTTTTAAATATTTCTCATTTTTCTTTTTGATTTCTTCTCAATGAATGAAGTCTTACCAAAATGTAAAAGTTTTTAAATGTGGAATTCTTTTATACATTTTTTTGCTATTGATACTTATTTTAATTGCATTATTGTCAGTCCACATTATCTATGTAATATAATTTTCATAAATGCTTCATGTGTAATTTTATAATGTATAAATGTATATTTTCTAATTTAGGGGCCCAGGGTTCTAGCTGCATGTATTAGATCAAACTTGTTAGTTATTTTGTTCTAATCTGCACCCCTAATATTTTTGTTTCATCTGACAAATATTGATGGTGGACTTGACAATTACTACACACAGTTCTGTTCATTTTTGTTTCCTATGTATTGACACTAATGTACTGTATACACAGTTTTCACAGTTTTTTTATTATTATGTGGGGATTCTCTTTATGTTTTTCCATAAAGTCTATTTTGTCTGATACTAGTATAATTATATCACATTTATACCTTTATTATGTATTTTTCTATACATTTACTTTCAATACTTCTGTGTCCAGATGCTTAAATGAGCCTCTTGTAAATGACACATAGCTGAAATTTTTAGTTGTAGAATTAGTCAAATAAATATTTATTGAGATTATTCATATATGTGTTATTGCTTCTACCATCTATCTTTTGCTTTCTATTCATTGTGATTTTTAATGTTTTTTTATTCCTGACACTATCATTATATTTTAAATTTTTCATTTATTCTCTACTACTTCAAAATCATATACTCATTTTACTTTTATTCTAATAAAACTTCACCCTAAACTTTTACCACCCACATTTACATTTAAAATTAATCATTACTGCTACCCTCCACCTAAACAATACTAAAACCTCACCTTCCTTCCATCTTGCATGGCACTGATGAGCAACTTTTAATTCCACCCTGTTTTTGCCTCATAAGTTAGGCATTATTTTTGTCTCATATGAATAATATTTATGGGAATTTGCCTATCTTCTAGGACCTTCTTTCTTCCTGAAATACACTTAGGAAGTTCCATTGGTGGTAAATAGTCTAGATTTTATTTGTCTGAAATGCTTTTGTTTCATCATTTTAAATAAAAGTTTAATCAGATATATATCTATACGTATATATTTCTGAGTTAAATCAGCAAGAGAGTAATAGGTTCTTGCTTCCATTGTTGCTGTTGACAACCACACTTAATCAAACATTCTTTTGTTGGCAAGTTTTTCTCTTGACTGCGTTTTAATAACTTCTTTTTTTTAATTTAATATGTTATTATTTTACTGTAGTGCTCTGGATGTGAAAATGTCTACCATTCATTAAGTTTGAAAATTCTTCAAGAACTTTTTTCTAATATTGCCTCCTACTCATTTTCTTATTCTCACCTCCAAACTCTGATCAGATGTGTATCAAACCTTCTCATTCTATTCTCCATGCCTATTGGCCTTTCATGTTTTCTGAATATATAGCTCTTTGTGTTGAATTATGGGTAATCTCTTCAAATACATCTTCCAAATCATTGACTGTCTCTTAAATCTGTCTAATCTGCTTTTTAACCTATCTATTGATTTCTTGCTTCAATTATGTTTTTAATCTCTAGAAGTTAAACATACCTGTTTATTTTAATATTCTCTTCCCTTTAGTGATTTTTCATCCCAGTTTTTATTTTTATGAACATTTTAAGGGCTGGGTATAGTGGTTCACACCTGTAATCCCATCACTTTGGGAGGCCATTGCAAAAGGGCTGCTTGAGCCCAGGAGTTCAAGACCTACCTGGGTGATATAGTGGGACTTCGTCTCTAAAAAAGCCTTGAAAAATCAGCCAAGTGTGGTGGTGCACAACCGTAGTGTCAGCTACTTGGTAGGCTGAGGTGGGAAGATCACCTGAGCCCAGGAGGTGAAGGTTGCAGTGAACCGAGACTGAGCCTCTGCACTCCAGCCTGGGTGACAGAGCAAGTTCCTGTCTCAAACAAACAAACAAACAAAACTTTTTATGTAATAATTCTAAAATCTAAAGTTGCTGATTCTTAAATTGTGCTGTTTACATATTTCCTGTTGGCTGTTTTTCATATAATTTTTTTTCCTTTTGGATTTGGCAAATTTTTACTATGGGAAATTATTAGAACTATTTAGTCTTAATCTTTGGAAAACCTGAGGGATCTAGTTTTAAGATAAATTACTTTAGAAAGGAATGTTTGAATTTCCCCTGATAAGTCAGGAAGAATGCTTGAACCCATTCAGAATTCCCTTTCTTATGGTAAATTTCTTCTCAGGGAATTTTACCTTTTCCTAAAATCTTAGCTCGATTTGAATACTCCAAGAGAAATAAGAAAAACCAAGAGAGAATACAGTCACGGAAAGGAGAATGTTTTGAGAAAAAGTCAGGAGTTAGTAATGTCAAAAACTGCTGAAAGGCAAGAAAGATAAATGCCAAGAAGTCTGTGTCATATATAGTGATATCTGTGAATTTAGCCAGAATAGCTAAGAGTCACGTTATCATCTGAAAGCCAATTTGCTAAAATTTCATCTTTCCTTTATTTATGAAGTTAAGTTTCACTGGATACAAAATTCTTCACTGATAATTGTTTTGTTTGAAGAGGCTGAAGATAGGGCTCCAATCCCTTCTGGCTTGTGCGGTTTCTGCTTAGAAATCTGCGTTAATATGATTGGTTTTTCTTTCTAGGTTACCTGATGCTTTTGCCTCACAGCTCTTAAAATTATTTCCTTTGTCTTGACTTTAGATACACTAATGACTATGTGCCTAGGTGATTATCTTTTTGTGATGAATTTCTCAGGTGTTTTTTGAGCTTCTTATATTTAGATGTCTAGATCTCTAGCAAAGTCAGGGAAGTTTTCCTTGACTATTCCCTCAAATATGTTTTCCACACCTTCAGATTTCTCTTCTTCCTCAGAAATACCAATTATTCTTAGGTTTGGTTAGTTAACATAATCCCAAACTTCTTGGATGCTTTGTTCCTTTAAAAAGTTTTTCTTTTCTTTGTCTTCGCTGGATTGGGTTAATTCAAAAACCTTTCTTTCTTTCTTTCTTTCTTTCTTTCTTTCTTTTTTTTTTTTTTTTGAGCTCTGAAGTTCTTTATTCTACTTGTTCAATTCTATTGCTGAGACTCTCCAGTGCATTTTGCATTTCTCTGAGTGTGTCCTTTATTTCCAGAAGTTGTGATTGTGTTTTATTTACATTATTTATTTCTCTGGAGATTTTTCTTTCATATCCTGTAACATTTTTTAAATGTCTTTAAGTTGGCATTCACCTTTCTTTGGTGCCTCGTTAAGTACCTTAATAATACACCTTCTGAATTCTTTTTCTGGTGATTCAGCGATTTCTTCTTGGATCCATTGCTGGTGAACGAGTGCGATCTTTTGGGAGTGTTAAAGAAACTTGTTTTGTTATATTACCAGAATTCTTTTTCTGGTTCCTTCTTGTTTGGGTACACTATATTAGAGGGAAGATCTGGGGCTCAGTAGCTGCTGTTCAGATTGTTTTGTCCCATGGTGTGACTCCTTCATGTGGTGCTCTCCCCCCTTTCCCTAGGAATGGGACTTCCTGAGAGCTGAACTGCAGTGATTGTTATTTCTCTCCTGGATCTAGGCTCCCAGCAGAGCCTCCTGGGCTCAAGGATGGTACTGAGGAGTGTCTGCAAAGGGTTCCGTGATGTGATTGGTCTTCAGGTCTCTCAGCCATGGATACCAGCACCAGCCCTGGTGGACGTAGCAAGGGAGTGAAGTGGACTCTGTGAAAGACCTTGGTTTTATTTTTGTTTAGTTTTCTGGTTTTGTGTTTGTTGGCTTCCAGCCAGGAGGTAGAGCTTTCAAGACAGCATCAGCAACAGTAGTATAGGAAGGATATAGGCTTGCCCTAGGGTCACCTGGATAAGTTTCTCAGGTAGTGGGCAGGATCATAGAGCTCCCAGAGGATTACGTCCTTTGTCTTTGCCTACCAGGGTGGGTAGAGAAAGACCTTCAGATAGGGAGCGGATTAAGTGTGCCTGAGGTCAAACTCTCCTTGGGCAAGTCTTGCTGTGGTTACTGTGGGGGTTGCTGGTGTGGATTTCAGGCCAATGGAGTTATGTTCCAAGGCAGATTATGGCTACCACTGCTGCAGCATACAAGTTGCCAAGGAAGTGGGCAAAAGCCAGCAGTGACAGGCCTCACTCAGCTCCCACGCAGCACCAAAGCCCCGACTCACTCTCACCATGTCACCGTGCCCACGCAACAGCACCAAGTTTATTTCCAGGCAGCCACTAAGCAGGGCTGAGAACTTGCCCCAGGCTACCAGCTTCCTCACTGAGAAAGCAAGCAGGGCTCTCAAGTTTCACACATCCCCACCTGCCAATGGCTTCTGTGCTGTGTCTGCATTCCTGGTTCACTCTCTCCCCCAGATTCTGTCCAGGAAAACTTCGCATTCAGTCAAAATTGTTACAAAGTTCAGCTGGAAGTTTCCTTCTCCCTGTAGTCTTTCCCTAATTTGACTGGCGAGACACAGGACCCCAGTGAGACAAAGTCTTAAGTGGCTTCCCTGGGGACTGAGAGTTCCTACAGGGCTTCTCTCAATGCTTCCTCTAGCCCTATATTTTCCTCAGCTCTCTAAATTCATCTCAGCTCCAGGTAAGGTCAAATTCTCCCATGATCTGGACCTTCAGGTTCCCCAGTGAGGATGTGTGTTTGGAGGTGGACATCCCTCTTCCACCCATTGGGCACTCACAGTTTTTTGGCTTTCTCACAGAACCTATAGCCTCAATCTGCTTCCACCAAAGGGTCTGTGGATTCTCTTGGCTTTTTGTTGTGTTCCTGCAGTAGACCTTGGAGCAAAAGTTCATGATATGAGTTTCCATCAAAAGTTCATGATGTGAGCTCCTGAGTGGGACCCACAAGTTAGTTGTGCCTGCTGTCTGCCATTTTTTCCTGCCAACCTCTCAAAATTGCCCTTGTTTGATGATAGGAATGAGCAGAAGCATTGTCATGGTGGAGAAGGACCCTGGTGAAGCTTTCCTGAATGTTTCTCTGCTAAAGCTTTGACTAACTTTCTCATATCACTTTTACAATAAGCAGATACTATTGTTCTTTGGCTCTCCAGAAAGTCAATAAGCAAAATGACTTGAACACCCTGAAAAACTGTTGCCATGACTTTTACTCTTGACTGGTCCACTTTGGCTTTCTCTGGACCACTTCTACCTCTTGTTAGCCATTGTTCTGATTGTGCTTTGTCTTTAGAATCACACTGGTAAAGCCATATTTTATCTCCTGTGGCAATTCTTCAAGAAAATGCTTCAGGATCTTGATCACACTTGTTTAAAATTTCCAATAAAAGCCCTGCTCTTGTCTGCAGCTGATCTGAGTGCAATGGTTTTGGCACCCATCAAGTGGAAAATATCCTCAACTTTATTTTTTTAGTCAGAATTGTGTAAGCAGAACCAGTTGAGAAATCTATGGTGTTGGCTATAGTATGTGCTGTTAATCATCAACCCCCTTCAATTAGGGCACAAACAAGATAATTTTTTTTCCTTACAAATTGATGTGAATGATCTGCTGGTATGAGCTTCATCATCAACACTGTCTTGTCTCTTCTTAAAATGAGTTATCATTGATGGGCATTTGGGTTGGTTCCAAGTCTTTGCTATTGTGAATAGTGCTGCAATAAACATATGTGTGCATGTGTCTTTAGAGTAGAATGATTTATAATCCTTTAGGTATATACCCAGTAATAGGATTGCTGGGTCAAATGGTATTTCTGGTTCTAGATCCTTGAGGAATCGCCACACTGTCTTCCACAATGGTTGAACTAATTTACACTCCCACCAACAGTGTAAAATCGTTCCTATTTCTCCACATCCTCTCCAGCATCTGTTGTTTCCTGACTTTTTAATGATCACCATTCTAACTGGTGTGAGATGGTATCTCATTGTGATTTTGATTTGCATTTCTCTAATGACAGTGATGATGAGCTTATTTCCATGTGTTTTTTGGCCACATGCATGTCTTCTTTTGGCCAGGCACGGTGGCTCACACTTGCAATCCCAGAAATTTGGGAGGCTGAGGAGGGCAGATCACCTGAGGTCAGGAGTTCAAGACCAGACTGGCCAACATGGTGAAACCCTGTCTCTACTAAAATACAAAAATTAGCCGGGCATGGTGGCATGTGCCTGTAATCCCAGCTACTCGGGAGGCAGAGACAGGAGAATTGCTTGGACCTAGGAGGCATAGGTTGCAGTGAGCCCAGTTCATGCCACTGCACTCCACCCTGGGTGACAGAGCAAGATACTCCATCTCCAAAAAAAAAAAAAAAAAGTCCTCTTTTGAGTAGTGTCTGTTTATATCATATCCTTTGCCCACTTTTTGATGGGGTTGTTTTTTCTTGTAAATTTATTTAAGTTCCTTGTAGATAATGGATATTTGCCCTTTGTCAGATTGATAAATTGCAAAAATTTTCTCCCATTCTGTAGGTTGCCTATTCACTCTGTTGATAGTTTAGTTTCTTTTGCTGAGCAGAAGCTCTTTAGTTTAATTAGATCCCATTTGTCAATTTTGGCTTTTGAAATGCCCTCCAATGATAGACTGGATAAAGAAAATGTGGCACATATACACCATGGAATACTATGCAGCCATAAAAAAGGATGAGTTCATGTCCTTTGCAGGGACACGGATGAAGCTGGAAACCATCATTCTCAGCAAACTGACACAGGAACAGAAAACCAAACACCACATATTCTCACTCATAAGTGCAATTGAACAATGAGAACACATGGACACAGGGAGGGAAACATCACACACCAGGGCCTGTTGGGGGTTGGAGGCTAGGAGAGGAATAGCATTAAGAGAAATACCTAATGTAGATGATGAGTTGATGGGTGCAGCAAACCACCATGGCACTTGTATACCTATGTAACAAACTTGCACATTCTGCACACATAACCCAGAACTTAAAGTATAATTTACGAAAAAAAAAAATATATATATACACAAATTAAAAAAAAGAATTATCTATTTGTAAACTGTGGATTTCTTTGGAGCATTGTCCTCATAAACTTTTTGTATAGCATTAATGATTTCAGCATTCTTCCACCCAAGCTTCACTGCAAATTTGTTGTTTGTTCTTGTGTTTATTTTACCAGAATTTATGTTGCTCTGATAGGGGCTCTTTTCAAACTGATGTCTTAACATTCTCATTGCTTCAAACTAGAGCCTGTTCAGACATATTACAACAAGTTAGTATGAGTTTATTTTGGTGCAAAAAAATTGAAATCCATGCATAGGTTTTTTTTTAAAATAATAGCATTTTCCATGAACTTTTTAAAGATCCCTCTACCTGTTAAATGGATGGATAAGGCTTCATTGCTCCCTGAAGTGATCGTATCTAAGGAAGTAAGCCCCAAAATGAAAATAAAAGGCTCGATAACCTTTAGCTCTGACTCTTGTCTATAATTAATGGTAAAGAATTGAAAAATTCTAGCAATACCTAGTTGTAAAGATAAGAAAGAGGAGATCAAAATGATCAGTGGCCACTCCTCAATCTGTAGGCTGCTCTTTATAGCCAACATCAGTGGCAAAAGTCCAAATGATTATGACTTGCTCATAAATTGCAGGATAAATTTTTTTAGAAAGCAACAGGACATGACAGACACTCCTAATGAAAACGTAAATACCTTTTAAGCCTATCTGTAAGAGATGCTTTTAATGTAGAAAAATATCATATAATTTTTGATATATTTGAACTAATTCTAAGCCTTTGTATTACAAGCTCCAAACACTTAAACCTATCAATCACTCTATTTGCTCTTTATTATATAGATCCATAGTGCTCTATGAAATATTTAGTGTTTCAGGAAAAAGAAAACAATTAGAAAAATAAGACATTTGCCCTAACTATTCTAATTTATATTCTGAGACGAAAAAATATTTCAGAAGAAGTTCAATTGGCATGAATTCTACTATATAAATATAAGATCAAAGCACACTCTGTAAAATTGAACAAAATCTGGTTTCTTAAGTATATATGGGCTTCTCTTTAAGGTCACGTTTTCACTTACAGATGGGCTGACTTGTGATGGAAACAAAAGTGAAAAGACAAAGAAAGTAGATGGCTATATAAAAATGAATGCAATAACTTTTTGAGCTGCAACTAAGGAGAAAGGCAAAAAAATGATTATTGTTAGAAGTTAGGAGTCCATTTCTAGAAATAGAAAGCATTACATTTAAATTAGACACATACCCAAAAAAAGGAGATTATTAAAAGAGCAAAGAATAATAATAGAGAGACTAGCTCCTTGACTAATGAGAAATTGTATAGTGGTATACTGTAAAGAAGTGAATATTGTTTTTTTTAGAACATAAGCTGATTCTAATATAGCAACCACACTTACTATGAATAAAATGTGTGCAGGCATATGCACATACATAGTTAATGAACAACATTTCAAATAATTCTGGGTATCTTTTTTAATTGAAATATTTGGAGAATATGAGAGCAAGTTTGGAATTCACACTAATGAAATGAAAGAGCTCAAACATTTAATGTTTACTTAAATATATTTTAGGGAAAAGGTAGATACCATGGAATACATTTCTTTTAAGTCATAACTCTGTGAATATATAAGGTATACCTCACACATGGTTATCAGGTGCTTTTTCTTTTTCTCCTTGTCCACCCTTAAAGCCACCATTTAATGTTCTTACTACCTTGACTCCTAAACTTTATGAAAAAAAAAAAAAACACCAAATCTTCTCCTCTTAGTTTCTTTATGTCCTTGTAATCCAGTTTTTTACTCCCAGAACTCTCTTGGAATTGCATTTTGTAAGGTTGTCTATTGCCCCAATAATAAGAAAATTTAGTAGTCTTTTTTAGGAGACTTTGAGTCTATGACGTTACAGACTTACCTGAAATTCTCTTTTCTATTGTCCTTGAAGTTCTGAACACTGCACTCCAATATATGCCATTCTGGCATATTGATTGTTTTGAGTTAAAGAGGAAGTGGGAAGGGGGAGAGGGAGAAAGAAAAAAAAAGAATGAGTGAGAGAGAAGAAAGAGAGAGAAAGAAGGAAGGAAGGAAGGAAGGAAGGAAGGAAGGAAGGAAGGAAGGAAGGAAGGAAGGAAGGCAGGCAAGCAAGCAAGCACACTCCAACCTTCCTAAAAGCAGGAGATAAAACTCCCATGTGGAATGTCTTCTCCCCTCCACTGGAAGAAGGAAGACCTTCTTATCACCAGAGTTGAAGAGTCGAGGCTGAGAGAAATCTCCACCAACAACCTGTATTAAACTAACCCTTATCTTCCTAGCCACTTCTCTGTAAACAACTACCTCAGCCCAAGCCCCCTTGCTTTGTTACATTTTCACAATTTACCACTCTTTTTCCAAATAAGTATATAAGTTGTCAACTCTAATTGCAGCTTTGTGTTTTTATTTCCTTATGATGGCTCCATGTCAGGTAAAACTGATAATAAATTTGTACGCTTTGCTCTCCTGTTAATTTGCCTTGTGTAAATTTAATTCTCAGGCCCAGCTAAAAACTCTAAGAGGGTAAAGGTAAAATTGTGCCTTCCCTACAACCTTAACATGCTGTCTTGTCTCTAGGCTGCCCTCACACCTCCCAAACCCTCCTACTTGGTTTTATTTTTGGGTTTCTCTGTTTTCTCTTTGCCCTCTTCTTCCTTATTCTACAAACTATTCCTTGATCATCACGTATGTAAAGCAGGAAAAATAATTTTTTCTCTACCCTTCTGAGTTCTTAGCTGGGACTCTTTTTCACAAAAGGCAGATTAATAAGAAACTTGAAACAAGCAGAATTTTATTAACATGTATATCTTATATATATATATATATAGGTGATACTCAGGACTAAAAGACTAATTCTTAAATAGGTGGCTTAGAATTCAGGCTTAAATAACATCTTCAACTGAAAACAAAGAAAGAAGAGTGTGGGGCAGGCTAGTTATAGGAAACTTATGACAGATAAAAACTAGTTAGTAAAGTTCATTATGTAGATTTCTCTGATGCCCTCTCCAGGATGACAAAGGTCTAAAGTAATCTCAGGTAGTTAACTTTAGTTTTTACTGGTAGAGAAGGAAGGAGGGACATCATTGTAAATTTATGTCTTGCTTTTAGGCAAATAGGAAAAAGACAGAGAGATCTGTATATATCTGCTTCTTCTCAGTTGCCTTCAGCTCAAAAAATCCTCATGCCAAAGTGGAACATTTTGGGGTGGCATATTCTGCTACCCTGGACATATGCTTGCATAAATACAAATGCCATTGTTTATATCTTTTTAACTCTAAAGACAAAAGCAAAGACACCAGTTGTATCAGTTGTCAACCTTCTCAACTGTGATGTGCTTAAATCATCACACAGTAGTCTATTTCCAAGAAGTAAAAGAGAAATGGCATTTGAACTACTGACATTATTTTTAAGATTAATTCATTGATTTATGGTTTAGCATTAACCCATTGTATTAGTCTGTTCTCACACTGCTAATAAAGACATTCTAGAGACTGGATAATTTATAAAGGAAAGAAGTTTAATTAACTCACAGTTCAGCATGGCTGGGAAGGCCTCAGGAAGCTTACAAACATGGTGGAAGGGGAAGCAAGCTCATCCTTCTTCACAGGAGAGAGAAGAATGAGAACCAAGCAAAGGGGGAAGCCCCTTCTAAGACCATTAAATCTTGTGAGAACTTACTCACTATCACTAGAATAGCATGGGGAAAACCACCCCTATGACTCAATTACCTCCAACAGGTCCCTTCCACCACATGTGAGATTATGGGAACTACAATTCAAGATGAGATTTGGGTGGGGGACACAGCCAAATTATATCACCCATGTATTTCAAAACTACACACTTTGATGTGGTAACTAAAAGCTTCAACAATAAAGTGATTTGTGTTTCTTTTTCTGTATAAAATGTTATTTTCTGTGTGGTGTTTCCTTTGATATACCTTGTATAGAAAACTGAGTTGTCATGTGGTAAGTTTAAAAAAAAATGTTTCTAATCTAGTACTGAAATAGATAGAAATCAGACACAAACTTTAGATAAAATGTTACAGTGTAGGTGTGGAAAGGGTGTGATACTTTTTTCCCCGTTGAAAGGGTCACAGTCCACACTCCTAAAACAAAAGAGAGGTTAACAAGAGAAAAGCATTATAGATTTATTCAATCAAAGTTTTACATGTCATGGGAGACTTCAGAAATGAAGACTTAAAGATTCAGGGAAAACTGTCTATTTTTATGTTTTGATTTGATGTAGAATGCACAACCATGTAGAAAGAAGAACAGACTCAGGCATGGTGGCTCATGGTCCTAGCAATGGTCCTAGCTATGCAGGAGTGGGAGGCAGGAGAATTTGCTTGAGTCCAGGAGTTCAAGGATGGAATGAGCTATGTTCTCACCACTGTACTCCAGCCTGGTCAACAGATGGAGACTATCTCAAAAATAAAAAATAAATATGATTGAACCAAAAAAGTAGGACCTAATGGTAAGAGACTGAATGGGGAAACCCAACAAGACCTGTCTGCTCAGATTCTTCTTGGCTTCTCTGTGTGGCATTTCTTCTTCCTAGGTATAGGGTAAGACCTTTCTGGAGTAACAGTCTTATGTCTACCTTTAGACAAGGTAAGTCAGAGAATTTCTTTATTGCTAGCTCTTACACAGAAAGGCAAGTGATAGAGTAATATTTCTAGATTTTATGGCCAGCTGTGGGAGAAAAGGGTTCTGGTTCGTTCTGGTTCTATGACCTGTCTTAGGGAAGAGGAATACTAATTTCTATGGCCTGCCTTGGGGAGAAAGGAAAGCAGGAGAAAGAAGGGCAGAAGAAGGTTAGAAAGAGACTTTCCTTCTGAAGTTCTTCCAGTGTCCTTCATGTTCAAAGTACTCAGCATGCCAAATCACTATATTTGGGGGTGTCATTTTCAGAGCTCCCACACAAAAAACTTAAGAAGTTTGAAGTTTAAGTATAATTTAATGTTATTTATATTCTCATTCAAATTTTAATATAGTCATTGTGAGGAATAGTACCATTTATAAATATGTTATAGTTCCAACAAATTTAATGATACCTATGCTGAAAGGTTTTATGAGTGTAACAAATATGTATGATTAGTTCATAAATTGACTCTTGTTTTATTTGTATAATATAAATTTTAGTTAAAGTCATACTGAAGTGAACTCACAGTCTGCAATAGGAAAGGTCGCTGGGTAAGAATGCTTAAGGAATGGAAATCGCTATGAATTTTGAGATCATGCTAGTTCATCTCGAACCTGGTGAATTCTATTAAGATGAGAAATAATGTATAGTTCTTCTGTAATGAGCACATCTAACTGTAAGAAATTAAATCTGATGACCAAAAAAGGGAGCAATCAGTGTGCATCTCTGATGTTTGTGTGCAGGTAAATTGCCTTGCGTTAAACTGAATTTGGTAGCTGAAGCAATTATTTCTCTATAATATTTTCCCTTCAGAGAGTAACTGCAAATGATACAAGTAGCAAACCAACAACCAAAAAAATGACCTAAACGTTTTATTATCAATAAAGTGCTACAACTGTGAAGGTAACTGAATAGAAAACCAACAATCAAAAGGAAAAAGGCATAACATGTTTTATTATTGATATAATTTGAGGCATACTTATAATGATACTTTGAATTCCTTGAATTGAAGAAAATCGAAAACTGCATAGTAACCCTGCCTACTTATATGCACTGGGAATGTTACTACCCTTGTGATTCACTTACCATATACAGCAGTGTAAAAAGAGGGTTTCCCTACTGTCCTTTTCAGAGAGCTCCACCCTGATTACTTTCAGTGCCACCCATGTGTAAGTTCAAGGCTTTCCATTTCCCACTAGCTTCCTCTAAGTTTTCAGAGTTCCAACCTCAATTTCAGGCATTTAGGTGTCTCCTTGGCAACTGAAGTGGACACTGTCCTCAAAGGAACCTTGGAATGCACTGACGTGTGTCAGTTGTGCTGCATAGTCTGCGGGCAGCCTCTGCACCTCTCAGCAAAAGTCACGTACGGACCCTGCTCCAACATGGCCCCCTGGCACTAAGACAGAGCTCACTGTTGGAGGGAGTGGAGGCTGGAAAATAAACAAAAGCTGACTCTGCTCCTGCATCCCCAGCTACCCTGCAGAGCAGTGTCCTTGCCCGGGGACTGCTTTGGCCTCTCTCCATCACCACTACTTCTTCTACCCAATCTACATGGGTGGTTGCAGTCTTTGGATTATTTGGAAGTCAAGGTCCTGGTCCCTAATCTGTTCTTTTCAATCTATTGTTTATGACCACAACATTATGATCTTAGCCCTTCATACATTAACACCCCAGAAATACTAAAGGGCATCTCTTAAGGATCAAAAACCAGGCTATTTTTTCCATTAAGAGCTCTGAAAGTGTATTTTGATATACATAAAAGTTAAGGTTTGTCTTCTTTGTTCTTGTGATTGACTGTGGTGCCATTTTCTTGAAACAACTGAGGAGGAAGGACCTGGCTGTCTTCAGAGTATAAGGAATGATCAGGGCTTTGGAGGGGGAAGACAGCAAGTAATGTGAGAGAGTGCCGCATTATAGCTAAAAGTAAACACTGCACAGGATTACATCCCAGCTCCACCACTAACTAGCTATGCTACCATGGACAAATTAAATTACCTCACTGTGACTTACTTTTCTCACCAATATTAGTTTCTCATGACTGCTTTAACAAATCATCACAAAATTGATAGCTTAAACCTCAGAAATTTATTCTCTCACTGTTCTGAAGGCCAGAAGTCTGAAATCAGCTTCACTGAGCTGAATTCAAGGTCTTGGCAGGGCCAAACTCTCTCTGAAGCTTTAGAGGAGAATTCTTCCTGGCGTCTTCCCACTTTTGGTGGCTGGCAGCAATCCTTGCTGGCTGCCACATCCCAGTCTCTGCTTCTATGGTCACATTGCCTTTGCCTCTTCTACCTTGTGTCTAATCTCTCTCTGCCTCCCTCTTATAAGAATATACACGATTGCATTTAGGGTCCACTCAGATAGTCCATGATCATCTCCCCATCTCATGATCCTAATTTAATCACATCTGCTCAGTCCTTTATTGCCTTATAAGGTAAAATTCACAGGTTCCAAGGATTAGAAGCTAAGTATCATTGGTGGAGGCAATTATTCAGCCTGCTATAAATTAGCTTGATCATTAAAGTGCCTACATGAACATTCAAGAATATAATATGTGAAATTCACTTAGAACAACATCTACCATGCCATAAAAGCATTCAACAATATTTATCCTATGATAGTGATATTCATGATGTTGCAGCAACAAGAAAATGCAGACAAAAGTTTCAAGGTAGAAATTATTTTTAAATAAATGTATATGGAAGATCTCATGTCTGGATTTTTTAAATATATGTTGCCCTTAAAATGTTAATAGTAATCAAAGGATTATCTCCCCATTGAATAACTATAACCCAATAGTTTAGGCATATAATACATGCAGCCACTTGGGGCTTTGTCTTTTGTTACTTTTCACTTGAAATTGAAATCACTGTAGCAATTTCATCTACCCTGAATTCTTCCTAAGGTCAAAGTCAAAGACGTGATGTAATACAATTTCCTCATTTTGCTCTTTTGTCTCCTACCCACCTAGGACACCGATCTAATGACATTCAATATCTCTGTACATCGGTCATGGTGGAGAGAACATGGGCCTGGTTGTGTCAGAAGAGTGCTGCCTCCCTCAGCCCATGGCATGATGGACGATTACACGTACGTCTCTGTCACAGGCTGCATCGTTGACTTCCAGTACCTGGAGGTCATCCACAGTGCTGTCCAAATACTACTCTCTGTAAGTGTCACTTTTGTGTCATTATCTAATCAGAACTCTTCTTTGCTGGCATTTTTTTCTCCACATCTACCTGATAGAAAATGCCACAGATAAGCACACAGAGAACATCCAACAGAAATAGAAGCAATTATGGTACCACTAGTTATACCTGATGGCAGGTTACACCTTTTTTCTCTTGGTATCTAGACATTTTGTATTTAGAAGCAGTTAGTGACTATCATTTCTAACTTAAGATACAGTCCACACTATTCAATGAAACAGTATCACCATCCACCAGAAGTGGTCCCTTTTCACTTAACTACCTCAGGCTCTTCTACTAATGCATTCTTCGACTAATGCACCTCAGTTCCAGAGAAAGAAGGATGGAAACACCCACAGCCAATGGCTTGCTTGGTCTAATAAACCTGACATTTCATTTATTCCTTAAAAAACAAATCCCACTGGAGACTCTTCGCATTTTAGTGCCTAAAATCTGGCATCAGAATACAATTCCATATACAGAAACGAGAAGGAAATGATGTGATTAGTCCACAGAAGGTTAATGTGCCAGGGATTCCTTAAAAGTAATTTTATTCCACCAGACTGCCCCACTCACAGTTTGACCACAATGAAGAGTGGAATTAATTTAAGGATGTATAACATCATCAAGAACAATGTTCCTTTCAGACCCGAAAAGGACTTATCATTTAGTTTGAGTCAATATCCAATAAAGCCATTCTCAACCCACTCTTCACATAAACCAACCATCTCAGTTCTGTTCAACTGAGCTTAGCTTAGTAGGAATAAGAGACACAGACTCAATAGTAAATAAATAGATAACACAAATATGAGTGGTTATGTCAATGAAGAAGGTACCTTGGAATTAATTCTAGAAAATCTTTAAGAAATCCTTGCTATCACTTACTGTATTCATTATCTACTACTATGTAACAAACCACTCCAAAATGCAATTGCTTAAAACAATATTAATTTATTGCTTAGAGTTCTGTGCATTAGGAATTTGGGCACATCTCAGCCAGGTAGTTCTTCTGCTTTATGTGGTATTAGATAAGGTCACCCATATAAACTCCACACAATATTGGCTAGGGTCACTGATGTGAGCCTGTCAATCTTGAGCTTTGCTGGGACTGGAATGTCCAAAGAGGCCTCACTCACATCTCTGGTGCTGGCTGTTGGCCCCATTCTCCTGCACATGCACATGGCTTCTCTTTCTGGGAAAAAAAAAAAATTGACCGATTCTCAGGCAACAAGGTAGCTGAATAATAAAAGGTGAAGTCAACACGCAAGCATTTGTCAAGCCTCTACGTGAGTAATGCTTGCTATTGCTTCGTTGGCTACAGCAAATCTATGACTCAGCCTGTAGTTAATGTGAGAGGGGGCTATCAAAAGGTGAGAAGACAAGGAGGCATGGCTCTTCTAGGGCCACCAGTGTAGTGATCTTACCTCATTTACTCAATCTACTATTTACTATTCTTGAATTTGCATGTCTCAAGTTTTAAAATGATGTTTCAGAGCACATTTGAATTACAATCTTCTAGAAAGACTAAAGATCTGAATAAAACAAAAATCAAAGATCTTTTAGAGTTCTAGTTCAAAGAAAGGCAAATTTGATACTGAACTCAAAGAAAGGGATTGCACCTTGATGGGAAGGAATTTCTTTTCAGACATGCAACAGGGAATCTGATCATTCTAGGTTTCTACAATCATATTTACAGGTATAAATATAATATACAGTCACTTGCCAATATATGCTTATCAGTCTTTTCTTATTCTCTGATCCTTTGTTAATGTAGCCATTACATACAAAATTGTGGCAAAATATATATGTTTAAATTTTTGTCTTGAAAAAATGTGGAGGCAAATTTTCTTTTAAAAATGTGTAGGCTATTTTAAGTTATAAAAGAACTCTATTATCCTATACTAGATACTAACAGTTTTTATTAATCATCTTGAACAATGAAAATGTTTTTCTAAAATCTTTCATATGTGGACAGATTACTCTCCTTTAAAAAATTATCGTAGCAAATTGCTAAACCATTTTGTGGAATGATAGCATGGCCAGACCTTTACAATGCAGCAGGACGCTTGGAATCCAAAAGTCATTTCCCCATAGTAACTCCAATTCAAATGAACAGCAAGTATTTATTTGATAAGGAGCTGGAGTGTCACATAAAAACATTCCCTAAAGGACAATCTAAATAAACTGTATGTGTTGCCACCTAAAAGTACTTTTCCCTTATAAATGAATTTCTCCACGTGTTATTTTAGTAAACATTCAAAGCTACCACCCTGCACATATAGCTCTATACTCTTCAGCCTTTGAGAAATAAAAGATTAGTTGCTGCTCACTGACTTTTCTTGGAACACACCTGCAGGACAAGATTTTTAATATTTTATCTTTTTATATTAAAGTAAAATATATCAAGAAATTGTTTCACAACTATCCAATTATGTATTAGTGGTGTGACTGATTTTTGTATGGGTTTCTTGTGTTTGTCACTTATTTTATATGATTATGTATACTTATTAGAATTGTGCTTTTTTCTTTTCTTTTTTTTTTTTTTTTTTTTAAGACGGAGTTTTGCTCTTGTTGCCCAGGCTGGAGCGTAATGGCGTGATCTCGGTTCACTGCAACCTCCGCTTCCCAGGTTCAAGTGATTCTCCTGCCTCAGCCTCCCGAGTAGCTGGGACTACAGGTGCACGCCGCCACGTCCAGCTAATTTTTTGTATTTTCAGTAAAGACGGATTTCACCATTTGGCCAGGCTGTTCTTGAACTCCTGACCTCAGGTGATCCACCCGCCTCGGTCTCCGAAAGTGGTAGGATTACAGGTGTGAGCCACCAAGCCTGGCCAGAATTGTGCTTCTTAAACATTTGATTCAGGAGAATCCTTCTTGTTGCCCAATATGTGCTGAAATGTTTACCTTATTACTGAAAAACAGGGGTGATGGTCGCAATATTTAACAGCCCGAGGGGCGTGGGCAACAACCAAGCAAATAGAGGGGCAGCTTCGAGAAAGGGCAGGGGCTCGGCGGCTCTGCTGCAGGGAATTACCCCTTTCATTACTGGAGGCATAGAAATATCTAGAATAACCTAGGGGAGGGACTGACGGAGGTGGCCAGGAAGGTGATTTCGGGGAGCGACTCTCCACCGAATGAGAGGGAAGTATTTGAGTGCTTTGACCACCGACACATCTCCTCCATGAATACAGCCTGAGCAAGTGCCTCGCGTGAGTGGAGCTTGGAACTGGAAGAAAAGTCACCTCTGTCATAAGCATTCCACAGACTGTGTACATGCTTGACGGAAACGAATACAATTAACTGGACTCAGAAAGGCGAAGACGGGCGGGGTTCCTTACCAGGCTGTTGCTTGGGGCTCAGGGAGCATCCCCACTCTCCACCGCCTGTGCCTTGCTTGGCGCAGAGGCCCCCAGCTTCTGCCGGCGCCTCTGTCCCTGGGAGGCGGCGGGGGGTGCCACGTGCATCCTCCCCCGGCTCTCAGGCTGAGAACGACAGGGAGAGTGCTAGGCACAGAGAAGGTTCTTGTTGTCCTAAAGTCACCAAATCCTGAAGAAGAGTTCCTGCAAATTGTCAGCAACACCAAGGTGAAAATCAGCGCGGAATCCATAGAAAGGTTGTGGATGGTATTGTGGGGGAGCAGCAAAATGCAATCCATGCTGGAGTGGAGAAGTCAAAGACAAGCAGACTCCGGCCCTGGGATGGTGAGTCCCCCGCTCTGTGCCCACTGCCCGTCTCTGTTCATATGCTCATCACTTCTCACCTGAAGCTGGCCAGTAACCTCCTAAATAATCTTCCCCACCAAGTTTTGCCCTACACTTCATGCATGCCTCCTGCTCCCTGTAAGATGATCACAAAGCGCAAATCTTATCAGTCACGTTCCTTCCGATCACCCTTCAGTGATTCTCATCACCTTCAGGATGAAATCTGAATTCCCTACTGTGCAAGGGAGGCCCTCGTGACCTGCGCCAGCCTAACTCCCACCCTCCCCTTCTGGCATCCAGCAAAAGAACCCTTCCTGTGCCATCCTCAGGCAGCGGCCTGCATGGAATGGGTTCTCCCCCAAGTCCCTTCTCCCTCCTACCCCACCTGGGCTCCTTATCCACCTAGCTCCTAGCAGACATCTTCCCCCAAAACACCTCAGGATATGTTAATTTAATTTTGTTAAGTAGTTAATACATATACTTGGTTCGAAAACATACAAATGTATACATTAAAACCTCTGTCCGGCGTTTGGGCCCCATATGCCTGGTTCTCCCATCTCTGTTTCCAACAGGCATCCAGTTTTACTCTTTTTTATTTATTTTTGTACATGAGTCCAAAGTGCCTTTATGCAAGTGCAAGAAAATGTGACTATATATTCTTATTTGCTCCCCACACAAGCTAACGTATGATATGCACTCTTCTGAGCCCTTCTTTTTATTCTTATGTATTTTGTAACTATTTCCTTATCAGTACTCAATGTATCATTGTTTATTTAATACTCTTCTATTAAATATATTGATGGACATTTGGACTCTATCCAAATATGAAAATAACTTCAGATGTATACATAACACATCTATGTGTGCATATATATACTATAGCGAGTATAATATATAGATAGTATGTGTTACATATTATAATCATATGTCATATAGCTATTATACACAATGTTATACTAAAAAACTGTGTGTGTGTGTGTGTGTGTGTGTGTATGTGTTACTGAGAGCATTTCCTAGTCCTCTCCCACTCACTCCCTCAGGCTGTACTAGATGCCCTGACACCTGAGCACACTATAATCATTGAGTTTCTATTCTATCTACTGGAAGGAAAGCTTCTTGCAGGATAGAATTGTGTTCTTTTTTCACTTGTTCATGTCTGTGGTTTCAGCAACTAATGCAGTGATGGCACATAAATATTTGTTGAATGAATAAATGATCAACAAACAAGAGACTCTGAAGTCCCAAAAGGGTGAACACAAAAGGAATCTATTGAGCAAAAACCAGCAGGAGTGAATGCATGGACAAGATGTAGGAGCCAGAGTGAAGATGCCCTTCATCTGGGAAGTTAAGAGAATGTCAGTAAAATGTTCTGTGCAGGGCATAGCACAGAAGCATTCAATACATACTAGTTTCACATTGCTATTACTAATGTTATTATTACACTGCCCTGTGCTTGTCCTTATCCTATTTAGGCTGGTCCGTCTTTTGAAGGCCAAAGGGCTCCATTCTGGTGGCACTCCATCTACTGAATTCTCATTTCTTTAATCCCACACCAGACAACTGTTTCCTGCATGAGAACATAATTCCTGTGATCTTCATAGGACACGGCAATCATAAATCCCTATTAGGAGGGCTGAACTTTTACTTAATATGTATGTATTTTCCTCAATCTTGTTTCCCAGAATTCTTTCCTACCTGTGCCTCACAAGAGCATTTGTTGGACTGAATATATTCTCATATTTTCATGAAAAAATATCAGAATTATTACAGTGGAACAAAGATTTCAGTAGCCTGTCAACAGCCAGTAGTGTGCTCCTAAAAGCTACTCTTTAACTTCTTATTTATCTCCCATTAACTAGAACTGTACTGAGTGCAGAGTGGCCACTCTTTCATAGTTATTGAGTAAATTGTTGTATACATTTTCTGGATTTTAGATTTACAAAACCCAAAGTATGTAAAATTTTTTTTAATTGGAAGTAATTTAATGAGGCTATGTCTTGATTTTATTTTATACCATTTGATAAAAACTATAGAGAAAACATACTGTCAAATTATTTCTGATGCAGACGCAATTTGTTTGGATTGGTAAGGATACCTAGCTACAGGAAAAGGGACAGTCAATCTGCTCCAAGATTGTAACTCTATCTTTGAATTTGTTCTTCCGCATGTTCTTTATTTTGAGAGTTATTTTAATAAGTTTAGACTACCTTAGTTGCTTTGCTTCCAGTGGGGGGATTTCAAAACAGTTTCTGGTGAAAATTAAAAACTATGTCTAGTTGAATTCTAAGCACTGTATTTTAGGCATTTTTAAATTACATTCTTACTCTGGGAATTTAATACCACAGATTTAAAGAGGATGCACACACACACACACACACACACACGCACGCACGCACAGTATAGCATTTCCTTTTTCTGCTAGAGAATGTGAATAAAGTATTTCTGCTTGAAATAATCTCTATTATCAATTAATGTCATCCTACAGTGCTGTATTTTACTCATTTAGCACCCGAACATCTGAAACATGAAAGCTTACAAAACTGAAATTTAAAAGTAATTTTAATATTTGTATCACATGTGGCAAAGAAAGGGTCATTATTCATAATACACAATGAGATCATTTAAATTAGTACTAAAACCATGAAAATTTAGTAATTAATTCAATGAACAATATGAACAAATGTGTTCACATAAGGGAAAAACATCCAAATTGTAAACAGTTTGGTATAAAATATAATTATTGATACTAACCTGATGTATGCAAGTTAACTTTGAAAAAATTATTTTCACTAATTTAGCAATTTGTAAAGATAATGTTAAATAGAATTGTAATTCACTTATTGGTAGAAGCAGTCTTTGTCTCAAAGACTATTAAAATGCCCATAACTTTTGGTCTTGTAACCCCACTCAATGGGCTTTCTTCTAAGAAAATAATTCAACAGAAAGAAACAGCTACCTGCATTATGTTCATTTCAGTGTTATTTATAACAGCAAATCTGGATATGTATAAATATATGCAATTAAAGACATGGTATAACAATTTATAGTACATCAACTTGATGAATAGAAAGTAATAACTATGTTAATTTTAAGACCATATATAAAACATGAAACAGTTTTTTATGATTCAAGTACATAATCCAGGAAGAAAGTTCAGATACAAAAAGATTTAGAATTATGGATATGCCTTCCCAAAAAAATGTTTTTACACATTGTATGATATTTTAAATAATACTATTTAATTATCATATTTGTATATTTGATTTGTATAGAAAATCAGAAGAGATGTTATAGTTGCTTTTCTTAAATTATCAACCAATCCTAAATCTCATAACTTTTATTTGATCATTTAGAGGCACTCATAAATCTTAGTTACTATAAAATATTTCATTTTAGTGGACTGCTCAGTTCTGGGGTTAATAAGTCAATAATATCCAATTTAAGTCCCTTTTTAATTTTCAGTGTTAGTTATTTACTGGTAAACATGGATTCATATGCTCATGTTGATTAGTGCACACACACACACACACACACACATGCACACATATAAAGGAGCTCATTTTTATAACTAGTAGAAAAATCCTAATCTCCAAACTTGGAAAAGAGTTTTAAAACTCACCTTATTGATTTCTCTTTGCAGCTAATTTTACACATATATTGTCTTGAATCCTCACTGTCAATATATTCTCCCTCATATCTGATAGGTGACAAGTCACATTCTTTAACAAACCTTTGGAGGTTGTCACCATGGTCGGAGCTGGGGTCCTATGAGAATTGTTTTTTCATCATCCCTATGCCTTTTGCATTGTATCTCTCTGTTCACATCAACATTTGTCACTGTTCTCTGCCTTTCATATCGGACACATTCAGCTTAATGATAAATTAAAACTTAATAGAGAAGGGTAAAAAGTAATATTAGACCACAAGGTATCCTGTAGAATCTTTGTTCTCCAAAGGCTGTATAGCTATCTGTTCATATGCTTATAGAATAAATTGCACAATGTCAGAGTAGACAATACTACTGTTGCTTCAGTAACATGCTCACAGAGTGCAAGAATGTAAGTCAAAAGACAGGTGAAACTGAACTTTTGAAATATATCCCAATTGCTTTTAATTGTACCTCTCCAAAAATGTAAATATAGTTAAAAGATTTTTTTAAATTTCTGTGTTAACATTTGCATTTATTTAACAAACTCAGCATGCTCTTGGAGCTGATCTCTGTGCTTTTCAAATATGAACTCACTTAATTCTCAAAATGACCCATGAGGGTAGTGTTATTATAGTCATTTTATATGTGTGAAAACTGAGACACATGGAGAAGTTAAAAAATGTGCCCAAGATCCCACAGCTTGTGAGTGAAGGTGGACCTCAAACCCTGGCAGACAATTCCTGGTCATGTGAGAAAAGAGGACTTCTCCTTGCAACACCTTGCAGGGTTCGGGGGTAAACTCTGTCAGATCCATAAAGCTATGAATCTCCTGTTAGGCTGATGGGATTTAATTGCAGCTCCACTATTAGAAAGTAAAAATAAAAGTACAATTATGTCTAATAGTTAAAAGATTGGCAAATAGTTAAAAATGTTTCCTTTCACTCTTGAAAACATCTCTCAACAGCCTTTCTGATCATTGTTGTTTATTTTTTAAATGGATTATTTCAACATTTGTCAAATGCTAAATATATTGGACTCTTTTTTTTTCTCTTTTGCTTGCTAGCGCTTTCCAGGGTCTAGTAAGAGGAAAGAAATCATGACCAACCTCTCCTGTCCCAAAAGCCTCCCAGGATTACCCTTTTACCAGAAAATCTATTTTTATATAAAATAGATGGCTTCTGCTCATACCAAATTTTGAGCTGCTTCTAAGTGCTAGATAGAACTATTAAAGATTTAGACTGACTTACTCACTATACACCATCTCTGGTCTCTATATTCAGTTCCATGCTCAGAAAAGTAAAGCAACAGTTTATCTAAAGTTCCACTCACCCAAGGAATCATTTATTGGATCATCACAATATTGAGAGGGGTTTATGGTTGTGGGAGAATTTCCATGCCAAAAATATTCAAAGGGCTTTGGCAGAAACATTTGTGTTCAGAAGCCAGGGTACACCTGGTCAGTCAAATTGTTGGGGCCTGGAACTGTCCATTTAGTGAGCTGTGATTTTAAATCACTTCATTCTTTGTATTTGTGTCTATGCAGTATACTCTCTTGGTGAAATGTGTATACATTTTTGTCAGACTTACTGAAATATGATTCACATACCATACAATTCATCATTTTAAAGTGTACAATTCAATAGCTTTCAGTCTACTCACAGATATGTGCAACCATCACCATGGTCAATTTTAAGACATATTTATCACCTTGGAAAGAAAGCACCACCCCTTAGCTATCACAACCTGTGCATTCTTCTCCCCAGCTCTAAGAAACTACTAATCTAATTTCTGTCTCTATAGACTTGCCTCTACTGGATATGTCATATAAATGTGGTCTTTCGTGTTTGGCTTCTTTCACTTAGCACATATTTTTAAGGTTCACCCATGTAGCATGTATCAGAACTTCCTTTTTTATGGCTGAATAATATTCTATCATACATTTACTCTTAATATCTCTGCCTGTTACAGATATATGTATAATATTTAGCAAAATTTTCTGAACTAAAATTTAAATTTAGTTAGCCTTCACCTTCCCACTGATAAATTCTGAGAGGAATTTAGGCAATCCACTGTATATTTTATCTACATAACGTCATATGTTCATCTTTTGGAAACATCTGCGTTACAGATAGCAACTGACAGCTCTTACACGGATGCCTGGTCTTATATAAATCCAATATTATGGTTATCTATCTTTTGTCCACAGCATCTATGGGTTTTAACAATTTAAAGCATGTGAACATTTAAAGCTTATATTCCTCTTATACCATAACACTCTCCATAACAGTATGCATATGATTAGTATTTTTTCTATATGCCAATCAGTTATCCCAACCACAAATTTTATGCCATCGCTAAACAACAGAATTCAGTCTCTTGAGCCCTGATGCTCATGATTATCCCAGACAGACATGTTTGTGCATCTTCATAAATTATTACTGCCTTACTAGTTTCAAATAATCTCCAAATATTGATTATTAAATGCAAACATGAGTTATGACATTTGGTAAACTTAAATATTGTTTCATCAGAGAAATGAAAAACTTAATTAGAAATCGTATCTAGTACAAAAGCCATTAACATAGAAAATCTGAGATCCGTTTAATAATTAATCGAGCCAACATGGTGACTTAGGGCTTATGGAAATATTAGAGGCAAGAAAGCTAATTTTATTGGTGCATTACTTGGGATAATTTAATGTCATTCAGAGGGTGGCAGATTTTTCACTTTTAGCCTTAGGTTAGAGTAACTATTAGATTTTAAAAAGTAGCTTTTCATAATAACGAGAGTTCATTCAAATAGATTTCCATGTCACTTGAAATTACCAATTTGTATAAATTTCATTAATAAAATTTTATATCACTTTTTGTAATCTTTCTAAATGAAAACAAGCTGTTTCATTCATTCAGCGAAACATATTCAGAAGCCCCTACTCTGTAAGAGCACTATGCTGAGAGCTCAGAGACGCAAGGATGGAGATCAACTAAACAAGGTTGAATTGACGTGGTCCTTCCTGCTGTACCTTCCAGCCGGCCGTCAAAGTGCCATAACTTAGGACAGAAAATGAGAGTTCTAAACTTAATTTCTCAGTGCCATGAGAACTCATAGAAAGAAGTAGTGTTCAGAAAAGTTGTGATATTTAACTTCCATCTAAGGCGTTCACTCTTGGATGGGAAGAAGGGAAAAGGAATTCTATACAGAAGGAACAGCATTAGCAAATAAATAAAAATAAGAAGTCAGAGGAATAATGAGTGCAGTGCCCTTTGGCTTGAGCAAAGTGTTTATGAACAGAAGTAGTGGCTTAAAGCTGGAAAGAAAGGTTGAAGATAATGATGAAGGGGCTTGAATGCCAAGTGAAGGCCTTGGGCCTTTGCAGTAAGTCAAATAAGGAACTATGTTTCAGTTTGTAAACAGGTGACATATATGGAGTCCTGAAGTAAGGAGGCTATTCTGAATGGCATGTGCAGGGTGGATCAGATATGCAGAAACAAGTATTAGGATATTCCTAGAAAGCTTGGACCCATTCTCCCCAGAGTGCCCTGGAAATACCTGTCGCAGAAATTCAACCTCGAGGAGGACTTCACAGTGACATAAGTTTGACTGGCATCATGTTATACCACTTCTTGGAGATTCACTATGTGAATTAACACATTAAAATTCCTGAGAAACTTTGCTGTTAAAAAACAAAACAAAAAAAACTCACGGAAAACAAAGTGAGAGACTCTGCCAGATTAAAGGAGACTGAGGAAACACGACAACTAAATAAAACTTGTGACCCTAGACCAAAAAACAGACATTAATGAGACAACTGTTGAAAGTTGTATAAGGTCTGTGGATTAGATAACAGTATTGTGTCAATGTTAATTTCCTGGTTTTTATAATCATACTGTGGCTGTATAAGATGCTAACATTTGAGGAATATGGGTGAAGGATATACAAAAATTCATTGCATTATTTTTTCAAATTTTTGGTAAGTCTGAAATTACTTCAAAATTAAACTTTAAAAATATTTTTATAATTAAAAGTATAACTGCATTTCCAATCAATTATCTAAGATAAACACTTTTGGAAATACTCCCAGGAAAGACAGGGGAATTTATATCCACAGAGCAGCTGGGAGAAAGAGCTGGGTTGACAGAGTAAATGAGTTCAGAGCTGGGTTGACAGAGTAAATGAGTTCAGATGTGGACACATGATGAATCTTGGCACCATTCTTGCCCTTAACATATTTTAGGTACATATACATGTTTTAAACCTAGTTACCTACTTGAGATAATGAAATCCCCTCTCTTGCTCTTTCAGTCAGAATGGTCCCTATTGCAATGACTGACTGGGAAAGGGAAATTAGAGACAGAATTATCCAAATAATTCACAAGAATCCCAATATGAATTTTTGAGAACATGGTTTATTTCATATCTCCACATTATTCAGAAGTAAACAATAAACTTGGGATTCTTCACTTAATATATGGTCCCTGGAGATTCTCAAATGGTTCCTCAAACCCTAACACTCTAGTATTATCAGTAAAGACATAGTTAATCACACTCTTTTTTCTATAACCTGTAAAACAATGAAAACACAAAGTAATCTTTTAAAAATTACATTCTCTTAACCATAAAACAATAACCACATCAAAATTATTGTCTGAATTTTAGTTTTTTATATAAATGGATTTTTGGTGAAAACTTATTTAATATGATACCTTACTAATTTAATTACATAGAACCTTCATGGATGGGTTGTTCTGGAGATCTAAATAAAGGATTAGTCTTGAGTGTGAAAACTTGCTAAATTTTAACAATATTTAATTTAGTAATGGTAGAAATCAATTCAATGATTTGTAATGGTAGAAATCAATTCAATTCTCCATTTCTTCATCAATGGAGTAATAGGATTAGAAATGTGCCTAAGTAAGATGAATTATGTAGCAGTTGCAGACTATATTTCAGGGAAGATTTAGAGTCAGAACAGTCCTGCAGATAGGTGGGGGCTTATAAAGCCTGAGCTAGAATAGCATGAAGAATGTGGAACTAGAGAGACTTATCAGACGGACATCAAATCATGAGAACATGGTCATTAATTGGATAAGACAGCAATTTAAAGAAAAATCCCAAAGATAATACTCAGATTTTGAGCCTAGGTGACAAGTGAAATTGCAGTAATGCTGCAGA
The DNA here is from genome assembly GCF_000001405.40 of Homo sapiens. NCBI lineage: Eukaryota > Metazoa > Chordata > Mammalia > Primates > Hominidae > Homo > Homo sapiens. The sequence continues at coordinate 62,759,671 of NC_000008.11, forward strand.
AAGAGGGAAATAATGATTAGAAAGTACATAGGCATGGGCAAGGACTTCATGTCTAAAACACCAAAGCAATGGCAACAAAAGCCAAAATTGACAAATGGGATCTAATTAAACTAAAGAGGTTCTGCACAGCAAAAGAAACTACCATCAGAGTGAACAGGCAACCTACAAAATGGGAGAAAATTTTTGCAATCTACTCATCTGACACAGGGCTGATACCCAGAATCTACATAGAACTCAAACAAATTTACAAATTTACAAGAAAAAAACAAACAACCCCATCAACAAGTGGGTGAAGGATATGAACAGATACTTCTCAAAAGAAGACATTTATGCAGCCAATAGACACATGAAAGAATGCTCATCATCACTGGCCATCAGAGAAATGCAAATCAAAACCACAATGAGATACCATCTCATGCCACTTAGAATGGCGATCATTAAAAAGTCAGGAAACAACAGATGCTGGAGATGATGTGGAGTAATAGGAACACTTTTACACTGTTGGTGAGACTGTAAACTAGTTCAACCATTGTGGAAGTCAGTGTGGCGATTCCTCAGGGATCTAGAACTAGAAATACCATTTGACCCAGCAATCCCATTACTGGGTATATACCCAAAGGATTATAAATCATGCTACTATAAAGACACATGCACGTGTATGTTTATTGCAGCACTATTCACAATAGCAAAGACTTGGAACCAACTCAAATGGCCAACAATGATAGACTGGATTAAGAAAATGTGGCACATATACACCATGGAATACCATGCAGCCATAAAATATGATGAATTCATGTCCTTTGTAGGGACATGGATGAAGCTGGAAACCATCATTCTCAGCAAACTATCGCAAGGACAAAAAACCAAACACCACATGTTCTCACTCATAGGTTGGAATTGAACAATGAGAACACATGGACACAGGAAGGGGAACATCACACACTGGGGCCTGTTGTGGTGTGGGGGGAGGGGGGAGGGATAGCATTAGGAGATATACCTAATGTTAAATGACGAGTTAATGGGTGCAGCACACCAACATGGCACATGTATACATATGTAACAAACCTGCACATTGTGCACATGTACCCTAAAACTTAAAGTATAATTTAAAAAAAGGCACTGGGAGGTAAACTTTAGTCATTTCATTTAATCTATCACATAATTAAAAAATAGTTTAATTTTAATTTAAGGAAGAGAGTCAAAGAATTATTCCTGGCAGTCAGGAACCTTAACAAATCCTGGGGTACAGGAAGCCTCTGCACCTGTCGGCAAGGTGGGGAGTTCTCTCAACGGGTAACGTCAGGTATTGCTTAGCACTTTACATCTACTGCATCCTACTTTTGCTTACTTTTGATTTACCTTTTCTATTTCTCCTAGTAGGTTTGTCCTAGAAGGATTTTTTAAAATTTTTTAATTTTTCTTTTCTGTTTTTTTACCACCTTGCCTTGGACATAACAGGCTCACAGTGTATACTGCATAATTACTAGCATATGAGACATTTATGTATAGGTAAGCAAAACTAAATGAACTAATTGTAGAGAGTCAAAAGTCAGGTGGAGGAAGGAAAACTGTGCTGCAAAGTAATGACAGCATGTGTTGTGTGCTCTGTAATTTACTTTAAATAATGTTCTGTGTATGCATACTGGGTTTGCTGCTTATCCTGGGGAGGTGGGGGAGGACGGGGGTGGATTGGTCAGTTGTGCTCAGCTCACACTTAGAGTATGCGAATCAGAAGGGTGGTTCACAGCTGAAGGACTCTAAACAAAAGCCCACATGTCAGAGACAGCTTCTAAAAGCTTTTAGCATCCACTCCCTGATCAACACCAAGAAGTGTTTACTTAGTATATTGAGTATCAGAAACGATGTTATCTTGGTCAGATGAATGGATCTCAAGTTAAATGAATTGACTGGATGTATTCTTCAGGCATTCCTAGTTGCTTTGCCTTCACAGAGCATCTGAATGCAGTGAGCTTCTGGCCCTATGCTTTGTTCAGATAATTGAGGATTCCATTGCCTGACTCCAGTTGGAAGTATGGCTGCATCTTCTATTAGAATATTGTCAGAAGCAGCTCTTCATATTGCCGAAAAGAACAGACAGCTGGGACTTTAGCAAGCTTGCAGAATAGGTTTTGTAACTGCTTTTATGCTGCTTGCTAATAAATATCGGTATGTGTTAAGACAGAGTTTATATTGAGACTTACTTGATTTCTGGTAGCTAGGTTGTGGGAGAGAAACAATTTGGCCCTTTACTTCCTCTAGATATCTACTCCCCCCAAAAAAGATGTTATGATTGTAAATAATCAAATTAGTTTAGTTAATATTTATCAGAATAGCCTAGGCAGACTTCTCTTAGGAAGTAGCATTGCTGGACATGGTAGCTCACGCCTGTAATCCCAGCACTTTGGGAGGCTGAGGCGGGTGGATCACCTGAGGTCAGGAGTTCCAGACTAGCCTGGCCAACATGGTGAAATCCCGTCTCTACTAAAAATATAAAAATTAGCCAGGCATGGTGGTGGGCACCTGTAATCCCAGCTACCTGGGAGGCTGAGGCAGAAGAATAGCTGGAACCCAGGAGGTGGAAGTTGCAGTGAGCCAAGATAAGGCCAGTGCAGTCCAGCCTGGGCAACAAGAGCAAAACTCTGTCTCAAAAAAAAAAAACAAAAAACAAAAAGAAACATGGCATTTGAGCTGAAATGAACTCATTTGAATACTGGGGCTAAGAATATTCCAAGGGAAACAAAAATTCATATGGGTAGAACTTAGCAAGTAAAGAAAAGAGTGATGGAAGATGAAATTAGAGAAGTAAGTAGATGTTAAAGAAGATGTGACACACAATTTAAGACATTAGGATGGTGTCACCATATTTTAACCAGAAGAATGGCATATTCTAAATTTAGGAAAGCAACTCTGGAACTACTCAAGAGAATGGATTGGAGAGAACAAGGCTATCACAGTAGACCACATGACAGAAGATGGTAGATTGGCTTTGGTGGTAGCAGCAGAAATAGAAATGCCTAGACAACAGTTCTTGCAGGAAAAGAGGAAGTGGTATGTTAGGTAAAGGAAAAAAGAGGATGAGGCTTAGGTTTTGGATCTGAGCAACAGGATAGATGATACTGCTGCTTACTGAGATGACAGAGTTGAGAGATTTTGCTCCACTGGTAGCTTGTATCTTTTTTAAACTTGAATAAAAAGTACAGTACAAACACAGACTAAAAAAAAAATTCAATAATTAGAGAAATCTTTCTAGATCTATCAAACAACTTATATAGGCTGGGCACAGTGGCTCACACCTGTAATCCCAGCACTTCGGAGGCCAAGGCAGGCAGATCACGAGGTCAGGAGATCGAGGCCATCCTGGCTAATATGGTGAAACCCCATCTCTACTAAAAATACAAAAACTAGCCGGGCATGGTGGCGGGCGCCTGTAGTCCCAGCTACTCAGGAGGCTAAGGCAGGAGAATGGCGTGAACCCAGGAGGCGGAGCTTGCAGTGAACCGAGATCGAGGCACTGAACTCCAGCCTGGGCAACAAGTGCGAGACTCCGTCTCAAAAAAAAAAAAAAAAAAAAAAAAAAAAAAAAAAAAAAAACTTATATAGTCAGCCTAAAAAGAAGTATCATCTAGAAACAGAAAGTATGCCTTCTCAGATTGGAAAACCTGGCTACTCCAGTGGTTCGGAATTGATTGTCATTTCATAATGGCTTAAAGCAATTAGTGTGTATCAGCATTTACCTTTGACTAAAAATAAAACTGCTAACAAGAAAGCTACAGGGAAGTGGTATTCTTTATTTAAATTGATTAATGTAAACAGCTCTTTCATTTAAAATTGATTTACATAAATTCAAGAAAATATTTGCAATACACAATTATTACTTAGTAACAAAGATAATCAGGAAGTCCTGCAGACAATGAAACGTGAACAATTAAAATATTCAGGATACACAAAGCTTTTAATTAATGAGCTAAACTAATCCAAATAAGCAGGGAACTGTGTTGTAAGGCTTGGCTATCATGGATTTTGAAGTCAATGATTACAAGAAGAAGAATCACAGCTACTGTTAAGAGTTAACGAAAGAGGAAAGAAATATGAAAAGCAGCTCAACAGTCAAAGACAGGTTTATTTTGGAGAATAAACCTGAGAGGGGCTTCTGGCCGATTTCAGTCAGGCACATTCTCTCTTACAGGCTAAGAGTATTTAAGGGTTCAGGGCAAGAAAACTTATCACAGGCTTGGAATGTGTCTGTGTGAAGGAGAAGTTTATTGAGGGGTTGTAATGTCTCTGGTCAGAGGGGAGGTTCGGGCTGACATCTCTCTGGTTGGGGAGGTTATATCAGGCTGGCATGTCTCTGGTTAGGGAGGGGTTTACCTTAGGTTTGGAATGTTTCCAGTTGGAGATGTCATTTGTGGTTTATGATTATGCCGACCTTAGCCATTTGGCTGATGCCCTTTGGGTTGGATTTAGATGGTTTTTGATCAAGAGGAACTTTAAAATGGCAGTGCCTGTCCAAGATGGTGATGTTCCTGCTCTGTCAGCTACCCTGTACTGAACATATTCCATGTGCCTGGTATCTTTCTTTGAAGTACTATTTTGCAGAATCTTCTTGAGAATAATGTGAGGTAGGCTTTATTATTTCTATATATGAAGAAACTGGGACATAAAGAAAATAAGTATTTTGTTCAAGGTCCTGTGGCCAGTGTTGGGGAGAGGGCATTAATCTTGGTTCTGATGTATCTCAACACTGCTGTACTTACTGAGGTTACTTTGTTAGTACATAGAATAAAAGGTAATATACAAATAAGTATTTTTTTTTGAGACAGAGCCTTGCTCTGTTGCCCAGGCTGGAGTGCAGTGGCATGATTATAGTCACTCCAGCCTTGAACTCCTGGGCTCAAGCAATCCTCCCACCTTACCTTCCTAAATAGCTAGAACTACAAGCGTGTGCCACCATACCTGGCTAGTATTTTCATTTTTTGTAGATACAAGGTCTCAATATGTTCCCCAGGCTTGAAATAAGTGCATTTTAAAATACATGCGTTGGAAAGATATTAGAGTTATAAAGAGTCAATTTGCAAATTTCGTCTGCTTGACAATGTCATACAGGTCAAAATCCTCAAATCATGAGATTTATGTGTCCTACATGTACTGGACAAAGAAAACAAATTCTTTTCAAGCTATTCTCATTAATGGAATTAACTATCAGAAGGAAAATCCAATTATCAGATAATTTTTTAGGTGGGGCTTTGGAAGATTATTCTGTGCTTACATGTGAACATGAAATTATGTCAGGTTCTCTAGGCGTGGTGGCTCACGCCTGTAGTCCCAGTGCTTTGGGAGGCCAAGGCGGGCAGATCACGAGGTCAGGAGCTCGAGTCCAGTCTGGCCAATATAGTGAAACCTCGTCTGTACTAAAGATACCAAACAAAATTAGCTGTATGTGGTGGTGTGTGCCTGTAATCCCAGCTACTCAGGAGGCTGAGGAAGTAGAATCGTGTGAACCCGGGAGGCGGAGGTTGCAGTGAGCTGAGATCATGCCATTGCACTCCAGCCTGGGTGATGGTGTGAGACTCCATCTCAAAAAAAAAAAAAAAAAAAAGAAAAGAAAAGAAAAGAAAAGAAATTATGTCAGATTCAGGTACTGGATGAAAAACAAATACGGAAATCAGAGCATGAGTGTGCAAATCATAGAAAGATTTCATTCTCTTATTTCTAGAACCCCTTCTCAACCTGGCTAGTACTTCCTTCAGCCCCTCTAACTTTCAGATTGATGGAAAGGACCTGCCTAAGCAGAATTCACCTGCCCCTAATCTAGAAAGGTGCTCTTTCTTGAGCAGATGTGGTAAATTCAGTTTTTATCTTCTTTCCTTACCACTGAGTCAGAATTTATATTTGTATAGGAGCTAGGGTATAAGAAAGGATGAGTCAACAATAATCCAATACCTTTTTATATAAGAAGTTAATTACATTACCTTGGTTAATCATAAAATCTGTCTTGATGTTGCAGATGATTCTATTAGATTTAATTGAATAAAAGAAAGCTTTAAATCATATTCGAGTAAATATGTACCAGGTATAAATTGTCAATATATAACTATAATTCTGTATGTGTGTATGCATATATAATTACTATAAATGAATTTTTTTCATCTATTAAACTCAGTATTTTATATTCCACTTCAGTACAAGACTTTCTATAAGATTAGTATTCATATTCAATTAATATTTCATTATAATTTTAAAAATATACTTTAAAAATACAATTAAAATTTTATCAAATCAAGCCAGAATATTTATTGCTGAGTTGTTTTGATGCTACTTTGCAAATTACTTGAATCTTTCTTGCTTGCTTTATTTCCATTATAGTCATCAACATCAAGTATTGATTGATTTACCTTTGGCCTAGCACTAAACCGGGTAGATTCCGTATCTCAATATAACAGATATAAAACATGTTGACACAGTCCTATGCTGATGATTATTGGTTATTAGAATAACACAGAGGAAAAGAGAAAAAATTATCTGACAACTATTAGTGGAGGCATATAATAGATTTTATGATTAATCAAGTAACGTAATAACTACTTTATTAACTCATTTGATGTTCCTAGCAATGTTATTATTAGCTCCATTTCACAAATAAGAAAACTAAGGCAAGAAAATGCTATTCGGCTTGCCTAGAATCATACACCAAGCAAGTGGCAGAACTGAGATTTGAAACCAGTACTCTGGCTCCACCAGGTGTCTGCTAAACACCCCCTCTGTATTTTGATTCTCTGATAAAGATTAACTTCAGAATTGGCTTCCAATAAGATATAAAAGACACTTCCAATTTTCTTTGAAATTTATGGGTGAGAGGGTTCCTAGTTGCTATTTTCCTGAGCCAGATGCTGAAATGAAGACTTGAGTGCAGATCATTGATGTAGGAGGTGATCCCAGGACACACAAGTGAGAAAGGAAGGAGAAAACCCAGGAAAGGGTAGGCTATTGAGCAAAAAAACCTTATCCACTATGAGTGACAGGGCTCAATTCCCTGGAGATTTTCCCCTCAATTTGGAGTGTGTACTATATAGCTCAGAAATTCCTCACTGAGGGGCAAAGAAGCTGGAGTATTTACTTGTCCACCAAATCCCATCCCTATTTTGTTGAGGGCTTTCTAAGAACATTAAACCTATGACATTCCAGGATGCCCTGGTTTGGGCTTGAGCAGGTTCCCTTGGGGACAGAATAAGCCTCAGCCCCACCCCCCGACCCCGGCGAGCATCACAGTAGCCAGTATGTAGGAAAACTGTCCATTATAGCTTCAGGTTAACTTGCAGATTGGCCATGAGAATAGGGAGCAGGGAATCCAGCAAGGAGTAGTGGACATCTATTGTCTTTGCCTGCCAGTTTCCATTCCCCTAACTTTTTATAATAGTACCTCAATTCCCTTTTAGTTAGAGAGCTACACACTTAATTCTTTCCCTCCGCATGGTGAAGGTGGGTTCTCATTAGGATGGAGCTGACCCCACTATCCTCCAGGCTCTGGATTGGACATGAGACACAGGAATTGTCAGTCAGCATATTTCTTGCTTTGGATCTAATAGTTGGCTTAGGAATAGTCATATGAGATAAACTGGTCCCTGCATTTCAACTCAATGACTCTTAACTATTGGAGAAGATAAATTCTCACCTCCCCTCCAAGGCTGCTGAATTAGGAGGGCATACACCTGAAGAGGCTGGTGACCACCTCATGGAAAGCACCTACAAGAGAGGAAAGCAGGGCTGTAAAACAGAGAGACACACGCAGATACAGACAGGCAGACAGAGGATCCAGTTATGCTCAACCCAGCTCTACCCTTGGACTTTTCAATTACATGAGTCGATAAACTCTTTTTTTTTTCTTAAATCAGTTTGAGGAGAGTTTCTCTTACCAGTATTATTTCTTCACCAAAATGTTTTCAGTGTCTACATAGTCTCTTAACTTCTGAGTATTTTTCATTTACTTAGAAGCTTAGGATTCTTAATTGAAATAGACATTTAAAGTCTGCTAGACCGATCTTCTCACAACGCAGGAACATCATCTACAGCTGTGCTGTCCAATGTGACAGCCACCAGCCTCATGTTGCTATAGAGAGAAGGCATGTGGCAGGTCCAAATGAGAGTGCTTTAAGTATAGAATGCACACTAGATTTGGAAAACTTGGTACAAAAAAGAAGATAAAATATCATACATAATTATTCTATATTGATTATATATCTTAAAAGTCTTTTGGATATATTGGGTTAAATAGAATATATTATTAAAATTAATTTTACCTGTTTCTTTAAATTTATTAATGTGGCTACTAGACAATTCAAAATCATATATGCAACTCACATTATATTTCTATTAGACAGTGCTAGTCCCTGACAAAGGGTGATGCAGCCTCTGCTTGAAAATGCAGCTAATTAACCCTCTGGGCAGGCGCATCCATCATTGGACTGTTCTAAGTGTAAAAACGATTTTGTGCCTCTACATTCAAAATCCATCACTTTGGAACTTCCATCTATTGGCACTAGTTCTGCCTCTTGTGTATCACAGAGTATCTACTCTTCATACATATTCAGCTATTTTTACTTCTTACTGGAAGATTGCCATCCAACCTGTCTCTCACAGTCTTATGAAACAGGACATCACAGACATTTTTGACTCCCGCTCTGCTGACAGGATACGCTATTTGCATTGACAACAGTTGCAGGTTTGGTAGCCATAATCTTTCTGTGCTTAATGATAAATTAGGCTTCATCTTCTTGTGAAGCTACAGACAAAGTAGAGACTTCTGCTTGAGGCTCCAGAAGTTCTCTCTGCCCCAAAAGTCTAAATGAGAGAGGTACAGGAGTTAAGGACATCCATCAGGGATGTCATTCCTTGCTCTGAGTTCTATCACGGGAAATGAATGTGGACTTTGGGATGAGAAAAGGGCAGTTGTCAACAGGAAATAGCAGCTCTGAGTTCATTTTCAGCAGACAACAGTCTGTTCCAACATAACCTACTCCAACCTAAGCTTCATGGAGACAGACTGGGGCTGACAAAAGGTAAATGGTTTTCATGTCACTAGTGTCTTTAAAGAAATACCAATAAATTTAATTTCCTTCTTAAATTTAACAATCCAAACAAGTAAGGTGGAATGCAGCAGACTGTTATTTAAGTATGTCATGAAGATTTCAAGTTTTAGATCTTGATGCCTATTTTCATGATTAAACAAAATTAAAATCTTTCAAGAAAAAAAGTTATGGTTCCAAAGACTGTTGTCTGTGATTATGATATATTCAAAGTATTTTCATTGCAATGTTGTGGACATCCATGATAAATTATGCCTTCTTAATTGGGATTATTTTTATTTCAGGCAATTGGCACTCTTGAAAATAAAAACCCATCTGTCCAAAACCATTTTTTCATTTCCTGTCATTTCAGCTTAGATTGCACCACTAATCTCTGAAATCCACATTCTAGTCTAGTGATCAAACAAAAGTTTTTTCTGATCTATGGAAAACTTTTTATTGCAAAGAAAGTTCTTAATGAAAAAGTTAAATAAGACAAGTTCAAAAGTTTATACAAGGCACTAGTTAGAGCATCTAGGATTTGTGGATAAAATAATATGCCCCAATTATCCGGATGTGTAATTTAGGAAGTAATAAATTGTATGCTGATGAATCTAATTCAAAATATCAATACATGCTAAGGTACTCTACAGCCTGTTCAAACACCCTCCCCAATTGTCTTGTTTCAATTACTATCAACAGCCACAAATTGGAGTTCTGTCTATATGATGCCCCAAACATTTGGTTAATTCAGTTCATTCAACCTAGTTAATTCAATATGCAAAAAAATTCACCAATGAATTGACAAGCTAATGTTCTCAAAATTGTTGATCAGTGAGTTGTAACCTAAGAAGATTTGGCTAAGACAGTCTGAAAAGCCAGGGCTCTCCTCCCATCTCACTATTCCTTCAACAACTCATTTTGCTTATTCCTTCCACTTACAATAAACTTCAGCATCTTATAGTGCCTCTTTTACCCTAATTCAATAAGCCTTCTCTATCATTAAACCCAAAGTTTCTAAAGTCTTATCTCTAGACCATTCCTGGACAATTAAAAGAGTATAGGTGATTCTTCTAAGCAGTTTGGAGATTCAACAGTCCTCTCTGAAAAGCTTCCTAATTTATGACTTTTTTATCTTCTATCCTAGAATATGTAGACACTGTGGGCCCCAATTAACTTTCTCTATTGGTGGATGGAACCTAAGATAACTCAATAATCTCCCCTTATAGTACTCATGCCCTTGCATAATCCTCTCCTCTTGAGTGTGAGTAGCATCTGGGATTTGCTTCTAACTAATAGAATATGACAAAGATGACATGTCCATCCCACGATTTATTATATTATATGGCAAAAGTGCTAGGATGTTATTCCCATGATTATTTTACATTACACAAGACTAGGAGGAGCCTGCACATCTAGCAGAAGAGAAACTAAGGGGCCCAAGCTCTCCAAACATCCCTGGCTCATTGGGTGACTGCATGCCTAGGCAAGAAAGATCTGGAGAGCACAGAAGATCCAGGGATAATCTACAAATTGCCTGAGTTTTTAGTGTACTCCATAACCCCCACACAGGTGCAATAGCAGAGGATAGGAGATTTACTGGCTTTAGGTGTGTCTTAGTCAGTTCAGGCTGCTATAATAGAATACTACAGACTGAGTAGTTTAAACAACAAACCTGTGTTTCTCACAGTTCTAGATGCTAGGAAATCTAAGATCAAGGTACCAGCAGATCCAGTGTCTCATGGGGGCCTACTTCCTAAATTGCAGATGATTGGCTTCTTATTCTATCATCACATGGTAGAGACAGACAGAAACCAATCCCTCATGTCTCTTCTTATGAGGGTACTAATAACATTTATAAGGGATCCACTGATACCATCACATTGGCGGTTAGGATTTTAACATATAAATTTGGGGGGAACACAAACATGCAGTCCATAGCAAGGTGTTTGAGCAAACCTCTAACCAGTCATTGACTGACCACTAAGTTATGCAGACTTATAGGTGACCTCTAACAGCCCAGGATAAAAAATAAAATAAAAATAAAAGCAGAATTAAAAAAAAAAAACTAAGCAGAGACTTCAGCGACCAGAAGCCAAGATTAAACCTAGAAAATTATTTTAACACAAAACAAAGCAAACGAGTAACAACTGACAGGAGGCTGGTGGGCGGGGGGTGGAGGGAATGCAGAATCCAGAGTTGAGATATATTATCTAAAATATTCAGTTTTCAACGACAACAAAAAATGAGACATGCAAAGAAACAAGAAAGTGTGACTCAAACTCCAAGGGGAGAAAAAATTAATAAATAGATATTTGTCTCTAATTGGTATTGTACATTTTATCAGACAAAGACTTCAAAGTATTAATTATCAAAATGTCCAAAATTTTAAAAATCATGTTTAAATAATAAAAGTGGTCTGGCACAGTGGCTCGCACCTGTAATCCCAGCACTTTGGGAGGCCAAGGTGGGAGGATCGCTTGAGCCCGGGAGTTCAAGACCAAACAGGGCAAGATAGCAAGATCCCATCTCCACAAAAAATAAATGAATAAATACATAATTAAAGGAAAATATCCCAACAATGACTCAACAATAGAAAATCTCAATAAAGAAAGAGATTTTTAAATGGATATTTTATAATTGAAAATTACAATAAATTGAAATGAAAAGTTCACTAAGCAGTTTCAATAATAGATTTGAAATGGCAGAAGCATTAAACTTGAGAAACAGAAATTATTCAATTTGATGAAAAAATAATAATAATTAAAGAACAAATAAAAGAACCTCAGAGATCTGGGGAAAATATGGAACATAACAATATAAATGTACTTGGGGTGTCAGAAAGAGAGATGAGAGAGTAAGTAGCAAAAATAATGTTTTTGAAGAATGAATGGCCCATAGCTTATCACATGTATAAAAAAAAAGATCTATAGATTCAAGAAACTTGACAAACCTCAGGTAGGATAAACACAAGGAGAGTCACACTTCAATTCACTATAGTTAAAATGCTGAAAATCAAGGAGAAATTCTTTTTTATTTTTTATTTTTATGGGAACATAGTAGATATACATATTTATTGGGTATGGGAGATACTTTGATACAGGCATACAATGCATAATAATCACATCAGAATAATTGGGATATCCATCACCTCATATATTTATCCTTTCTTTGTGTTACAAACAATCCAGCTTTATCATTTTGGTTATTTTAAAATGTAGAGTAAATTATTGTTTACTTTAGGCACTGTGTTGTGCTATCAAATACTAGATTTTATTTATCCTATCTAACTATATTTTTGTACTCCTTAACCATCCCTACTACCCCCCACTATTCTTCCCACCCTCTGGTTACAATTATTCTACTTTCTCTCTCTCCATAAATTCAATTGTTTTAAATTTTACTACCTGCAAATAAGTGAGAATGTGCAAAGTTTGTCTTCCTGTGCCTGGCTTGTTTCACTTAACATGATGATTTCAGGTTCCATCTATGTTGTTGCAAATGACAGGATCTCACTTTTTATAGCTGAATAGTACACCATTGTGTATGTATACCACATTTTCTTTATCCATTCATCTGTTGATAGACACTTTGTTGCTCCCACATCTTGGCTGTTGTGATTAGAGCTACAGTAAACATGGGAGTGTAGATATCTTTTGACAGTTTTTTGAGAAACGTCCAAAGTCTTCTCCACAGTAGTTGTACTGATTTACATTCTCACCAAAAAGTGTATAAGGATTCCCTTTTCTTCACATTCTTGCCAGCATTTATTGCCTTTCTTTTGGATAAAACTATTTTAACTGGGGAGAAATATCCCATTGTAGTTTTGATTTGCATTTCTCTGACGTTCAGTGATGTTGAGCATCTCTTTATATGTCTGTTTGCTATTCGTAAGTCTTCCTTTGAGAAATGTCTGTTCATATCTTTTGCCTACTTTTTTTTTTTTTTTTGAGATGGAGTCTTACTCCATCATCAGGCTGGAGTGCAGTGGCACGATCTCAGCTCACTGCAACCTCCACCTGCCAGGTTCAAGCGATTCTTTTGCCTCAGTCTCCCAAGTAGCTGGGACTACAAACGCACGCTGCCACGTCCAACTAATTTTTGTATTTTTAGTAGAGACAGGGTCTCACCATATTGGCCAGGTTGGTCTCGAACTCCTGATCTCATGATCTACCCACCTCACCCTCCCAAAGTGCTGGGATTACAGGTGTGAGCAACCACGCCCGGCTCTTTTGCCCTTTTTTTATTGGATTATTAGATTTTTTTCATATATATTTGTCTGAGCTGCTTGTTTATTCTGGTTATTAATCTCCTGTCAGACATACAGTTTGCCAATATTTTCTCCCTTTCTGAGGATTGTCTCTTTGTTTATTGTTTCCTTTACTGTGCAGAGCTTTGCCCAGTCTAATGTCTTGGAGAGTTTCCCCAATGTTTTCTTTTGGTAGCTTGATGATTTGAGATCTTATACTTGAGTTTTTTAATTCACTTTGATCTGATGTTTGTATATGGAGAGAGATTGGAGTATGGTTTCATTTATCTGTGTATGCGTTTCTGGTTTTCCCAGCACCATTTATTGAAGAATCTGTCCTTTCCCCAATTTATGTTCTTGGCACTTTTGCCAAAAATGAGTTCACTGTAGATGTATAGATTTAATCCTGGGTTCTCTATTCCGTTCCATTGATCTATGTATCTGTTTTTATGCCAGTACCATGTTGTTTTGGTTACTGTAGCTCTGCAGCATAATTTGAAATCAGGTAGTGTTATTTTTCCTCAGGATAGCTGATAAGGTTTGGCTATGTCCCTGCCCAAATCTCATCTCGAATTGTAATGCCATAATTCCCAAGTGCAGTGGGAGGGACCTGGTGGGACATAATTGCATCATGGGGGCAGATCTTTCCTGTGCTGTTCTCATGATAGTGAATAAGTCTCACGAGATCTAGTAGTTTTATAAAGGGGAGTTCTCCTGCACACGCTCTCTTGCCTGCCACCATATAAGACATGCCTTTGCTCCTCACTCACCTTCCACCATGATTGTGAGGCCTCCCCAGCTATGTGGAACTGTGAGTCAATTAAACTTCTTGCCTTTATAAATTACCTAGTCTAGGATATGCCTTTATTAGCAGTGTGAGAATGAACTAACACAATAGCATTGTCTATTCTGGGTCTTTTGTGGTTCAATATAAATTTTGCAATTGTTTCTTCTATTGCTCTGAAGAATGTCATTGGTATTTTGACAGATATTGTATTGAATCTGTAGACTGTTTTTGGTAATATGGACATTTTGACAATATTGATTCTTCCAGCATATGAACATAAAATATCTTTCCATTTTTCTGTGTCTTAAATTTTATGCATCAGTGTTTCATAGTTTTCATTGTAGACCTCTTTGATTTCTTTGGTTAAGTTAATTTCTGCATATTTTGCTTTATTTGTAGGTATTGTAAATGAGATTACTTTCTTGGTTTCTTTTTCAGATTGTTTGCTGTTGGCATATAGAATTGCTACTGATTTTTGTATGTTGATTTTGTATCCTGCAACTTTACTGAATTTGTTTATCAGTTCTAAAAGTTTTCTTGTGGAGTCTTTAGGTGTTACCAAATATAAGATTATATTATCTGCAGACAAGGATCACTTAACTTATTCCTTTCCAATTTGGATGCCCTTTATTTCTTTCTCTTGTCTGATTGCTCTAGCTGGGACTTGCATTACTATGTTGAATTACAGTGGTGAAAGTGAGCATCCTTGTCATGTTCCAGATTTTAGAGGAAAAGCTTTCAATTTTTGCCCATTTAGTGTGAGACTAGCTGTATGTGTGTCAAATATGACTTTTCTTGTGTTGTGATATGTTCCTTCTTTACTCAGTTTTTTTAGGGTTTGTATCACAAAGGATGTTGAATTTTATAGAATGCTTTCTCAGCATAAATTGAACTGATCACATGGTTTTTGTACTTTATTCTGTTGACATGGTGTATTACATTGTTTGATTTGCATATGATGAATTATCCTTGCATCCCTGGATAAATCCAACTTGGTTATGATGAGAGATCTTTAAATTTATTGTTCAATTCAGTTTGCTAGTATTTTGTTGAGGATTTTTGTATCAATTCTCATCAGGGATATTGGTTTATAGTTTTCTTTTATTGATATGTTTTTGCCTGGTTTTAGTATCAGGGTAAAACTGGCCTCATGGAATGAATTTGGAAGTATTTCCTCCTCCTGTATTGTTCAGAATAGTTTGGATGTGATTGGTATTTGTTCTTCTTTAAATGGTTGGTAAAATTCAGCAGTGAAGCTATCACGTCCCAAGCTTTTCTTTGCTGGGAGGCTTCTTATTATGGCATTAATCTAGGTACTTGTTATTGGGCTGTTGTGAATTTGGGTTTCTTCATGGTTCAATCTTGGGAGGTTGTATGTGTCCAGGAATTTATCTAATTCTTCTAAACTTTCCAATTTATTGTCATATAATTGTTCACAGTGGCCTCTAATAATCCTTTGAATTTCTGTAGTATCAGTTATAATGTCCCCTTCTTCATCTCTAATTTTATTTATTTGGGTCTTCGTTCATTTTTTTCTTCATTTACCTTGCTAAAAATGTGTTGATTTTGTTTATCTTTTCAAAAAACAAAATTTTCATTTTGTTGATAGTCTATATTGTTTTATTCATTTCAATTTCATTTATTTCTACTCAGCTATTTATTATTTCTTTTCTTCTACTAGTTTTTCACTTGCAATGCTCTTGCTTTCCTAGTTTTTCAAGATGTCATTATATTATTTATTTGAAGTTTTTCTACATGTTTCATGTAGGCACTTACATTATAAACTGTCCTCTTAGTACTGCTATTGCTGTATTCCATAGGTTTTTGCAGGTCATGTTCCTACAATAATTTGATTCAAGAATTTAAATTTTTTTTAATTTTCTTTATTGACCCACTGGTCATTCAGGAGCCTGTCATTAAATTTCCATGTGCTTCTATAGTTTCCCAAATTCCTCTTGTTATTGATTTCTAGTTTTTTCTAGTATCCATTGTATATTCTGCAGCCATTGGATGAAGTGTTCTGCAAATATCTATTAGGCCCATTTGATCTATTGTACAGTTTAAGTCTGATGTTTCTTTGTTGATTTTCTATCTGGATAATCTGTCCAATGCTGAAAGTGGGGTGTTTAATTATCCAGCTATTATTGTTTTGGATCTACCTCTCTCTAGCTCAAATAATATTTATTTATCTGGGTACACATATATTTACAACTTTTATATCCACCTGCTGAATTGACCTCTTTATCATTATATAATGATCTTCTTCATCTCTTTTTGTAGTTTTTGTCTTGAAACTTATTTGCCTGATATAAATATGCCTACTCCTGCTTTTTGTTTCCATTTGCATGAAATACTTTTCTCATCACTTTGCTTTCAGTCTATGTGTGCCTTTATAGGTGAAGTGTGTTTCTTCTAGGGGTCTTATTTGTTGGGTCTTCTTTTCCTTTCTTTTTTCTATATCAATTCAGCCACCATATGTCTTTTGTTTGGATAATTTAGTCTATTTACACTCAATGTTATTATGGATAAGTAAGGACTTTCTTCTGCAATATTTTAATTTATTTTCTGAGGGTTTTTTTGTGACCTTCTCTTTCTTCTTCCTTCCTATCTTCTGTTTAGTGAAGGTGATTTTCTTCAGTGGTATGTCTTAATTTCTGGCTTAGTTTGTGTGCATTTCTATTGTATGTTTTCTGATTTGAAGTTACAATGAGGCTTGCAAATAATATCTTATAGCCCATTATTTTAAACTGATGGCCACTTAATACTGATTGCATTAAAGAAAACCAAATAAACTAACAAGGAAAGAGAAAACCAATAACAGCTGTATACTTTAAGTTCTTGCCCCTGCTTTTAAAGTTTTTATAGTTTCTATTTATACCTTATTGTATACCCTATGTCTTGAAAAGTTGTTGTACTTATTATTTTTGATCAGTTCATCTTTTAATCTTTCTACTCAAGTTGTGAGTAGTTTATACACCATGATTATGGTATTATAATGTTCTGTGTTTTTCTGTGTACTTATTATTACCAGTGAGATTTGTACCTTCAGATGATTACTTCTCACTCATTAATGACATTTTCTTTCAAATTAAACAACTCCCTGTAGCATTTCTTGTCAAAAAAGTCTGGTGTTAATGAAGTTTTTCAGCTTTTGTCTGAGAAAGTCTTTATTTCTCCTTCATGTTTAAAGAATATTTTCACTGGATATACTCTTCTATGGTGAAAGCTTTTTCCTTCAACACTTTAAATATGTCATGCCGCTCTCATGCTCTCCAGGGTTGCCACTGACAAGTCTGCTGCCAGGCACACTGGAGCTTCATTTCATGTTATTTGTTTTCTTTTGCTGCTTTTAGAAACTTTCTTTATCCTCGACTTTTGGGAGTTTGATTATTGAATAGTTTGAGGAGCCTTCTTTAGGTTAAATCAACTTGTTGTTCTATAATTTTCCTGTACTTGAATATTGATATCTTTCTCTAGGTTTGGACGTTCTTTGATATTATCCCTTTGAATAAACTTTTTAACCCTATCTCTCTGTCTACCTCCACTTTACAGGTAATAAGTCTCAGATTTGCTCCTTTGAGGATTTTTTTTTATCTTGTAGATGTGCTTCATTCTTTTTTATTTTTTTCTCTTTGGTATCCTATGACTATGTGTTTTCAAATGGCCTGTCTAGCTCACTAATTCTTTCTTCTGCTTTATCAATTCTGCAAGTAAGAGAGTCTGATGCATTCATCCATATGCCAGACATTTTCAACTTCATAACTACTGCTTGATTATTCTTAAGTATTTCAGTCTCTTTGTTAAATTTATCTGACATGATTCTTAATTTTTTGTTTGTTATAATGATTTAATTGAAATTCCACCAAAAAGCTACTTTGAATTCTCTATCTGAAAGGTTACATACGTCTGTCTCTCCATGATTGGTTCCTGGTGCCTTATTTAGTCTGTTTGGTAAGGTCATAATTTCCTTGATAGCCTTGATACTTGTGGACGTTCATCAGTGTCTGGGCATAGAAAAATTAGGAAGTTATTGTAGTCTTCATAGTTTGGGCTTGTTTGTACACCTCCTTCTTGGAAACACTTTCCAGGTATTCAAAGGTCCTTGATTGTTGAGATCTAAGTTTTTGGCTTCTGCAGCTGTGTCAGCATTAGGAGACATTCCAAGCCCCATATTGTAGCACTTGAAGACTTGTAGAGGTAGCATGTTGGGGGGCTTGGATAAGACCCAGAAAAATTCTCTAGATTATCAGGCAGAAACTCTTATTCTCTTCCCTTACTTTCCCCCAGACAGAGTCTCTGTATATGCTGAGCTGCCTGGAGCTGGGGGAGGAGTAACACAAGCATCCCTGTGGCCATTACCACGGAGACTGTGCTGGATCAAACCTGAAGCCAATACAGCACTGAGTCTCTCCCACAGCCCATGGTAACCACATCCTGGCTACTGCCTAAGTTCTCTTAAGGCACTAGACCCTTAAAATCAGCAAGTGGGAAAACCAGCCAGGTTTATGTCCTTCCCTTTAAGGCAGTGAGTTCCTGCAGTCCAAGGTAGGTTTAGAGATGCTGTCTGAGAACCAGGTCTTGGAATCAGAAACTTAAGGAATCTACCAGATACTGTATGCTACGGCAGCTGAGCTGGCACTGAAGCCACAGAACAAAGTTCTTACCATTCTTCTCTCCCCTTTCCGCAAGCAGAGGAGTGTGGAACTCTTCCCACAGTCACCACTACCACAGGTTCACAACAAATATTGTCTGGCTACTGCCAATGTTCACTCAAAACACAAGCACTCCTAAGTCACCTTGTAGTGAATACTGCCAGGCCTGGGACTCTCCCTTCAGGGAAGTGGGCTCTCCTCTGGCCCAGAACAGGACCAGAAATGCTTTGAGAGGGCGAGAGACTGGAATCAAAGACCCCAAGTACCCACTTTTTGCTTTATTCCACTGTGGCCGAGCTGGTATCTAAGCTACCAGAAAAAGTCCCCTTTACTCTTCCCTCTCTTTTCTCAAGCAGAAAGAGTCCCTCCTCATAGCTACCATAGCTGGGAATGTGCTGGGTCACACCTGAAGCCAGAATATCTTTGAGTCTCACCTAGGCTCACAGTGGGTACTGCCTGGGTATTCCTGCTGATTATTCCAGGCCC
Organism: Homo sapiens; assembly: GCF_000001405.40. NCBI lineage: Eukaryota > Metazoa > Chordata > Mammalia > Primates > Hominidae > Homo > Homo sapiens. Next base: position 62,778,904 of record NC_000008.11, read on the forward strand.
AAAGGCTCTTCAGTTAGCAGGCCATGAATCTTGCCAGGACTTGATCCTTCCCTTCAAGGCCACAGGTTTCTTTTTGGCCCAGTGTGTCCAGAGATGTCATGTGGGAGCTAGGGCCTGGAATGGGGGCCTCAGGACTCTGCCAGGTGCCCTATCCTACTGTGGCTGAGCTGGTATCCATGTTGCAAGAGAACCTCCTCTTTACTCTTCCCTCTCCTCTCAAGCAGAGGGAAGGAATCTCTTACAAAGCTGTGATCTGTACTAGCTGGTGTTGGTGGGGAGGGGTGACACAAGCTCTTTCTTGACTGATGTAGCTGGCATCTCACTAGGTCACATGCTCCCCAAGTTCACTGGCACCAAAGTCCACACAGCACTAAAGCTTGCCCAGGAGCGCAGTCCTTATGCTTAGCCTGCTTCTTGCATTTACTTAGGACCCTAGAGCACTCACCCTTCAATGGCAAGGCTTGCCAGAACCTAAGTTCTGACCACTGGCATGGATGATTCTCCTCTGACTAGGGCTGTTATAAATGCTCCCTACATGGTGTCAGCTGAGTTTTTTCCAGTGTTGCTTTCCACTGAGACAGCACAGAACTGTGTTCCAACACAAAGTCTCACAATCACTGTGCTCTCCCTGTCCCAATCCCACATATTCTCTCTCTGTGGCAAGAAAGCCAAAAAAAATTGAATTTACACTGCATGTTAGACCAAATAGACCTAACAGACATTTACAGAATATTTTGTGCAACATTGTCAGAATATACATCTTTCTCATCAGCATACAGAACATTCTCCAAGATGGACAATATGTTAGAACACAAAACAAGTATCAACAAATTTATAAAGTTCAAAATTATACCAAGTATCTTCTCATACCACAATGGAACAAAACTAGAAATCAAAACAGTGGTAAAAGGGAAATTTATAGTAATAAACAACTACATCAAAAGAAAATCTTAGAAAAAATTCAAACGACCAAATAATGCACCTCAAGAACCTAGGAAAAAAAGAACAAACAAAACCCCAAATTGACAGAGAAAAGAAATAATAAAGATCAAAGCAGAACTAAATGCAATGGAGACTACAGAAACAATACAAAAGATCATTGAAACAAAAAGTTGGTTCCTAGAAAAGATAAACAAAATTGATAAACTGCTACCCTACAAAACAAGAGGGAAGACCCAAATAAACAAAATCAGAATTGAGGAGATATTACAACTGACACCAGAGAAATATAAATGATCATCAGAGACTATTATGAACCATTATAAGCTAACAAACTGGAAAACCCTGAGGAAATGGATATATTCCTAAAAATATACAACCTACTGAGATTGACCCAAGAAGAAGTAGAAAACCTGAACAGTTAAATAGTGAGTAATGAGATTAAATCAGCAATAAAATGTCTCCCAACAAAGAAAAGTCCAGGAACAGACAGATTTATCAATGAATTACACCAAATGTATAAAGAACTAATACCAATTCCCTCAAACTATCCTAAAAATTAAAGAGGAGGGAATTCTCCCTAACTCATTCTACAATGATAGCATCATCCTAATACCAAACCCAGACAAGGACACAGCAAAGAAAGAAAACTACAGGCCTATATCACTGATGAACATAGATGCCAAAGTTCTCAGCAAAATACTAGCAAACCGAATCCAACAGCATATCAAAAAAATAATATACCATGATCAAGTGGGATTTATTCCAGGGATGAAGAAATGGTTCAAAATATGAAAATCAGTAATTGTGATATATCACATAGACAGAATTAAAGACAAAAGTCATATGATAATTTTATTAGATGCAGAAAAAGCATTTGATAAAATTCAATACCCTTTCATGAATAAAAACTCTCAACTAAAAGTTAGGCATAGAAGAAACATATCTCAAAATAATAGTGGTCATATACGACAAACCCATAGCTAATATACTGAATGGAAAAAAGTCAAAAGCTCATCTTCTAAGAACTGTAACAAGACAAAGATGCCCATTTTCACCACTCTTATTCAACATAGTATAGAACCTCCTTAGCATAGCAATAAGACAAGAGAAAGAAAGAAAAGGCCTCCAAATTGGAAAAGAAGTCAAATTGTCCCTCTTTGCAAATAACCTCATTTTATATTTAGAAAAACCAAGATTTCACCAAAAACTCTTAGAACTTACAAACAAATTCAGTGAAGTTGCAGGATACAAAATTAACATAAAAATCAGTAGCATTTATATATGCAAATATTGAAATAGCCAAAAAGAAATCAAGAAGGCAATTCCATTTAAAATAGCTGCAAAAAATAAATAAAATATATATGAATAAATTTAATCAAGGATGTGAAATATATCTACAAGAAAAACTATAAAACACTGATGAAAGAAATGAGGAGGGCACAAAAAAATGGAAGGACATTTTATGCTTGTGGGTTGGAAGAATTTATATCATTAATCATACCACCCAAAGGACTCTACAGATTCGATGCAATCTTTATCAAATTGACAATTTCATTTTTCACAAGAATAGAAAAAAAAAATCTTAAAATGTGTATGGAATAAAAAATGAGCCAGAATATTCAAAGCAATCCTGAACTAAAAGAACAAAGCTGGTGGCATCACATTATCTGACTTCAGAACATATTATGAAGCTATACTAACCAAAGCAGCATAGTATTAGAATAAAAATAGATGCATGGACCAATGGAACAGAATAGAGAACCCAGAAATAAATCCAAATATTTGCAGCCAACTGATATTTCATAAAGCCTCCAAGAACATACACTGGGTAAAATAAACCGTCTTCAAAAAAAAAGAAACTAGATAGCCATATGCAGAAGAATGAAACTGGATCCCTATCTCTCACCATATACAAAAGTCAACTCAAGATGGATTAAAGATTTTAAGGTAAGATGGATTAAAGATTTTAAAGTAAGACCCAAAACTATAAAACCATTAGAAGAACACATAGAAAAAACTCTTTGAAACATTGCTCTAGGCAAAAATTTTATGGCTATGACCTCAGAAGCACAGGCAATGAAATCCAAAATAAACAAATGGGATATTTAACTAAAAATCTGCACAGCAAAATAAGCAATTAATTGAGTGAAAAGACAACCTCTTGAATGGAGAAAACACTTGCAAACTACTTATTCAACAGGGTATTAATATCCAGAATATACAAGAACTCAACAGGAAAAAATTCTCATTAAAAAATGGAAAAAAGACATGAATAGACATTTCTTAAAAGAAGATATGCAAATGGCCAACAGTGTATGAAAAGATACTCGACATCACTAATCATCAGAGAAATGCAAAAAAAAACTACAATGATATATCATCTCACTCCAGTTAGAATGCCAATTACTAAAAAGACAAAAATAACAGGTGCTGGCAAGCATGCTGAGAAAAGGGAATGCTTATATGCTGTTGGAGGGAATGTAAATAAGTAAAACCACTATGGAAAGCAGTATGTAGATTTCTTAAAAAAACTAAAAATTTAATTACCATACAATCCAGCAATCTCACTACTGGGTATTTATCCAAAGGAAAAGAAATCAGTACATCAAAGGGACACCTGCACTCACATGTCTATCTCAGCACTATTCACAATAGCAAAGATTTGGAATTAACCTAGGTGTCCATCAATGGATGAATGGATAAAGAAAATGTGGCACATATACATAATGGGAATACTATCTGGTCATAAAATAGAATAAAGTCATGTCATTCACTACAACGTGGATGGAATTGGAGGTCATTAATTTAAGTGAAATAAGCAAGGCATGGAAAGGCAAATACTACATGTTCTTACTCATATGTGAGAGCTAAAAATAAATAAATAAATAACTTGGTCACATGGACACAGAGAATAGAATGATACATACGAGATAATGGATAGAGTGGGTGAATAGAAGAAGGGAAAAATGAAAAGAAGTTGGCTAATGGGTACAAAATGCAGTTAGATAGAAGAAAAAGTTCTAATGTTTGTTAGCAGACTAAGGTGACTGTACATAGTAACAATATTGTGTGTATTTCAAAATAATTAGAAAAGAGGACTTGAAATGATATCAAAACATAGAAATGATACTCAAGGTGATAGATACCCCAAATGCTGACTTGATCATTAAACATTCTATGCATGTCATGAAATGTGCATTTTTGTACCCCACAAAAACATTATGTATTAATAAAAGATAAAATAAAATAAAACTTTTTAAGTTTACAGACATGCACAAAAATAATTGATAACAGAGTGCTAAGGACTGAAAGCTTTTGTCCCCCCAAAATTCATACATTAACATCCTAATCCCAAAGATGATAGTATAAACAGTGGGGTTTTTAGTAAGGGATTAAGTCATGAGGGCTTTGAATGGAATTAATGCCCTTATAAAAGAGCCCCCAGAAGCCAGATAGCCCTTTCTACCATGTGAAGTCACTGCAAGAAATCAGCAGTCTGCAGCCTGGAAGAAGATCCTCAGCAGAATCCAACCATGCTGGCACTCTGATTTTAGACTTTCCAGACTCCAGAGCTGTGAGAAATAAATCTCTGTTGCCTATAAGTCACCCAGTCTATGGTATTTGGTTATAGCAGGTGGAGCAGAATGAGACACAGAGAATTAGCAAGGATATAAAAGACCTCCACAACACTAGCAACCAAGTTGACCTGACTGATACTCTGTAAAACGTTCCACTTAACAGCAGAAACAGCAGAATACACTTTTTTTTTTTTTTTTTTTTGAGACAGGGTCTTGCTGTGGCACCCAGGCTGCTGGAATGCAATGGCAAGATCTCTGCTCACTGCAGCCTCAACCTCCTGGGCTCAAGCAATCCTCTGGCCTCAGCCTCTAGAGTAGGTGAGACTACAAGGGAGACTCCAGCCATGTGCCACCACATGCAGCTAAATTTTTTATTTTTTTGTGGAGACCTGTATTTTGTTTTTTGTTTGTTTGTTTCACCATGTTGCCCAGGCTGTTCTCAAACTCCTGAGCTCAAGTGATCCACATTCTTCAGCCTCCCAAAGTGCTGGGATTGCAGGCATGTGCCACCGTGTCTGGCCCAGAATACACATTTTTTAAAGAGCACATGCAGCATTTTCCAGGACAGACCAAATGACAGGCTGTAAAACAAGTCTCAATAAATTTTAAAGGATTAAATTATTTAAGTGTGTTCTCTGACCATAAGAACATTGAATAGAACGGAAACTAAAACATAACGTATCAAAATGTACAAGACACAGCTAACACAGTTATGAGAGGTAAATTGACAGTTATAAATGGACATATTAGAAATGAAAAAGGTTTTCAAACAATTTGTCTAGATGTTCACTTCAAGTAACTAGAAGAAGTGCAAACTATCCCTAAAGCAAGCAGAAGTAAAGAAATAATAAAGAGTAAAGCAAAAACTAATAAAATAAAAATAGAAAAACAACAGGAAAAAATCAGTACAACCAAAGGTTGCTACTTTCAAAAGACCAACAAAACTGATAAAGCTTTAGCTAGACTGACTAAGAGAAAAATGAAAGAAGGCATAAATCATGAAAATCAGAAATGAAAGAAGGGACATAATTATTGACCATACAGAAATTTTAAAAGATTATAAGATAATACTATGAGCAACTGTATGCCAATAATTTAGACAAACTACCAAAAAATGGACAAATTACCAAAACTGACTCAAGCAGAAGTATAAATTTTGAATGTACTGAAAAAGAGAAAATAAATAAATTAGTAACTAAAAATCACCCAACAACAACAACAAAAATATCCTAAGCCCTGATAGCTTCACTGGTGAATTCTATCGAATATTTTTATACCAATTCTTCACAAATTCCTTCAGAAAATAGAGCATGAAGGAGCACTTCCCAGCTTCTGTTGGGCTGGTATTACTTAGACACCAAGGCCACAAAAAGACGTCACAAAAATAAAAAACATAGATATATGAATCTTTTTTCAGACATTGACAATCCAAAATCCAGCAACATATGAAAAGTTTTATTTTCAAATGAAAACTACAGTGAAATAGTCACTTCACACCCACTAATTGGGCTATGATTTAAAAAGACAGACAGTTACAAATGTGGGTGAAGATGTAGAGAAATTAAAACCTTCATCCACTGCTGGTTCGAAATGTAGGATGATGCAGCTGCTTTGGAAAACAGTCTGACAGTTTCTCAACAAATTAAATACAGAACTTCTGTGTAAACCAGCAATTTCCCTTCTAAGTATATACCCAAGAAAAATGAAGACATAAATCCACACAAAAATTTGTACACAAATGTTCACAGCAACTTTACTCATAACAGCCAAACCATAATTATAACTCATTAATTTTCATACAATGAAATGTTATTCAGCAATAAAAGTAAATGAATCACTAGTATACACTGCAATGTAGATAACCCTCAAAACATTATAAGTTAAAGAAACCATTCACAGAAGACCACATGGTATATGATACCATTTATATGTAATGCTGTAATAGGCAAATCTATAGAGACAGAAAGTAGATCAGTCGTCACTTACACTGGGGATGGGGTGGTGAGGAGGAGGAGAGATGGAGAGTGACTGTTAATGGGCATTGGGTTTCTTTTTGCAATTATGTGAATGTTCTAAAATTAGATTGTGGTGATAGTTGCACAGCTCCGTGGATATACTAAAAATCACTGAATTGTGCACTTTAAATGGGTGAATTGTATGCTATGTGAATATATCATAATAAAACTGGTTTTAAAAAGTTTTATATACTATGACCTAGGGGAATTCATTCCAGGAATGCAAGATTAGCGAACATCCAGAAATACAGTCTTTCTCTGACTTTTTATGTTAAAAATAATACTGCAATGAATAGACATATTGTCATCTTTTCAGAGGGTTGTTAAAAGACAATACATCACTCCTCTATTTTCTTTTTCAGTTTAAAATTAAGCTGGAAAATGACACAGGAAATGGATAAATGGAAATCAGAATATGATCCTTATTTCTCATAAATCCAGTTGAAGAGCATGGCTTTAGATAGGCAATTAAAGTGTCTTTCGAATCCCTGCCTCTCAAACTGAGCACCCTCACAACTGGACAGCCAGGTGTTCTCCATGGGGCCGGTACGGAAATAAGTGTCAGAGAGCAAATCATGCTTTCAGGCAAGTTGGTTCTCCCATCCCTACTTCCATACCACCACCACCACACCCCCCTCCCTGCAACAAAAAGAAAAAAGTGCTCAATTCAAGTGCTCCCAACCTCAGCAAAGGAGTTTTAGTCCCTACAAATGTACATATAAAAAATGGAGATAGATGATACTCCCATAACAAGTAGTCTTGCAGAGCTACTTACACTAGACATGTGGAATCATAATTAAACCTTCTTATGAATAAATATTTGTGGAATAAATAAATGACTAAATAACACATTTAACAGTATAGTACTGAATTGTTTTTATCCCATCTGGGGTAATATTTTTATTAAGTGTCTTTCATTTTTATATATTGCAGGGAGGGACAGCTTGAGGATAATCAGTACTTTCCAGTAAAACCCTGCCCCACTCCTGTACTCCTAAGGGATTGCCACCTGCTTTCAGAGTGGCCAAATTCTGCTTCACTTCTCATCTCCTCATATAAAGGATTCATGTTGAATTACCTAGCAAAGTTGAAAAAAAACACCTACAGAGGGTCCATCATGGGTGATCTAGGGAACAGTAACAGAAGGGCACAAAAAAGAAAATTGGTCTTGTAATTGCATTCTGTCAAACAGCTAGATAAGCAGCCAGCAGTTTTGCATTAGAATGCATTCGGTTATCCTATTTACAATGGGCTAGTAATCCCATAAATATTTATTGCTGAACTAAAAAAAGCAACATAAGCTTTTACCCTTTGAGAAAGGTCTGTAACATGCATGGTGTCAGTAAAGTAGGAAACCCTGATGATTTGGTTACTTCTTAATATGTTAGAGTCTGGACTGTGCTTGGCACATGTGAACAGTTTGAATGCAGTTGTCAGTGCTTGTTCCTGGAGGACAATTGTAAGCATATGTTTCAGTAGGTGAGCTATCAAACCCACAGCTGCTCTCTACCCTGAACCTGAGGCAGGACAATGGGAAACCCAGGCATTGGCAGATTTAACTTTGAATGGTTGAGTACAGGGATCAATCCGTTTAGAGAGCAACAAATGCAAGAACAGCAGGAGAAAAACAGAAAAAGAAAATACTTTTCTTGAGATGATTCTGTATCTGTGTACATTACATAATTTTAATCATTCATTGTGGCTTGAGGGAAATAACTGATGCTTTCCTTGAAAGGCATGGCATTCCTCAAGCAATAAATATATTTCATTTCCAGTTTTATATGCTGTATGTGTCAAGTAAACAAATATTAAAAACATATCGCTTATTGTTTTACAGGTATTTTCATATTCTGTTTACTCTCCAAAAGATTTAGGCAGCTAGCAATAGAAGCACAAAAATTGAAAAGACCAAAAACAGCTATTAATAAAACAAAGAAAATAGTCAAAAATAAGAGAAAGGCAGAGAAAAAGAACAAAACCTCCTGCCCCCAAAATCTCCAATAGTTAGCCATGATACTTAATTATAAACTTCCTGTGTAACCAGGACAAAGAGGAAAACTCAGTTAATAAATACTATCATCCTCTTTTTTTAAAATTATTATTAATATACTTTAACTTTTAGGGTACATATGCACAACGTGCAGATTTGTTACATATGTATACATGTGCCATGTTGGTGTGCTGCACCCATTAACTCATCATTTAACATTAGGTATATCTCCTAATGCTATCCCTCCCCACTTCCCCCACCCCACAACAGTCCCCGGTGTGTGATGTTCCCCTTCCTGTGTCCATGTGTTCTCATTGTTCAATTCCCACCTATGAGTGAGAACATGTGGTGTTTGGTTTTTTGTCCTTGTGATAGTTTGCTGAGAATGATGGTTTCCAGCTTCATCCATGTCCCTACAAAGGATGGGAACTCATCATTTTTTATGGCTGCCTAGTATTCCATGGTGTATATGTGCCACATTTTCTTAATCCAGTCTATCATTGTTGGACATCTGGCTTGGTTCCAAGTCTTTGCTATTGTGAATAGTGCCGCAATAAACATACATGTGCATGTGTCTTTATAGCAGCATGATTTATAATCCTTTGGGTATTTGGGTATACACCCAGTAATGGGGTGGCTGGGTCAAATGGTATTTCTAGTTCTAGATCCCTGAGGAATCGCCACACCGACTTCCACAAAGGTTGAACTAGTTTACAGTCTCACCAACAGTGTAAAAGTGTTCCTATTTCTCCACATCGTCTCCAGCACCTGTTGTTTCCTGACTTTTTAATGATCGCCATTCTAACTGGTGTGAGATGGTATCTCATTATGGTTTTGATTTGCATTCCTCTGATGGGCAGTGATGATGAGCATTTTTTCATGTGTTTTTTGGCTGCATAAATGTCTTCTTTTGAGAAGTGTCTGTTCATATCCTTCGCCCACTTTTTGATGGGGTTGTTTTTTTCTTGTAAATTTGTTGGAGTTCATTGTAGATTCTGGATATTAGCCCTTTGTCAGATGAGTAGATTGCAAAAATTTTCTCCCATTCTGTAGGTTGCCTGTTCACTCTGATGGTGGTTTCTTTTGCTGTGCAGAGGCCGTTTAGTTTAATTAGATTCCGTTTGTCAATTTTGGCTTTTGTTGCCATTGCTTTTGGTGTTTTAGACATGAAGTCCTTGCCCATGCCTATGTCCTGAATGGTATTGACTAGGTTTTCTTCTAGGGTTTTTATGGTTTTAGGTCTAACATGTAAGTCTTTAATCCATCTTGAATTAATTTTTGTATAAGGTGTAAGGAAGGGATCCAGTTTCAGCTTTCTACATATGGCTAGCCAGTTTTCCCAGCACCATTTATTAAATAGGGAATCTTTTCCCCATTGCTTGTTTTTGTCAGGTTGGTCAAAGATCAGATAGTTGTAGATATGCGGCATTATTTCTGAGGGCTCTGTTCTGTTCCATTGGTCTATATCTGTTTTGGAACCAGTACCGTTCTGTTTTGGTTACTGTAGTCTTCTAGTATAGTTTGAAGTCAGGTAGCATGATGCCTCCAGCTTTGTTCTTTTGGCTTAGGATTGACTTGGCAATGCGGGCTCTTTTTTGGTTCCATATGAACTTTAAAGTAGTTTTTTCCAATTCTGTGAAGAAAGTCATTGGTAGCTTGATGGGGATGGCATTGAATCTCTAAATTACCTTGGGCAGTATGGCCATTTTCACAATATTGATTCTTCCTACCCATGAGCATGGAATGTTCTTCCATTTGTTTGTATCCTCTTTTATTTCCTTGAGCAGTGGTTTGTAGTTCTCCTTGAAGAGGTCCTTCACATCCCTTGTAAGTTGGATTGCTAGGTATTTTATTCTCTTTGAAGCAATTGTGAATGGGAGTTCCCTCATGATTTGGCTCTCTGTTTGTCTGTTACTGGTGTATAAGAATGCTCGTGATTTTTGCACATTTATTTTGTATCCTGAAACTTTGCTGAAGTTGCTTATCAGCTTAAGGAGATTTTGGGCTGAGACAATGGGGTTTTCTAGATATACAATCACGTCATCTGAAAACAGGGACAATTTGACTTCCTCTTTTCCTAATTGAATGCCCTGTATTTCCTTCTCCTGCCTGATTGCCCTGGCCAGAAGTTCCAACACTATGTTGAATAGGAGTGGTGAGAGAAGAATCAAATAGATGCAATAAAAAATGACAAAGGGGATATCACCACCAATCCCACAGAAATACAAGCTACCATCAGAGAATACTACAAACACCTCTACACAAATAAACTAGAAAATTTAGAAGAAATGAATAAATTCCTGGACACATACACTCTCCCAAGACTAAACCAGGAAGAAGTTGAATCTCTGAATAAACCAATAACAGGCTCTGAAATTGAGGCAACAATTAATAGCATACCAATCAAAAAAAGTCCAAGGCCAGATGGATTCACAGCCGAATTCTACCAGAGGTATAAGGAGGAACTGGTACCATTTCTTCTGAAACTATTCCAATCAATAGAAAAAGAGGGAATCCTCCCTAACTCATTTTATGAGGCCAGCATCATCCTGATACCAAAGCCTGGCAGAGACACAATAAAAAAAGAGAATTTTAGACCAATATCCTTGATGAACATTGATGCAAAAATCCTCAATAAAATACTGGCAAGCCAAATCCAGCAACGCAGCAAAAAGCTTATCCACCATGATCAAGTGGGCTTCATCCCTGGGATGCAAGGCTGGTTCAACATATGAAAATCAATAAATTTAATCCAGCATATAAACAGAACCAAAGACAAAAACCACATGATTATCTCAGTAGATGCAGAAAAGGCCTTTGACAAAATTCAACAACCTTCATGCTAAAAACTCTCAATAAATTAGGTGTTGATGGGATGTATCTCAAAATAATAAGAGCTATCTATGACAAACCCACAGCCAATATCATACTGAATGGGCAAAAACTGGAAGCATTCCCTTTGAAAACTGGCACAAGACAGGGATGCCCTCTCTTATCATCCTCTTATTTTAAAAAGTTATGAGAATTTCTCAAAACTGCACATCAATACAAAATGTGTTTTTCTTGCTGTCTTGGTGTGATGCTGAATACCACTAGGCAGTGAGCAAGAGGCTCTTTTCCTTGTGTGTGTGTGTGTGTGTCTGTCTGTCTGTCTGTGTGTGTGTGTGTGTGTGTCTGTCTGTGTGTACAGCAGAAATTCTAAAAGGAAAATAATTATTCTCTCTTAAATATCTGCTGTATGTCTAGTACGTTTCCAGGCACTGGGGATACACAGAAAACAAAACAGATGTGGTCTTGCCCTCACTGCACTTAAAAGCTATTGAGAAAGACATGCTTTGGGCAAGTAATAACAACTCTGATAAGTGCTACTCACAGTGATGGGTGCATAATCCTCCCATCACAGATAACAGGGAGATTCGGCTTAGCCCTGGTCAGTAGAGCATTTATCTCTGCCTAGGTGAGTGGTAGGTTTAAATATGCTAAAGTTTAAATCCTATCTCGGCCGATGACCATCCCCATAGCCTCAGCCATGTTGCTCACCTTCTCCGTAGTAATTGTATTATTGTGAGGACTAAATAGGTCTTTTCTCATGGCAGTCTCATGACTAAGAGTATATCAGCAGAAGCTTCAAGGTCTCTGAGTCCAAGTCTTAAAACTCCTCAAATCTCACTTCTGCTGCATCCCACTGGTCAAAGTAAGTCACAAAGGCAACCTAGATTCAAAGGATGAGAATACAGTTTCCACCCGTTTAGAGGAAATGCAAAGTGCCATGGCCATTTTGGCAATCTTCCACATGACAGTGGAGAATATAAAATGAACCAACAAGAACATAAAATGAACAGCTCTTAGTGTATGACTGGACATGGGGAAGTGGAAGAAAAAGGAAAAAAGGAGCCAATGATGACACCACATTTTCTGTCCAGAGCAAACTATGTGGGTATTTTTGCAAATCACTTGGTACTGAATTGAGAACCAGTGAAAATTTAACCAACAATTTTAGAATATTTTGTTATTATTTGGAGTTTTTCAAAGGTCCAAATAAATGACTCAGGCTGGTGTGAGAATCATAATCCTCAATATTATTAAATATTGTTGAATTTGTTTTGACTTTGATCCTCAAAACTGAAAACATTCTTCAATGTGTAGACCAAGACATAAATTGCTTATACTAGTTCCATTACAACAAATTCCACATATATCCTGATTGATACCAGTTATGTTGAAGTGTTTCTAACACTGTAAATGCCTATTCCTCCCATGTGAGAATTAGCTTATTTTAAGGTGTTTTGACTTTCACTTATATAATGATTGAAAACTTCCCTGTGAAAAAACTATTATCCATCTTCATAACAGTTTCCAGAAAAATTAACAGCACTACCTTACCAAAGGACCCAGAAGTAAACATTATTGAATATATTTTTTGTTTGTTTTTGTTTCTGTGCTGATTGTTCTGTCTTTCTTGGCTTTATTGAGGTACAGTTGACAAAAATTGTATATATTCAAGGTGTACAACCTGATGTTTTGATATGTATGCATTGTGAGATAATTACACTATCAAGTTAATTAAAATATTTATCACCTCACATAGTTCCAGGTATCACTACCTCTTTAGTTAAATTCATGACCAGGGATACTAATATAAAAATTTCAATAGTCTGAGACCTCTTATCCTCAACCCTACCCATGTAAATGAAACTCTGGTGGCTTCAATGTGAATACTCCTAAATATCTCTTCCTGTCTTCCTTTCTGCATCTATGCAGCCACTGCCTTAATTTAAGCTTGGAACAGTACCTGAATAGGTCTCCCTTCCTGTACCTCCCCCTTTTAAAGCTATTGTCTGTATGTTTCTAAAATGTAAATCCAATTATTAACTTATCAACTTAAAAAAAGTGAATTTCTCTATCAGAGAGTCCATTCCAAACCAATATTTTCAATGGATTACAGAATAAATTAGCAGATTTATTTAACCTATTCTCAAACTTTCAACAAGAGAAAGCATACATTTGCAAGGAAATTGGACTGTTATTTCCAAGCCACACTCTTCATTTTCTTGGCTATAATTCAAGCAGCATGTTCAACATTATTTGGGTGGAGACATTGAAATGGAGAGAAGAATAAAACATGGTCCTTGTTCTCAAGGACCCCATAGCCCTGTAGGTAAGACAGACCTTCAACAGGTAATAGTAGCTCAGTGTGATACACACTAACATAAAGTTAGAGGACCAAGGTATCAAGGAAAAGTGGATTGAGGAAGGGATCTGGTGAAATGTGGGAACATTTCACAGATAAGCTGACACATGAATAAGTCTTGAAAGATGAATAGAAATTTATAGGTTAAAAAGCCAGGGAATAATATTCCAGTGAAGGGGGAACAGCACAGACAATTTTATGAAGATGTAAAACAACATAGTACATTCAGGTGAGTGAAATGATTTAGTGTAATGATTTAATAGGAAAAGTGGTGGAAGATAAGGAACAAAAAGGTAGGTGGGTACTAAACCCATGAAGGGCTTCCTACTCTGTGCATGCCCAAGGTGATATACATAGGGTGCAGTGTTGGGTTGAACCATAAGAGATAATCCTTTATGTTGGTCAAAAGAGTCAACTATTGGAGTTTCAGAGATGCAAAATACTACAATTCATCTGTGGAGTCTTAAGCCACCTTCAACTTTGGCATTTAGAAGTGAGTATGCCTAACCTGACACATCCGCTTGTGAGAAAAAGAAGCCCAGTCAACGTTTTTCAGGTAGTGGGTGGTTTTACCAAGGGAAAAAAAAAAGCACTCCCAAAAGTCCAAGAACAAGAGTTGGACTCAGCTGATGGAAATGATCCCCACCCTGCCTTCCCCATAGCTTGCTGGTTTTTTTGTAAATTTCATTTTTCTTTCTCCGTCAATTGACATTTTTTACTTATAGTTTCTGCTTCCTCATGGCTTTATCTCACTATAGACATGGCACCCCAAGCCCTTCTCCAAATCAAAACTTTTTGGCTTCAGCTTTCTCAGCAACTGAGAACTTACAAACCTGTTTTGAAATCCTGAAAGGATGAATCTCATTGGTTCAGCTAATCTTTTTTTTACTAGGCTGTGGGTTACTGGCCAGTTTATGAGCTGGTTGTCCCTCTTTAAGTCCACTACCTATCAGTAGATCCATTACCTGTGACTGTGGGAATAACATGGAGACGTAGTGGTAGGAGGGTGGATGGGACCACTTCCCTCAGAAGTGATTATGGTGGGCAGGCCTGTTGAGGCTGAGCAGCTCTGCTTATTTCTCCCAGTAAAGTTGGCATAAAAGCCTCTGAGTTGATTCTCGAGGTCTAAGAAAATCTAATCTCCAACATTGAAGTTTCAGCTCTAAGAACATCTAAGATATGCATCCTAAATGTCATTACCCAGAATGTCTATAATCTTCATCAAACCTGATATTTCTACATTAATTAATTCCTAACATTACTGGAATTTGAGCCCAAGGTTGGGGGGAAATCACTAATAAAGTCACAACAGAAAGATGCCCTGTTTTATTAACCAAATGCATCTGACCATATAAACAATTGTTGACAGTCATTTCTTTTCTACCTACTCACATTGGATGTGCTTGAACATCTGCTTTCTGCCCTTTAAAATAAAAGGCCTCTCTTACAACATCAGTGGCTATTAGAATAGGTGAGCTGCAGTGCTAGCAATAGCTTTGTTCTTCTTCTTATCACTGCTTTTGCCTTCTGTTTGCCACCATTAGTAGCCTTTGCACATAAAGCCTATTAATTTCTCTACAGTAAGTAAGGTGGCTTGACTAGTAATAAGTGGCATCAAAATGAGCTGATTTTTTTAACATGTCCAGATTCTAGTCTGGCTCCAATAAATATCAAATAAATCATGAGACAAATGTCATAGACAACTCCTTTTTCACTTCCTATGTCGTGTATAAGTACATGAAAAATCCATTCAACAGTCACTAATGAATGCTATTAATAGATAAAATGTCATCAGGCAAAAGCAGAGCTCAGTAACAGTACTTACAAAATAGTCCTGGATTCTGAAGCGGCTCTCTGGAAAATCTATACCCACCCCCCCACCAAATCTACATAAAATACTGTTCTTACATATCTATTAAAGTGTTTCTTGAGGTGAGGGGCTGGGAAGGGAAAAGTAAGGGTAGCGAGCAGGAGAAACGGAGATCTGTTTGAGCTCAGCCCTTCTTCTAGCCTCATGTTCTTTCCTCTCCATCTCCTACACTTGTTACTTATTTATTAGGGAGAGCATTACAAATAATGTCAGACTTCCTGGTAGTTGCCTACAGCCCTGTGATACTGCGTATAATTTGTATTCCAGCATTGAAGTGTCTAACGTGGTAGAAATGAGGAGTAGCTTCCTGACACACGGACTGTGAGTGCAGAGATAGTGAAGGGGGTGTAGCTGAAGAGCACAGCACTAGCTGTCTCTTGGCTCCTGCTGCTTCTTTTATTGCCTTTCCCCCTTCTAGCTTGTTCATGCCAATATTTATCCATCCATCCATCCATCTATGATCTTTCCATCCCCTTCACACAACTTATTGTGTACCTGTGTGTGTATATCATGGTGCCAGTGACCACAATTTGACTTAAGCTCAGCATATCAAAATCTGTAGAGAGCAAGGTCCAGGAATTTGTATAATTAATCAACTCTAAAGATGATTCTGATTCTCAGACCTGTCTGAGTACCGCTTATTTAGCAGCTTCAAATATGTTTGACCTGGATTGCTACCACCAAGGAGGTCCCCCTTTGACTTTTTCTTATCTGCTGCTAAAACCTTATCCTGATTATTTTCTTCTCTTACAAATGTAACACAAAAGGAAACCAATAACTAATATGTCTAAGGTTTTTGCCAACATTTATAATTGAAATAAATGCTAAAATTGAGTTAGAGGTTAGTGAAAAGAAAAATGTACTTTTTTCCCCACCATGTTCATGGGTCCCCTGAATTCCATCCACAAGCCCCTTGGGTGCCTATGGACCCCAGGTTGAGAAGTACTGTAAACAGGAATTTTACAGCAGTGCTGTGCAGCACAAAAGGCACCAACCCATCCTAGAATCAAGCAGTCTTAAGTTTAGATCCCAGCTCCAGAATTTACTCGCTATAGAACGTTCAGCTAGAAGGTACTTAACTTCTCAATGTCTTCATTTTGTCTTTTGTCTTTTTTTTTAGCTCTAAAATGGAATTAAAAGAGAATTAGTAACAATAATGTCTTATAAGTTTCTAAATTTAATTAGATAACATAGGTAGTATCTTGGAACATTATGAATGTTCAAAATTAGGTTCAGTATATATTATTCACCTTTCCCCATGTTAATCTAAATTACCTGAAGGATCCTTAGGCCCAGAAAATCATTATTGTATGAACTCACTTTAACTGTATCAGCTAGTCATGTTTTCAGTTGAAATTACTATGTATTAATCACATTTTCAAATATGTGTATGCATGTGTGTATGTATGAAATGACCCTAACTCTGCAATTTGTGAATCTGTATAAATCCACCAAATATCCAGATCCCAACCAAGCCTCAAAACCTTTCAAAGACCCTTTTTAAAAGTGTTGATTTGGCCAAAAAAATGACTGTCTTCAATTCTCCACCTTTAGTTTGAGGCTTACCAATTAAATGTCCCTCCTCTGTGATGTGATTTTAAAGTCAGCAGTAGGCCAGGCAGGGTGGCTCACACCTGTAATCCCAGCACTTTCGGAGGCAGAGACAGGTGGATCACTTGAGGCCAAGAGTTCGAAACCAAACTGGCCAACAGAATGAAACCCCATCTCTACTAAAAATACAAACAATAGCTGGGCATGGTGGTGCATGCCTGTAATCCCAGCTACTCCAGAGGTTGGGACAGGAGAATCGCTTGAACCTGGGAGGTGGAGGTTGCAGTGAGCCGAGATCACACCACTGAGCTCCAGCCTGAGCAACAAAGTGAGACTCTGTCTCAAAAAAAAAAAAAAAAAAAAAAAAAAAAAGTCAGCAATGAATGCTAGATACTGCATCCAGTCTCTGCAGATGCTCAAGGCTGCTCAATTTGTCTAGATGATTACACTGCCCAAATGCACACATGATGCTCGACATTCATCTAATTGCAGGCAGCCAATCTGAATTCCTCACATGTAGGCCATTGATGACTAAATGTATCCAGAGATCTGGATTTACAGAGAATATTTTCTCATAACAACACTTAAATCTCAAAGAATTGTTTACACCCAGACTCTAGTCTTAACCTATCTTGTACTGTGCAGAGGAACAAGTATGTACAGGATAGTAAGCACTGTGTAATTTAATTTGGTAGAAAGGGGAAGTGTGATTTTTATGCTGAAAGAATACTAGTTTTTGTATCACACATACACACACACACACACACACACACACAAATACTCATGAACACACATTGAGCTTAACAAAAATTTCAAGGCACCATTCTGAAATCTGTCCATTAGCACTTCAAGTGTGATTTTATTCATACATGCTGGTTCTCCTGAAAAAGGTGGACTTTATCTCACAAGTATTTTAGACTAACTTAAAGACAGCATGAAGTGCTCTCTGATTCCATTTGTTTAGAGAACAATAGCCCCTCTGTGATATAACAGGAATTGGATGAAAATATCTTCTACCTATTGTTTCTTCTGTATGTGACTTGATCTTTATTCTCTGTAAAAAGCAGAATTTCTTTGTTTCCGAGAAGGATCTCTCCTCAGGAGGATTAAAACTCTTTTCTTACAGCTCTTTAGCAGAAATCACTTTCATAGCTAAACAAGAGCATAGTAAATGGATTTTTTCCAGACCCTAAAACTTACATAAATGGGCTCTCTTGTTCACCCAAAGGTCAGGAAAATGCAGTCTGCAAATAACAAATGGTAGAAATCCACATAATAGACTCCTTGGTCATAGGTGAATTTAGCAGCAGGCACTTTTGGAAAATGTGTACACATGTAAGTTAAAAGAATGATTCTACCAAAATCTTGCAGATGATGAGCAGTTAAAATAATGTTGGGAAAAAATGACTCATCCTTTTTATACTTGAGATGAACGATGCAAAATGGAGTGCCCTTCCATTGTTTACCTGTGTCTCCTGCCAGACAGTGACCTCCCTCAGCTCGCAGGGCCTTACTTATTTTTTCTCATGTCTGGCAGAGAGTCTCATATATGGTAGACTTTCAATAAATATTAGTGGAAAATGATGAACACATAAATGAATTAAAAATTGTAACCAGCAATGTCTAAACAAGGTAAAAACAACTATAATGTTATGGGCTAAATTGTATGCCCCAGAAACTCATGCTGAAGTCCTAACCCTCAGTGACTCAGAATGTGACCTTATGGAAAGGAGTCTCTGAAGACAATAATTAGTTAAGATACGGTCACAGTGGAGTAGAGTGAGCCCCTAATTCCATGTGACTATTGTTATTATAAAAAGGGGAAATTTGTAGACCGACCCTCACACAAGGAGAATGCCATGTGAAGAATGGAGTTATGCTGCCACAAATTAATGAACTGCCAGATGCTAGACATGGAACAGATTCTTCCCAAAGTGCTTTTCAAATATGAACTCACTTAATTCTCAAAATGACCCATGAGGGTGGTGTTATTGTAGTCATTTTACAAGTGTGAAAACTGAGACACATGAAGAAGTTAAAAAATGTGCCCAAGGTCACACAGCTTGTGAGTGAAGGTGGACCTCAAATCCAAGCAGACAATTCCTCATGATGTGAGAAAAGAGACCTTATCAGTTCCTTGCAGCACCTTGCAGAGTTTGGGGGTAAACTCTATCAGATCTGTAAAGCTATGCATCTCCTGTTGGGTTGCCGATATTTAATTGCAGCTCCACTATTAGAAAGTAAAAATAGGCCAGGCGTGGTGGCTCATGCCTGTAATCCCAGCACTTTGGGAGGCTGAGGTGGGCGGATCATGAGGTCAGGAGATCGAGACCATCCTGGCTAACACGGTGAAACCCCATCTCTACTGAAAATACAAAAAAATTAGCTGGGCTTGGTGGTGGGCACCAGTAGTCCCAGTTACCCTGGAGGCTGAGGCAGGAGAATGGTGTGAACCCAGGAGGCGGAGCTTGCAGTGAGCTGAGATTGCACCACTGCACTCCAGCCTGGGTGACAGAGTGAGACTCCGTCCCCCCCAAAAAAAAAACAACAAAAGAAAGTAAAAATAAAAGTAGAATTATGCCTAATAGTTCAAAGATTGGTGAATAGTTCAAAATGTTTCTTTTCACCCATGACCCTTTTCACCTTGATCTCAGACTTCTGGCTTGCAGAACTGAGATAATAAATTGTTGTTGTTTAAGCCAATCAGTTTGTGGGCATTTTGTTTTTTACAACACATAGCCCTAGCACACTAATACACATAGCAATTAAGAATTTGGAAGTAGGAAGAGTACCAAAAATGTTGAAAGGAAAGGAGATATCAAGAAAACATTGCTACCAGAGGCAGTGTCCTAACCACTAATTAGGATGGAAGAACTGGACTATAATGCCTTTGGAAGAAATAGGCCCCTGACCTGGAGTCAAGGCAGTAACCAGATGGGGACTCACAGGACCAAGGTGTCCATCAAAGGGGGTTGAAGATCAAATAGCACATGAGGGCCTGCTTTGAGGTTGGAATTAGAGCTGGTTAAATGTTTTCTTTATCAAGTTTAAATTGTTGTTGGGACTGGAAATGGAGGGGAATTGTATGTGGAGATCTAGAGAATATGAACATAGTGAGGAGGGATGCATAAACTAGGAAGCAGTCTGCCCAAAATAATTTCATCATGTTTGGAGCATATTTCCTACTTAAAGTAATAATCAGCAGAGTTAACAGACAACCCACAAAGTGTGAGAAAATCTTCATAATCTATACATCTGACAAAGTACTAATATCTACAGTGTACAAAGAACTCAAACAAATCAGCAAGAAAAAAACAAACAATTGCATCAAAAAGTAGGCTAAGGGCATGAATAGATCATTCTCAAAAGAAGATATACAAATAGCCAACAAGCATACGGAAAAATGCTCAACATCACTAATTATCAGGGAAATGCAAATCAAAACCACAATGTGATACCACCTAACTCCTGCAAGAATGGACATAATCAAAAAATCAAAAAATAGTAAATGTTGATGTGGATACAGTGAAAAGGGAAGACTTTTACACTGTTGGTGGGAATGTAAACTAGTATAACCACAATGAAAAACAGTGTGGAGATTCCTTAAAGAACTAAAAGTAAATCTACCATTTGATCCAGCAATCCCACTACTACTTATCTACCCAGAGAAAAGTAAGTCATTATATAAAAAAGATACTTGCACATGCATGTTTATAGCAACACATTTGTAATTGCAAAACTATGGAATCAGCCCAAATGCCCATCAATCCACCAACGAGTGGATAGAGAGAAAATGTGGCATATATATAGTATGCAATACTAGTCAGCCATAAAAAGGAACAAAATAATGGCATTTGTAGCAACCTGGGTGGAATTGGAGGCTATTATTCTAAGTGAAGTAACTCAGGAATGGAAAACCAAATATCATATGTTCTCACTCATGAGTTGGAGCTAAGATATGAGGACGCAATGCATAAGAATGATACAATGGAATTTGGGGACTTGGGGGAAAGACTGGGAGGTGGGTGAGGGATAAAAGACTATAAATTGGGTACAGTGTATACTGTTTGGGTGATGGATGCACCAAAATCTCATAAATCACCACTAAAGAACTTATTCATGTAACCAAACACTACCCGTTCCCCAAAAAACCTATTGAAATAAATAATAAATAAACAAACAAATAAATAAATAAAAAGTTAAATTGGCCATACTGCATATGCAATGGGATTATAATTTTGTATATGCCAGTGGTTGATTCTGCCAATTATTACTCGTGGAGGGGTTCATGCAAGACCCTCTGCAAAGCATTGTTTGTGATACAAAGTATTCTAGGACTCTGGAGTAAGACCAAAGACCAAGTCTACCACTCTGCCACTTATCTGCTGTGATGGAATTCCCTTCTAGTACTGAATTTTATGCTATGACCTCAGATCTATTTCTAAAAGGAGGAATTCCCAGTACACAGAACTAAAATCATCATGTAGATCTGCAGACATACAGCCTGCACCTTCCAGGGATTTTCTCTACTATAAATTCACTACGGAGAATTTCGGTAAAGCCATGTTTTTCTTTAAAAACAATATCAGTGGCAGCCAAGATGGCCAAATAGGAAGAGCTCCGGTCTACAGCTCCCAGCGTGAGT
Organism: Homo sapiens; assembly: GCF_000001405.40. Taxonomy (NCBI): domain Eukaryota; kingdom Metazoa; phylum Chordata; class Mammalia; order Primates; family Hominidae; genus Homo; species Homo sapiens. The sequence goes on from NC_000008.11 coordinate 62,800,686, forward strand.
GACGCAGAAGACGGGTGATTTCTGCATTTCCATCTGAGGTACCGGGTTCATCTCACTAGGGAGTGCCAGACAGTGGGTGCAGGTCAGTAGGTGCAGTGCACCATGCGCAAGCTGAAGCAGGGCGAGGCATTGCCTCACTCGGGAAGTGCAAGGGGTCAGGGAGTTCCCTTTCCTAGTCAAAGAAAGGGGTGACAGACGGCACCTGGAAAATCGGGTCACTCCCACCCTAATACTGCGCTTTTCCAACGGGCTTAAAAAACGGTGCACCAAGAGATTATATCCTGCACCTGGCTCGGAGGGTCCTACACCCACGGAGTCTCACTGATTGCTAGCACAGCAGTCTGAGATCAAACTGCAAGGCAGCAGCAAGGCTGGGGGAGGGGCTCCCACCATTGCCCAGGCTTGCTTAGGTAAACAAAGAAGCCGGGAAGCTCCAACTGGGTGGAGCCCACCACAGCTCAAGGAGGCCTGCCTGCCTCTGTAGGCTCCACCTCTGGGGGCAGGGCACAGAAAAACAAAAAGACAGCAGTAACCTCTGCAGACTTACATGTCCCTGTCTGACAGCTTTGAAGAGAGCAGTGGTTCTCCCAGCACGCAGCTGGAGATCTGAGAACGGGCAGACTGCTTCCTCAAGTGGGTCCCTGACCCCTGACCCCCAAGCAGCCTAACTGGGAGGCACCCCCCGATAGGGGCAGACTGACACCTCACACAGCCAGGTACTCTTCTGAGACAAAACTTCCAGAGGAATGATCAGACAGCAGCATTCGCAGTTCATGAAAACCCGCTGTTCTGCAGCCACCGCTGCTGATACCCAGGCAAACAGGGTCTGGAGTGGACCTCTAGCAAACTCCAACAGACCTGCAGCTGAGGGTCCTCTCTGTTAGAAGGAAAACTAACAAACAGAAAGGACATCCACACCAAAAACCCATCTGTACATCACCATCATCAAAGACCAAAAGTAGATAAAACCACAAAGATGGGGAAAAAACAGAGCAGAAAAACTGGGAACTCTAAAGAGCAGAGCGCCTCTCCTCCTCCAAAGGAACGCAGTTCCTCACCAGCAATGGAACAAAGCTGGACGGAGAATGACTTTGACGAGTTGAGAGAAGAAGGCTTCAGACAATCAAACTACTCCGAGTTACAGGAGGAAATTCAAACCAAAGGCAAAGAAGTTAAAAACTTTGAAAAAAATTTAGACGAATGTATAACTAGAATAACCAATACAGAGAAGTGCTTAAAGGAGCTGATGGAGCTGAAAGCCAAGGCTCGAGAACTATGTGAAGAATGTAGAAGCCTCAGGAGCTGATGTGATCAACTGGAAGAAAGGGTATCAGTGATGGAAGATGAAATGATTGAAATGAAGCGAGAAGGGAAGTTTAGAGAAAAAAGAATAAAAGGAAATGAACAAAGCCTCCAAGAAATATGGAACTATGTGAAAAGACCAAATCTACGTCTGATTGGTGTACCTGAAAGTGACAGGGAGAATGGAAACAAGTTGGAAAACACAGTGCAGGATATTATCCAGGAGAAATTCCCCAATCTAGCAAGGCAGGCCAACATTCAGATTCAGGAAATACAGA